>NC_000008.11:129464222-130089222 GCF_000001405.40 Homo sapiens | reverse complement strand
TACTTCTTTATGTTAATGTTTAGTCATCTTTCAAGATCTGCTGTCCTGGGATCTACTTAAAAGGCCTTTTGCAGTCCAGTAAAACTCCCCACTCCCCACCCTTTTGTCCCCACTGGTGTAGTGGGTATCACAGTGGCTGTTTCCTTGCCTGTCTTTCCTAGTACATGAACTCCTTCTGAGGGCATGTGCTGCTTCTCTCAGCAGAGCAAAGTGCTCTAAGGTGAACTCAAGTGTCATACTGTCTGGATTCTCATTCCATCTCTACTACTCAATAGCCTTGTGATTTTCAGCAAGTATCTTTGAAATGTTCAGTGCCAAAGCTTCTCCAACTATAATATGGGGCTAGTAATAGTGTCTGTATTGCATATGGAGTTATGAAGATTAAATGAGAAGAACACATAAAAAGCAACCAAAACCATAGGCAGCACCCAATAAATGATAGCTACTGTTACCATTATTCTCAGCCTAGCATTTTGCTGGATAGCTAGAGATGGGAGAAACCTGCATTCGTTTCCTGAGGCTCCTGTAACGCATACCGCAAACTGGATGTTGTAAAATGACAAATTTATTCTTTCAGTATTAGAAGCTAGAGGTCCAAAATCCAGCAGGGTTTTGCTCCCTCCAGAGGCCCTGTGGGAAGAATCTGTTTCTTGCCTCTCTCAGCTTCTGGTGACTCCAGGTGATCCGTGGAGTGGTGCAGCCTCTGCCTTCATGGTCATCTCCCCACTGCCGCCGCCTCTCTGTGTTCTCAGAACTGCCTTTGCCTCTCTCTCATAAGTGTACGTGTGATTGTATATAGGACCCACATGAATTTTCTGTGATAATCTTGTCTCGGGAGGCCAAGGCGGGCGGATCACTTGAGGTCTGGAGTTCAAGACCAGTCTGACTAACATGGAGAAACCCCATCTCTACTAAAAATACAAAATTAGCTGGGCATGGTGGCGCATGCCTGTAATCCCAGCTACTCGGGAGGCTAAGACAGGAGAATCGCTTGAATTCGGGAGGCGGAGGTTGTGGTGAGCCGAGATTGCACCATTGCACCCCAGCCTGTGCAACAAGAGCGAAACTCCTTCTCAAAAAAAATAATCTCCTTGTCTCAAGATCCTTAACTTAATTATATTTACAAAGACCCTTTTTCCTAGTCAGGTCACATTTACAAATTCCAGGGATCAGGACTCGATAACTTTGGGTGGCCATTATTCAGCCTACCACAGCTTGTCCTCTGACCCCCAAAGAGTCACATCCAACCCACATGCAAAATATGTTCACCCATCCCAGCAACCTCAAAAGTCTCAAACCCCTGTCTTGGCCATTGTTTTTTCTAGTCTTCAGAGAAGATGTGAGCTGTCATGTACTCCTCTCCCCACTGTGCCTAGGATTTCCTCCTCCAGATTCACAGGGGAGATTTGGGGGTAATAGTTGTTGTCAGCAGCTCTCTATTTTTTAGATCAATGGGTTCACGCTGATCGCTTGCCTAACATTAAATGTGGAATCAAACTTGTAAAGTAGGCAAGACTCGAGGCCTCCTGTCCCAATCTGTTTTAGGCCACCTGTTCACACCACCACTCTGTTGTACCCACCAGTCTCACTAGCCATCCATACAGCAGCACTGGCATCACTCCCATGACCCCTCCCTGCAGCACATTAGCCTCTTTCCTCAGCCAGGTGGAGGTTTCCACCTGTCAAGTTCTCTTTTTTTTATTTCGAAACAGACTCACTCTGTTGCCCAGGCTGGAATGCAGTGGTGCAGTCCCAGCTCACTGTAACCTCCACCTTATGGGTTCAAGCAATTCTCCTGCCTCAGTCTCCCGAATAGCTGGGATTGCAGGCACCCGCCACAATGTCCAGCTGATTTTTGTATTTTTAATAGAGACGGGGTTTCACCATGTTGGCCAGGCTGGTCTCAAACTCCTGACCTCAAGTGATCCACCCATCTCGGCCTCTCAAAGTGCTGGGATTATAGTCATGAGCCACCGAACTTGGCCCACCTGTCAAGTGTGAAGCCTATACCCCTCTTTGGTTCCCCGACATTTGTGTTTCTGGTCTCAGGGGCACCTCTGACATTCAGCTCCTTTGCAGAGTAGCCATGGCTGACAGGTCTTGGCTCTGCTGATGATCACACTTTCTATGCTGATGATTAGCCCCGCCCAGTCCCCCATGCTGACCTTTAAGAAGGAGGTAGAAGGTGGTTTAAGAAGGAAGTAGATGTTGCATTTAGCCTTGGAAGATGAGTGGAATAGGCAGGAGGAAATAAGCAAGGCAGCTGATGTTGAGTGTTTTGTGAGAACGAGGGCCAGAGATCATAACCTTTAATGCATCTACTTCACAGAAGGCCACACTTCCTTCATTACAAAGAGTCTGTCTTTCCCCCTCTCAAATTCCATTTCATGCCTTCATAAACTCCTTTTTCTTTGTTTTTGAGGCAGGGTCTTATTCTGTCACCCAGGCTGGAGTGCAGTGGCGTGATCATAGCTCACTGCAGCCTCCACCTCACAGGCTCAAGCTATCTTCCCACCTCAGTCTCCTGAGTAGCTGGGACTACAGGTGTGCACCACCATGCCCAGCTAATTTTTGTATTTTTTGTGGAGACGGGGTTTCACCATATTGCCCAGGCTGGTCTCAAACTCCTGAGTTATGTGATCCACCTGCCTTGGCCTCCCAAAGTGCTGGAGACTACCGGCATGAGCCACCACACCCAGCCCATAAATTCTTAATACAGGTTTATGGCTTGTAAGACAAAAGAAAATGACAATTCATTATTTTAGAATCTTCGGATAAAAAACTACGTACGTAATATTTTATAAGGCCATCACTTGTAAGTGCCTCACAGAGTGCTGGGCATTGTGTTGAGCACTTCGCATGTGTTAACGTACCTCATTCTTAACCATGGTTACACAGAGAGAAAATGCTATTATCTCAACTTCGGGGCGCAGAAAGGTTAAGTGATTTACACTGTTTCTCACAGCTAGTACGTGGGGGCCAGGATTCACCTGCAGCCTGTGTGGCTGAGAGCCAGCCCTCCTCACCCTCTCCACGCACCACTCTGTGCTCGCAAAATGCAGGCCCACTGGCCATTTCTCCTCACAGCAGTGGTTTCTGTGCCCATGAAGCTGAAGTGTGGAGAAGGCGATCAACTTAGCATGGTTCTCCTGGCAAGCAGCACAAGCTCTGCTGGCTGTGCCTCCTTATCCATCTGCAGCATGGCACCCTGGTATGCAGCTCCTGCGCTGCCCAGGCTGGGAGGGCCACCCCAGGCTTTTTCCCTGCCAGAACCACAACATCCACAGTGCCCAAAATAGCCCCAGCATTACATTACTGAAGTCCTGCTTCTGTGATGAATCCAGCCATCTGTCTCAGGAGACTTCTAAGGCAGGCTTTTGATAGCAAAACAAATAGTCCTGTGGACAGATTTGGGTTTTGTAGGGAATTTATGATTTTTGAAGTTGCATTTCATTGAACCTCTTTCCTTTTTTTTTTTTTTTTTCTTAAAGACAACGTCTTGTTCTGTCGCTTAGGCTGGAGTACAGTGGCACAATCATGGCTTATTGTAGCCTCAACCTCCCGGGCCCAAGTGATCCTCCCATCTCAGCCTCCCAAGTAACTTGGGACTCTGGGTGCGTCACACCACACCCAGCTGATTTTTTAATTTTTGTAGAGACAAGGTCTTACTATGTTGCCCAGGCTGGTCTCGAACTCCTGGGCTCAGGTGATCCTCCTGCCTTGACCTCCCAAAGTGCTGGGATTACAGGCGTGAGCCTCTTCACCCGGTCCTCCTCTTTCTTTAATAACCTACTTTATAACAGACTAACACATATTTTAACACAATTTAAATAATAAGAAATGAGGACAAAGGGAGAATAAAGGTAGCAAAGTAAGGTGAATTCCAGGAGTGTGATTTCTCCACAAAATGAGTAACAAAAAGTCACATACAGTGTCTGGAAGTGGGCCACGGATTTGACCCTAAGATTCTTACAGGCAAGAGCAAAGAGAGAAATACAACTAATTGTTAGGTTCATGGTAGCCTTAAGACTGACACTATTCTAACACTCTTGAATTAATACCTAATAACAATTTCCCCCCTCCCCTGGCCCTCCATCCTTTGGCATTTAGAGAAGTGTCTGCAGTGCACGTGGGAAACCATAACATGCACTGAAAGAACATTCCAGAAGCCCAGGTTCTGATCCAGGTTCTACCAATCCCTGACAAAGTGACCTCTGGGAATCACTTACATTCCTCATCTTTGGTCACTGGGAGTTAGAATTGTACTTTTATTTAATATAGAGCAAATAATGGATGAAAAACTATACCAAAAATTGGTTTACTGCTTATATTTCAGGCCTGGGACTTCCAGGTAAAAAAGCTCCATAGATGAAATGTCTGAGACATGCATATTTACTTATTTTCTTTTCTTTTCCTTTGTTTTTTTGTTTTTTCTTGTTGTTTGTTTGTTTTATTACATATCTACTTATTGGAAGTGGGACTGTCATTGTCCCAGTTACTGATGAGGAAATTAGGCACAGAGAAGTCAAATGACTTGCTTAAGATCTCAAATCCAGGAACTGCAGAAGTGAGATTTGAACCCATTTCCAACTCCAAGGCCTGTATAGTAATTCACTATTCCAGAATACTCCTGTAGCAACCTGGCCATTCGCTGCTGAGCCAATGCCCCCTCTCTTTCCACAAACTCTTCTCCTGTAGCTTCGAAGCTATGGTAGGTGACCAGGAGTCTTGGCCACACTTCTTCCATTGCCTGCCCAGGAGGTATCTCCAACTTTCTCTTACACACATCTGTATGATACACTAAGACCTTTTTCCAAATTGCACAGAGAGAGAAAAAGGGATTGAGTTGCTTCCATATTTTTGCTGCTCATTGTCCTCTTTTCAGTACTATTTTATTTTCAGAATTTTTTCTAGCCACACTTTTCTTCTCAAGCACAGCAGGTAGCCTTTGCATAGCTATGAGAGTGACAGGATTCTTGTCAACCAGACCATAGACGCCTACCCAGCCAGGTGTAAGAAGGTCCGCTGTGGGCAGAGAAGTTGATGAGCCAGCACGGTCAGTCCTGTCTTTCGCTAGCAGGGACTATTGACTGCTCTGTGCCAGACATTTTGTTAAAAAGTGGTGTTATCGGCCTGGCGCAGTGGCTCACGCCTGTAATCCCAGCACTTTGAGAGACCGAGGCAGGTGGATCACTCGAGGTCAGGAGTTCAAGACCAGCCTGGCCAACATGGCGAAACCCCATCTCCACTAAAAATACAAAAATTAGCCAGACGTGGTGGCGCATGCCTGTAATCCTAGCTACTTGGGAGGCTGAGGCAGGAGAATCAGTGAACCTAGGAGGCAGAGGTTGCAGTGAGCTGAGATGATGCCGTTGTACTCCAGCCTGGGCAACAAGAGCAAAACTCCATCTCAGAAAAAATAAAAATAAAAATAATGGTGTTACCAAGACATAGAAGGTGGGGTCCATTCTTTGAAGTGACCACTCATTGAGTAAATTAACATCATTTCTGTTTCATGCCATTGAAGAGCTGTGAATAATAATACCCTTGTGTCAGGCTTCCTGTGGTCTAGCACTGTGTCCCGTACTTTATAGTTTATTTCCTTTAATACTCATGCCCATCTAGGGTAGTAGGTACCATGGTTGTTCCCAGTTGATATATGACGGAATCGAGGCTTAGCAGAATAAGAAGTCACCCAAACTCATACCCACTGGTCAGCAGTACAGCTAGAATTCAAAGCCACACTTGTCTAGGTCCAAAATCTGCACCCCTAATTAACCACTCCTGGTAAGAAGCTGGTTATAAGGGCTGGTCAAGTCAGCTATGGAAGAATTCTCAGAAAGTGACTCTAAAGGTGTTCTTTGAAGGTTGTGTAGGAATTCACCAAAACTGGAAGGAGACAGGCCTTCCTTGCAGGGAAAAGGAACGTAAGGGGCAAAGTTACAGAGACATAAAAACTCACACCATCTTTGGAAAAAGGAGACTCATTTTGAGAAGCCAAAGAGTAAGGTTAAGTGAGAACTCTGGACATTTGGGCCTGTGGGTATTGGGCAGCAGCCCCTGACATGATGACTCGTCTGTGTGACAGCAGAATGAATGACCACAGCAGAGCCAGAGGGCCTTTGCAGCCCTGTTGGTCTCAAATTTACTCATGTATAGCACATGCAACCTGCATTAATAATCACTTCTTTGGAATGTTTTCTACCTGGAAAGGGAATTAGTGGATGTAACAGTTCATTCCCCAAACATAAAATTTTCCTTGACGTTTTGATTGTTATAACTCATTTAAGTGGGAAAGTATAAGATTTGATATCTAGCCCTGAAGACTCATCATTGAGCACAGTGCTAGAAAGAAATGCCTACCAGGCTAGGTGCAGTGGCTCACACCTGTAATCCCAGCACTTTGGGAGGCCAAGACAGGAGGATCACTTGAGGCCAAGTATTTGAGACCAGCCTGGGAAATACAGTGAGACCTTGTCTCTACCAAAAAAAAAAAAAAAAAAAAAAATTAGTAATGAGACCTTGTCTCTACAAAAAAAATAAAAATTAAAATTAACCAGGCATGGTGGGTCATGCATGTAGTCCTAGCTACTTGGGAGGCTGAGGCGGGAGGATCATTTGAGCCCAGGAGTTTAAGGCTGCAGTGAGCTATGATTATGCCACTGCACTCCCACCTGGGTGACAGAGCAAGAACTTGTCTCTTAAAAAAAAAAAAAAAAAAGGCCACGTGTGGTGGCTCACACCTGTAATCCTAACACTTTGGGAGGCCAAGGTGGGAGGATCAGTTGGTCTCAGGAGTCCAAGACCAGCCTGGGCAACTTAGACCCCATCTTGAAAAAATAAATAAATAAAAAATAAGAAAAAAAATAAATGCCCTACCTTGAAGAACATCACAGCTCTGAGGATTTTATGAGTTACCAAAGAAGTCCTTAAATATTAAGTTATATGGGCTCATGAACATATACTGATGGTTAGTTTAATTAAAATTAAATAAAACTAAATTTGAAAGCCTTTGGTTCTTCTAGTAATGCCAGTTTATCTCATTTCTTCTTGTATCAATATCATAGAATTACAGAACATTCTGTCCAGGAGGTGAGCACCCTGCCAGCCTCTCCCTCTTCAGTAGGTGCAGTCAGACCAGGAGGTGATAGGTGCTAGAGTGTGGTGATTCACAGTACAGACCCTGGAAGAGGGCTGCTGGCTTTCCATCCCAGCTTTGACCCTTACCAGTGACCTGACCTTGGGCAATTGACTTTACTTCTCTGTGTGCTTCTTCATATATAAAATGAGGGGTGATTATACTATTTATCTCATAAGCATAATTACTATGAGTATGTAGCACAGTATGTTGCTCACAGTAAGTGCTCAGTAAACGGTCGTTGCTGTTAATAATGTTACTATCAGGGCGTCTTGATGGGTAATGAAGAGCACATTGATTTGTGGTCAGGACTCCCAGGTACACCATTTCCCCACGGGACCTGCAGCCATTTATTCATTTAGTCTCATTTCCTTATCTTATGATGCCAGTCTCATGCTGTGAGGAAGGAAGGCTGGATGAATATAAAAGCATGTGGGCAATCGGTGGTGCTATTGAGCAGATGTGCAGTGTAGTGAGGATCAGTTAGTTTTTTTTCAGCCCTGCCCTCTTCATCTGCCCTCCTGGTGCTCAGCCTCCTCAGCCAGCCCATTCCCAGTGCCACCTAGGCAGTATTATAGTCTTCTAGGTAGAGGAGGAGAGGAGGCTGCTGAAAGAAGAGAACAAGAGTTTCCAGAGCAGTCATAGGAAGAAAGGACAAGGAAATGAACTAGAGCCCCAGAGACAGGGTGCCCATGCAGGGTCCCGGGGAATCCTCCTGGGTGCCTGCAGCTTGGGGCTCCACAACTGCCCTGCACTCTGCCCACCACAAAATGGATCATAGAAGAGCCCTCATTTATTGTCTTGTGACCCTCTCCTGGACATAGCACACTTACCTCCACCTGTGTGCCTCTGGTTTTGCTGCTCACCCGCTAGAAAGTTCTTCACCTGTCCAGGTGCTATGTCTTCCCCAGACAGCATTCCCTACTCCCTCTTCCCCACTCCTGCCAGCAGTCAGAGTTTAGAAACTATTCTCCTCAATTGACAGCAACTGATGTTCATCTCATTACACATTATTAGTGTATTTCCTATGTCTTAAGTCTCACAGGCCAGAGCATAAGCTCTGTGAGAGCAGTGAAGTTTTATTTGTTTTTGTGCCTTCTGCTTCACATTTATGCCTTGCACATAGTAGATGCTTAATAAATGTTAATACTTGGCCGGGTATGGTGGCTTATGCCTGTAATCCCAGCACTTTGGGAGGCCGAGGCAGGTGGATCACCGGAGGCCAGGAATTTTAGACCAGCCTGGCTAACATGGTGAAACCCTGTTTCTACTAAAAATACAAAAATTAGCTGGGCGTGGTGGTATATGCCTGTAGTCCCAGCTACTCAGGAGGCTGAGGCAGGAGAATCACTTGAACCCAGGAGGCCGATGCTGCAGTGAGCTGAGATTGCACCACTACACTCCAGTCTAGGCAACAGAGTGAGACTCCATCTCAAAAAAAAAAAGTTAATATTTGAATGAATGCCCCTGTAGTCCCAGCTACTTGGGATGCTGGACAGGAGGAACACTTGAACTCTGGAGTTCAAGGCTACAGTGAGCCATGATTGCACCACTGCACTCTAGCCTGGGTGACAGAGTGAGACTGTCTCAAAAAAAAAAAAAAAAAGAGAGAGAATGAATGACGAGTCAGTAAGTGCCTGAGGGCCTGGCCCAACAGATGACCACTTATCCACCACCCTGCTAATGGTGTTCACATGCACATTCCACTTGTGAGTTGTGTGTTTCTTCTGAGTTTGGATACTAGAGGGTAGTCTCCTAGCATGAGGCCTCTTGGTGAACTTGAAATTTATTCTTCTTTCTCTACCCTCAAACTAAGGACAAGATCCTGAGCCAGTGGGAACATCACCAAGTTTCTATGCTCTTTGAGGCCTTGCCACAGAGCAGCTGCTCACCTCTTTGATACACTCCTTTACCAGAAATAAAAAACCGCAAAGCCCAAAACAGTGCTCAGTTTTGTTTTGGTCTTAGGCCAGAAATGCATGCCGTTTTGGCTTGGGTCTTTTAAATGCCGTTCTGGAACCTGAGCAATGCCTGTCTACAGGCCAAACCCATGTATTCTCATTGCATTTCCCCATCTAAAGACATACCTTTTCACCTTCGGTTTTCCTTGTAGGTAACGATGGGGGTCCATCCTCTTCAAGTAAGACTACAAACAAGTTTGAGGGACTATCCCAGCAGTCGAGGTAAGCCATCTCAGCGCTTCATTTCCCCTGTTGGATCCATTGATGCAATGGACAGAATTCTAGAAATGAGTTTTCATGAATTTCCCAGCGCTGCTCAAAGCTGTGGTCAGCCAAGTGGGGCAGGCCACAACAAGAAACCAGACGTTCACTCTTGGTTTGCATGCACATCTTGTGACTGGACTGGGCACAGGTCTGCAGACCGTTCTCTGAGCAGCAACGCTGTCTACCCAGTTCACAGACAGGAGCTAACCTCACTTCCCGGTGGTCGCAGGGTTGTGCAGTGGTCTTGAACAAAATTCCTGTCAGAATGAGTTTTTATTTTTGATATTTTAATCAAGTAACTTTGTTACTTTTCCACTTGACTCCTTTTGCAGATTTGGAAATGAAAAGATAATCCTTAGGGAAATCTGATTGCCTGGAGATTTTCAAACATAAAAATAGCACTCTTTCAAGTTCTGTTTCTAATATTTTTTTTTTTAGGCTAGGCTGACAGCAGTGTTCTTTTCTTCCCTTTTTTCACTGAAATTGTATACTTGAGGAGATCTCTTACGGGCAGTTTTTATCCAGCCTTACCCTAAAGTGTTTTCTCTGGAGGTGCCATCCAAGGAAAGGACAGAGAGCCACTTCCAGACCCAAACTTCAGGGAAAAAGAGTCAGCTCTTATCCAGAGTTTCTGAAAGATGAGAAAACAAAATCTCTCTTTTTTTGAGATAGGGCCTTTCTCTGTCACCCAGACTGGAGTGCAGTGGTATGAGCACAGCTCACTGTAGCCTCAACCTCCTGGGCTCAAGAGATGGTCCTGCCTCAGCCTCCCGAGTAGCTGGAACCAGAGGCATGCATCACTGTACTCAGCTGATTTTTTTATTTTTTTGTAGAGACAAGGCCTCAGCATGTTGCCCAAGCTGGTCTTGAACTTCTGGGCTCAAGCAATCCTCCTGCTTCAGCCTCCCAAAGTGCTAGGATTACAAGTGGGAGCCACCATATCCAGCCTTTTTTTTAATACCACTATCTTATGTACTCTTTATAACCCTGTGAGATAGGCCCAATTACTATTATCCTCAGTTTTGCAGGTGAGGAGAGCGAGGCCCAGAGTGGTTAGGTGGTGGGTGCAGATGTCAGAGCCAGCTCTCCAGCCTACTTGTTCTCCCAACTCCACATTCCACACCCCTTCCTTGCCCTTGTGCCCTGCCTTTCATTCCTCACTCACCTTCCTTCAACCCTAATTTGGGGGACCCTGTAAAACTAAAGTTCTGGTGTTCTTTTTCCAGAGTGAGGAGAATATCTGACACTCCAAAAGCACTCATAAAAGGTTTTTAAAGGCTGGACACAGTGGCTCACCTGTAATCCCAGCACTTTGGGAGGCCAAGGTGTGAGGATTGCTTGAGCCCCGAAGTTTGAGGCCAGCCTGGGCAACATAGCAAGACCTTGCTTCCTAAAAATAAAAAAAATCAGCCGGGTATGGTGGTACATACCTGGCTATACGGGAGGCTGAGGCAAGAGGACCGCCTGAGCCCAGGAAATTGAGGCTGCAGTGAGTCATGATCGCACCTCTGCACTCCATCCGGGGCGACAGCAAGACCCTGTCTCAAAAAAAAAGTTTTGGCAGGGCACAGTGGCTCTCGCCACTTTGGGAGAACCAATCCCAGCACTTTGGGAGGCCAAGGCAGGTGGATCACTTGAGGTCAGGAGTTCAGGACCAGCCTGGCCAACATGGTGAAACCCCGTCTGTACGAAAAATACAAAAATTAGCCGGGCATAGTGGGGTGCGCCTGTAGTCCCAGCTACTCAGGAGGCTAAGGCAGGAGAATCACTTGAACCTGGGAAGTGGAGGTTGCAGTGAACCGAGATCACGCCACTGCACTCCAGCCTAGGTGACAGCGAGACTTCGTCTCAAAAAAAAAAAAAAAAAGTTTTTAAACAAAATCAAGCTGATTGTGAACTAGAGCCTTTGGCAACTCGTTAAGTTTGTTTGTTTGCTTTTGAGATGGAGTCTCTTTCAAGAGAAACAAAGCCCTCTCATGTTTACTGTTTCTTGTTTAGTGGTGGCTTTATCTCAGCAATATTCCCCCGTTGCCCAGAGACAGGAGGATTTCAAGTGAGCTGAGGAAAGAGCAGTGAAGATCAAGGATGGCCAAGAGCCAGGACAGAAAGGAGCACACACCTTTCATCTTCTCTCTTTGACTACTTTTTGTTTTGTTGGTTGGTTTGGCTTTTTCTTTTCTTTTAAATGCAGTTAGCTGAGGCACAAGAATCGCTTGATCCCGGGAAGCAGAGGTTGCAGTGAGCTGAGATCGTGCCACTGCACTCCAGCCTGGTGACAGAGCAAGACTGTGTCTCAAAAAAAAAAAAAAAAAAAAAAAAAAAGCAGCAGCAGCAGCAACCAACTCTTAGGACATCAGGGGACAGAAATGGAGAGATGAGATAATAAAGGGGTTCTTGGCAGATGGGGCTCAGGCACTTGGCTACTGCTGCTTCTCAGGCATGCAGGCCTCCTGGTGTCCTCTGAGAATCGCCAAAACCTCTTGTTAAAGAAAAATAGTGGCTTCCACCTAATGTAGACCACTGATGGCACTGGGGTTTCAGTTGCAGAGGTTAACGTTTGATGATTTAGACAATGTGGTATGGACCTGTATTCCAGGGACTTGGGCCTTTGTCACCCTCATTTACCTGTCCTCCAAAAGGAAAGCAAGGCCTAGGAGAGCCTGGAGGCCCGAGAACCAAGCTCTTTGCTATAGTGGAGGAAGTGAGGGCTCTGGAGGCCCAGGGGAGCTAGGGCCGAATTTCCACTTCTACCTCTGACCCACGTGAGACCTTCTGCCAGCCGCCAACACCCCCATTCCCTTCCATTTCCTTGTCTGGAAACACAGAGCTGCTTTGTGGGATCATGTGGGAAGAGTTACTTCTGTGCACTACATTGGGGTCACCACTTAGAGTGTGCCAGGTGCCTTCATAAATGCTTTGAAGTGGAGGAGTTGGGCTTTATCATTAAGAGGGACTTTTTTTTCATCCTTTTACTGTGCCTCCTCAGCCAGGCAAACTGAAATATGGAAAATAGACTAATCTTTTGTTAAAGACATTTTGAGGCTGGGCACAGTGGCTCATGCCTGTAATCCCAGCACTTTGGAAGGCTGAGGTGGGTGGATCCACGAGCTCAGGAGTACAAGACCAGCTTGGCCAAGATGGTGAAACCCCATTTCTACTAAAAATACAAAAATTAGCCGGGTGTGGTGGTGGGCACCTGTAATCCCAGCTACTCAGGAGGCTGAGGCAGGGAATTGCTTGAACCCAGGAGGCCGAGGTTGCAGTGAGCAGAGATCGCGCCACTACACTCCAGCCTGGGCAACAGAGGGAGACTCCATCTCAAAAAAAAAGGAAATTTTGAAAGCATTCTTTAGATGATTATGTAAATACCTTTGATTTGATTTACTTGAATAATATTTTGCTATTGATATTCTAGCACTTTTAGATCCTAAATGATTCTTATTTGTTGATTAGCACCAGTTCTGCAAAGACTGCCCTTGGCCCAAGAGTTCTTCCTAAACTACCTCAGAAAGGTAAGATCTATCATTTTTACATTTACATGTAATTAAAGTGTCACTACCCCCTCCAAGGGGCCCAAGGTTTTTATCTCCCTTGTTCATTGATCCATCCCAAATGCCTAGAGCAGCACCTGGCATGTAGTGGATGCCTAGTAAATACACATTAAATGACGAAAGGTATTTATAAACTCAAATTTGGTGATTAGCAAAGCACCATACTTTTCCAGAATACATAATAATTTTGTAGACATTACATTATTATAATCCCCAGGAACCATTCTTTCTCCCCTTATAAACATAATCAGAGAGACTTGGGAACCAACACCAGCTCTACCACTTAGTAGCTGTGTGGCCTTGGGCAGGTGACGTAGTAGCTTCACTAAACCTGAGATTCCTCATCTGTAAAATGGGGAAAATAATACTTCGTGAGGTTTTGTAAGGACAAAATGAAGTCATGTTTCAGAAAGTCCCCAGCAAGTGGGTGGCAAAGGAATCCTTCCCTAGGATGGCATCTGTTGTGCAGAGTAGAGATACCCATGCTCTGCAAAGTACAAGAAAGCAGTGTCTATAAATACTGTTTTTTTGCCAAGCTAAGACACTCAGCTCTTTGACTGAGTCTTCTTTAATGCTGACAAGGTTTTCATTTGTGAAACCAAAATTTCAGTCTTCTTATTACAACACAAGTGATAGTTATGCCTTTTTTGTTGTCGTTGTTGTTACCATACCTTACCTTTAAAGCTGCAAAATACCTTTAGGAGCATCTAGATCATTCCATCCTTCTATAAGCCTGCAAGGCCAGCAGGGCCCACCTTGGATACAGACGGAAGCTCCGAGGAGCTCAGGGCCTGCTCCTTGGATTTTCAGTGCCAGCAGCAAGATTTGTGACCCCAGTCTAGTGCTCCGTTGCCTAGTTTGAGCAGAAGTCAAACTGGGGGTTAGTATTGGGAAGCTGAAATTCACCACTCTCTAGAGTTCTTCAGTGAAGTAACACACTTTGAAGAGCACTGACTGGTCAGGCCAGGCTCCTGTGTAGTAAGATGAGGGGACTCCCAAATGACTGCTGATTCACTTTCCGTAGAACAGATGCAAGACTTCCCCTGGGTTTGCTGAGTCTTTATCTAGGGTTGGTTTTTGTTGTCTTTTATTTTTAAACTCTGCCCAACGGGCTGTTTTGATCTCAGAAGAGTTTGAAACAAGTTTCCCAGGCATGTATCCCCATTTACAGTGTGCCCAGATTCCGTCCTAGATCGCTCACATATCACCCTACCTCTCCAGCCTGCTTTCTCTAGCAGCAGACCCCAGCACTTCCCAGTGCCCATGGGGCTTTACCGCAACTGCCGCCAGCTCTTCCCTGCACCCATCCCCTCCATGCCCTCCCTTCCCTCGCAGCATGGCGTCAGCCCATCACCAAAGTCACTCCCTGATGTGCTCCCTCAGCTCCTGCCCCTCCTGTGCTGGGTTCTGCCACTCAACTGACTTCTGAGAGGCACAGTCAGTGTGGCAGTCTGGCTCTCCCTATGACTGCTGACCTCACATGGTCATCTGGGGCTGCCCAGCAGTCCCAGCACCGCAACCTTTCAGCCCACTCCCCTACACTGTCTCTCCTCTCCTTAGGAGCACCTTGTTTCTGTTCCTCATTGAGTCAGCACAGGAGTCCACCCCTACTACCACCTGCCTGGCATGGTGGCCGTGGTCCTAAGGTAGACCTTGTACCCTCCCACCCCCTCGGGGACAGACTCCAGCAGGTGTCCCTCCATCTTTTGCATTGCTGTTTCCTTCCATCTGACTTGCCCTATCAGGGCAGGCCTACTGTCAATACCCATGAAGACCTGTGTCCCTCCTACCACCACCCCGTTGCTCTACTCTCGTTCTCTCTGTGTGTGTGTGTGTGTGTGTGTGTGTGTGTGTGTGTGTGTGTGTGTTTACTATTTGGAATTTTCCGTAATAAACATATACAGAAATACAAAAAAAGACACAGAATAGTATCCTGCAGCCTCCTCCACCACACCCACATACTTATCACCCATTCCAGCACTTAACAGTTTATACCTGATCTTCTTTCATCTAGTTCCCTGCCCAGCCACTCTCAGTAATTCTGTAGCGAATCCCAGCCAATTTCATACATACGCAATTCTATTACTACATCAAAAAATTCATCATGTCTAAAAAATCAAAAATTTCTTAATATCATCAAATACCCAGTGTTAACATATCCAGCTGTCTCACAATTGCCCCCTTTTTTTTTTTAAGAACTTGTTTGTTTGAATAAGGATTAAAATAAAGTCCACACAGTAGAGTTGATTGATTTGTCTCTAAGTGTCTTAGGCTAAAGTTTCCCCTGCATCTCTCTTTTTATTTGTTGAAGAAACTGTGTTATTCGTTCTATAGATTTCTCCAGTCTAGATTCCATCCCCTCGTGTTTGTTCATCTAACGTGTTCCCCTGCCTGTCATATTTCCTATTAATTGGAAGTTGATTCCAGAAACCTGATCAGATAGATTGAGGCTTTGGCAAAACCACTTCATAGGTGGTAGTGTGTTCTATCACGAGGTGTACACCATCGCATTGTCTCTGTGTGTGAAGTTCACAGCTGTTAATGCTCAGAGCCAAGATTGATCCATCCATCCTCTCTTTCCATCCCTCTGCAAGCCGATGGGCCAGCGGTTAAGCTTCAGCCCTGTCTTCCTTGGCCGTCTGCAGCTCTTGGCACAGTCACTGCTTCTCCCCTGCCTGGAACGCTATGTACTTGTGTTCTGGACACTACCTGTCCACTCTCGCTGCACTGTCAGTTCCTTCCCGACCCCCTTAACTGCTTTCTCGTCTCCTCCACCTCAGCATGTTGAGCACCACAGGCCGTGGTCATGGACTGCTTCTGTTCTGCATCTTCCCTTACTCCTTAACTCATCCAAACAGTCCCACAGCTTTACACCCATCTGGAAAGCTCCACATTTGTATTTGTTTTTTTTTTTTTTTGAGACGGAGTTTCACTCTTGTTGCCCAGGCTGGAGTGCAATGGTGCGATCTCAGCTCCCCGCAACCTCCGCCTCCCAGGTTCAAGCGATTCTCCTGCCTCGGCCTCCCAAGTAGCTGGGATTACAGGCATGTACCACCACGCCCATCAAATTTTGTATTTTTAGTAGAGACAGGGGTTTCTCCGTGTTGGTCAGGCTGGTCTTGAACTCCTGACCTCAGGTGATCCCCCCGCCTCAGCCTCCCAATGTGGAAAGCTCCACATTTCTATCTCCTACCAAAGTATTCGTCCATAATCCGAATTCACCAACAACAGCCTATTTCACATCGCCACTTGATGCCTGTGGGGGATAATTCTCTAACTGTGTTTTTCCTCTGCTCTCACATCACAACAATCATCAACACAGAAGAAGATTTCTGTGACAAACGTGTGGGGATTTTTCCCCACACACCAAGCAGCAGACACCAGTTGGGTGTCCTCGAATTCAGTTCCGACACTGTCTACCTGAAGATAGTGCCAGTCCCACCGGGTGAGAGCTCAGTCCCCAAAACTGCCCCCCCCCGCGCGCACACACACACACACACACACACACACACACATATCAATTGCAAGTCCAGGCCTTCAGAACTTCTGACTGACTGGCTACAAGGTGGGGCTCCTACAACTCCCTCTTTGGATTCATTTAATTTGCTGTAGCAGCTCACAGAACTCAGGGAAACACATTTACCAGTTTATCATAAAGGATACTGCAAAGGATACAGATAAAGAAATGTGTAGAGAGAAGTATGGGGGAAGGGGTGCTGTATTAGTCCGTTTTCACGCTGCTGATAAAGACATACCTGAGACTGGGTAATTTATAAAGAAAAAGAAGTTTAATGGACTCACAGTTCCATGTGGCAGGGGAGGCCTCGCAATCATGGCAGAAGGCGAAAGGCACGTCTTACATGGCAGCAGGCAAGAGAAAAATGAGAGCCAAGCAAAAGGGGAAACCCCTTATAAAACCATCAGATTTCATGAGACTTATTCACTACCATGAGAACAGTATGGGGGGAACTGCCCCCATGATTCAATTATCTCCCATCAGATCCCTCCCACAACATGTAGAAATTATGGGGGCTACAATTCAAGGTGAAATTTGGGTGGGGACACAGCCAAGCTATATCAGGTGCAGAGCTTCCAAGCCCTTTCTGGAAACTCCAGGAGCCTCCACATGGTCAGCTCTCCAGAGGCTCACTGAACCCTGTCCTCTTGGCTTTTTATGAAAGCTTCATGATGTCAGCATTCCTTCCCCCAGGGTATAGGGTAGGACCCTCTCATGGAAGGTGTTTTAAGACCCACAATCGGAATAGAGTCCTGCCTTGGGATAGGTAATAAGAGGGCAAGAGAAGGTCAGGGGCCTGCCTCAGAGGCCTGACACACCTAACATAATAACAGATGACTATAACAAGGGTTATAAGCCAGCAACTGTGGACGAAAACTAATACATATCATAGCACCACAGCCTACTCCCTGGTTTTCTACTGTGGATCCTTTATATCAAAAAACATATATATACACAATCATTAATAATTAGTCCAGTCCATCATAGTGTATGAATGTCTCCCAGGATGATGAGGACACTCAGGTTTGCAGGTTTCCTCTCAATATTGTCAGGTTCCACAAGCAGGAGTGGTCTGGGTAAATACACAGCTTCACCCTCTCAGGCATGTGGAATCATTGAGCTAAGAGGCAGTGTCATCTCTTGCCCTGAGACTCTTTTGAGTTGTCTCATTTGCCCATTTATTTGTTTACTCTCAGCTACTATTTCTCCTTCTCTCCATTAATCTCCAAACTTTTTTGAAGGGACATTAGAATCACCACTGTGCTGGTCTAGATTACAAGCAGCAATACAAGTCTAGCAAGTAGCTCCTCAGTCCACTCCCATTCAGATAGGGTGAGGCTACATAGATGCAGAACCAATGAGCTATTTTTACCACCGGCCATATTCACTGTTAGCCCCAATTTTGTTAGAAGGGGTGAAGGCACATCTCACCCCCATGATGCCCTCAGGAATTTTGACATAATATTTAAAAACATGGTTACAGTTTTTTACTTAGCATTCCTGCTAAAAATTTTTTGAAGTGTTGGGCGCAGTGGCTCATACCTATAATCTAAGCTCTGTGGAAGGATGGGAGGATGGATTGAAGTCAGGAGTTGGAGACCAACCCAGGCAATACAGTGAGACCCCATAGCTAAAAAACAAAAATCATCTTTGCTGTCCCAGCAACTCCTGTCCTAGGATCACTGCATCGGGTAGGGGAGAAAAAATACTTTTTTTTCTTAGATGATTTGGGGAAACTCTGCTTTCTCTCTCTCTCTCTCTCTCTCTCTCTCTCTCTCTCCCCCCCTCCCCTCTCTCTCTCTCTCTCCCCCCCTCCCCCTCTCTCTCCCCCTCTCTCTACCCCTCTCTCTCCCCCTCTCTCTCCCCCTCTCTCTCCCCCTCTCTCTCCCTCCCTCTCTCCCTCTCTCCCTCTCTCCCTCTCTCTCCCTCTCTCCCTCTCTCTCCCTCTCTCCCTCTCTCTCCCTCTCTCCCTCTCTCCCCTCAAGGAGTATCTCCTCCTTGAGTTCCTCAGGTAGCATGATCCTCTATAAACCATTTCCATTTTATTGTGGAACTCTTCTAGGCACTGCCTTCCCCATTAGAATGTTCTTGGACATCACCTGAGACAGCATGGGTATTTCAGATGTCATAGGGGTAACTTCAACTAACATTTCATAGCAAGGTCCCTTAAGTGGAAATTCTCTATTCCAAAGTCCCAGTAGTTGTTGCTGGGAGGTGCTCAAAACACTTTTGCCATAAGCCCCAGGAACTGCTCCACAGGGGGTTATCAAGTGGAGAGTTTGTCCCTGCCAGCACTCTAGCTTCTACTCTGCACTCTGCAGGCTTGGGCATGTCCAATTAATATTGGAGAGCAGATTTACATGCCTTCTGTTTTATAGTACCAGGTAGGGGAAACATTCTCCAGTGTGATACTGTGTTCATTACCATGATACAATCAAATAAAAGAGATGCAGTCGGCCGGGCACGGTGGCTCACGCCTGTAATCCCAGCACTTTGAGAGGCCAAGGTGGGCAGATCAGGAGGTCAGGAGATGGAGACCATCCTGGCTAACACGGTGAAACCCCGTCTCTACTAAAAAATAGAAAAAATTAGCCGGGCATGGTGACGGGCGCCTGTAGTCCCAGCTACTCAGGAGGCTGAGGCAGGAGAATGGCGTGAACCCGGGAGGCGGAGCTTGCAGTGAGCCGAGATTGCGCCACTGCACTCCAGCCTGGGCGACAGAGTGAGACTCCGTCTCAAAAACAAAAAAAAAGAGATGCAGTCAATTCACATGAAGTGTGTTCAAATATACCAACTTTCATCATCCTATCAACCCTTACATTTTTATATTCTAGTTTCAGGAACTTCTTCACCCCCAGACCATTTTACTCTCTCTTGCGCAAAAAGCTTTGGGTCTTCTGCCAAGGGTTGAGCCAAAGGACCCTGGACCTTTTGTCAATCTTTATTTTGATTAGTCTGCCCCATTTTTGCCCCAGGCAATTTCATATCATATGTTTCATTGTAATCTCTACCTTGCAACTTTTAAAATTTCTTCAAACTGCAAGAAATACAGTAAACTGGGTTAGGGCCGTTTAATGTTGGGAGAGCGGAGGGGTTTGGTCCACCCAAGCTTCGATAATGTTGTATTAAGATCTTTGTTGTGCTCACTTCGGCAGCACATATGCTAAAATTGGAACCATACAGAGAAGATTAGCATGGCCCCTGCTCATGAATGACACGTTATTTTTTAACAACAGCAAAAAAAGACCTTTGTTTTGGTAAGCGCAGTGGCTCATGCCTGTAATCCCAGCACTTTGGGAGGCTAAGGCGAGTGGATTGTTTGAGCTCAGGAGTTTGAGACCAGCCTGGGCAGCATGGCAGAACCCTGTCTCTACATAAAATACACAAAATTAGCCAGGCGTGGTGCCACATGCCTGTAGTCCCAGCTACTCAGGAGGCCGAAGTGGGAGGATTGCATGAGCCTGGGAGGCAGAGATTGCAATGAGCTAAGATCACGCCACTGCACTCCAGCCTGGGTGACAGAGCAAGACCCTGCCTCAAAAAACAAAGACCTTTGTTTTAACTGTATCAATTTCCATTTTATTCATTCCATTTCTTAATAACCATCTAAAGATTTCTACCCTGCTGGGATGAGTCCCATGACTCTCCCCTTTCTTTTTCTTCTTAGTTTTATCCTATCAGTGTTTTCTTCACCTTATTTGTTAATAACCATTTTAAAATTTCCACCTTCCTGGGAGGAGTCCTTTGGCTCTCACTTTTGCCTTTCCCTGTTCTCTTGTTAATTAACCTAATATTTTTATTAGCATCTATAAGACCCATGAAGGGAAGCTGAGACAGCAAATTTAATAAGGCTTCTTGAACTGTTCATTTCTGTAGGAGTAATATCACATGGGGTGCCCATGTAGAAGGGGCCCTCTTAACCACACATTTACCATGACTTGGGTAACAGGCATGTTCAGCGTGTGAATAGCCCTGTCATCATAAAGCCAGTCCCACATGCATACAGAGCATATCAGCTACTGCATCTGGGGTGTCCCACTTGACATTTGTAGGTAGAGTTGGACAGTCCCCCTTCTCAGGGTGAACAGACCTTACAGTGGCTTTTATCTGTTCCACCAAGCTGCCAGTTACCGCAGGAATAGCCTCCTGTGTGTCTGGATCATATATACCCATATGCAGTTGTTCAATAGTGAGCTGTGGGTCCCATCAATCCAAACATGTACTTCTACTCTGTAGTGTTTAAAACCAAAGATACTGCCCCTAAATTAGTCACTCTTACAGTGCGTTTTAGTAAAGGTTCCTCAGGAAGCTGATGATACTGATCTACAGAATGAAACAGTTCTTTCGCACTATACCCTCTAGTTTCCATAGTTACTTAGTTTTGCCCCTCCTTCACATTGACTACCTTCTTGGTAACCACAAGTCTCAGAGGTACTTTCTGTTGTCCCTGCGTAATTTTCTCCTTTGTGGGTAACTTTAAGGCTAGTGGACTAAGCTCAGGCAGACCCACATCTGAGCTTAGTCCAGCCTCAAGTCCTGACCCAGCACCCTCTTTTATTTTAGCCATTATAGACAACAATAACCAGGGATTAAATATTTCACTTTTTTCTTAGTTTGCATTTCTTTATGCATCCAGTGCCCCAACTCCTGGGGAGTTGGATCCATCTCTGAATTCCACTGGTAACTTTTACCTTTAGTAACTGATCTCAGCACAGCTGTGGCTTCATACCCTGGGTGACCACATGGCCACATAGGAATCCAAAGATTCCTGATCCCCCACCCTTTTATCCTTTCTCTTCTCAAACCACATGTTTCTGTGAGTCAGAGCTGTTCCAACAAATCCTGCTTCGCTGATACCAAATGTGTGGTGTACGGCTCCCAGCAGACTGATTTTTATGTCGCTATTAATATAAACCTTGATGATCAGATGCTTTGAAAGATCTTTGGGTGTAAAGGACAAAATGTAATGGCAGCATACACAACATGCCGCAGTGTGCTATGTACACTTTTATCACCGTTCCTTTTGTGGATGAAAAGCTATTAAGCAGAATACAGGAAAACACTGGGTTCTTAATGGGATTAAAGCAGTGGGGCTGGGCACGGTGGCTCACACCTGTAATCCAAGCACTTTGGGAGGCCCAAGCTGGAGGATCACCTGAGTCCAGAAGTTTGAGACCAGCCTGGGCAACATGATGAGATGAGACCTTGTCTCTACAGAAATTTGAAAAATTAGCAGAGTGTGGTGGTCCGCACCTGTGGTCCCAGCTATACAGGAAGTTGAGGCTGGAGGATCTCTTGGACCCAAGAGGTCGAGGTAGTAGTGAGCCATGTTTGCACCACTGCACTCCAGCCTAGGTGACAGAGTGAGACCCTGTCAATCAATCAATCAGTAAAATAGTGGGCATCACATAGTGGATCTGAGTTCCTTTAGGGAATGGTCCCACCCTGAGACAAGGAAAGCTGTAGGAGGCCTTGTGGCACACTCACACTAAACTACATGTAGATGTGACCACCACTCATCTAACTCTAGTATGGGTCACCCAACATTTCTGGGTGCAAAACATATATCCTAACTGTACTCAGGCCTTTACTACACACTGCAGCAACATGCATGTTGGATGAAACAACACTGACCCACCAGACAGAAAAGGGCCTTATAGGAGATAGGTGCAGGTCTGGGTATCCTGGGATAAGTTGAGTTTGCTTTCAATGAGCAGCAGAATTCAGAGGAAAATGCAGATTAGAGGGAGTTCTCTTCCAGGAGGAAGGCAAAAGGATGGGAGTCAGCTTGGAAAGATAAGGAGGCTTTGGCAGAGTGAGCCAGGCCAACTCAATAAACAGTGCTGAAGAGAATGCTAAGATGCAGCTTTGGGAAAGGGCCTGTACCCAGACCCAACAGGGCCTCTTCACAATTTTAATACAAATAGAGGCTGAAATGGGGGGCAGTGGCCCTCAGTCTTGGCTGCTGAGGCTCAGGGCACACCTGTGGGACTCTTATGGCCCTCTGAATTTACGGAAGTTCTCTGAGGGCACTTGCAGTTTACATCAATGTGCTATGACTGCCCATGCCTTTAGGTTAGGGCAAAGTAAAACATGTTCTGCAGTGTAGTTGGTAGGTATAGGAACTATTCTAAACACCCATCAAATGAATGAATGAATGAATGAATGAAAGAAAAAGAAACAAGGAAGGAAGGAGAGAGAGAGAAGAAAGAAAGAAAAAAGAAAGAAAGAATGAGAAAGAAAAGAAAGGGAAGGAAAGGAAGAAAGAAAAGAAAGAAATAGGCCAGGTATTGTGGCTCAAGCCTTTAATCCTAGCACTTTGGGAGGCTGAAGCGGGAGGATCACTTGAGCCCAGGAGTTCAAGACCAGCCTGGGCAATGAAGTGAGACCCTGTCTCTATTTAATTAGTAAAATTAACACCACCCATGTACTGTCTGCAGGAGGCAGGTGGGCTGTGCTATAACTGATAGCACCCAGTGGAAACCAGCAGTACAAGCCTGTGAGATGAGACAGGGTGATTGGCTCTGCCCCTAATTAATTTCAAATCCAGAAATGACTGAGTCATGGCCATTGTAACAACACCTGTCCTTAATAACATTTGGTATATGGGCAAGGGGAGATTTTATTGGGAAGGCAAAGGAAATACCTCTGTCATTCTTACTAATCTATAATGAAGCTAAATTGTACCACGATTGTATCACAATATGGTGTAATACTGGGGGCATTGGTAAGGTTCAGCTTCCTCATGTAAATAAGCTTTATGATAATACTGATACGATCAGATGTATTGGGAGGTTGAGTTGAAGCTCCCTCAGGATGGAATGCCTGTGGAAAACGGCCCAAGAAGGAACTGGATCTAGCTAACCATCAGCTGATCTCTGTGCGAAACAGCTCTGCACAAGTTTATCCTAAGGTCCAATAGCGGTAGACCAAGGCAGGAAAGAACAGTGAGGCTAGTACACGATTATGAAAGTGTTTGTGTGACTTCATAGGACAAATTAGTCATTTCTTTAAATTCATCCCTACCCACACTGGCTTCTCCAGATTTTAGGTGGCGGCATTGCTGTAACTGTTTTATAAATGCTACAACAAATGTTCTGATAGATACATTTGTTTTGGTATAAGGGATCTGTGATTGAAAACCAAGGAATGGCCTATGGAGCTGTAGATATATATGTATTGGTATCCGTCCACAGTTCCTGGTTTATAGTGTCCACATCCCTTGTTACAGTCTGGTTGTAATGCTGGATGTGTTAGGCCTCAGGAAACAGAATCTCTCCTGCCCTCCTTTATGTACCCCAAGGCAGGACTCTAATCTTTTCCCATCTTGTGGGTTTGAGATCCTACCCTATACCCTGGGGGAAGGAATGCTGACGTCATGAAGCTGCCATTAAAAACCCTAGAGGACTGGGTTCAAGGAGCTTCTAGAAAGCTAAACCCGTGGAGGCCAACAGGAAAGTGAAGAAGAACTCGCTCACGTGCCGGGAGGGCGACACACCCCCAACTCCTCAGGTTCAGAAGCTCCTGTGCTCAGGACCCTTCCAGACCCCGCCCTGTGTGTCTGTTCATCTGGCTGTTTATCCTTTAAAATATCCTTCTTAGAGCCAGGAGCTGTGGCCCTGAGAAGGCTCAGACCTGTAATCCCAGCGCTTAGGGAGGCTAAGGTGGGTAGATCACTTGAGCCCAGGAGTGGAGACCAGCCGGGTAACATAATGAGACCTTGTGTCTACAGATAATAATAAAAACAAAAATAGCTGGGCATGGTGACACAGGCCTGTAGTCCTAGCTGCTTGGGAAGCTGAGGTGGGAGGATAGCTTGAGCCTGGGAGACCGAGACTGCAGTGAGCTGTGATTCTTACACACACACACACACACACACACACACACACACACACACATTCTTAGTAAACTGATAAACTTAGGTAAGTGTTTCTTTGAGTTCTGTGAACCACTCTAGCAAATCAGTCAAACCCAGAGGGGATTGTTGGAACCCCAGTTGAAGCCAACTGGTCAGAAATTCCAGAGGCCTGGGCTTGCGACTGGACAGGAAGGTGGGAACATTCTGGGGGACTGAGCCTCAAGCTGTGGGATCTAACGCTGTCTCCAGGTAGATGGTGTCAGAATTGGATTGGAAGACACCTGGCTGGTATCCGCTGCTTGGTGGTGGGGTGAGACCCCCACACATTTGGTCACAGAAGTTTTCTTCTGTGTTGATGATTGTTGTGGTGTGAGAGTAGAGGGAAAAGCACGGTTAGAGGAGCAAGTTTTCCCCACACAGTGTCTGACAGGCTTCTCTACTTAAAACTGGAATACGGACTCCGGCTCCATTCCAGACTGTTCCTTCCTCAGTGTCCCCGTCTGTTAAAGGCAGTGTCATTCTTCCAGGTGTTCAGGCCTTAAAGCCTGAGAGAGGTGCTTAGCTCTTCCGTTTCTCTCACACACCACATCCTGTGCTTGTACAAATACTGTTTCTTCCCCCTTCCACATCTATTTAAAACCCAGTCACTTCTCATCATCTCCACCGTTGTCAGCTAGGATCAAATGAGCATCATCTCTTGTCTGGACAGTTGGAGCCTCCTACCCTGTCTGCCTGGAGCCTTCTAACCTGGTCCTGCAGTCTGTTCTCAACAGAACACTGGAGCCTTCCACATTCAATCATGTCACTCCTCTGTCCTGAACCATCTGGTGGTTCTTCTCGCAACCCCCACCAGATATCAGCATGGCTGGTGTCCAAGCCTCCTGCACATTTTTGACGCACTCTTGCCATATCAGAGTGGCCTTCCCTGACCACACCCTCCTTGGTGGTCACTCTCCTCCTCCCCACCCAGCCAGCACTCTTTTCTCCCTTCCCCTGCTTACCTGCCCTCACCCTCTGGTAACTCCATGTTTACTTGTCACCCTCTCGTGGAATGTGAGCTCCCAGCAGGCAGGGCCCTAGTTCTTTCCATCAGCTGTGTCCCAAGTGCCTGAAAGGGTGCTGGGCACGGCACATGCCCAGCAAATAGGGGTGGAATGGTAACCCTTTTCCTGTAAGTCTGAACTATCCTTGGGCTAGGAATCGACCATCTCTTCTTACTCACTTTGTGATGTGGGAGGCTCCACGGCCTCCCTCGGTATCTTGGAAGATGGGGATGATGGTGATATCCACATCGCGGGGCTCTTAGGAAGATGAAGCTACGTCATGCAGCAGGTCTCAAGAAGGCCAGTCTCCTCTCTTTCCCTGCCCTGTAGTCCCATCTCTCTCCTGCCCAGAGTTGAGTCACCTGGGCCAGTGTACCCTGAGGCCCTGGCCAGCCTTGCCTCTTCCCCTCAAGGGTCTCAGACTGGTGCCAACAGTCACATTGTCACACCAAAGCCAGGAGTGCGGAGAGAGGATGTGGAACAGGGTCTAAATACCTGAAGCTGGGGACAGCATGGCCCTGCACGTCTCTACTAAAAAATTAAAAATTAGCTGAGTGCGGTGGTACATACCTGTGGTCCTAGCTACTCAGGAGGCTGAGACAGGAAGATCATTTGGAGCCTGGGAGGTCAAGGTTGCAGTGAGCCCTGATTGCACCACTGCACTCCAGCCTCAGTAACAGAGGGAGACCCTGTCTCAATAGAACTAAAAAGAAAAATAAAATAAAAACTACCTGAAGTCTTACCACCCAAGATAACTGATGAGTTAGTGTATATCTTTCATCTTTTTTTTCTCTGCTCTTCTTTAAAGTTTCTGTTTAAGCTAATATTTTTCACATAATAAAAACATTTTTCATGCTATTAATTATACAACAGTATAATTTTTATTGGCTACATATCATTGTTGTTTGTTGGTTTATTGAGACAGAGTCTCACTCTGTCACCCAGGCTGGAGTGCAATGGCACCGTCATAGTTCACTGTAGCCTTGGACCCTGGGCTCAAGCAATCCTCCAGTCTCAGTCTCCCGAGTAGCTAGGACTGCAGGCATGTACCACCACACCTGGCTAATTTTTATTTATTGTCCATACAATCCCCTGCATTCAGATGGGTGGCATTTTTTTCGTTATAAGCAGTACTGTGCCAAACACTCTAGCACAGACATCTCAGTGTATGACTTTGATCACTGTTTTAGGATAAATTCCTAGAATTGGAGCTGCAGGTGAAGAGGGTGGGGTATTTTGAAGGTTTTCCATGCCTGGCACTTAGAGTTTCTCTTGCCCCATCAGTGTGACTCACAGCCAAGGCCTTTCTAGCCCCACCACCTCAGGGATTCCCCCTAGCTTTTTCCCTCTTGACTGCCTGGCTCAGATTGTTTCTTAGCCAATTTCAGACTTCCAAGAGAGGAACGAGATTCATGTAAATTAACTTTTAGAGCCAAGCCACCTCAGCAGAAGCTTAGGGACCAGCCTGTGAGCAGGGTGCCCCTTGATTTTGACTTTTTTAGAGATATGACTAGACAGGTCATGAGCAGAAACAGCCCTAGTACAGCCTGTGACATTTACAACATGAGGTTTATCTGTTTCTTCTCCTTCTTTAAGAATGTCTTTCTGAATACGTTATATTTTTAGGATCAAATTCCTAATGTGAGTCACTCAGTGTGCCTTAGTCAGCTGTTTCCTCCCTGAGTGCAGGCTATGTCCTTGGCCCTTGTGCCAGGAGCCAAAGTTACAAAAATGAGTAAAACAGGAATGTAATACTGTAATAGGGCCTTAAAGAACCCTAACAGTGATGGTAGTACTACTGCATAATGCTTACAGCCTGCCAGGGCTTGTCAGTAAATTCTTTGCATATATTAACCCATGTAATCTGCATGCCAACCCTTTGAAGTAGGGTTTTAAGAGATCAGTAAATTGCAGCATAGAGAGGTTGTGTAATTTGCCCAAATTCACACAGCTAGTAAGTGGTGGAGCTAAAATTGGAGACATGTCCATAGTTTTCTAAGTACCAAGAGCTGTACAAAGAGCTATGGAAATGGGTCAACAAATTGATACATTTCCTAAGCTGTGCATACTGTGCAGCCATTAAACAGAATAAAAAAGAACTG
The DNA here is from genome assembly GCF_000001405.40 of Homo sapiens. Classification (NCBI taxonomy): domain Eukaryota; kingdom Metazoa; phylum Chordata; class Mammalia; order Primates; family Hominidae; genus Homo; species Homo sapiens. Next base: position 130,061,788 of record NC_000008.11, on the reverse strand, counting down.
ATTTGGAGCTTTCCTAAACATAGTAAGTGGGAGAAAAGCAAAGTTTCAGACTATGTATCCCTTGTATGGTTTTTAAAAGACATAGCACACGCGTGTGTATCACCAAAATGTAACAGAGGTTAACCCGAGACAGGGGCACAAAGTAGAAGAAGCCTTTTGCTACCTCGCTTATATACTGCATGAATCATGTAAAATGGGGAGAAATAATAATAAATTATGATACAGCTATAGAATGGAATAGAATGCACCATTCAAAATTACATACAACTAGTAAATAATTTTTAATAACATGACAAATACTGTTGCTAAAATGGTATTAGATAAAAGCAAGTAAAAGTTATATCTATAGAAAATATATAGGAAAATTAAAAGGAACTATATAAAAGAATTTTAAATGGCTACATTTAGGTGTTAGGCTTAAGAACTCTGTACTTTCCGATTCTCTGCAATCTGTTTCTATTTATTTTTTTTAATTCTGGATGAATGTAGACATCCTGTTCTTATATAATTGAAGCATAAAATCATGAATTGTAACACTTTCCAGGCTTTCAAACTTTGTCTTTGTAAAACTGCCTGGGTGGGCCTGGCCCCTGAGTTCATCCATTTCAAGTGCTCACTATAGGTCAGTTCCCTTCATGATGATGGTGCCTCTTTTAGGTGACTGACAGGAAAGCAGCCCTTCCCACCAATGACCTCCTTGTTTTTGATTGCTTCCACAGTGGCACTAAGGAAAACAGATCATCTCTCCCTAGACAAAGCCACCATCCCGCCCGAAATCTTTCAGAAATCATCACAGTTGGCAGAGTTGCCACAAAAGCCACCACCTGGAGACCTGCCCCCAAAGCCCACAGAACTGGCCCCCAAGCCCCAAATTGGAGATTTGCCGCCTAAGCCAGGAGAACTGCCCCCCAAACCACAGCTGGGGGACCTGCCACCCAAACCCCAACTCTCAGACTTACCTCCCAAACCACAGATGAAGGACCTGCCCCCCAAACCACAGCTGGGAGACCTGCTAGCAAAATCCCAGACTGGAGATGTCTCACCCAAGGCTCAGCAACCCTCTGAGGTCACACTGAAGTCACACCCATTGGATCTATCCCCAAATGTGCAGTCCAGAGACGCCATCCAAAAGCAAGCATCTGAAGACTCCAACGACCTCACGCCTACTCTGCCAGAGACGCCCGTACCACTGCCCAGAAAAATCAATACGGTGGGTGGGACAATGTTCAGGCCCTTAGGAACCCTATTCCGCACTTTGCAAGTTGGTGGGAGGGCAGGTGCTCCAACTTACACAAGAAAAAGTGAGAGCTTGCTCACCTGACCCTTATGTGCTCTGGTTCAAGCATGATGGTGGATTAGAGCCTGTGGGTTACAAACCCAGGCTTTAGGCTCCAGCAGACAGGCTTCAAGACCTGGCTTCAGTGCCTGACATAACTGCACAACCTTGGCAAGTTACTTTCTCTGAGTCTTACTTTCTTCACATACAAAAAGGAGCTAATACAATATTTGAGCTCACAGATGATTAAATACAGTGACAAATGAGCAGCACTTGGCTGGCACCTAGACCACTGAGCAAGTAGTCACTATTACCTAGGAACCTTGAGGATGAAACTTTTCCTTTCCTGAGGGTCACGAGAAACCAATTTCCCTCTCGGGGTTCTGGGTATTTTCTCTCTCTCTCTATTTTTTTTTTTTTTTTTTTTTTTTTTTTTTGAGAAGGGCTCGCTCTGTCGCCCAGGCTGGAGTGCAGTGGTGCGATCACAGCTCACTGCAGCCTCAGTCTCCTAGGCTCAGGTGATCCTCTTACCTCAGCCTCCTGAGTAGCTGGGACCAAGGTACATATCACTACGCCTGGCTTTTTTTTAATATTTTTGGTAGAGATGGGGTTTTGCCATGTTGCCCAGGCTGGTCTTGAACTCATGGGCTCAAGCACTCCTCCCATCTTGGCCTCTCAAAGTGCTGGGATTACAGGCGTGAGCCACTGCACCTGGCTCCCTGAGTTGCTAAGTCAGACTTTCTCGCTGCATCTTCCTAAAGGAATTGGAGATAAAGCTCTCGATATAATAGAATAGCATAGAATTTTGTAGAAATCTCATATTCTGTCATTTTCATGAAATGTTTCCTACTCTATATCCAGAAGTTCTCCCATTGCACATGGCAGCTCTACCTGCCTCACATTCTGTTATAAAATGTTACAGTACCCAGCACTTTGGGAAGAGGCGAGTGGATCGCTTGAGGCCAGGAGTTCAGGGCTGCTGTGATCACACCACTACACTCCAGCCTGGGTAACAGAGCAAGACCCTGTCTCAAAAAAATTAAAATGGGGCTGGGTGCAGTGGCTCACATCTGTAATTTCAGCACTTTGGGAGGCCAAAGTGCGAGGTTCCCTTGAGCCCAGGATTCATGACCAGCCTGGGCAACATACAGAGAAACCGTCTCTATAAAAAATAAAAATTAATTAGCTGGGCATGGTGGTACATGCCTGCGATCCCAGCTACTTGGGAGGCTAAGGCGGGAAGATTGCTTGAGCCCTGGAGATCGAGGCTGCAGTGAGCGTAATCATGCCACTGCACTCTAGCCTGGGCAACAGAGTGAAACCCCGTCTCAAAAAAAAAAAAAATTTAAATGTTGCAGTAAAAGTGTGTCATATCAATACTTAAATTAAGAAAAATAAAACCCATCTTCCTGTAGGTTGGAGGCTGCCGTGTCTGATGGTGGATACTTCTGCTATTCAAAAGGGAACTCTCCCATGACTCCCAAGCACCACTGATGCAAAATTTTCATTTCATGCTACACACTATATAGTTTTATTATGTCATTTAATCTCTGTGTTATAAATTAACACACTACAGGCCTCTCAGTTGCTCACGCAGTCACTGCCACAGTTCTGCCAGGCTTCTCCAACCCACCCGCACGGCCCAGAAGGGAGCTCGGAAAGCAGCTGGAACTATCAGGGTGATTAAAGGAGAAACCAGGGGACAGAGAGGAAGAGGCACTCCACCCAAAACATTTAAAGAGACAGCTTGCTTTTTTTAAAATTGCCAATTAGCCAGGTGCAAAACAAAAACCCATCATTTAGAAGGTGATACCTCTATTTTCACTTTTCTATTTGCAAAGAACTGGAAGTTCAACAAATAAATGCTCAAATCAAAACTAATCAAAAATTAAAACTGTTTTAGGAACTGCATAGACTTCTCCGAGCCCCAGGCCGATCCTGCTGTGTTTAACCAGCATGTACTGACTTGCTGTTTTGCATGAGGGGACTGACAAATTTGTTTATGCTGCACATTCATTATGCAGAAGCTGCAGATTTTGCTTTACATCATGTTTCCTAAAAACATTTTTAGACTCTGCTGTCATTCTGCAAGCTGATGTGGGTTGGGGGTGCGTACAGAGTGCTTGATGGTTTTTGGTGAAGCTCAATTTTGATCCCTACCCATAGTGTTTGCTTTCTGGTGAAAATAACTTGATGATGCCCAATCACCAATGCAGGGCCACCCTGATGATGGGGGGAGAGGAAGGGCCTGTAGTTAAGAGTACACAGTATGCTGGGTGCCTGACAGACACTCTTCTTCCCGCCCTTCAAGGGTGAGGAAATCAAGGCTCAGCGAGGTTAAGTTACTGGCCAAGGTCAACCATTTTACAAAGAACCGCTGCTCTTTTTTTCCATTCAGTCCATTCTTTCAATTAAAACCCAGTTTCTTTCTTTAAGGGGAAAAATAAAGTGAGGCGAGTGAAGACCATTTATGACTGCCAGGCAGACAACGATGACGAGCTCACATTCATCGAGGGAGAAGTGATTATCGTCACAGGGGAAGAGGACCAGGAGTGGTGGGTACGTACGAATATCCATCCACTTCATCCGTACATTCATACAGCATGCCTGGGCAGGCACCACATTGGAGCCTACAGACAGTGCAGTAAAAGAGGGCTCTTGAGCACAAGGACCCTGTCAGCTGCATCACTCACCCAACAGCCATTGCATTTGGTGTCTTTTCTATGTCACACACTATTACATGCTAGAAAAACAGCCGTGGAGCTGGCCGGGCACAGTGGCTCACGCCTGTAATCCCAGCACTTTGGGAGGCTGAGGCGGATGGATCTCGAGGTCGGGAGTTCGAGACCAGCCTGGCCAGCATGGTGAAACCCCGTGTCTACTAAAAATACAAAAAATTAACTGGGCATGGTGGCACGCACCTGTAGTCCCAGCTACTCGGGAGGCCAAGGCAGGAGAATCGCTTGAACCCGGGAGGCACAGGTTGCAGTGAGATGAGATCACACCACTACACTCCAGCCTGGGCAACAGAGCGAGACTCCATCTGAAAAAAAAGAAAAACAGCCATGGGGCTTTGAAGACAGGTCAAGAGAATTAACATTTGTATGTACTTTACCCATGGTATCATGTAACCTTGTGAGTTGTAGGCATTTTCTGATTTTTCATATAAATACTAAAGCGGAAGAAAGTTGAGCATGTTGCCTGTGGTCCCTCAGCCAGTAAGCAGGCTAAGTCAAGATTCCAGATCGGCCCTGACCCCAGAGCCTATGTGCTTTGCTCACCATTCCACACTGTCCCCAGGCTGGGAATCAGAATGCCCAAGTTCCTGCTCAGGCTGAGCAGTTGACAAGTCCTCAGACTCAATTCTTAATCCAGTCTGCAGTTCTTTCTTTGTCAAATAGGCCAAGACACCTTCTCCACGTAATTTTAGGAAAAGATTAAATGAAAATATCTATGAAAACTCCTTTTACATTAAAACCTGCAGCTCAGGCATCAGGAGGGAAAGACATCAGCATCCTCATAGGCCCTGCTAGGTACCCAGGCTGTGAGTGACCTGCGAGGGCAGTCCACACATCTATTGGTTTTCACGTTGCCAGGGAGTAAGTCTCCCGATGGGAACTGCCAGGCCAAGGTACAGTGAATAAGCCACCTCTTCTGCTCTCCTTGTTGATCATTTCCTGACATCAGGGTGAAAATTCCCCTTCCTTGGCAGCCTGAGCCCCGTCCTGCCAAGAGGGACTCAGTTCTGTCTGCCAGGAAGGGACCTGAGGCTCGCAGTTGAGCCAGCAGTACCTAAGAATACCCAGAAATACATATGTATATACATGTGTGCACACACACATAGGCATGGGCACACATTCACCTTTGACTTTTCTTCCTTCAGGCCTAGACAGTGACCTCAGATTCTTAATCACAGCTGTAGGGATTTTGTTTGGACTCAACTGGGGCAATTTTGCCCTCCAGGGACATTTACAATATCTGGAAATATTGATTGTCAGGACCTAGGAAGGGGGTTGCTACCAACAACTAGTAGATGGAAGTTTAGTGGCCAGGGATGCCACTAAACATCCTCCAGTACTCAGGGAGCCCCCACAAGCAAGGATGCCAGTAGCACCATGGTTGAGAAACTGGACTGAAGGGATCAGCCTGGGGAGGCCCAGGGGTACCTCCAGCCTCTGTCAGCAGAGTGGGGCCAGCCCCTGGCATGAAGCCTGTCAGAGAGTCCACTTCATCTCATGACGAGGAGGTGGGCTCTGAAGCCCCCCCACGTGAATCAGTTACTAGCTCTATGGGCCTTGGATAAAGCATGTCCCTTCTGTAAGCCTCACTTTCCTCTGAAAAATAGGACATGATTAATCGTTTCTCACAAGGATGTTGAGGAACTCACTTTGTAATCTGTTAATATTATTATAATCAAGCAGTGATCATGTTCTTTGCTAAGCAACTGATGACTACAGCAGAGATACCTGCGGGGAATGGGAAGCTGTCATTGGTGTCCCTAGCATCATTCCTAGGGGACATTGTGTGTGCCACCATTACGTGCCTCGCCAGATGTAAAGATGGTGCCACACACACATGCTAACTGTGATGTGAAATTCACAAAGACCTCACACATGCATGATGCCAACTAAGACCACACGCGGTGGGTGGGCAAGCCTTCAGGAGAGCTGGGCAGGCCTGGTTGACTCTGTTCCACTCTTAAAACCACCTTCCTCTCTATCGATTTGGCATTGGAAGCCAATATGCACGATTTTGTTTTTTCTATTGAAGGCCCATTACATGATTCTCTTTAGTGCAATCAATACTAATCTAATTGAGGTAATTAGAAAATTTTTACAGGTAACTGGCTTACAGGCCAATGCAGCAGACAATAAAATTGCCATTCGCCACCATCAGTCTCAAACTTTCACAGTATTCTTCCTCCACGGTAACCAGAAAACAAGTGATAGTACATAGCAGCCTTTTTTTTTTTTTTTTACTGGCTAGAACAACACTTTACTCACAAAGAGAAGAGACAGAACAAGATTAGCTTTGATTTGAGTATGGTACCCCGCAGTGGGTCTTGCCAGGCAGCTGACACAGCTTAATGGTCTGTATGCATCCTACCTGGGCTGTGGGCAAAGAAACCCCTTCCTTCCCAACTAGGAATAGGTAATAGTACTGGGATTGGCCAGGTGCCATAGCAGCCTTTTCATTTGCTTTTTTTTTTTTTTTTCTTTTTTAAATGTATCACACAAGCCTGGAGAGAAGGGATTTTCTTTAGCCCCACTTAACAGAGAAAAGGCTTAGCAAGGTTTGTGTGAGGTCACCCAGCTGTAAAGGCAGCCAGGCGCCCTGGTTCAGAGCAAGGACTCTAGAGCCCCACGCCTGTGGGAGAGCATGTCACCTCTCTGGGCCACTGTCCCTTCATCTGTAAAATGAAGATTGTAAACTGTATAAGAAATATCCACCTCAGGGGGTTGCTGTGTGGGTACAGCAAGATCCATGTAGAATGCTGAGCATATTGGAAGTTCTGTCGTTTGCTCTTTCCTTATGTAGTTTATGACCGTTAAGCTCTCTGTAGTTCACTAAAGGGTGGGAAGAAGGGTAAGCCTGGGATTCCACCGCCAGGTCTGTGGGCAGACTAGGCTGGGCTCTTACCCACTGGGTTTGTCGTGGGGCCACTGCCTGCTGCCTCCATCCTGACCACTCTCTTTTCTCCCTGCAGATTGGCCACATCGAAGGACAGCCTGAAAGGAAGGGGGTCTTTCCAGTGTCCTTTGTTCATATCCTGTCTGACTAGCAAAACGCAGAACCTTAAGATTGTCCACATCCTTCATGCAAGACTGCTGCCTTCATGTAACCCTGGGCACAGTGTGTATATAGCTGCTGTTACAGAGTAAGAAACTCATGGAAGGGCCACCTCAGGAGGGGGATATAATGTGTGTTGTAAATATCCTGTGGTTTTCTGCCTTCACCAGTATGAGGGTAGCCTCGGACCCGGCGCGCCTTACTGGTTTGCCAAAGCCATCCTTGGCATCTAGCACTTACATCTCTCTATGCTGTTCTACAAGCAAACAAACAAAAATAGGAGTATAGGAACTGCTGGCTTTGCAAATAGAAGTGGTCTCCAGCAACCGTTGAAAGGCATAGAATTGACTCTGTTCCTAACAATGCAGTATTCTCAATTGTGTTACTGAAAATGCAACATTAGCAAAGAGGTGGGTTCTGTTTTCCAGGTGAAACTTTTAGCTCCATGACAGACCAGCCTGTAGTTATCTGTGTACACAGTTTACAGCTACAAAAACCTACTTTGGTATTTATTACAGAAAAGTGCTCAGTTAAATGTAAGTGTTATTCCTTCAGCAAAATATTCACTGACCCAAAACTCTTTATGGCATTTTACAATGCACACAGCCTCATGCAAGTTTAGACAAGTGGATTTATACTGTCTTATGAGTGCCCGCCCCTGATATATTACCTCATTATGCAAAAATAACATATCTTTCATGACTATTTTGACAAAAGTTTAAAACACATATGAAGTTCAAATTTCAGGAACCAAGGACTGCCAGAAAATATTAGCCTCTACATTACGCATGCATTTAGAAGCTTACCTGAAATCTGCCTTTTATAAAGGAATAGTATGGATAAGTGGAATTGTACATTTTTTAAACTTGATTGCCATTAAAGCAGAAATTATAAGGTTGCAACAATATTTGTTTCTAATCACTGGCTTTCTCAAGAGTATGGATTGACATATTGTGTTATGAATGCACATCTCTCAGATGTGTTGAAGCATCCATTGCATCCATTTTTTATTATTTTCTTAGTTTTGTTCTTGGACAAATTTAAACTTTTAAAAGATTATTCAAGATGAATTTAAAAGTCAACCCTTCACACAGTTTCCCTACTGTATGTAGAATCCAGGTGCTGAAACCAAGTGTTTCTTTTCCCATGCTCTTTGTTAAACCCCAATTATAGATAATTTTTCCAGTCTTAAGCTCTGTCCACCTTCAAGTCAATTCATAACCAAGTTTTTGAACGCTGCTATGAATTGCACTGTGAAAAGCACTCTTCCCTCTCAGTTTTCTTTTCATCCCAGCCATGTTTATCAGATCCTTAAGAACATTGTATTTCAGTCTTTTACATCAGTCTGAATTTTGGAAAAGAATGCAATAGTTGTACTCCACAGTCAGTGGAACTGTTCCCTGAGTCCGAGGCTCATGTGTCATTCTGGCACTACATTTGCTTAAATTGCTATTTTGGCAACAGCACAGAAAACTAATATTTTTAAGCAGAGAATCTTGGCAATGAGTGAGAGATGTTAATTTCACAGAAGCACAACTCCCAACCCAACCCTTAGGAAAAGCCCTCTTCCATCGTTACAGTGCTCAGTGAATATTAATTTAGTTCTGCTTAAGTGGTTGCTATACAAACTTTGAATAGCCACCTAATAAATAAACCTTGCATGACAAACCTGCAAAATATTTTATCAGCTGTTATTGGAAAGTGATTTTAAGCAATTGCTTCCTCAGTGTCAGGGCACATGTGAATTTCCACACCAAACAGAGCATGAGGAACCAGTTGACATGCTGGGTTGTGACTGGCAGCTTTAGCAGCCTCGGTACTGAAGCCACACCAGTGTCCGGATGGAAGTCTGCATCTGAGGTTGCTCAGTGTCCCGGTCATTCATTTACACATTTTAACTTGCATTAAAGAGCTGTTCTTTTCTGTGGCCTAGACTCTTTTCACTGATCTCAAAATAAACTGGTTTTTTTCAAAAAAAAAAAAAAAACAAAAACAAAAAAAAAACACAAAAGCTGCATGTCTAAAATTACATGGAGTTAGTGTCTATTCTTTTTCCCCTTTTGCAGCAACTTACACAGCATTTTTAACACCTTTTTTTTCTAGTTTTTTTGTTCGGTTTTGTTTTCCATCAGGAATTTGAGTTCTCTCTAACCCAGCTTACTGTGGGACATAGGAAAACTCAGTAGAAATACCTTTGGTGATCTTGTTGAGTTTAAGTCTGATCTTGATCTTAAACTCAGTAAGCCACTATCTGCAATTTTGTACATTATATAGTATTTTGAAGATATGGAACCTTATGAAAAAAAAATAGCAAATTAGTTCTTTTTCCCCCAGAGGGGAAAGTTATGTTCTGCAAATAGTGTGTGTCTTATTTTACTGTTGAACAGCAATTGCTATTTATTTTTTTATTGCCTAGAACTTCAACATGTTGTATAGGAATCCTGTAGTGCCACTAGTTAAATGCCGAATTCTCATCTGGATGTTACCATCAAACATCAGTACACTTGTCATTTCACATGTGTTTAATGTGACAGTTTTTCAGTACTGTATGTGTTAATTTCTACTTTTTTTAATATTTAAAATTGCTTTTAAATAAACATATTCTCAGTTGATCCCAAACTTCTGAAATCAGGCCATTTTGTGAGTTGTTCACTACCCTGCTGACAGGAGAGAATCAAGGCTTCCTCTGGCTGTGCTTTCGGGTATATAGATGACACAGGTCACTCCAACCCTTGTCAGAGATCACTCTGGATACATAAAAATATGTGGCACTTGCCCCGGCTTACAAACTGTGGGCCTTCGGCCCCTTTCTGTCCTCCACCTTCCGCATTCCACCTCCACCACGTCCACTTGTGCGCCCGTTGATGTGAACAGGGCAAGAAGAGGGTGGAGGGGCACGAGGCTTACATGTTGTCGTGTGGACAGCACTTCTGTCACGTAGCTGTCACAACTAGTGCTGCCACGCAGTGGAGCAGACCTGGCCCAGGCACTCTGCCTGCATTAACCCCTGAATCCTTAGCAAGCCCAGGAGAAGCGTGAGCCCCTCAGCTTTACAGAGCTGACAAATGAGGCTCAGAGGCATTCATTCACACACAGGAGACATGTGGCTTGTAAATCACTAAGGTGGGAGTGCACACAGGTGGTTCTGGCTCCAAGGCCATCCTTGCAATTCCCACTGCCTGGAAGACACTCTCCTTTATGGAGAACCACAGTGGCGGAAAGCAGGCCGAGACTGCGGCAGGGAGGATCCCGAAGTGCTGGTCTCAGCATTCCTTCTGTCATCTTTCATGGAAGTTGGTAGACATGGCTGGGCACGGTGGCTCACGCCTGTGTTCCCAGCACTTTGGGAGCCTGAGGCGGGTGGATCACCTGAGGTCAGGAGTTTGGGACCAGCCTGGCCAACATGGTGAAACCCTGTCTCTACTAAAAATACAAAAAATTAGTTGGGTGTGGTGGCTCACACCTGTGATTCCCAGCTACTCGGGAGGTTGAGGTGGGAGAATTGCTTGAACCCGGGAGGCAGAGGTTGCAGTGAGCGAAGATCACGCCACTGCACTCCATTCTGGATGACAGAGCAAGACTCTGTCAAAAAAAAAAAAGTTGGTAGACATAATGTGCCTGTTCATAGTCCAAGACAAACCCTTTAAACACCGTGCTACCGGGGAAAATGGGCTTGGGCATGGAAGCCAGCGGCTTTCTATCGGGATATTTCTGGGAAAAGCTAACATAGTGACCTGGATAATCCAGGGGGAGGCGAAGCCAGCTTTTTATCTGATGACAAAATGTTCTTTCACATCGGTTGTATGTGGTTTTAAGCCTGGAACAGTATCTGTTTGGAACTGACGTCCCCCTTCACCACCCCCTGACTCCGTTGAAAGCAGCCCCTCCCTTTATCCACCAGCCCCCGACAGCCCAGCCTCCAAGGTGAGGCCAGGAGCTGGAGGCTTACCCCTGTCTCTCCACCTCAGGTCCTTTGAGGGCTTACTGTGCTTGGGCCCATGTTTCCTTTACCTGCGTTTAGTCTTTGGCAGGGCGCGTGACACCGTTAGGCACATTACCACAGTTGAGTGATGGGCAGCCGTGTGGACCCAGGTCCTTGTGGCCCCAGCCACAGCCCCCTACTCTCCACACCCTTGTTCTTCTCCCCTCCCCTAACCTTGTGCCCACTTTTCGTATGTGTTTTTTTCTTTTTTTGTTTTTTTCTTTTTTGTAGACAGGGTCTTACTTTGTTGCCCAGTCTGGCCTCGAACTCCTGGGCTCACATCATCTTCCCACCTGAGCCTCCCAAAGTGCTGGGATTACAGGAATGAGCCACCATGCCCAGCCTAGCCCCCCATTGGATACTGTTTCAGGCTTGAATGTGTGTGTGTGTGTGGCAGGGGTGCAGTGGTGGTGGGGATGATCATTACTGAGATCATTCAACCTATTCTCCTCTGCCCCCCATGTGTTCCCCTCTTCCCCCCGTGTTCCCCTCTGCCCCCCATGTGTTCTCCTCTGCCCCCCATGTGTTCTCCTCTGCCCCCCATGTATTCCCCTCTGCCCCCATGTGTTCTCCTCTGCCCCCCATGTATTCCCCTCTGCCCCCATGTGTTCCCCTCTGCCCCCCATGTGTTCTCCTCTGCCCCCCATGTGTTCTCCTCTGCCCTCCATGTGTTCTCCTCTGCCCCCCATGTATTCCCCTCTGCCCCCATGTGTTCCCCTCTGCCCCCCATGTGTTCCCCTCTGCCCCCCATGTGTTCTCCTCTGCCCCCCATGTATTCCCCTCTGCCCCCATGTGTTCTCCTCTGCCCCCCATGTGTTCCCCTCTGCCCTCCATGTGTTCCCCTCTGCCCCCATGTGTTCCCCCTCTGCCCCCATGTGTTCTCCTCTGCCCCCCATGTATTCCCCTCTGCCCCCATGTGTTCTCCTCTGCCCCCCATGTGTTCCCCTCTGCCCCCCATGTGTTCCCCTCTGCCCCCATGTGTTCTCCTCTGCCCCCCATGTGTTCCCCTCTGCCCTCCATGTGTTCCCCTCTGCCCCCATGTGTTCCCCTCTGCCCTCCATGTGTTCCCCTCTGCCCCCATGTGTTCTCCTCTGCCCCCCATGTGTTCCCCTCTGCCCCCCATGTGTTCCCCTCTGCCCTCCATGTGTTCCCCTCTGCCCCCCATGTATTCCCCTCTGCCCCCATGTGTTCTCCTCTGCCCCCCATGTGTTCCCCTCTGCCCTCCATGTGTTCCCCTCTGCCCCCATGTGTTCCCCCTCTGCCCCCATGTGTTCTCCTCTGCCCCCCATGTATTCCCCTCTGCCCCCATGTGTTCTCCTCTGCCCCCCATGTGTTCCCCTCTGCCCCCCATGTGTTCCCCTCTGCCCCCCATGTGTTCTCCTCTGCCCCCATGTGTTCTCCTCTGCCCCCCATGTGTTCCCCTCTGCCCCCCATGTGTTCCCCTCTGCCCCCATGTGTTCTCCTCTGCCCCCCATGTGTTCCCCTCTGCCCCCCATATGTTCCCCTCTGCCCCCATGTGTTCTCCTCTGCCCCCCATGTGTTCCCCTCTGCCCCCCATGTGTTCCCCTCTGCCCCCCATGTGTTCTCATCTGCCCCCCGTGTTCTCTTCTGCCCCCCATGTGTTCTCTGCACCCCATGTATTCTCTGCCCCCCCATGTATTCTCCTCTGCGCCCCCCAATGTGTTCTCCTCTGCGCCCCCCCAGTGTGTTCTCCTCTGCCCCCCATGTGTTCTCCTCTGCCCCCCCATGTGTTCTCCGACCCCATGGAAATCTTTGATTCTCCTCATTATGCAGTCTGTGGGTAATTTGGAGTGAATGGGCTCACATCTCTAGCAGGGGTGTCTGAGCACGTGTCCCTCCCACAGAGGCCTGGCCTCTCCAGCCAGCTGCCTGGGATGGAGGTGAAGTCCACTAAATTAGGTCACCTTACTCTTACACACCTGAGGCTCACATGGTCCACAAGCATTCCATTTTTGTCTAGACAGTGCCAGGCCTTTGGTTGCAAAGACAGCCCCATATTCTGTCCCTGAGAAGCGGAGAAACACAGGTAAGTAATGATGACTGTAGAGTTCACCTGGCAGGGAGCTGCCTGAAGAAAGGAGCGTAGCTCATCCTAGGAGCCTGCACAGATTGAGCTCCTGCAAAGCTGCTGGGATGGGGTGGCATCCCTGCAACAGATGGAGCAGACAGGAGAAGGAAACGGCAGACTGAAGGCAGGCAGGACCAGCCCCAAAGTCCCTGTGCTGTGCTGAGGAGCACTCTGTGCAGGCGGATCCGTGGACCACCAGCAGCTCATCATACTGAGGCCTCCACGGGGGCTGAGCACCAGGCCAAGCGCTTGAGCAGCACGATTGCAGTTCTCTCAGCAGTACTGAGAGGCAGGGACTGTTACTTTCCCCGTTCACAGATTAGGAGACTGATACTCAGAGCAGCTGAGCCGTGGCGTGCCAAAAAGTCAAGTCACTCATGAAGGGTGGAGGCAAGAATTTTGAGCCCTGACATCAGGGTTCAGCCATGGAGCTCCTGGCCACAACCCTCTGCTGCCTCTTGGCTGCTGCTGGTCAAAGCTGGCCTGTCCCGGCCCTCTACCATTAGGTCAGCACCAGGGAGGGGTGAACCATGAAGGGCAATGAAGTTCCGGATTCGGAAATTAAGGCATTTGCCAGAGGGCCCCACAGCGAGCATTTCTCATAACATGTCATGGACAGCCACTGTGCACTTGGGAGCTAGAGGTGGAGCTGGCACACAGGGTGACTTGGTGCACGTACAATGTGAGTGACTGAGAAGAAAGCAGAGTGTGCATGTCTGTGTGTGAGCACAGCAGCCCGTACACAAACACTTGAGCTCCTGAACACCAGAATTAAAGCTCAGATAAACAGCTGTTTTGCAAAATCTTACCACATAGCAAACCCTGGTCTGAAGCTCAGGAGGCCAAAACTTTCACCTTCTGCAAAACCGCCAGGGGAGAAGCCTTATTTGGGTTCACTCTTCAACAGAACTTAAAACTTTATAGCTCTGAGAAAATATGAGGGCACAAGATGGCAAATGTGTCACATGCACACTGGCCTAAAATATATTAGGGCCAGGTTTTCACATTTTGGCAGCATCACCTGAGGTCCCCAGTGCCGGCAGATTCCAAGTCTCAGGAAGGGCTTGAGAATCTGCATTTAGCCAGCGTCCCTGGGTGGGGTACTCAGGTCGCTCCTGGGCCACCTTGAATCCCTGAGACTCTGGAACTGACACCACAAGGGAGGATTACCTGGAATCCATACAGGGGCACCTTCTAATAGTGGAGAGAACCCTCATCCTGGGCTCGGTACTTACAGAACTACAGCTCTTTTTCCTGCTATGTTAAGATGCAGTGAAAAGACCACAGAAGCCAGGTAAAGTGGCTCACGCCTGTAATCCCAGCACTTTGGGAAGCTGAGGCGGAAGGCTCACTTGACCCCAGCATTTGAGACCAGCCTAGGCAACATGGTGAGACCTCATCTCTATGGAAAACTTAAAATTAGCCGACGTTCTGGTGCACACCTGTGATCCCAGCTACTCAGGAGGCTGAAGTGGGAGGATTGCTTGAGCCTAGGAAGTCAAGGCTGCAGTGAGCCATGATCGCACCACTGCACACCAGCCTGGGCAACAGAGCAAGGGATCCTGTCTCAAAAAAAGAAAAGGACACACAAGTTGGAGTTTGACAGGCCTAGTTGACCTTCTGCTTTGGTCACTTACCAGCAAATGTGCGCAACATTTATTGAGACGCCCACGTGTGAACAGCCATCTCTAACCTCAGGCACATGGACTGAGCTCTGAGCCTCAAGTTCCATTAGATGTGACACAGCTTGGGAGTCTGTGGGCTGGAAGGTGGAACAGTGCTCAGTGACCCGCCCAATGCTGTGTGACCATCTCTATAAAGCCAGACACACACTGTCCATGCGTAGCCACTGGCTTCTCCGTGCAGTGTGAACTGGATGCAGGGCCTGGGACTTTCATCACCTGCAGCACAGCTTCTGTTCATCCCTAAGGGTGGCAGCTTGGTAGCCTGGCTGGGCCAGCCACAGCCATTTGTTACCTGGGTCCAGAGGGATAGGATCAGGGGAGGGTAAGAGTCTGGACTTTGAAATCAGAAAACAATGTGCTGAGCCTTAACCTCTTCAAGCCTCAGCATTTTTCCTTTGCCCAAATGGGATAATGGTAGTCTTAGTATCATAGAATTGGTGTGATAAATGACATCACTGATGTGACGGTACATGTAACATGCTTGTCCTAGTGCCTAACACAAAGTAGCACAGAATACTAATCCTCAGCACTCACCACTTCAAAAATGATGAGAACTTGCACACTGACCACCATGTGCAAAATAGAATAATAAAATGACTAGAACTTTGAAAACTCCTCACCTTCCCCGGTGACAAGTGATAAATTAGAGACATAAACCTCCTCCATGCTTGACCTGCAGTTGGTGATCACAAGAGTATTTCTTGAACGAGTGAGCACATGAAACCGGTCAAAAATAACGAGCAGAGCGCCCGCTGTTGAAAGGGGCGGAGTCCAGGGAGTCACATTAGCTGCTCTCCTTTCAAAAGCATGGGCAGCACCCGCCCCCAACCGAGGGCCAAAGCCGGGGAGCCTCTGAGCCACAGTGGCTCTACCCACTTACGCTGCATATTGCTGACTCCCACCCGGGAAACAGGCTGCTTGACAATGGACCTCTTTTTATGGTGCATTAAGCCGCTGAACAGATTCACAGGAATACATTGTCTGAATGTGCAAGCCTGGTTCCTGCTCAGCTGGAAGCACTTAGAAACGTCAGACACCGAGACTACCCTGGCTGGCTCCACCTCCGGTTACCAGCTACTTCCCTATCTGAAGCTCCTTTTATGGCTCTGCCACCCTAAGTGAGCTCTGAAGATGAAGGAACAGCGGTGCCTCCAGGGTTACCCACCAACTAGTCCCAGTGGCCTGGGGTTTACTTTCCCACGCAAAACCCAGGCCCTGTCTGGTCTGCCCCAGAGTGGAAGATGCCAGGGTGGTGACCCTGCTTGCTTGCAAGGAAAGGGAAGTTAAGGGCATGGGATAGGAGGCAGAGAACAGGAATAGAGTCAAAGTGAAGTCGGCTACATATCTACTCAAGCTGGACATACTCGTGTTCTGTGACCCATAGATTCTTGAGTGGAAATGTGACATACATTGGCCAAAGACATGCACTAGAATGTCCGTAGCAGTCCTGTTTGCAACAGTAAAACCTGCAGGTTACCCAAATATCCACCCACAGTGAAATATATAAATACATATAAATTGGGGACTATTCACACAATGTATTCAGTAATGAGAATGAGCACTCTATAACCACATGCAGTGACCTGGATGAATTTCATAACATTGCGTGTAAGAAGCCAGACTCAACAGAATTCACTCTTTGATTCCACTTAATGTGGAAAAATAAGCAATCTGTGCAATTACAAGTCAGAACAGACCGGGCGCAGTAGCTCACACCTGTAATCCCAGCACTTTGGGAGGCCGAGGCGGCTGGATCACCTGAGGTTAGGAGTTCGAGACCAGCCTGGCCAACATGGTGAAACCCCGTCTCTACCAAAAATACAAAAAATTAGCTGGGCATGGTGGCAGGCGCCTGTAATCCCAGCTACTGGGGAGACTGAGGCAGGAGAATTGCTTGAACCCAGGAGGCAGAGGTTGCAGTGAGCTGAAGTTGCACCAATGCATAAGAGTAAAACTCCATCTTAAAAAAAAAAAAAAAAAAAAAAGAACAGTTGTTACCTTTGGGTAACCACTAGAAGAGGACGCTGGAGGAAGGGTTTGGGGGTGAAGACACTGTTCTCTTTCTTTCTTTGGGTGCTGGTCACAAAGGTCGGTTCAGTTTGTGAAAATTCATCAAGCCATTCATTTCTAATACATGCGCTTTTCTCTATGCGTGTTATCCCCACAGATAAGCTGGTAAATGTTTAACTCGCAAAAAAAAAAATTTGTTTTAATTAAAAAGCCCTTAATTGTAGCATTTGTCAATTCCTGTGGTGTAAATATTTCTACCATGGTTGATTACATGCTACGAATGTGGTGTCAATTCTGAGTTGGGCAAAGAGACATATGATTGGTTCTTGCAAGCTCAGTTGAGCCAGCTCCAGGAGACCATTGGTTATACTTCAACAAAGAGATCTTTTGAAAAGTAAAGTCTTCTAAAATGAGAGGTGAAACTGAATGCTGGACGGGGTAAGTTCCTTCTTGCTTGGTATCCTGCTAGCACACCCATCACCTACTTCCCCACCTCTCTTTACTCTTCAAAAAAAAAAAAACTTACCTTTATTGAGATAGAATTCATATATCATACATTTACTCATTTAAAGTGTACCTTTTGTTTGTTTATTTTTGAGACAGGGTCTCTCTCTCTCCCAGGCTGGAGTACAGTGGCATGATCACTGCTCACTGCAGCCTCAACCTCCTAGGCTCCAACGATCCTCCCACCTCAGCCTCCCCAGTAGCTGGGATTATAGGCATGCACCACCACACGAGGCTAATTTTTAAATTTTTTGTAGATACGGGGTCTCATTATGTTGCCCATGCTGGTCTCAAACTCCTGGGCTCAAGGGATCCTCCCACCTCAGCCTCCAAAAGTGCTGGGATTACAGGCGTGAGTCACCACACCAGGCCTAAAGTGTACATTTTAATGGTTTTTGGTATATTTGCAGAATTGTGCAATCATCACCATAATTTTAGAACATTTTCATCACCCCAAAAATAAGACCCCTACCCATCTCACTCCCCATCTTCCCCAACCCCTGACAACCACTAATCTCCTTCCTGTTTCTGTAGATTCGTCTCTTTTGGACGTTTCATAGAAATGGAATCATATGATAGGTGGGCCTCTGTGACCAGCTTCTTTCACTTACCATGTTTTTGAGGTTTTTCCATGTTGTAGCATATATCAATATTTCATTTCTTTTTTTTTCTCCCTCAAATTATGGGACAGTATTTCATTTCTTTTTAGTACCAAATAGTATTTCGTTGTATGCATATACTACATTTTGTTTTTCCGTTGATGGATATTTGGGTTGTTTCCACCTTTTTTGACTATTATGAATAATGCTGCTATGAAGTTTGTGTACATATTTTTTGTATGGATGTTGGTTTTCATTCCTTTTTTTTTTTTTTTTGCAATGGAGTCTCACTCTGTCGCTCAGGCTGGAGTGCAGTGGCGCAGTCTCAGCTCACTGCAACCTCTCTGCCTCCCGGGTTCAGGCGATTCTCCTGCCTCAGCCTCCCAAGTAGCTGGGATTACAGGCGTGCACCACCACTCCCAGCTAATTTTTGTATTTTTAGTAGAGACGGGGTTTTGCCATGTTGACCAGGCTGGTCTCAAACTCCTGACCTCAGGTGATCTGCCTGCCTGGGCCTCTCCAAGTGCTGGGATTACAGGTGTGAGTCACTGCGCCCTGCTGGTTTTCATTTCTTATATATACATTTTAGGAGTGGAATTGCTGGGTTATAGATAATTCTATGTGTAACCTTCTGAGGAACTGCCAGACTGTTTTCCAAAGTGGTGACACCATTTTCCCAGCACTTTGGGCAGCTTCCCAAGAAGAGAAATCCCTCCCAAAGTGCTGGGATTACAGGCATGAGCCACTGTACCTGACCCAGAGCATTCTTAATGGCTTATAACTGCTTTTTTTCTTTTCACTTTTTTGATCATAACTGGTCAATGATCATATGCTTTTAGTAGAGGAAGCCTGAAACTGCTCTTTTAGGGCAATGGAGAGGGAGAAAGGGCAAAATATCCCTGCTTTTGCTTTTATTATTACTAAAGCAGAGACAAGCAGAAATGATTCTCAGCCTGTTGGGCCAGTAAGAAGTTTGCCATCAGCCGAAAGCAAGAGAAAGTGTCGTTTATTTGTCTCCTGTCTAGGGGAAACAGCCTTTTGGCCCTAGTAAGGGGTTTCAGTCTCCCCCACAGCATCGCATCTGCCACATCCCAGCCTAATGGGGAGTGCTGCCTGGACAGATGTGCCGGGAGCCTTTGGGCCTAGTCTGTTCCGGGTTCTGCCACTCTGATGATACCCACAGCCATGCTTTGCTTCCAAAGTCAGGTGGCACAGTGGCCTGGGGGAGAAGAAAGGGCCAGGCCGGTGTTAGGTTCTAGAACAGTGGGTCTGGCAAAAGGCCCAAGGGTGAACTGTGGGTTTAAAAATAAAAATGAAACTGGTCTAGAAGTTCCTCATTATTTCCCCTCAGGCCCTAACAGTAAAGTCACTCCCCTCCATGAGTCAGGCTGAGAAATGCTGATACTGTGATAACACATCACCTCTACTCAGAGAATCCTCCCTGCGAGGCAGGATTCCTGGGGCTCAGACACACCCCGGCTGGCGAGGTGTCTGCTCCTCCTTGTTCCCATGATGCCCCAGAGGAGCCAAGGCCAAGAGGAGCCAAGCCCAGAGCAGGTACCCTGATGCTACCCTTCCGCCTCTGCCAAGCAGACCCATTGGTCCCTGCCAAATCTCTGAGTCTTTGCTTTTCCCATTACTTAACCTGTGGGTCTCAAACTTGAGTGCTAATAATGCAAACCCTGCACCCCGCTCTCAGAGACTCTGAGTCAGCAGGTCGGGTGGAGCTGGCAGAGGCCCAGGATTCTGTCTTTGCAGATTCCCCCAGGTGATTCTGATGTCGGTGGTCACAGACTATCCTTTGAAAAATAGCATTTACACATTTTGATTTTTTTTCTTAAAGCAATATGTGGATATTAAAGCAAAAAAAAAAAAAAAAAAAAAAAGGAGGGCTTAGATGGAAATGGGCTGGATCCTGGCCTGGCCTCTACCACTGAGTCCTGCGAGGCCATCAGGCCATGCTTTTCTCACTTGCTTTAGCGTTTCCCTCATCCCTGAGGCACCTCCTGCACAAGCCACTCTCCTTGTTCCCTCCACACTCCATCAGCACCTTGTGTAACCTCCGGCAAGTTGTGGGGCTCAGGCCATGACCAGATGTTGAGCTTGCTAGGCATGGCCTGTGTCTGCCCATCTGATGCTCTCTGCAGTGATATGCACAGCAGCTCCTCAACATCTTTAAAACCTGACCCCATGGCTGGGCACGGTGGCTCACACCTGCAATCCCAGCACTTTGGGAGGCCGAGGTGGGCAGATCACTTAGGAGTTTGAGAGCAGCCTGGCCAACATGGTGAAACCCCATCTCTACTAAAAATACACAGATTAGCCGGGTGTGGTGGCACACGCCTGTAATCCTAGCTACTCAGGAGGCTGAGGCAGGAGAATCGAGAATCACTTGAACCTGGGAGGCGGAGGTTGCTGTGAGTTGGGACTGCGCCATTGCACTCTAGCCTGGGCGACAGTGAAACTCCTTCTCAAAAAAAAAAAAATAGATAAACAAATCAAAAACTTGACCCCCTCCTACCAAAAATACACTGAGAGAAGAGGTGAGAACCACAGAAGCCATTCTCTTGCCTTCTGGCCTAGGAGAGGACATTCAAAAACAACTGATACCTCATCCAATTGGTATTGCTATCAATATAATCCTATTTGTACCTGCACCCAATTAGGAGGGGAAGAAGGAATGAGGAGGGGCAGCCCTGCAGGACAGCAATGGCAGGAGACAAACTGGAACCTGACTGCTGAGATCACCCACCCCCAGGACTGCTGAACCAAGATGCGGGGATGTGGCCCAGGCTGTGGCCCTTGCTGGGTGCCTATAGCCAACTTGATGACCTTGAGCGAGCATTTTTCCCTCTAAGTTTGAGTTTCTTCATCTGGAAAACAGAGATTACATAGTTCTGCCTAGATCCTGGCACTGTTGGGAGCATGTGTGTGTGTGCATGTACATGCATAGATGTTCTTACGTGTGTGTGTGCACTTGTGCATATATATATGTATGTAAGCTTTTTATTTATTTATTTATTTATTTTGAGATGCAGTCTTGCTCTGTCTCCCAGGCTGGAGTGCAGTGGCGCAGTCTTGGCTCTTTGCAAGCTCCGCCTCCCGGGTTCACGTCATTCTCCGGCCTCAGCCTCCCGAGTAGCTGGGACTACAGGTGCCCACCACCACGCCAGCTAATTTTTTGTATTTTTAGTAGAGATGGGGTTTCACTGTGTTAGCCAGGATGGTCTCGATCTCCTGACCTCATGATCTGCCCGCCTCGGCCTCCCAAAGTGCTAGGATTACAGGCGTGAGCCACCGTGCCCAGACCACTTTTTTTTTTTTTTTTTTTTAAGATGGAGTCTCCCTCTTGTCGCCCAGGGTGGAATGCAATGGCGCGATCTCGGCTCACTGCAACATCTGCCTCAAGGGTTCAAGCAATTATCTTGCCTCAGCCTCCAGAGTAGCTGGGATTACAGGCACCTGCCATCACGTCCGGCTAATTTTTGTACTTTTAGTAGAGACAGGGTTTCACCATGTTGGCCAGGCTGGTCTCAAACTCCTGACCTCAGGTGATCCGCCCACCTCGGCCTCCCAAAGTGCCGGTATTACAGACATGAACCACAGCGCCCGGCCTGTGTGTAAGCTTTGAACATGGTAAATCACTATTCTATTAACGAGCTGATTCCTCTTCCCTGACCTTCTGGAAAGTGGATGCCTCTCGTTGCTTTCCTGGCTGCTCGGCTGTATGTAATGCAGCCCTGCAGGAAGGTCGGGAGCTAAGGGGCTTTCTTCTCCACTCCAACGAACCCGTTAACTCCCCTCTGATGCCCTGGGAATGCTGGGTCAGGGTTTCAGGTCACAGTGCTCCCCCATGATGCAGAAAGATACCCATCCTGGCACCTTCCTAGAGCTTGTCTGACTGACAGCTTCAGGCACCTGCTAAAGAGGAGGGCTGCAGAAGGATCTGCTGGTCCAGGGAGACCAGAGGTGGCCGCAGCCGCTGAGAACACGCACTCAGAAGTAGCCCTTCCTGACCTTGGGGGTCTCTGGGTCCAGAGAGCTTGAGTGACCTGCCCAAGTGTTTGTTAAATGCTATTTTCCAGGCATTCTTCTAAACATTTCAAATACCTTAATGTGTGTAAATCACAAAGCAGCTGTATTAAATAGGTTCTATTAGCATCTCCACTTTACAGATGAGGTCTCAGGGGCTTAGAGGGTGTCATTTCCTACGACAAATTACTGCGAACTTAGTCGTTTAGAATAACACAGATTTATTCTCTTCCTCTTCTGGAGGTCAGAAGTCTAAAACCAAGGTGTTGGAAGGACTGTGTTCCTTCTGGAGGCTCCAGGGGAGAACTTCCTTCCTTGGCTTTTCCATTTTCTAGAGGCTTCCTGCATTCCTTGGCTTGTGGCACCTTTCCTCTATCTTCAAAACGTTTCACTCCAACCTCTGGCTGCGTGGTTTCCTCTCCTGTTTCTGACTTTGACCCTTTCGTTCCCCTTCATAAGGATCCCTGTGATTACATTGGGTCCACCCAGGTAATTCACGATAATCTCCCCATTTGAAGATCCCTCATTTTCCCAAAGTCACACAGCTAGAGCGTATGTCTTGGGCAAGTGTCGCCCAGGTGGCTTGCTCCCTCAAACCCCTTGTGACTACAAGCTTGTGCGCTGTGAGCTCCCTCCTGGTCTCACACCCCACAGCTGTCTCAGGCCTGCAGCAGGCAGGCGAGGCTGGCTCCTGGCTCTGCCCTTGGCCGGTTTCCCTACCCCACGCTCACCAGCCAGGGGCAGGGGCAGCCCAGCCAGCTGACTGCCTGCAGCAGGAATGGATGAGAAGGCAGGCCCAGGTGGCCCCAGGTAGCCCCCCAGGAATCACAGCCTTGCCCTCACCACCAGCTCTGGTTCTCTAACTGACTTAGGCTTGGAGCAACCTGTCCTTATACCTGGAGGCCCATCTTTATAGTAGACTGATAGCCATTTCTCCTCTGGGAGCCATTTTTTCTTTCTTTTTCAGAGACAGAGTCTCGTTCTGTTGCCCAGACTGGAGTGCAGTGGCATGGTCATAGTTTCCTGCAGCCTCGAACTCCTAGGCTCAGGTGATCCTCCTGCTTCAGCCTCATGAATAGCTGGGTCTATAGGTTCACCACCACGTCCAGCTAATTGTTTAATTTTTTTTTTTTTTTGAGACAGAGTCTTGCTCTGTGCCCAGGCTAGAGTGCAGTGACGTGATCTCAGCTCACTGCAACCTCTGCCTCCCAGGTTCAAGCAACTATCCTGCCTCAGCCTCCCAAGTAGCTGGGACTACAGGTGCACACCACCACACCCAGCTAATTTTGGTCTTTTTAGTAGACATGGGGTTTCACCATGTTGGCCAGGCTAGTCTCAAACTCCTGACCTCAAGTGATCTGCCCGCCACCGCCTCCCAAAGTGCTGGGATTACAGGCATGAGCCACTACACCTGGCCCCCATTTTTTTCTTTTAACTGTGTATATACTATGTGCCAGGTTCCATTCACAGAAAATAATCAACACAGCACTGCCTATGTGGAGACTCAGAGTCAAGTCAGCAAAATAAATGCATATAGGCTGGGCACCGTGGCTCATACCTATAATCCCAGCATTTTGGGAGGCCAAGGAAGGAGGATCACTTGGGGCCAGGAATTGGAGACCAGCTTGTGCAACATAGTGAGACCTCATCTCAAAAAAACAAAACAGAAAAAACAACAAAAAAAATGCACACAATACTTAAGCAGTTTTCCAGGCAACAGACAATCTAAATTATAATAATATTTTTGGCAATACATAAGAAGCACAAAACTTATTAATACACTGACCAAAATTTTAATTCTTGGGAAATTCCCTAAGAAAAATAAAACATTTATTTTATGCAGTTATTTAAAAAATATATGTGAGTAGTTAATTTTGATAGAGCCACCCAATAAAATAATATGTAACCACAAAAACAGAACCACAGAACATGCAAACATGCTGAACACATGATGTTTCAGAGCAGAATCCAACATCCACCAACAGGAAACTGATTTGCAAAAGTCAGGTGACTCTTGACAATGGAACACTAACAGCCGGCAAAAAGAAAGAGATGGAAATTCTCGATGTGTCAAACAGTAACATACCTGCTTTTTATATGGAAAAAAGTTCTGAAAGGATTTGAGTGCCCTGGTTCTGAGGTCAGACTTTTTATGTACTCTCAGTATAACCAGTTTAGAAAGCAGATAGTAATATTTAATAAATTTGAAGCTGCACATAGCTACCCATTACTCAGCTAATCCATCCTTGAGTACATAAAAATTCTGTCCTACACGTGCAAAAGGAGACAAGGGAAATATTCTTGCAAAAGTACTGTTTAAATTAGCAAAAATATCAGCCCGACCAACATGGCAAAACCCTGTCTCTATTTTAAAAATACAGAAATTAGCCGGGCGTGGTGACACGTGCCTGTGATTCCAGCTACTTGGGCGGCTGACACACAAGAATCACTTGTACCCAGAGGGCGGAGGTTGCAATGAGTCAAGATCACGCCACTGCACTCCAGCCTGGACAACAGAGCAAGAATGTCTCAAAATGAATAAATAAATAAATAAATAAATAAATAAGCAAGCAAAATACTGGAGTAATGAAAGTGTCATCCATGGAAGAATGAGCAAAACAATTGTGTTACATTTCAATGGTGAGATACTACACAGCTTTGATTAATTCTTGGAACGAATTAACCAGCTTTTCAGGTCACATTACATGCTACATGCTGTTCTAGTACCTAAAAAATAATCTTTGCTCTCACAGAGCTGGCTGTCTTATGGAGGAATATAGGTAATAAGACTTGGATAGGTAGGAAGATTCGGTGGTTCACAGTGTTCATGAGTGGCATGAATCACTAAATGAATACACCAGGACTACATGTAACAATATGAATGAATAGTGCTGAGTAACAATATGAATGAATAGTGCTGAGTGAAAAAGAAAGTTACAGAAGGATTCATACCAAATGAAACCATTTCTCTGACTTTTTAAGATCTGCAAAATTTTTTTTTTAAGAGTTTCACTCTTGTTGCCCAGGCTAGAGTGCAATGGCACAATCTCAGCTCACTGCAACCTCCACCTCCCAGGTTCAAGTGATTCTCCTGCCTCAGCCTCCCCAGGTAGCTGGGACTACAGGCATGCACCACCATGCCCGGCTAATTTTTTTGTATTTAGTAGAGACAGGGTTTCAAAATGTTGGTCAGGCTAGTCTCGAACTCCTGACCTCAGGTGATCTGCCCGCCTCAGCCTCCCAAAGT
Organism: Homo sapiens; assembly: GCF_000001405.40. NCBI lineage: Eukaryota > Metazoa > Chordata > Mammalia > Primates > Hominidae > Homo > Homo sapiens. Next base: position 130,036,574 of record NC_000008.11, on the reverse strand, counting down.
GCTGAGATGACAGGTGAGAGCCACCGCGAACAGCCAAGATCTGCAAATTTTTACATACCGTTTATGGAAACATTGGGATAATTAACCCCAAACTCAGGAGACTGGTTATCTCAGAGGAGGGAGGGAGAGCCGTGGGTACCAGGGGACACAGGGTTTCCCTCACCAAATAAAGAAAAAAAAGATCTGATGCGAACATGGCTAAATGTTAAGATCTGGAGAGAGTATGTGGGGAAGGTAGACTGGAGTTGGCCATCTATGGACAGGAGGCGCCAGGGAGGAGGGAGCCTTCCAGGAGGGAGGGGCTGTCTGAACTGACCCTGTTCTCTACATCATTGTGACCAAACGTTCAGCACTTTAAAGAAAAACCAGGCCGGGCGCGGTGGCTCACGCCTGTAATCCCAGCACTTTGGGAGGCCGAGGCAGGTGGATCGCCTGAGGCCAGAAGTTTGAGACCAACCTGGTCAACATGGCGAAACCCCGTCTCTACTAAAAATACAAAAATTAGCCTGGCGTGGTGGTGGGCACCTGTAATCCCAGCTACTGAAGAGACTGAGGCAGGAGAATCACTTGAACCTGGGAGGCAAAGGTTGCAGTGAGCCGAGATCATGCCACTGCACTCCAGCCTGGGTGACAGAGCGAGACTCCGTCTCAAAAAATAATAATAAAGAAATGAAAATCCAAAATGGTTTTGTTTCCCTGGACATAAGCTATCGGCCTGATGGCCTCCTTTCTGTCCTCCAGACCAGGCCCAACCTTACCTCGGTTCATTTGTTCATTTTTGTCTTTGGTGTCCCCACTTCTTGTGAAATTTCAGCCAGAGACTGGTAAGAAAGTATCTGGGTGAGGTGCAGTGGCTCACATCTATAATCCCAGCATTTTGGGAGGCCAAGGCAGGAGGATCAGTTGAGCCCAGGAGTTAGAGATCAGCCTGGGCAATATGGCAAGACCCCTGTCTATACAAAAAAAAAATTTTAAAGAAAAAAGAAAAATAATAATAATTTTAAAAAGTATCTGGATCTCACCTTTGAAACACAGGCTGCTCCCTTCTGTGTGCAAATGGCAGCAGCCCTGGAGCTGAGGAGGGTCTCCTGTTGTCTGAGTTCTTTCAGGGCACATTTCCAGAGCCCCTGCTGGGCGGCTGTTCTGGTACTTGGGATCACACAGAGAATTCAAAGTCCAGGTTTTCCTGGCACTCACGTTCAAAGGGAGAAAACAAAATATACACAAGTAAAATGAAGAGAATAGCCGATAATAAGTGTCACGGAGAAATCAAACAAGAAAACTCGATAGTGACTGGTGTCACTTGGTAGTGCCAAAGTAATTTAGAGGCTTCTTATTTTTTTCTCAAAAATGTTTAAAATAAACTTTCTCAATTAAAAAAATCTGTTTTAGCCTTATGATCCTCTTTTTCTTAAAAAAGAGGGGTATTCAAGTTAAAACAGTGCCATCTTTCCCAACTGTTAGTTGGAAAGAATCGCTTTACTCTTTCTGTCCCTCTCAAATACCTTTGATGTGCCAAGAATGTGGCTTTTACGAGCTGATTCTCCTGATGATAATGTCTGTTCTATCACTGTTCTTGCCGCAAAGAGGTCACAACAACTATTGTCGGAAGAAAAGCCAGCTCTTTCTCTCATCAGTCAGGCCGCTTATCCAGAGATCCACTTATTTAAGCTGCAAAACAAAAATATCAAGGTGAGGGCCGGGCGCGGTGGCTCACGTCTGTAATCCCAGCACTTTGGGAGGCCAGGGCGGGTGGATCATGAGGCCAGGAGACTGAGACCATCCTAGCTAACATGGTGAAACCCTGTCTCTACTAAAATTACAAAAAAATTAGCTGGGCATGGTGGCAGGCGCCTTTAGTCCCAGCTACTCAGGAGGCTGAGGCAGGAGAATGGGGTGAACCTGGGAGACAGAGCTTGCAGTGAGCCGAGATCGCGCCACTGCACTCCAGCCTGGGTGACAGAGCGAGACTCCGTCTAAAAAAATATATATATATATTAAAAATATATATATCTATATCAAGGGGGACTGTGAAGACTGTATGATTTATCTCTTTCTTTTTTATTGTAACTGTTTTTCTTTTTCATTTTTTTTTTTTTTTTTTTGAGACAGAGCCTCACTCTGTCGCCCAGGCTGAAGTGCAGTGGCGCGATCTTGCCTCACTGCAACCTCCACCTCCTGACTTCAAGCGATTCTGGTGCCTCAGCATCCTGAGTAGCTGGGATTACAAGTGCGCACCACCACACCTGGCTAATTTTTGTATTTTTAGTAGAGGTGGGGTTTTGCCATGTTGGCCAGGTTGGTCTTGAACTCCTAACCTCAGGTGATCCACCTGACTCGGCCTCCCAAAGTGCTGGGATTACAAGCCTGAGCCACCACACCCGGCCTGTTTTTCCTTTTCATGATAAACTTCATGGGAAGTATCATTGCTCCTTCTTTCCAGAAACGTTTTATGAGCACTGATCTGTGAAGTGTCGGTTCTCTGATGTGCGGTGATGGGAGGCGCCCTCCTGTGCTCCAGAGGCCTGGCCGTCAGGCACCAACAGCCATGCTGGGCCTCATACGATGGCACAAGTTGAAAGACAGGCTTCACTGGAGACATTCACGGCAGAACAGAGACTCCTTCCAGCAGGGAATTGGGGGCCATTCGTGGCACTGGTGGCATTAAGGCGGCTTTGAAGGAAGGGATTTCCAGATAAGGAGCAGAGGCTGGGTAGTAGCCTTTATTCTCTCTCAGGTATCACCACCCTTGCTGTCTGCTGTCCCGTGTTTGCAAACAGTGGTTTCATTTTTTTCCCAGTTTTTGAGGCTGGAGGATAAATTCAGTCCTTGTTACCACATCTTGAATTGAAGTCTCCCCAAATGTGTTTTTACTGGGGAGACAGTCTCTTCCTCCTGGCAATCCCCACTATCACATTCATGTGGTCACCCAGCATCAACCTAAATAGCAAACAGAGAGGCTCCGCAAAAGAGAAGATGTTTATTTGGGAATGGACCATTGCAGTGGGAATACATGGGCCATTGTAAACTACGTGCCTGTTCAGGGAGGTAAAGGAAGACAAAGGTTTTTAAATGAAAAATGAAGAGGTTTATATGATTGCTTTAAGATGATCATCCTTGGCTACAAAGATCAATAACAAGGGTGACGCCAGTCTGAGATTGGACAGGCAGTTGCTGGGCAGATGTCCTTGCAGAAAAATTGTTTGTGTAAGGCTGTGATGGGCTTCGTGCCAAGCTGTGGTTTTAGCAGAGTCTTTTTTTTTTTGAGACGGAGTTTCGCTCTTGTTGCCCAGGCTGGAATGGCGCGATCTCAGCTCACCACAACATCCACCTCCCGGGTTCAAGCGGTTCTCCTGCCTCAGCCTCCCAAGTAGCTGGGATTACAGGCATGCGCCACCACGCCCAGCTAATTTTGTATTTTTAGTAGAGACGGGGTTTCTCCATGTTGGTCAGGCTGGTCTTGAACTCCCGATCTCAGGTGATCCGCCCGCCTCGGCCTCCCAAAGTGCTGGGATTACAGGTATGAGCCAAGGCGCCCAGCCGAGTCTGTTTCATTATCAGGCATACAAGCCTGAGAACCTGATCTTCATGGCCTTCTCCTCCTCTGTCAGAGTTTTCTTAATTTTTTTTTCTTTTTGAGATAAGATCTTGCTCTGTCACACAGGCTGGAGTGCAGTGATGCAATCATAGCTCTCTGCAGCCTCAACATCCCAGGCTCAGATGATCCTCCCACCTCAGCCTTCCAAGCAGCTGGGAGTACAGGCGCACACCCCCATGCCTGGCTAATTTTTTGTATTTTTTGTAGAGACCATGTTTCGCTGTGTTGCCCAGACTGGTCTCAAACTCCTGGGCTCAAGCAATCCTCCCACCTGGCTTCCCAAAGTGTTGGGATTACAGGCATGAGCCACCATGCCTGGCCAGAGTTTTCTTAACCTTAGTGACTCCATTTTGATTCTGCCAACTTTCACACCAGTGACTTGGTTACTAAGTATCCAAGAGTGAATTGGAATCCTAGAGTCAGTTCTTGCTGTGGGGCTTAGAGTTTGGAAACAGGGTTCAAGCCCAGCTTCCGCTACTAAATAGATGATAGGCCAGGTGCTGTGGCTCACACCTATAATCCCAGCACTGTGGGAGGCTGAGAGTGGGCGGGTCACTTGAGGTCAGGAGTTTGAGACCAGCCTGGCTAACATGGTAAAACCCTGTCTCTACTAAAAATACAAAAATTAGCTGGGTGTGGTGGCGGGTACCTGTAATCCCAGCTACTCGGGAAGCTGAGGCAGAAGAATCGCTTGAACCCAAAAAGGGGAGGTTGCTGTGAGCCGAAATCCTGCCACTGCACTCCAGCCTGGGCGACAGAATGAGACACTATCTCAGAAAAATATTAAAAAATACACATAATACTTTGGGAGGCCGAGGCGGGCAGATCACGAGGTCAGGAGATCGAGACCATCCTGGATAGCATGGTGAAACCCCGTCTCTACTAAAAATACAAAAAAATAGCCGGGTGTGGTGGCGGGCGCCTGTGGTCCCAGCTACTAGAGAGGCTGAGGCAGGAGAATGGCATGAACCCGGGAGGCGGAGCTTGCAGTGAGCTGAGATCTCACCACTGCACTCCTGCCTGGGTGGCAGAGCAAGACTCCGTCTCAAAAAAAAAAAAATGTGTATATATACACATACATAATAATAAATAGATGACTAGATGACCTTGGGCACATCACTTCAACTTTGTCAGGTGGCAGTGATAGTACCAGCCTCACCACAGGGGACATGAGGTGGTTGAGGATTAACAAGAATGTGTGGGCCAGGCGCGGTGGCTCATGCCTGTAATCCTAGCACTTTGGGAGGCTGAGGTGGGCGGATCATGAGGTCAGAAGTTCAAGACCATCCTGGCCAACATGGTGAAGCCTTGTCTCTACTAAAATACAAAAAATTAGCCGGGTGTGGTGGCGGGTGCCTGTAGTCCCAGCTACTCAGGAGGCTGAGGCAGGAGAATGGCGTGAACCCGGGAGGCGGAAGTTGCAGTGAGTTGAGATTGCACCACTGCACTCCAGCCTGGGTGACAGAGCGAGACTCCATCTCAAAAAAGAAAAAAAAGAGAATGTGTGTAAAATCCCTATGTAAACTCTAGAGCCCCATATCATTGTAAGGTCTTTTCATTAGCCATTTTTACAGGCCCCCTGCTTCTAATCAACCAAACAAAGCTAGTGCTCAAGGAATACTTTGACAGTAGCTTAAGCAACCTGTAATTGTAAATGGAAATGAAACACAATTGCAATATTTTGGAAAAATCATAATGTGTTTCAAAGACAAATGCAAATTGTACATATATGTGGAATTAGTCTTTTAGGGATAATATGTAGGTGCCATTGCTACCTCTCAGTCTTTATTTGTATTTACAACCTAAACTACAGGGGCTTTGCCTTTCGCATGAGTATGACACAAGAATAATTTTTGTTTTTGTTTTTTTTAAGAGTCTTGCTCTGTTGCCCAGGCTGGAGTGCAGTGGCACCATCTCGGCTCACTGCAACCTCCACCTCCCGGATTCAAGTGATTCTCCTGCCTCAGCCTCCCGAGTAGCTGGGATTACAGGCACCTGCCATCACGTCCGGCTAATTTTTGTACTTTTAGTAGAGACGGGGTTTCACCACGTTGGCCAGGCTGGTCTCAAACTCCTGACCTCAAGTGATCTGCCCACCTCAGCCTCCCAAAGTGCTGGGATTACAGGTGTAAGCCACTGCACCCGGCCAGAATAATTCTTATATCTGTGCCTTTCCCTACAAATAGTGACAATAAAAGAAGAATAACAGTCACTAACATCATTGGCAGCTTCTCTTGTGCCGTGTGCTGCATTAAGCACCTGGGCTGTGTTATCTCACTGAATCTTCACGGCAACCCCCTGTTGTGAGACTATGATCAGCCTCATTTTACTGATGAGTCAACTGAGACATGGAGAATTTGGAGAATGAAGTGGCAGTTCCTGCCTCCAAAACCTTTAACAATTAAAGCAAATCAAGTGAGATTCTACATAGCCGCAGTGTTTCCAATTAGAGCCTTTGACTAACTTTGTGTGTGTGTGTATGTGTTTTCAGGCTCAACAGACTTCAAGAGAAAAGCAGCAAGTGACCACAGAAACTTATTTTAAGAATTCTTCCCTCACCTGCCCTTTTAAATTTAGAGACAGAGTCTTGCTCTGTTGGCCAGGCTGTTCTTGAGCTCCGGGCTCGACCAATCCTCCTGCCTCGGTCTCCCAAGAAACTGGCACTACAGGTGTGAACCACCACGCCTAGCTCCCCCATTTTTTAAATACAGCTTGAGGGATTATGCTGGAACTTTTTACATCAGTGGTCCTACAAAATTCACTTCTGTTCATTCATTCATTCATTTGGCTCATTTACTTAGCACCTACTGAGTCCCAGGCACTATGCCAAGTATACAAAAATAACATTTTAAAAAATGACTTTTAGAAAAAAAAATATGCTAAAGTGGCAGATAAAAGTGACTTTTATGGCTGGGCATGGTGGGTTATGCCTGTAATCTCAGCATTTTGGGAGGCTAAAGCAGGAGGATCGCTTGAGCTCAGGAGTTCAAGACCAGCCTGGGCAATGCATCAAGACCCCCAAATCAGTTTTCAAAATATATAAATATGTAAATAAAAAGAAAAAAAAGACTTGTAGGGGAAGGCAGCATTAAATTGTGGCGAAGAGCACACGTTCAGGCATCTGTTTGCCTGCTGTGACCCTTGGAAAAATCATTAGGCCCTCTGGGTTTCAGTGTCTTCATTTGTTAGATGGGAATAATAGCAGTGCCTACTGTTAAATGATGTCGTGTATGTGAAGCACTCAGCCAGGTGCTGGGCACTCAGTGAATCTTGCTTAAATGTGACTTTTTTTTCTTTTTTCTTTTCTTTTTTTTTTTTTTTTTTTTGAGACAGAGTCTTGCTCTGTCACCCAGGCTGGAATGCAGTAGCTCAATCTCAGCTCACTGCAACCTCCTCCTCCCAGGTTCAAGCAATTCTCGTGCGTCAGCCTCCTGAGTAGCTGGGATTACAGGTGCATGCCATCATGCCTGGCTAATTTTTGTATTTTTAGTAGAGACGGGTTTCACCATGTTGGCCAGGCTGGTCTGGAAGTCTTTCTGACCTCAAGTGATCTGCCCGCCTAGGCCTCCCCGAAGTGCTGGAATTTCAGGCATGAGCCACCATGCCTGGCTGGAAATCTGTATTTTAAACAGGTACTCCAGGGGGTTCTGATGTAAGTGGCTCTGGGATCATGTTCTGGGAAAACTTAGTTTTCTCATCTGTAAAATGAGAATAGCAATAAAACTCAAAAGTGTTGATAGAAGCATTAAATGTAATTAATTTCATAATACACATGTTAGAAAGAACGTAGGATTGAGGGTCTGCACTGGAGGGCTTTAGTCCTAAATCTGTCTCTAACTTGCTCTGTGGCCTTCTGGAAGGCACTCAACCTTTCTGTGATTCAATTTCCTTGTGTGCAAATGGAAGGGAATGGCGCTGCTTTCTCTCTATCACGGGATTGTTAGGCAAAAGCGCTGAAGACAATGGCTGTGGAAATCCTTTGAGGAGTAGGAAGTGCTAATCTTATGAAACACAGTCCCGTGGAAAATCAAGCAGGCAGCAAAGCAGGGACACATGAAACCCACTCAACAGGTATTTAGGATTTCAGGGAGGACTGGAGACCAGGCAGTCTTGATGTGGCGTGGCCAGGGAACATCCTTGGGGAGCTGGGGAACCTTCTTCCACATGGAAGAAAAGAGCAAATGGGCTGAGTGCGGTGGCTCGTGCCTGTAATCCCAGCACTTTGGGAGGCCGAAGTGGGCGGATCACCTGAGATCAGGAGTTCGAGACCAGCCTGGCTAACACGGTGAAACCCCATCTCTGCTAAAAATACAAAAATTAGCCAGGTGTGGTGGCGGGTGCCTGTAATCCCAGCTACTCAGGAGGCTGAGGCAGGAGAATGGCTTGAACACGGGAGGCAGAGGTTACAGTGAGCTGAGATCACACCACTGCACTCCAGCCTGGGCGACAGAGCGAGACTTCATCACAACGACAACGACAACAACAACAAAGGCACTTGAAGAACTTCAAGACTTTCTGAAGCCTGAGCTTGTATTGGAGGTGGTAGAAGTTCCCCAGGTGTTGCTGGAACTTCAGCTGCATTAGAACCACCTGGAAGGCTTGTGAAACCCCAGATTGCTGGGTCCCAGCCCCGGGTCTGCCGAGTCTGTAGGTTTTGCTTTTCTAAGCAGTTCCCAGATGCTGTTGATGCTGCTGGTCCAAGGACTGTGCTTTGAGGACACTGCTCTCAGTGTTGCAAGCTTGCAACCTGCAGACAGGAACCTGCTGTGATGAGCACAGGGTTTTGTAAAGGTTTGAATGTGAATATGCCTAAAGACAGGTCACACCTTTTTGCCCCAGTCCCCACTGCTCCCTATCGTGCAGTTGGGTGCACCTCACTCATTTATGTTTCTTGCCTGGCCTTGATAGTGGTTGAGTTTTGCTGCCCTGGCAAACTCACAGAATGCTGGAGCTGGGGCTGAAGCTGGAATGAAACCATTTTTTTTTTTTTTTTTGAGACAGAGTCTCGCTCTGTCGCCCAGGCTGGAGTGCAGTGGCATGATCTCGGCTCGGCTCACTGCAAGCTCTGCCTCCTGGGTTCACGCCATTCTCCTGCCTCAGCCTCCTGAGTAGCTGGGACTACAGGCACCCACCACCATGCCCAGCTAATTTTTTGTATTTTTTTTAGTAGAGACAGGGTTTCACCGTGTTAGCCAGGATGGTCTTGATCTCCTGACCTCGTGATCCACCCACCTCAGCCTCCCAAAGTGCTGGGATTACAGGCGTGAGCCACCATGCCTGGCCCCTTTTTTTTTTTTTTTTTTTTTTTTTTTTGAGACAGGGTCTCACTCTGTCACCCAGGCTGGAGTGCAGATGTACAATTATAGTTCACTGCAGCCTACACCTACGGGGCTCAAGCAATCCTTCAACCTCAGCTTCCTGAGTAGCTAGGGCCACAGGCATGAGCCACTACACTCGGCTAATTTTTTATTTTTGTAGAGATGGGGTTTTGTAGAGATGTTGCCCAGGCTGGTCTTGAACTCCTGGGTTCAAGCAATCTTCCTGCCTTGGCCTCCCAAAATGTTGGATTATAGGTATGAGCCACCATGACCAGCCTGGAATGAACCTTTGAAACCTTTCTAGCAAAGCTGTTTGTTGAATGTGGGGAAACTGCAAAATGTGATTAATTGTCCACAGACATTAACAACAATATGTATAACGAAAGCTATATCAAAGGAACCATTCTCTAGCTGTGAGAATAGGACCAAATGCCTTTGCTATTCAATGCATATGATTTTTTTTTTTTTTTTTTTTTGAGATGGAATCTCGCTCTGTCACCCAGGTTGGAGTGCAGTGGTGCAATCTCCGCCCACTGCAACCTCCACCCTCTGCCTCCTGGGTTCAAGTGATTTTCCTGCCTCAGCCTCCCAAGTAGTTGGGACTACAGGCATGCACTGGTCCAGGCTATTTTTGTATTTTTAGGAGAGACAAGGTTTCGCCATGTTGGCCAAGCTGGTCTCAAACGCCCAACCTCAGGTGATCCACAGGTCCCTGCCTCCCAAAATACTGGGACTTCAGGCATGAGCCCCTGCACCCGGCTCGATACATATGATTTTAATTCTCTTGTATCAGGCATAGGGGATAGCGAAATGGCTTCCTTCCACCCTTCTAGGTTCTTTGGCTGGGCTACAAACTAAATTGACATAAGACAGACTAACAGGAGAAAAATCATTTGAATTAACATGCATTCACACAGGAGTCCCACAAAACGTGAGTCTCGAAGAAGGGTCGATGATTGAAGCTTATATAGCATCCTGAGCTGCAGAAAGGAATAGGGCTTGAGGTTTCTCAAGGGGGCTTTGACACAAGTTATGGGAGGGTGATGGGAAGAAATGTATGGTGAATAAGGTTGTCTTGTTACACAGATAAACAGCCTCTGTAGCCAGGCTCAGTGGCATGTGCCTGTAGTCCCAGCCACTCGGGCGGCCAAAGTGGGATGACTTCCTGAGCCCAGAAGTTTGAGACAGTAGTGAATGATGATCGTGCCTGTGAGTAGCCGCTGCACTCCAGCTTGGGCAACATAGCGCAATTTCATCTCTAAAAATATTCTCTCAGGTAATAGAAGCTGTCTGGAGCAGCCCGCTTCCTGATACAGATAGTTTGACTAATGTAGATTTCCTTCATAGATGTAAATTTGTTTTACAAAAGGACAGCTTTTCAGAGCTACTCCTATGTCTGCAGTTTCTCAGAATAACCAGCTCAAAATACGCCAAAGAAGTATATTTTGGGTTGGCATATTCTGGTCTCCTACAGTCATATTTTGGGGTGGTGTGTCCTGAGCCCCACCACAGGATTAAATTCAATAATCAAAGCAGTTAGGACAGTTAACATTTTGGGGGTTCTGCCCAGTTCTGCCCCTTACTAGCTGTGTGACCTTGAGCAGAGGACTTAACCTTCCTGATCTGTTGCTTCACTCATGAAATCTCCTTGCCTGAATTACAAATGATCCCTGGTGGTCAGGTGCGGTGGCTCATGCCTGTAATCCCAGCACTTTTGGAGGCCAAAGTGGGCAGATCACCTAAGGTCAGGTGTTCGAGAGCAGCCTGGCCAGCATGGTGAAACCCCGTCTCTACTAAAAATACAAAAATTAGCTGGGCTTGGTGGCAGGTGCCTGTAATCCCAGCTACTTGGGAGGCTGAGGCAGGAGCATTTCTTGAACCCGGGAGGTGGAGGTTGCAGTGAGCTGAGGTCATGCCACTACACTCCAGCCTGGGTGACAGAGCAAGACTTCATCTCAAAGAAAACACACAAAAAAACAAATGATCCCTGGTAGGCACTCAGTACCTGGCATAGACACAACCATAATAAATGGCACTGAGTTTGGGGTTATTTCAACTTTACCCAGCCTGGAATCTTCCCCATCTAACAAAACATTATTTATACCTTCATCCCTTCTCTTCAAGAAGCAACATGGCAAAGTTGCAAGAAACAGGGCTTTAGCATCAGACAGACCAGGGTTCCAATTCTGACTCTTCCATTTGGCTTTGAACATGTTCAACTTGAAGTTGAATGTCAGTGCTTGAGGTACCAACAGGAAGCCCAAGCAGATGGGGGTTTCATGTAATAACATAGGGAGTCTGGGAGCCTCATACAATTGAAGAATATGTGCCCTAATGTATTCAGATGTTCCAAACTTCCCAGCACTGTGCTGGCAAAAAGAAAACCACTTATGGGCACTTTTTCTCTTTAGTAGCCAGTTTCTGTCCCTATGGTAGGTGCTTGCTAAATATTGGTTCTCAGGTGTGGTGGCTCATGCCTGTAATCCCAGCACTTTGGGAGGCTGAGGCTGGTGGATCACCTGAGGTCAGGAGTTCAAAACCAGCCTGGCCAACATGCCGAAACAGTCTCTACTAAATATACAAAAATTAGCCAGGCCACACTCACGCTTGTAATCCCAGCTACTCAGGAGGCTGAAGCAGGAGAATCACTTGAACCCAGGAGGTGGAGATTGCAGTGAGCCGAGATGGTGCCACTGCACTCCAGCCTGGGTGACAGGGCCAGACTCTGTCTCAAAAAACAAACAAACAAAAAAACAAAAACCACAATATTGGTTCTCCCCCACCCTCCTTGGGATGCAATAGGTCTGTGGGCAGCTTCCTGTTCTTAAGCTCTCCTGAGGGTTGCAGGAGATTGCAGGAGCGCTCCTGAGGTTGCTGCAAAACTTAGCTCCTCACTCTTATTTTCCACAAGCATTTCTCTCCCCAGTGAGATGGGGAACTCGTGGCAAGTCAATTGCACACACTATTTTTATCAGCCCAACTGAGGCAGGTTGCAGGCTTACCAAATCCTTGCTGATGGCTCAGTAAACAACAATGACAAGTTCCAGCTTTACTCGGATCATAGACAGTCTCCAGGCCAGAATTTCTCAAAGCAGAAACCACCATCAGCTTGGGGGCGGGGCGGGGTGGCGGGGGTGGGGGTTGGGGGGTGGGGGGCTGGGGTTGGGGGGCGGGGTGGTGGTGGGGGGCAGTGGAGAATCCATAGGAAAGGCAGCTCTCCGAGCCCCACGCCAGAGCTAGTAACCAAACTGTGCCATAGAGTCTCCACTTTTTCCTGGAGATTCTATGATCGCTCCCTGGGTGTTTTTTTGTTTTGTTTTGAGATGGAGTCTCACTCTGCTGCCCAGGTTGGAGTGCAGTGGCACAATCGTGTCTCACTGCAACCTCCACTGCCCAGGTTCAAGTGATTCTCTTGCCTCAGCCTCCCAAGTAGCTGGGATTACAGGCAGGTGCCACCACGCCCGGCTAATTTTTGTATTCTTGGTAGAAACAGGGTTTCACTATGTTGGCCAGGCTGGTCTCGAACTCCTGGCCTCAGGTGATCCACCCACCTCGGCCTCCCAAAGTGCTGGCATTACAGGCATGAACCACCATGCCTGGCCCCTGGGTGATTCTTATGCATCGGAGTTTGAGAAGCACTGACTTTGGCACCTTCTGACTGGGCTCTAGAACGAGGTGATTGCAAAATTAAACCCTCAACCAGGCAGATTTCTCTGCATGAAGGGTGAGAGCCTGCAGAGGAGACCTGTGGCTGGACCTGTCGGGCAAGGTTGGTGGCCCTTTTATCATTGACATTGTATCCTTTCCCCATTCATCCACCTATTCATGAATGTATGAAACTTTGACTTAGCATCTCTGTTTCTGGTACAGGACTAAGGTCTGAATAAGATAGTGTCAGCCCTGGAGGAAATTACCCTGAAGAGGAAAACAGCAATTTCTCTCTCACACTCTTCTTCCCTGCCTGGGTTTTGGGCTGCCAGTGGCCTTGCAGTGTACTATTTAAAAAACATAAGGCCGGGCACGGTGGCTCACGCCTGTAATCCCAGTACTTTGGGAGGACGAGGCGGGTGGATCACAAGGTCAGGAGTTTGAGACCAGCCTGGCCAGCATGGTGAAACCCCATCTCTACTAAAAATACAAAAAATTAGCCGGGCATGGTGGCGGGGCGCCTGTAGTCCCAGCTACTCTGGAGGCTGAGGCAGGGGAATTGCTTGAACCTGGGAGGCGGAGGTTGCAGTAGGCCGAGATCGTACCACTGCACTCTAGCTTGGGTGACAGAGTGAGACTCCATCTCAAAAACAAACAAACAAAAACCATGTCAGATTAACATCCTCACCTATATGTGAATCAAACCGTGGGATTCGACATATGTACACAGTGTGACGGCAACTGTGTTAAAATGCATTCCCCAAATACCAGGAGATAATAAGTTAAATGTCAAGAAAGAATGCCTGGCCCTGGAGCATTATGGGTGAGTTTTGCTTTCTCCCTCTGTTTTCTTTCTTTTCTTTCTTCCTTCCTTCCTTCCCTTCCTTCCTTTTCTTCCTTTCTTTCTTTCTTTCTGTTTTTTTTTGTTTTTTGTTTTTTTGAGACAGTGTCTTGTTCTGTCGTCCAGGCTGGAGTGCAGTGGTGTGATCTTGGCTCAGTGCAGCCTCTGCTTCCCAGGTGCAGGCGATTCTGAGGTGCCTGCCACCATGCCCGACTAATTTTTTGTTGTATTTTTGTAGAGATGGAGTTTCACTATGTTGCCCAGTTTGGTCTCAAACTCCGAGCTCAAGCAATCTGCCCAACTCATCCTCCCAAAGTGCTGAGATTACAGGCGTGAGCCACCACGCCCAGCCCCCTCTCTTGATTTTTCTATGATTAACATGGGTTACTTTCAGAATTAGAAAAAATAACTCACATAAACATTGTCCTCTTCCTGTGAGTATGCACGTGGGCATGCGTGCATGTGTGTGTGCACACGCCTATGCTTGTGGACCAGGATAGACAGTTGTTTTATGCTTAGAGAAATTATTCATATTAAGTGTAGGGAGGGGGTGGTTTTATTTCACTGTGATCAGAGGGAGACAACTCCTATCTCTTATCACATAGGGCCATTTGATGTCTCATTCAGCATCACTGACACAGGATGCCAGCAACACCTCGATGGGGAATAAGGTACCCCCCACCTCCAAAAGTGAGTTTATCTGGACAATGAAAGTTAACCTAGTTATGCAATTCTTCTCTCTGTAAGTAACTATTCAACAGGCTGGGTGTGGTGGCTCACGCCTGTAATCCCAGCACTCTGGGAGGCTGAGGCAGGTGGATTGCTTGAGCTCATGAGTTTGAGACCAGCATGGGCAACATGATGAAACCCTGTCTCTACAAAAATACAAAAATTAGCCGGGTGTGGTGGGGTGGGGTGTGCCTGTAACCCCAGCTACTTGGGAGATTGAGGTGGGAAGATGGCTTGAGTCCAAGAGGCAGAGGTTACAGTGACCCATTTATTTTGCCACTGCACCCAGCCTGGGTGACAGAGTCAGACTGTCCCCCCACAAAAAGTTAAGCACTTAACAGCAGTGTCTCCAAGACAAATCATGTTTCGCAGCTTTTCTTGAGGATTTAAGGCTCTTGGTGGAGTATGAAGGGCTAGAGGCTCTCCCACTGAGCCATCCCAGGTAGTTGGCAGTGTTTCTGTTTGCTTTCTTGCTCTTAATAGTAGCTGTCACCTTGTAAAGTGCCAGTAACATGACAGGCATCCTCTTCTCAGCTCGTGTCCACAGAGGCTGTGAGGAGCTGACAGGGAGAGGAGGTTGCTGCACCTGCTTCAGCCATGTCACCACCATCTACCGTGTGTGCTCTGTGCCAGAATGGGCGGGGGGAAAATACCTCTCGGAAACGTTCTGTGTCCCATCAGTAACTGTAGCATGTACAGTTCCTGACTTGGAACTAGGCTGTAGGCAGCAATTTCTAAAATTACCCTGAGATGAACTGCATGTGTCCCCCCACAATTTGTAAGTTGAAATCCTAAGCCCGCAATGTGATGGTATTAGGAGGTGGGGCCTTTGGGAGGTGATTAGGTCATCGGGGTGGGGGCCTCATGAGTGCACAAGTGTCCTTGTAAAAGAGACCCCTGAGAGCTCCTCTGGCCCTTCCACTACTTGAGGATGCAGCGAGGAGGCAGAAATCTGCAGCTGGGAAGAGGACCCCCACCAGAATCTGACCATGCCGGCACCCCGATCTTGGACTTCCAGACTCCAGAACTGCAAGAAGGAAACTTCTGTCGTTTATAAGCCATGCAGTCTGTGGTGCTTTGTCGCAGAAGCCCTAATGGACTAAGATGTACCCGGTTTTCCCCATGGGTCCATGTTCTGAAAGATTTTCTACACCGTATAGTAACAACAACGATGGCGACAATGACAACAATAACAATAGCTGTCACCGATGAGGCACCTTCCGGGTGAATGTCACCTATGCTGTCCCACCCAGTCCCCCCCACAGTCCTGAGATGACGGTGACGCAGCATCTCCGCCCCCATTTTGCCTGATGAGGAAACGCAAGGCGTAGAGAGGCTCAGTAGTTTTCCAAGCCCCTGCAGCCAATAGGAACTAAAGGCAGGAGTTGAATTCAGCTCTCTCTAAATTGAGCCTGGTTTTTCCACTATGTTACACTCTTCTTCAGAAACACAAATTAATGAGCGGGCTGTGGTGGCTCATGCCTGTAATCCCACTTTAGGAGTCTGAGGCAGGAGGATTGCTTGAGGTCAGGAGTTCGAGACTAGCCTGGGCAACATATTGGAACCCCGTCTCTACCGAAAAACAAACAAACAAACAAAAAACCCTCAAAAAACACAAAAAGCACCAATTAAGTTATAATAATAACAATAATATTCAAACTACATTATTCAATCCTAAATCCTTTTACTTTCCATTGTGAAAGGATTAGTTACATAAACCGGCTGCTCTTAGTTACCGCACTCTGTTGCTATGATTCTGACATATTGGTTCATTTCTGCAATGCTATTGTGGATATACTGAAATACTGAAAATATACTTAAGGTTCTGCTCACTAGCTTTTTATCCGTCAAGTTATTCTTTCCCTAAAATTCAGGTGAAATTCATATGACACATAGCTAACCATTTTAAAGTGAACAATTGGGTGGCATGTGGTACATTCACTAATGTGCAACTACCACACTTGATTTAATTCCAAAATATTTTTGTCACCCCCAAAAGAAGCCCTATATCCATTAAGCAGTTACTCCCCATTCTCCCCTCCTCCCAGCCCCAGGAAACAATCACTTATCAGCCTTTGAAGCCCGAGGCTCTGCATCTCCCGGTAAAGACCCTGTTCCAACTTGAGGGTTAGCTCTGTGTGTCCCGGGAAGTCATTCCACCTCACTGAGTGGGATTCCCAGCCTAAAGGGGCTAGCTGAGCCTCTGAAGCATCTTCCGAGGGCTGTGCTCCAGTGCCAGGACGGCATTCCTTAGTGAGCTTGGGCGTAGTTTTCCCTTTCGGTTCCCAATGGCCAGAGGTGTGAGGAGACTGAAAAGCAGGTGTGAGGAGACTAATGCCGCTGAGTTTGCTTTTATCACGATGGGATGTGGAGTGGGCTTAATTGCAAAATACTAACAGCAGGACAAAAACTGAGTCTCTGTGTCTCCCAACTTTACCTTCTGTTACCTTTTGTACATAATAGCACTCTTGCAAATGCTCAGCAGGGAAATGCATTTTGGAGGAATATTTTTGAGGGACTTTTGCATATATGAAGGAAATAGCTATTTTTTTTTTTTTGCTTGAAAGCTGTGTGGACCACATGTGCTATGAAAGCACAGCCTTCTTTTTTAATTTTTAATTTTTAAAATCTTGGTTTTTCAAGATTCTTTGCTTGGCCAATGAAAGCACCAGATTCTAATGTTGAAAGTAAAATGTGCATGCTGCTTTCCAGTTATAAAGCATGAAAAACTCATTTTCTTACATAGTCCTCTCAACAACAGAAGATAATGTTATTATTCCCACTTTACAGATAAGAACATTCAAGAAGTCAGAGGTTAAATGACTTGCCCAGAATTGCACAGCTGAAAATGGCAGGCAGGCTTTCCCAACTCCAAAGACAGTGCTGTCTATAGGATGCTGGACTTCTGCCTACCATTGTCAGGGTTGACATCCCGGGGAAACAGAGCAGTCACTACAGAATTGCCAGAGGTTTCCCCGGGTATTATTCCCAGGTTCCCAATGGCTTGAATTGGTCAAACCTATCAGGATCAGAGTGAGCCTAGGCTCATGCTCTCAGCCTCACTGTATCCAGTGAATGGAGACTTTCTCCTCTGAGACACACACATCAGAGTTAGACTCTCCATCCCACATATTTCAGAATTCAGTAGAGTGCAGGCTAGCAGGCATCCAAGCCCTGCCCTCACCTTCATCTATTCTTCCCTGCTTCCTGGACCCCCAAATTTGCATTCCATGTTACGCTCACATCAAACTATTTACAGATCCCAAGCTTGCCTGAAAGTTCCTTACCTCATGCCTTTAACAATTATTATGGTAGGCCAGGCGCAGTGGCTTGAGCCTGTAATCCTAGCACTTTGGGAGGCTGAGGCGGGTGGAACGCTTGAGTTCAGGAGTTTGAGACCAGCCTGGGCAACATGGCAAAATCTTGTCATCACAGAACAATACAAAAATTAGGCTGGGTGCGGTTTTTGGGAGGCTGAGGTGGGCGGACCGCCTGAGGTTGGGAGTTCGAGACCAGCCTGGCCAACATGGTGAAACTCCACCTCTACTAAAAATACAAAAATGAGCCAGGCGTGGTGGTGCACATCTGTAATCCCAGCTACTTGGGAGGCTGAGGCATGAGAATTGCTTGAACCCGGGAGGCAGAGATTGCAGTGAGCCAAAATTGCGCCACCGCATTCCAGCCTGGGTGACAAAGTGAGACCCTGCCTCAAAAAAAAAAAAAAAAAAAAAGGTAAATTGTAACAGTTATGATAATAGTAACAACAATGGTGATTGCTTTCTCCTGGGTCCTATCCATATTAGGTTCTATATATTCGCTATTTCATTTAACCCTCACCATAACCTAACGAAGTCATTATTATCCATTCCATTTCACAGATGAACAAACTGAGGCTGAGAGTGGCTAAGTGCTTGGGCTCTGGAGTCAGACAATCTAGGTACATACCCAGCTCCACCGCTGTCTAATCTGTGTGATCTTGGGCAAATCTCATCTCTCTTCCAGCTGCAGTATCTTAATGCATGACACTGGGCCATGATAAACCTGCTTCATGGGCCTGCACACACTTGGCACCTGCTTAGTACTTTATAAATGTTCAGAATTGTTAATGCTCATTTTATAAGCGGCTCAGCTCTGCCTGCTTCCAAACCCTTTTCCTGCTTCTCCTCAAGGTCATAGTTCAGGACCCAGTGTTTCCCCACCTACTTCTCAGCCCCCACAGCAAGGTGGACATTAGTTCCCTTCCTTTAGGAATGAAGGCACTGGCGCTCGGGTAAGCTTAGAGAGCAGTCCAGGGAGTACTGCTGAAATGGCACCATCTCAGGGTCCCCAGCTCCGAGAACTGGGCCTGGCCAAGAGAAGGCGCAAGGCACCTTTGTTAAAGAATTGGCGGGCTGGGTGTGGTGGTTTATGCCTGTAATCCCCACACTTTGGGAGGCGGAGGCAGGGAGGATCCCTTGAGCCCAGGAGAAACAGGCCAGCCAGGGCAACACAGGGAGACCCACCTCTACAAAAATCTATAAAAATTAGCTGAGCATGGTGGTGCATACCCGTGGTCCCAGCAACTCGGGAGGCTGAGGTGGGAGGATCGCTTGAGCCCAGGAATTTGAGGCTGCAGTGAGCTATCGCATCACTGCGCTACCTAGCCTGGGAAACAGAGCAAAATCCTGTCTTAGACAAAAAAAAAAAAAAGAAAGAAAAAAGAAAAGAAATGGAACAACTGGCTCCTAATCAGGTAACTCAGCACTGAGTATGATGTGAGCACACTCCAACCCCCCTATAGCTGGAGGTGGAGGTGGAAAGACAATGGAAGCCTTTGATGTAACCCTTTTGATACCCTGCTAGAGGACAGCAGAAAGATACTTGAGAGAATGTTGTCTATCTTCCCGAGAAATTTCTGGTTGAATGTCAAGATAATGATAGGATGGGCTTCTGGGCCAGGGGAGCAAGGCAGAGGGAAGGAGAGTATCAGTTTCCTAGGCATGTCCTGTTACAGGGAGAAAAACACAGTATTTTCCATTCTAGATCAGGGGAAAGATGAGGTCTCCCATAATACCTGAAACTGGAATTATGGCGAGGAGCTTTTTATGTGGGAATTTCTGTACTAAATTTAAAGTCCTTGGAGAACCGCTTAGGGTAGCACCGACAGCCCGCACCGTCCCCTCACCCCGCTTTATTTTTCCTCTGGCACAGCACTTAGCACCATAGGACCCATCAGATATTTACGGCCTGTCCCCGCTGCCCCTCCCGGGCAGGGATTTTGTTTTGGTTCGCAGCTGCAGCTCCAGGGCCTAGAACAGCCCGGGCACTTAGTAGGCCCAGTAAGTATCTGCGGGAGGGCTGAATGGGTGCGTGGACAGCATTCCTCTCACTGACCCCGCTGCGAGGTGAGCCAGGCAGGGGCTGTCACCATTCCTGAAGTCCAGGTGAGGGGGAAGCGACCCAGGGATGGGAACCTGGCCGGCCTGAAGGTCTGGAGACCGGGGTTCGAGCCCAAGCCCTGCCTGACAGGCAGTGACCTTGGGGGTCACTCTTGCGCCTCTCGGAGCCGGGTTTCCTCCTCGCACAATGAGGGCGATGACCCCCAATCGCAGCGCGCCCCGCGGTGACTTGCCCAAGGTCACCACCGTCCCGGGCCCGTGGCGCCCCGGCTCGGGAGGACACGGGCCAGGCGGGCGCGGGGTTCTGGGGTGGGGGCCGGCGCGGGGCGGTCCCGGGGCGCGGCGCGCGCTGACGCCGGGGCCCCGCGATGCGGCGGGGACTGGGCGCGGGGGGAGGCGCGTCGCGAGGCGAGCGTCCTCCTTTTGTGCGAGCGCCGGCGGCTCGGCTTCTCGAAGGTAAACAGCGCTTCCTCTTCCTCCTCGCCGCGCCTCTTCCTTTTATAGTTATTTCTCGCCTGGCACTCGCCCGGGCTGCTGCTGCTGCTGCTGCTGCCGCCGCGGCGGGGGCAGCTCGCAAACCTGTGGCGGTGACGTGAGCCCCGCCAACCCGGAAACGGCGGCGGCGGCGGCACCGGAGGCTCCGAGGCTCCTGCGCTCCCGCGCCGCGCTCCCCTCGCCCGCCCGGGCCGCCAGGTACGTGCCGGGGCTCTGAAGGCGCCGCCGCCCGGCCGGCCCGCGCGCGCGCCCCTGGATCCGATTTGCCCCCGGAGAGGGCGCGGGGTGCGGGGCGCGCGCGTGATGGGTGCGGGGAGAGGCGGAGGTACCATCCGGGCCGCCGGGCCGGGCGCTGCGGCGGGTGGACAGGGGGCGCCGCCGTGGTGGGGGCGTCCGGGCCGGCGGGCGCGGGGGTCCCGGGGGAGGCGCCTCGAGTGCGCGGGGGGCGGCGGGCGGACGCGAGGGGAGCGCGCAGCGGGGCCGCCGCCCGGGTCCACCCAGCTGCGGAGCCGGCGCCTTGTGCGCCTCGAGGCAGGGGGCGCTCGGGTCGGGGTGGCTGGTCCCTGGCAGACCCTTCCTGCGAGCCGGGTGTCGGTGCGGGGACTGACCCCGGGAGCAGCGCTGGCCCCCGGCCACCTCCCATCAGGGGCTTGGAAGACCAGTCGCATTGGATTTGAGGAACTAGAGGGGGTGAACAAAATCTCCACTGGCCTCAAGACTTCCTCCTGGGGTAGCCACCCGCCTGTGTTTAAAGAGCACTTCCTCTTCGCCTTTTATCTTTTCATTATCTTTCTTTTTAAATGGAAGTTCAGTGTTAGCGGGTGGGTGCCCTTGCAGCCTGCAGGGCTTTCCTGGGGCTGTGTACACACACACTGGGGTTGGGAAAAACCTGTGTGTCCTTTGAAACGTGTGTCCTGTGTCAGGAGTGGAACGAAGGAGGAATCGAGGTCTTACCATGCTGGAGCTACTTGGAGTGTGCCTTTGCTACCCACCCTGCTGCAAGAGGTGGAGGGGTGCGGAGGGATAGAGCTGGGGCTGCGGGGGAGTGTCACATGCACTTTGCAGCTATGTTTAATTCCTGGCCCTGCCGCTTACTAGCTGTGTGACCTTGGGCAAGTCGCTTACCCTCTCTGAGTCTTAGGGTCCCGTCTGTGAAATGGGCTGCTGCGAGTGGGGCCTTGAGAAAACGAGCGTAGATTTCCTGGCCTGCAGGGGGCGCAGTGATAGAAAGTGTCATTGCCAGTCACCTTGAATTTCTGCATCCCCAGCACCTAGAAAGGGTGCGTTGAAGCACGTGGGAAGCACCCCATAGATAATTGTGAGATGAACGAGTGGGTGGTGAATTTTGAGAGGTGAGTCGGTGTGCTTCCACATTTTGGCTTCCTTGCCCTGTAACATCCATCCAGGATCTCCAGGGAGCAATTTTGCTATCTGGGTTGGATGGACTCCTCCCCTCTCTGAGGAAGACCATCTTGTGAAAATACTGACTCCCTTGTGAAAAAGGGCTTAAACTCTGACTTTGAGACTCTCCCATTCTTGGAAGATTGCACTGGGGGAAAAATAAAAAGAAGGCGTCATTTTGATTGCCACCGCCAGGTGACTGGCTGAGGCCAACAGCCAAGACTGAGCCAGGGCTGACGTCTGGGATGGTTTCCCAGGCCTGGGGTTCCTGTAATGTGGGGGAAGCCCGGAAGAGGTGACTTTTCTACCTTGGTCGGCATGCAGAAGTGGTCAGCTGGCCTGAGTTTTCTTCCTGAGGAGGCACATTGGAATTTGCACTCTAGATCCTTGCTGGGCTCACAGCACGGAGAAGGGCAGAGTGTGTGATGCAGGAGGCTGAAGTGGGTTCCAGCACAGGGAGACTTGGAAATGGTTTTCAGATAAAGGCCAATATATGTTTCTGCCCTTCACTTTGGGAGATTTTCAAGTAATTTTGCTGTCTCTGACAGCCACCCCTTCTCCTTTCTCAGCTCCCAAAGTCTTCTGTGTGCCTCTCTTAGGATCCTTAGCTATGTGGGTCCCCCAACTCCCGACCCCCGTAAGTGCTACTATTATTTTTAAGAGACAGTGCAGACCCTTCTGTGCAGCAGCGTGCTGCAGTTTGAGCATGTGCAGATTCATTTTGTTTGTGTTTTGACAGGGTCTCACGCATTGCTGAGGTTGAAGTAGTGCAGAAGTAGCGTGATCATGTCTTACTGCAACCTTGACCTCTCAGGCTCAAGCCATCCTCCTACCTCAGCCTCCCAAGTAGCTGGGACCACGGGTGTGCACCACCATGCCCAACTAATTTTTTAATGTTTTGTAGAGATGGGGTCTCTCCATGTTGCCCGAACTCCTGGGCTCAAGGGATCCTCGCTGCCTTAGCCTCCCAAAGTGCTGGGATTACAGGTGTGAGCCACTGTGCCCGGCCCAGATTCATTTTTAATGACTGAACTGTGGAGTGGCCAGGGTTACCTGTAAAGGAGAGCTAGGGTTCTCGTTTTCCTGAGACTTAGAGAGAGTGCAGGACTTGGCCCAAGACCTTCAGTCAGGAAGGGGCAGATTGAGGGTCCTTGCCTAAGTCTTCAGCCTGCAGAGCTCACTTTTCTTCTTGCAGACGCTGAGTGGTCTTTGTGCTTCCTCTGGCACCTGACCTGCTGCCTGGCCCATGCAGGAAACAGTACGTGTCTTTTGACAGAATGGGCAGAAGAATGATGGGTTCCCCTTTGCTCTTTGAGGATGTACATTCTTTTTCCATCTCAAGGTCAGCGCACTGGCCTGCAGTTGACCTTGAAATGGTTGTCCCGTGGTTCCTCCCTATGTGGAATCCTGGTCCCTGACAGCTCTTATATCAGGATCCAGAGACCCATGCACACGAAGAACAGGAAGGACGCCCGAGGGACGCGGGTGCCAGGAGGTTGTGGCCTCACCCGTGCTCAGCATTACTGCCATCTCGTTAATTGAAGAGACCACGATTCATGTGGCTTTGGCGGTCTGGGACTTGGCTGTCTTCAGCAAAATCGTCCACCACTGAGCATTGTAAAGGAAGTGTTGTATAGCTGAAAATTCAGATTTTAAGTATGAATTTTATCAGACACACCTTCACTATCTCTTGGCTGTGCAGCCTTCTAGAGGTCACTACACTCTCGGCCCCCTCTTTTCCTCATCTCTAAACAGGCAAAAGAATCCCCGTTGGTCTCCCAGGGCTCCTGAGTAAGAGAGTAAGATCCAAATTCATGCCTTGGTTTTCTTTCTCACTGCTCGTGTGCATGGAACCAAGTTTGTTGCCTTCTTGGAGCCTCAGTGTTCTCATCTGTAAAATGGGCGCATGTGTCACGGGGATGTGTTGCTCCTGGCAGTAGCATAAGCAAAGTCCTTAGCATAGGCCCCTGTTCCCATTGCACACCCCGTATAATAGTGATCACCATCCATGATTATTGTTATCATCATCAACAACAGTAATAATCACTGTTTGCTCAGCAAGCGTATAGGCGTCTCAAAGGCCAGATTCATCTCTCTGTTTTAGCTTGAATTGGAGCTTCTTGAAAGAAGGAAATTCGGGTGGGAGGAGTGAAGGATTGATTTTTTTTCTCTTCCCTAAAGGGGATACTTGATAAAGGCCTGTTGAAGACGGACGCCTTGTAATCTTGTTTTTCATCCTTCTCTGGGCTCTCAGATGGATCAGGTCCTTTTGCTTCAGTAGAACTTTGGCAATTAAGTCTTTGATAGTCTTAAAATGGGTGATTGGCCTCACCAGGCTGAAAGAAAGGCAACTTTGTTAGCCTAGGATGCATGAGGTTGAGAGCAATATTTTTTTTTTCCTCTCCTCCTTTTCTCTTTCTAGAGGCAGTGAAGGTTTTGGGGCCCTACAGCCTGGGTTCACATCCTGGCTCTGCCACTCACTAGCTCTGTGCCCTTGGCCAAGATACTTCCTTTCTCTTTGTCTTTCTCTTCATCTTTCAAATGAGGACTAACAGTCGCCACCTGGAAGTGTTGCTGTGACGATCAACCCAGAGGTTGTATGGAAAGTGCCCAGCAGAGAGCATGGCACCTAGAGGTGCTCAGCAATGTCTGTTTCTTCCCTCAGCCCCTGGTGCTCTTTCTGTCCCTCCCCTGGTCCCATCATCTGTCCCTGCATCCAATGTCTTACCCTCCCCTGACAGAGCTTCAGTTTCCTTTGGGAATAGAGCCCTTGGCTGGCAGGTCATTCCTGGATTAAACTTGGAGCCTCCAAGCTTTATGAAGTCCAAGTGTGCTATTTTAAACCAATTGTGGACTTTTGTGTGGCGCTTCCGCTGAATGGAAAGATAATTGTACCAGAGCTTGTCGAGAAGAGTACATGGACGAGTCATGGAGCTTACATTCTGTCCCATTGATTTTTTTTTTCCTTCTTTTGGAGGACTTACTAGCTGCCATCTGCTCCTTGAACATCGTGTTCATAAATATATAAATAATCGAAGTTGATGAGGAGGTTTGCTTAAAGAAGTGTTGCTGAGAGTGATTTTTATAAATATTTAAGATAATCTGAAATCATTAAAGGAATTGCGGGGTTTATTAAAAAACTGAAGACGTGTTTTGGAAAGGATCCTTTTCTTTACAAGCTGAATAAATGTCAAGAGTAGAGAAATGAGGGAAGAGAGCTTTCTGAACGTGGACATGGGATCCGTGTGGGTGAGTGGGCAGCCAGTCTGTCTGACTCTGCCAGGCCTCAGCGTTCTTTTTTTTTTTAATTATTTTTATTTTTATTTTTAGTTTTGAGATGGAGTCTCGCTCTGTCGCCCAGGCTGGAGTGCAGTGGTGCGATCTCGGCTCACTGCAAGCTCCGCCTCCCGGATTCATGCCATTCTTCTGCCTCAGCCTCCCGAGTAGCTGGGACTACAGGCACCCGCCACCATGCCTGGCTAATTTCTTTCTTTCTTTTTTTTTTGTATTTTTAGTAGAGATGGGGTTTTACCGTGTTTGCTAGGATGGTCTCAATCTGCTGACCTTGTGATCCGCCCGCCTCGGCCTCCCAACGTGCTGGGATTACAGGCGTGAGCCACCATGCCCAGCCTAATTTTTATTTTTTGAGATGGAGTCTTGCTTTGTTGCCCAGGTTAGAGTGCAATGGCATGATCTCAGCTCACCGCAACCTCTGCCTCCCGGGTTCAAGCGATTCTCCTGCCCCAGCCTCCCGAGTAGCTGGGATTACAGGCGCGTACCACCACACCAGGCTAATTTTTGTATTTTTAGTAGAGACAGGGTTTCCCCATATTGGCCAGGCCGGTCTCGAACTCCTGACCTCAGGTGATCTACCCACCTCAGCCTCCCAATGTGCTGGGATTACAGGCATGAGCCATTACGCCTGGCCGCCTCAGCGTTCTTGAAAGCTTCCTGGGCTTCCTTGAGGGTCGGAGAGGGCCACTGAGTAATGTGTGCCAGGAGTCCCCCCGGGGAGCACACATTTCAGATTCTGCTTGTGAGAGTCAGTGGCGGGCTTCTAGAAGGTTCCTAAGGCAGATCTCTTTTGGTTAATGATGGGCTATGTTTTAGTGAGACCTGCTAAGGCCATAGTTCCGGAGGCTTCTAGGTGGTAGAAGCAAGGGAGGGAGGAGTTGGAAGAGAACTTTCCAAACTTGAGTGTGCTGCGCATCACGTGGGGATTGCCTCGGAGGTTCTGAGCAGGGGCTGGGGCAGGGTGAGATGCTGCATTTTGAACACTTTTGCACATGATGCGATGCCTCTGGATTGTAGACCATACTTTGAGTGCAGTGGGCCAGGAGATCATCCAACCTGACCCTCTCCCCTTCATTCATTCAGGAGCCAGGCTGATGCTGATGGTGCAAATCTCTACATGACCCTGGAGGTTTCCAAGTTAGCTTAGAGGAGGAGGCATGCATGCGAAAACACACATATGACAAAGTGACAAAGGCCTAGGATGGACCTCAGGACAGGTGACAGTGGGAGCAGGAAGGGGTGGGAGAGAGACCACCTCTGTCTGCCAGCAGGTGCTGAATAAGCCCAGGAGGGCCTAGATGCTGTGAGCCATTGAGATGGGGCTGCCTTCAGGGAGCGGGGGAGGAGAGGCAGTGTGAGCTGAAGGACTGAGCAGAAACCCCATACTCAGAGTTTCAGGCCTAAGCATCCAGTACTCTAATTTTAACACACAAGGGAACTGGGACCTCCTGGGGGGAAGCATCTTGACCAAGAGGCACAGTCAGGACTGGAACCTAGGCCTCTGGCTCCTGAGCCTGGTTTTTGCTCACCGCTCCACAGTGCCACCCTCTGCATCCACTGCTGTGTTTAGCAGTAAGGCTGTGAGAGCAGGAGGATGCTGAGGACTTTCTCTAGTTCAAAATGTACCTCTGCCCTTGACCTTCGTTCATCAGGGGACTAGGCACTTAAATCCACAGTGAAAAAGAAGGCCCAATGTGGGAAAAGTGACAGCTTTGAAATCAACATAAACCATGCCAGAGACTAATCCTCTTTCTGTCTTTTCCCCCTCCCAGCACCAGCATCCTTTGATAAGAAGGTGGGGGAAGGACAGTGAGGGCCCCGTTGTGCAGAGGAGTTAAGGATGGGAAAGGCTTGGGCGGTAGGAGGAAGAAAAGCTCCATTCTTTCCTCATCTGCCTAATAGAGTCTCCTGTCACTGGCTCTGTCTGGCCGCTTTAAGCTCTTTGGAATTTACATCCAGTGCTCACTCAACAAAGCCTATTGCATGGCAGGGCTGATGGAGCCCTGGGCCTGCTTCTCAGCGCTGCATGACCTTGGGCAAATCACATCCCACTGCAGAACCAGAATTGTCATTGATGAAGCTGGGCTACTATCACCTGCTTCCCTGGAATGTTTGGAGGATTGAGTGGGATAATGTGTATCAAAGCATCTAGCATAGTCTAGCAGAAAGCCTCCATATACACGTCCTTCTCCCATGGGGCATAGTCACAGGTGGGTGAGAGCTGTATGATTTGTCCAGGGCTATCCTTCTGGCAGAGATGGGATCTGAATTTAATGCAGGGGGACAGTTTTTCATGATGCTTTTGGGCCGGGCGCAGTGGCTCACACCTGTAATCCCAGCACTTTGGAAGGCCGAGGCGGGTGGATCACCTGAGGTCAGGAGTTCAAGACCAGCCTGGCCAACATGGTGAAACCCTGTTTCTACTAAAAATACAAAAATTAGCTGGGCGTGTTGGCTGGCACCTGTAATCCCAGCTACTCGGGAGGCTGAGGCAGGAGAATTGCTTGAACCTGGGAGGCAGAGGTTGCAATGAGCCAAAATTGTGCCATTGCACTCCAGCCTGGGTGACAAGAGGGAAACTCTGTCTCAAAAAAAAAAAAAAAGATGCTTTTGAACTCCTCAGATGGCTTTATGAAAAATGAAACACTTTGCCATGTTAGTGGTTGGCGCCTTTGAAAAAGGACAGTGGCAGGTTGAGAAGCAAGGACCTTGGAGCCAAGGAGATCTTTGATTCAGACCCGACTCCCTGACTGTGAAGTCTTTTGCACATTGCATAACCTCTCTTGGCATCTCAGTGTCTGTTTTCCAGCTTGTTGTGGCTCTTAGGTCAGAAGATGTCTGAATATGCCTGACATAGGGTCTAGCATCAGTGAGTGCTCAGTAATTTGAGTCCCTGGTCTACAGAGCCTCAGTGCTGGGACTCAGGGAGAGGAACATGTAGACTAAGGGAAGTTTCTTCACCAGCCCCAGCTTTGCTCAAAACCAGAGTTGAAGTAGAATGCAGAAGACGACGTGGAAGTGAAACTTGGGCAATAACTTCCTAAAATGTCTGCTTTGCTCCCCTGAACTCTGGTTTTGTGTCTTGCCCTCTGCTTCTGGGACACGAGAGACCAACCAGTGTGTAGACAGATCAAACAGGCTTGCAAATGAAAGAATCAAATGGAGATTTCTGTGTTTTCTGAAAAGTGGTATTTTACAGTCATTCCTAAACATGCCTTCATAACTCTCAAGTTTTCAGGTCTTGAGGGAGGAGTGAGATTCATCCTGCCATTCAACAACAGAACAGTCACTGAGTGTGCACCTCCTGTGTGCTAGGCCCCGTGATGGATCCACATGGGGAATGATAGTGTGTGCCCCACAGTCACCCCACACATGTCCCTGAGGCCTGAACAGCTTGGAGAATGAAGGAGTTTGGGTTTATTTCTTTGGGTTAACTTAAACTCAGCCCTTCTAGGCCCATTCTTTTCACTCAGGAATTGGATAAGCTTTTCTGAGGGGTTTGGAATGGGATGGCAGGGAGAGTCACCAGACACCATGAATGACAGGCCAGCAGGTTGATGGTGGCGAGTGGAGCAGGAGCTAGGGAGTGAGGTCACATTTCTGGACTATGTGTGCAGGCAGCTATGGACCTGGCAGAAAGCCCCTCTATTTATTTATTTATTTAGAGACAGAGTCTCGCTCTGTCACCCAGGCTGGAGTGCAGTGGCACGATCTCGGCTCACTGCAACCTCCACCTCCCGGGTTCAAGCAATTCTCCTGCCTCAGCCTCCCGAGTAGCTGGGACTACAGGCGCCCGCAACCATACCTGGCTAATTTTTGTACTTTTAGTAGAGATGGAGTTTCACCATGTTGGACAGGCCAGTCTTGAACACCTGACCTCAGATGATCTGGCCGCCTCGGCCTCCTAAAGTGCTGGGATTACAGGCGTGAGCCACCATGCCTGGCCTGGAAGCCCCTCTTAACAGGGCTCCCATCAGGATCACGTCGTGGGTTTCTGTGATTTTTTTGGTCTCCTTTATGGCAATATTAACTTTCTTTTATGGAGCATGGAGCAAGTGTCCTGTACTTTGTTGTTGTTGCTGTTTTTGGAGATGGAGTTTCGCTCTTGTTGCCCAGGCTGGAGTGCAATGGTGCAATCTCGGCTCAGCGCAACCTCCGTCTCCCAGGTTCAAGCAATTCTCCTGCCTTAGCCTCCAAAGTAGCTGGGATTATAGGCCTGTGCCACCACGCCCAGCTAATGTTGTATTTTTAGTAGCGACAGGGTTTCACCATGTTGGGCAGGCTGGTCTCGAACTCCTGACCTCAGGCGATCCACCTGCCTCGGCCTCCCAAAGTGCTGGGATTACAGGCGTGAGCCACTGCGCCCAGCCATGTCATATACTTTGAATATTTTATTTCTTACTTTCATGGTAACTCTGTGAGGCAGGTAATATTATTCCCGTTTTACAGATGAGGAAACTGAGAAAACCTGGAGGCTGATAAAAAGCAGAGCTGGAATTCAAACATACCAGGCCAGCTTCAGTGCCCACCTCCTGTTTTTACTACCTCCTTTGGGTGAACCTCAAACGTAACTGGAAAAGTCTATGAATGGAGTTGTGTAGCCGAGAGCAGACACTGCTCCTGCTGGACCCTGCTGGGAGAGGGCGGTGGTTTTCTCAGTGGGCATCTCATAACGGCGGGCATCTCAGCAGCCCTCAGGGCCAAGAACCACCTACTGCAAACTCGTCAGCCAAGGAAGCTCAGAATTTATAATTGTGGTTGTAAGTAGATTACTTGAGCTAATGTGAGCAGTGAGGTTTTTGGTAAAGTTAGTGTGAAACTGACTCATACTAATAATCTACCTCTTGATGCATTTGGTGTTGCGATTTGTAGCACTTTGCATTGTCTGCATACATGCATCCCCACTAGAAAAGATTTGGGGGAAAGAAGGGTCCTGAGACCATACACTCTGGGGGATTGAATTTGAAAGGAAAATTTCAATGTTTGGATGCTGGTCCATGTAGACTTGAGCAAATAAGGTGCACATAGGATTTATACCTCTGCTTTCAAGTCCCCCCACCCATTTTCTATATGTGACCTTGCCAGCATACTCTATGCATGTGTTCCCCCTTCTGCAGGATTTCTTTAATCTGCTCATACCTTGGGTGTGCTTACACTTCCTGGGTGGGAGGTTCCAGATATATGTGTGTATATATATACATATATATATACATATATATATGTATATATATACACATATATATGTATATATATACACATATATATGTATATATATATAATTTGTGTTTTTAGTAGAGACGGGGTTTTACCATGTTGGCCAGGCTGATCTCGAACTCCTGACCTCAGGTGATCCACCTGCCTCGGCCTCCCAAATAAATAAATATATATATATTTTATTTTATTTTATTTTATTTTATTTTTTGAGATGAGAGTCTTGCTACGTTGCTCAAGCTGGACTCACTCTCCTGGGTTCAAGTGATCCTCCCACTTCAGCCCCCCAAGTAGATGGGACTATAGGTGCACACCACTGTACCCGGCAAGCCAGATTCTTTTTCTTCTTTTTTTCTTTTGAGACAGAGTGTCACTTTGTCACCCAAGCTGGAGTACAGCGGCGTGATCTCGGCTCACTGCAACCTCCGCTTCCTGGGTTCAAGCGATTCTCATACCTCAGCCTCCTGAGTAGCTGGAATCACAGGTGTGGACCACCATGCCCGGCTAATTTTTGTATTTTTAATAGAGACAGTATTTTACCATGTTGGCCAGGTGAGTCTCAAGCTCCTGACCTCAAGTGATCTGCCTGCCTTGGCCTCCCAAAGTGCTGGGATTACAGGCATGAGCTACCGCGCCCAGCCTGGAGTCATATTTTTAATGAGCATTCTAAGTGATTCTGATGCAGAGGTCCCTGTCACTGGGTTAGAGAAATATCTGTTAAGGGTAATCTGCCCGTTGTCATCTATTCTGAGGGTGTTGGGCGTGGGGTGGCTGGTGTGAGATGGAAAGGACAGTGGAGATCACCTAGTCCCATCTTTTCCAGCCTTTACATTTTTTTTTTTTTTTTTAAGAGATGAGGTCTCACTGTGTTACCCAGGTTGATCTTGAACTCTTGAGCTCAAGTGATCCTCCTGCCTCAGCCTCTCAAAGTGCTGGAATTATAGGTTCCCAGCTTTTAATTTTTAAGGCACAGATGGAGCTGTGAAAGAGGAAGCATCTCCCAGCTAGAGGTGACCCACCCGGGGACCCCATCACCCTAGATGCTGAGGAGGTCAGTATCTCACACAATGTAACCTCTTGTTAGAATCTCGCTTTTGGGGCTCTGATTCCAGTCGAAGGTGGAAGACTGTTCAGAGGCAATGGAAGCCCAGAGAGGTGATGTGTGTTGTCCAGTGTCACACAGGAGTGTGACAATCATCTAGGCCACTCTTCATTTAAAGAAGGAGGGACCAGGCCAGGCACGTGAAAGCCCGCTAAGGGACCCAGCAGTGAGGAGGGCGAGTTCTTTTGACCAGATAGCCTGTCCCTGGGAGGCGGGTTGTGAAGCCACAAGGCCCTGCCCTAGCACCCACCAGCCTGGGTCCTGGTTTCCTGTTCTGATCCGAGCTGGGCTGATTTTCCGCTGGTTCCTAACAGACAGACACGTGCCCCCAAGACCTAAAAGCACCAAAGGAGAAGAAACTCTGCTCAACAGAGTCACATCTTCATGGTGAAGTTCAGAAGTCAGCACAATAGGCAAAAAAATAAAAAATAAAAAATTCTGTGAAGTTCAGAAGTCAGCACAGTAGGCAAAAAATAAAAAATAAAAAATTCCTGGCCAGCCACGGTGGCTCATGCCTGTAATCCCAGCACTTTGGGAGGCTGAGGCAGATGGATAACGAGGTCAGGAATTTGAGAACAGCCTGACCAACATGGTGAAGCCTTGTCTCTACACTAAAAATACAAAAATTAGCCAGGTGTGGTGGCACGTGCCTGTAATCCCAGCTACTCGGGAGGCTGAGGCAGGAGAAACACTTGAACCGGGGAGGCAGAGCTTGCAGTGAGCCGAGATTGTGCCACTGCACTCCAGCCTGGGCAACAAAGCGAGACTCCATCTCAAAAAAAAAAAAAAAAAAAAAAATTCCTGACAATCTCCCGAGTTGTTCCTGAAGGTTGGTTTTCCATGCGCTGGTTGTGTGTGTGACGCTGTACAGGAACATCAGTGAGTCAATGCATAAAAGAAACTGCAGTAGACAATATACGATAAAGTACAATGCACAATATACAAAAAATAGAAAAAAGAGTACTATAGCTCTTTTAGAATTTGTCCAGCAGGCTTTCTAGTTTTCCCACACTAAGAAACAAAAAAACCTGTAGAAACAAATACAAATAAATACAATAGGCAAAATACACTTTTATATTATTTAAAGTTTTTAAAATGGAAAAAGAAAAGCATTTGGCCCTTTGAGTATAGCTGAATTCGGCTCAGTGAAACGAGGGTATGGCTGGGTGGCACACGCCTGCCGTCCCAGCTACTCAGGAGGCTCAGGTGGGAGGATTGATTGAGCCCAGGAGTTTGAGACCAACCTGGGCAACATAGGGAGACCCCTGTCTCTAAACAAAAAATAAAAAAGAAAATGAGGGTACAGAGGAATCCCATTGTATGTTTGATGCACTGAGGGCATCTTCGGAATGTGCTAAGTTGTCTTGATACCCAGTGGGGGTGTTACCTGTGTATGTGTGATTATCCGAGGGTCTCTCATGCTTGAGTGTGATAACCTTGGAGAGAGTTTCTGGATGTCTAGTTGTCTGCTGTGAGAGACAGAGTGGACAGAGGGAGACAGCCTTTCTTGACCTGGTGAGGCCAAAATAAATAAATAGATAAATAAATAAAGCAGAGTCTTTTTGGTTACCGCAGCCCCTAGAATTAGGCCCCTTCTGACTTTGTCATTGTTCCTGCACGTCTCAAATCTGCAGTTGAAGGCCCCATCCAGGAGTTGATCTGAAAGGGCTTCGGCCTCCTGGGCCTTTGGATTTGATCCCATAGTCCTTGAGGCCCTGCCTGAGTGGACCTGTCTCAGAATAAATGAGGAATAAACGAGGTATGACCTTTGAACGTCCCCCACTGTCCCCCATGATCAATGTGGTTGGAAAATGCTTCTCCCTAGATAAACTCATCATTGTCCCAACACCTTGGACACCTAAAACCAAAAGAAGAGGAACCTGATCTTTCGTTTTCCCTGATCATCCCCAAATAGCTGCTGGGTGAGGAGGGAGCATTTGATTCCACCTTGGAGCTTATCCTCGCATGCATTATGGATCTCTCATTCAGCAGGGCAGAGCTGAAAAGCACCTGAGATTGTGCAGCTAATGTGCAGAGACCAGAATGTTCCATAAGAACTCACTCCAGAGAAAACCCAACAGGTGTCCCTGACCCTGCGCTGTGATGCCTGTGAAAGGTGTCACCCCAGTGAAGGTGCATGCATTTTCTTGCTGGTGGCCAACCAGGTCTTCGAGTGACCCTTCTGGGCAACTATTGCAATTGATGTCCAGAGCCTTGAACATCTTCATAACCTTTGACCCAGGGAACCCACTTTGGGAATCTTTCCTAAGAAAAACAGTAAAAAATATGGACAAAATGTTGCATAAAGATTTTTAGCTCAGCTTTATGTTGTTGTTGTTGTTAAGACAGGGTCTCACTCTGTCAACTAGGCTGGAGTGTAGTGGCACGATCATGATGCAGCCTTGACCTCCAGGGTTCAAGCAATCCTCCCACCTCAGCCTCCCGAGTACCTCAGTTTTCAATTCAATTGGGAACAGCAGTGGTTCCCTAATTTGATTCCATAGGCTTCTTCAGAATCCTCTGGAGTAATTACAGATACTCACATAGATTGGCAAGTGCCATCTCTAGAGGCAGAAGCTGGGACCACAGGTGCCTGCCACCATACCTGGCTCATTTTTTTATTTTTAGTAGAGATGAAGTCTTGCTGTGTTGCCCACACTGGTCTCAAATTCGAGCTCAAGCCACCCTCCTCGCTTGGCTTCCCAAAGTGTTGGGATTACAGGCGTGGGCCACCGCACCTGGCTAGCTCAGCTTTTTACAGTAACAAAATAAATTGGAAATAATCTAAGTGTCTGACAGTAACCACGTACTTAAACCAGTTATGCTTTAGCCACATGGTGGAATATTACACGGCCCCTCAAAGTCAGGGCCATGGAGGCTGTGAGGAGACTTAGAAAACCATCTGTCATTTATAGGAAACAAGACTTTGAGGAAATAGACCAAAATGGTGTCAGAGGTTGTGTGAGGGAGATAAGAATATGGAGATATTCTTTCCCTTTCTCTCATTTTCACGTTTTTTTCTAATGTGATTATGTTACTTTTATTGTAAGAAAACCTTCCCTTCTCCCCTTCTTTTTTCCTCTCCACTAAGAGTCTCCTCTTCTTTTCTTCTCTTCTGTTGCCTAGGTTGGAGTGCTGTGGTGTGATCACAGCTCACTGCAGCCTCGACCTCTCTGGCTCAGGTGATCCTCCTGCCTCAGCGTCCCGAGCAGCTGGGACCACAGGTGCATGCCACTACATCTGATTAATTTTTTAATTATTTGTAGAGATGGGGTCTCCCTATGTTACCCAGGCTAGTCTAGAACTTCTGAGCGGAAACAGTCCTCCCGCCTTGGCTTCCCAAAGTGCTGGAATTACAGATGTGAGCCACTGAGCTTGGCCTCTTTTCTTCTTCTCTAAGAAACCTAAAATACTGCTGCTTTCAGGAAAACAGAGAAAACCAAAGTTTAGATGACTCTTCATAAAAGATATACAACAAAAACAGTTCAATTAATAAAACTTAGGCCCAGGCATCCCTGAGGTGAAATACGGACAGGCCTGATTAAAGAAAGACAGCTAGCAATTCTTGAATAGAACAGCCACCATAGACATCTCCTAGGTCTATGCAGAAGACATTATTGTTGCCGTTTTATAAATGAGGAAACCTGGGGTCAGAGGGAGGTCACAAGATTTTTCTAGAATCTCACCATTCCTTCCAGGCAAACAGCTGATGGGATTAAGGAATCTAGAGACATCCACATACCAGTACCCATCTTCAGGTCCTATAGAAATTATTTTCAGGGCCGGGTGCAGTGGCTTGCACCTGTAATCCCAACACTTTTGGAAGTCGAGGCGGGCAGATCACTTGAGGTCAGGAGTTTAAAAAACTAGCCAGGCGTGGTGGCGCACGTGTAGTCCCAGCCACTCGTGAGGCTGAGGCAGGAGAATTGCTTGAACCCAGGAGGCGGAGGTTGCAGTGAACCAAGATTGCGCCATTGCACCCCAGCCTGGGTGACAGAGTGAGACTCAATCTCAAAAAAAAAAAAAAAAAAAAAGAAATTATTTTCAGGGAAAGGTAAGATGAATGAGAGCCACTGACGAACAGTTGCCAAGTGTTTTCTGTTTGGGGGCTTCATGTAATTTCCAAAGCGAAATGAACTTTGGTTCAGGTGGTGGGAGCTGTGGTCAGTGTGTTCTCAATGGAAGGTGAGTGACCTTATGGCTCCAAGCACCTGACCAATCTCTCTGCTCCTGCCTCCTGGACGTCCAGGGAGCAAGGATGCAGAGGGTGTGCCCAACTTCTCTTGGGGAGAGGGACCACTTTTCAGAACCCTCTTCCTGTGCTCTGTGGTGGGAGGCAGGGGCAGAAGAAAAGGATGGATCTGCCTCTGAGAAGCCCATACGGAGCAGACAGACGAAGGCACCCCAGCGGCTGGCTGAGCTATAACCGTTTATGGGATTGCAAATTTCCAGACAGACTCTTATGGTGTGTGATGCAGCCCACTTGTCATCTTTGCCTGTGTTTTGGAAGGGTTCGGATTCAATGCTCCTCAGCCATTTTTTAAAGGGAGGCACCAAATATAGAAAGTACCTGGTAGGTAGGTACCAAACATATGTTTGATGAATGAGTATATGAGTTAATTTTCTACTTTGGGTGGACAATTATTTTTTTGGGAGGACAATTTTTTATTATTAGATTTTTTTTTTCTTTTAGAAACAGGGTCTTGCTCTGTTGTCCAGGTGCAATCATGGCTCACTATGGCCTCTAACTCCTGAGCTCCAGGGATCCTCCCACCTTGGCCTCCCAAAGGGCTGGGACTACAGGCTCTCTCCACTGTGCCTGGCTGATAATTTAAATTGACATATTTATTTATTTATTATTTTATTTTGAGACAGAGTCTTGCTCTGTCACCCATGCTGGAGTGCAGTGGTGCAGTCTTGGCTCACTGCAACCTCAACCTCTTGGGTTTAAGTGATCCTAGTGCCTCAGCCTCTGAGTAGCTGGGACTGTAGGCTTGAGACACCACGGCTGGCTAATTTTTATATTTTTAGTAGAGATGGGGTTTCACTGTGTTGGCCAGGCTGGTCTCGAACTCCTGACCTCAAGTGATCTGCCAGCCTCAGCCTCCCAAAGTGCTGGTATCACAGACGTGAGCCCCTGTGCCTGGCCTAAATTGGCATCTTTAAAACTATTCATTTCATGCCCAGGATTTATCATTTTGATGTGTGTATATAAG
The DNA here is from genome assembly GCF_000001405.40 of Homo sapiens. Taxonomy (NCBI): domain Eukaryota; kingdom Metazoa; phylum Chordata; class Mammalia; order Primates; family Hominidae; genus Homo; species Homo sapiens. The sequence goes on along the minus strand of NC_000008.11, from coordinate 130,000,343 downwards.
TATTTCTGTGATTAGATGCAAAAGGGGGACATGTCTTAGCATCTCAAATAGGCATTTATTGAATGTCCAGAAAAAACCCTAGGTTTGCTCATTGTCTTCCCCGTCTCTATCCCTTACCCCACCTTTCTCTTGTCCTCACATCTGGGCTCTCTTCTCCTCAGCACCTGGGAAAGGAAGTGATAAGTAAGTCAGGTGCTGTGGCTGAAGGAGTGAAGAATGAACTCAGCTACTTGCTGAGCTGGGCCCTGGGCTCACCAAGCTGAGTCATGCTGAGTCATGCATGCTCCTTGTCCTTACAGTTTCGAGGGTCAGAGGAAGAAAATGAAGGACTAAAACACAAGGGGGACACGGTAACAGTAGAGGTTTCTGCTGGGTGTACATCATCTCGTTTAATCCTCATCAAAACCTTATGGGAGGCTGGGTGCAGTGGCTGATGCCTGTAATCCCAACACTTTGGGAGGCAGAGGCGGGAGGATCGCTTGAGCCCAAGAGTTCCAGAGCAGCCTGGGCAACATCAGTAAGCCCCCATCTCTACAAAAAAATAAAAATATTATCTGGGCGTGGTAGCACTCATCAGTAGTCCCAGCTATTCGGGAGGCTGAAGTGGGAGGACTGCATGAACCGGGAGGTCGAGGCTTCAGGGAGCCGTGATCGTGCCACTGCACTCCATCCTGGGCAACAGAGTGAGACTCTGTCTCCAGCATATTAAAAATACAAAAGCACAAAACCTTGTGGGAGATTCCATCCAACTTAGCCAATCGTTGGGGGTGCCCACCAGGCAGGAAGCAATTCTGGTAAAAGGTTTAGTTCTGGGAGGAGTTGGGGCCTGTGGCAGCTCCAAGGTTTTCATCACCTGAGGGTGTCAATTGCATCTGGTCCTTGGGTGCGTGGCGCACGTGGGCCTTGCCTCTGCATCGTGTCACTAGCCCTGCCATTTGCTCACTCTGTGTTCCTGGGGGGTCATGTCACTTGTCTGAGCCTCCCTTCCCTTCCCTGTGGACAGGGATCCCGAGACGGGCCTGGTGGATGCAGTTCAGCATGTTTGGTGTGTTGCAGGCCCTGGTGACTAAGGTCGGCTCCTCCCCACTGGCCATGCCTGGAGGGTGTTGTCACCTTGCTGCTCTCTCAGAGGAGTGTGGCTGCCTACTTGGCGGCAGCTGGGGTCTCTTCTACTCTGTCCCTGCTCCTCTGCCCCTCCTGCGTCCCACCCCCCCCACGTTATTCTCAGAGCATGGGACAATTCCTCTGTTAGGGTGAATAATTGAGCGTTAACTCTAGGAACAGACGGCTATGAATAGATGCGAGGGAAGAAAGCGTTTTGCCAAGTTTGAGCTGAGCTGAGGATTGTCGGCGCTGAATTAAAGATGAGCTTCCTGGCTCTCTGTTCTACTTAGCATTGATCGAGCACCATGTCTTGAATTTTCAAAAAAAGAAGAAGGAGAAGAAAAAAGTCAGAAAGGGGTTTATATATTTCACTTGAGGTCAGGAGTTCGAGACCACCTTGGCCAACATGGTGAAACCCCGTCTCTACTAAAAATCCAAAAATTAGCCGGGTGGGGTGGCACATGCCTGTAATCCCAGCTACTTGGGAGGCTGAGGCACGAGAATTACTTGAAGCTGGGAGGCAGAGGTTGCAGTGAGCTGAGATCATGCCACTGCACTCCACCCTGGACGACAGAGCAAGAATTCATCTAAAAAAAAAAAAAAGAGATGAGTTTCCTTAAGACATTGCAAAGCCAACAACCCCCCCGGGGAGCCATATTAAAGCACCAATGGGAAATTTCGTCAGCAGTGCTTAATCAAAGGCATTGATTGTTTTCTGGGCCCCACTGGTTCCTGTCCCATTATTGTCCTTAATTGTGGAAACTTGTGCATTAGGGTTTCATTAAGGCTGGCCCTGGATGTTACCCCTCCTTTGCTCTCTTTGATCTCTGCAAAGTCATCCACTTCCTTGTGGAATCCTCAGGGTTCCTCAACATCTTTGCCACTCATGTTCAAATTCAGACCAGACCCCCATATATTTCATAACAGGGTCCTCCTCTGTACCCAGGTACCGACTTGGAAGGACGTAGTGTGTGAGAAGCTGTTATTGGGAGGGACCTTAGCCAGTATCTGGTGCAGTGGCCAGATGTGGACACTGAGGTCCTGCGATGAGCTGACAGTGCTCTGGAAGGGGCAGCCTCCGTTTCTGAGGTGTTTTTTTTGTTTTTTTTTTTTTTTTTTTGAGACAGAGTCTCGCTGTGTCACCAGGCTGGAGTGCAGTGGAGCGATCTCAGCTCACTGCAACCTCTGCCTCCCGAGTTCAGACGATTCTCTTGCCTCAGCCCCCTGAGTAGCTGGGACTACAGGCGTGCACTATCACGCCCAGCTAATTTTTGTATTTTTATTAGAAACAGGGTTTCACCATGTTGGCCAGGATGGTCTCGATCTCTTGACCTCATGATCCGCCCGCCTCGGCCTCCCAAAGTGCTGTGATTACAGGCGTGAGCCACTGCGCCTGGCCTGTTTCTGAGCTTCTTTAGGTGCCTCTTGTAATTTGAGCAGAGTTTCTTCCTCCAAAGGCTGTCCCCAAGGAACCTGCAAATCCACAGGATTTTAAAATGCAGTCTTGACAGGCTATGTGACAACCTAGTGGCAGGAGGGGGAGGGGAACCCACATTAGCTGCATCGTGATTCTCTGGCTCTGTCCAGAGGAACTTAGCACGTATCTCCCACCAGGGACCAATTAATTCTGCAGGAAGTTATGGTTTACATTTTCCCCTGGAAGCTCAGGCCCTGCACACATTTATGTGCCTTGGCCCTCAGAGCATCCTCCTGCAAGTTTTGTTTAATCACATTCATGACTGAAAACGCACAGCATTTTCCCGTGATTTTATTAGCTAGTCCTTACCCACATTTCATCTGCTTTCTCTTAAACACTTTTTTGGGTCTGTGTTTATAGACCCTGAATAAACACAAATCCTTGACTTTAATTAGGAAGCCAGCAATGGCCAAAAAAGGAGGCTCATTCTGTCTGTTTCTCTTCTACTGTGGATATTGAAAGGACAGTGAATGAGGACAGGGTATCCTGCAGTAGATAATAGAGTGGTCTTGGGGTGAAGGATTGTGTGGTGTCTCCTCGCCCCCAATAGACCATGTTCCCTGGGTCAGCTTAAGTGACATCTTGAATAGATCACTTGGTATTCCCTCTCCCTCCTTTCCTCCCTCCTCCTCCTCCTCCTCCTTCCTTCCTTCCTTCCTTCCTTCCCTCCCTCCTTCCCTCCCTCCCTCCCTCCCTCCCTCCCTCCCTCCTTCCTTCCTTCCTTCACAAAGGCATACTGGGTTTTCATAACACCATTTCATGATGGTATCTTAGAGGGCAGTGATTTTTGCCTGTGTTCACGCTGGTATATTTGCACTTAGAATAGAACATACTCTAGGTGTTCAGTAAATATTTGTTTAATGAATAAGTGAGTTCCTGCCATTCCATCGTTAGGAATCCTTTTCTTTCTTTTAATCACAGGCTTCTATCTTCAGGGTATCTTAAAAAAAATACCCCGGAGGGAGGGTACAGAATACATTAGATCCCAAACAGTAAGTTGGTCACAGGAAGAGAGATGGAATTCTGCGGGCTGTGGGGGAGGGAGGGCTCAAAGCTGTCTGAGATGTAGAGAGTTGGTTTGGAAATTGGTATGAAGAGAGTGAGTGCAGAGACCCAGCTAGTTTACTAGCAGTAATATTGTGGGCAAGTCCCTCAAGCTCTCTGAGATAAATGTCCTAATCCACAAATGAGTAGGGAATGATAATGCCAGATTCTTACCTTGAGTCTCCCCTGCCCTTTCCCACTTGGCTTCTGTTTCCCCACGGCCCCTCTGTCCTCCTGGGTCTTCCCACTGGCACTTCCTCAGGACATCCATTCTGCTTCACTGTGTGCCAGGCACTGTACTAGGCTCAGAGGATGCAGTGGTGGATGGGGTGGATGAGTCCCTTTCACATCTAAACCAGGAAGTTTAGATAGAAGGAGACCCAGTGCTGATACAGGGAGCTTGTGATGTAGGGAAGTCTGAGCTGCCGTGGCCTGTGGGGTGTGAGGTGGGGGTTGGGGGACATTGATCCCAGCCTGAGAGGTTAAGGAGGGCTTCCCATAGGAAGTGGCAACCAATCGGCTAGCGGCTGTGATTAATTACTCTTTAGGTTCTTAGCTCTAAGCAAAGTGCCTTGGTGTTCAATGAATGAATGAAGGAGTGGATGCCTGTAAAAGTGTCTTACAAACTGGAGTGTGCAGTGCAAATGGTAAGCGCTGGTATTATGATTGTGGAGGGTAGAGCAGGGGCACCTAAAACAGGGTTCATTTCCCAGTTTCCTGAGGACCAGCTGCTGACCAAGAGCTAAGGTCTGCCCAAGAGCACAGCCAACTGGCGTGTTGGGGTCAGCCTCTGTGTCTTGTCTTCCACCCAGGGAAGCAGATTGCCATCTACCATGTTGACATCTTTAGCCTACCTGGTAGCCTGCAGCCCTTCCTAAAAGGACCTAGGTTTGCATATCCAGGCCTAGTCCTCTGGACCACGGTCCTCGGGCTGGTGGCTGATTAAGGAGGTAACTGACTGGGAGGAAGTATGTGTGTGTGTATGTGTGTGTGTTTAGAAATCTGTGATGCCCAGCAAATGCTAAAAAACATCTGGAATGCAAATTCACATCACTAACCTCTAACCCTCCATGACAGTTGCCATCCCCAGTGAAGCCTTCTCTGTTCTCCTCTCCTCCAGCTTACTGAGCTTGTGGTCAGGGATGGCAACTCATTCATCTTTGTAACTCCAGTGCCCAGCACGAGGCCAGGCACATCTGGGTCTTAGGACAGTTTGCTGAATGAATGAACAAGCTTCAGATAGTGTTATTCACAATGTAACTGATGCTGAATGGCTTCTAGGGTAGGGGAAGAGGGATGTTTCTGGAAATGACCTTTTGCTACTACTTTAGATGTTTTGCAATAGCAGATGCTTGAAATTCTGCTTCACACTTGTTCTCTGTGGTAAGAGATGAAGAAACACTTCCTTTGTTCACACTTGGCTCTGGGGCTGTGTAGACATGCAGAGGCCTCTCCCTCACTTCCGCCACCCTGGGAGCCTGAGTCCATTCTGTAGGTCTCTGTAGGACTCAGTCATGGTGTGATGGCACTCAGGGATCTACCTTTACTTAATTCTGCAGCTTGGTGGGTTGGTAGGTCTCATGGGTACTTTTTATATTTTGGGGTGCTCAACATTCCACCCACCTTCCTGGTTGGGGGAACCCTCAGTATGTAAGTCTTGGAGGGAGGCAGAGCCTCTTCTGCCAGTATGGAAGCTGAGGTGGACCACACATTCTTTCTCGCAGCCTGTGGCCTCAGCTTGGCCACATGACCACTGCCACCCTCTGCTCTGACCCTGGGCTGAGTACTGCACAGATGCAGGGGCAGGAAGAGGTTGTTTAGAGTTGAGGCCCAGTAGGAGTGGCAGTGTCTGCAGCAGACGTCCTGTGACGTGGCCTTGGCCACATTTTCCCCCTGCACAGTATCCGTGGTCCTTTGTCTGAGCATGGCTCTGCACTTTGCCTGTTGATTCTGGGAGTTTCTCATATTTTCTCATCAAAATCCTCTTTTCCATAAAATAGTCATAGCTGATTTCTGTTGTCGATGTTCCATAGCCCTGACTGGTGTGTACCGCCAGGCTGTAGCAAGGCACCCTGTGCCTGCTGTGGGCCTTGGTGACATGGTGAAACGGGGAGCTTGGGTGTCTCTCTGCACCTGCCTCCCATTCTGGGAGGTAGATGGCCCCCCAGCCTGATGCCGTGCCTTGAACACCCAGGCTTCTGCGGTTCAGTTCCATAGAGGTGAACCCACCTTCTGTGTGGCAGCCACTGTGCTAAGCACAGGCATACAAAGATAAAGAAACCTGTATCAGCTTCCCGGGGCTGCTTTACACATCTCACAAACTGGGGACTCAACAGACATCTACTGTCTGAGAGCTGTTCTGGAGACTGGCAGTCCAAGGCGAAGGTGCCGGGAGGGTTGGTTCCCTCTTGAGGATGTGTGGGAGAGTCTGTTCCATGCCACCCCCCCCAGCTTCTGGAGTTTTGGGGCAGTCTTTGGCGTACCTTGGCTTGCAGGTGTGACACCGTCTGCTCGTGTTCACGTGGCCTTCTCCCTGTGTGTGTGTGTCTTCACGTGGTTATCACCTTATTAGGCCCCACCCTACTCCTCTATGATCACATGCTAACTCATTACATCTGCAAAGATCCTAAATCCAAATAAGGTTACGTTCTTTGACATTAGGGGTCAAGACTTCAGTGTATGAATTTTGGGGGACACAATTCAGTATATAACCAAGCAGTAATCCTGGACTTTAAGGAGCTTACAGTCCAGAGGTGGAGAGAGACACACAACTGGATGATGGTGTCCAGATGGTGGGAGAATTGAGGGAGGTAGGCAGAGGTGCTGTGGTGGCACAAGGACTCCTTTTTTTTTTTTTGAGACAGGGTCTGGTTTTGTCACCCAGGCTAGAGTGCAGTGGTGCGGTCTCAGCTCACTGCAACCTCCACTTCTTGGGTTCAAGTGCTTCTCCCACCTCAGCCTCACAAGTAGCTGGGACTACTGGTGTGAACCACCACGTCCGGCTAATTTTTTTTTTTTTTTTGAGAGAGAGTTTCACTCTGTCGCCCAAGCTGGAATGCAGTGGCATGATCTTGACTCACTGCAACCTCCGCCTCCTGGGTTCCAGCGATTCTCCTGCCTCAGCCTCCCGAGTAGCTGGGACTACAGGTGCCTGCCACCACACCTGACTAATTTTTGTATTTTTAGTAGAGACTGGGTTTCCCTGTGTTGTCCAGTCCGGTCTTGAACTCCTGACCTCAAGTGATCTGCCTGCCTTGGCCTCCCAAAGTGCTGGGATTACAGGTGTGAGCCCCTGTGTTCAGCCAGAGTTCTTTTTTTGTTTTTTTCAGGCAAAGTCTTAGTCTGTCACCCAGGCTGGAGTGTAGTGGTGTGATCTCGGCTCTCTGCAACCTCTGCCTCCTGGGTTCAAGTGATTCTCCTGCCTCAGCCTCCCAAGTAGCTGGGATTACAGGCACGTATCACCACACCTAGCTAATTTTTTTTATTTTCAGTAGGCACGGGGGTTTCACTATGTTTGCCAGGCTGGTCTCGAACTCCTGACCTCAAGTGATCCACCCGCCTTGGCCTCCCAAAGTGCTGGGATTACAGGCGTGAGCCACCGTGCCCGGTGGGGAAGATGTTGAGTTCTGTAATGAACAAGATGAATGAGAGGGTGCTTGCAACCACGGTTACCCTGCTGACCCCAGCCTTGCCCATCCACAGTAGGCCCCACCTTTGTTTTGTAGAATTTAAAGGCAGCCAGGAAACACTATGCTACCAGAGAGGAAAGGTTGCTCTTCCTTCTTGCCGTGTATTCCTTTCTTCCCTGGCTGCCAGGAAGCTCGGAGCCAAATTTGCGCTTAGTCACAGCAGCTGTCGCCAGCCCACAGGTTCAGGCCATTTGCTTTGTCATGGTTCCCACTATCATATTTTCTTCTGTTTGTAATTCTCACGGGTTCTTTTCTTGTTGTTAGCGATCTCAACTGTCTCTTGGAAAGAGGCAAGGTATAATAAACACATACATGACAAAGAAAGGTAGAGATACGAACAATGGGTGATCAGGGCTCTGCAGCTCTGCCCTCTTCCAAAAGTATTGGTCTGAGTTAAATGCTTCTCTGGAAAGACTGGCTGATCTTGGAGATTAGGGATTTTAGGCTCTTGGAAAACAAGGTCTGTGCGTCCTTCATCTCAGGGTCTCCAGCATTTATCACAGTGCCTCACAGTGTTCGTTAAAGAGCAGCGAAAAACAGTGAACTCATAATAATGATGGCTGAAACTCTGTTATCTTTGTGAGCGCTGTTCCAAGAGGGGGTGGCAGTAGGGTCATTTCTTGCTCTGACAAGTGGGCAGGGTCCTGAGGGGACATTTTCCCCACTTCCAATTCATTTTCAGATTGTATCAGATTTTTAAAAAATGTTTTTGTTTTATTTTTTATTTTTATTTTTTGAGGCAGGGTCTTACTCTGTTGCCCAGGCTGGAGGGCCTTGACCGCCTGAGCTCAAGCAATCCTCCTGCCTCAGCCCTCCGAATAGCTGGGACCATAGACATGCATCATCACACCTATCCAATTTTTCTATTATTTGTAGATACAGAGTCTCGCTATGTTGCCCAGGCTGGTCTCAAACTCCTTGGCTTAAGCACTCTGCATGCCTCAGCCAGGCCTCCCAAAGTGCTGGGATTACGGGCGTGAACCACCATGCTCAGCCTAAAAAGTATTACTCGGATCATACCACACCTCTGCTTAAAACCCTTAATAGCTTCCTATTGTTTTTTTTTTTTTTTTTTTTTTTTTTTTTGCGACTCTGCTGTTGCCCAGGCTGGAGTGCAGTGGCGCAATCTCAGCTCAGTGCAGTCTCCGCCTCCCAGGTTCAAGCGATTCTCCTGCCTTAGCCTCCCAAATAGCTGGGACTAAAGGTGCGTGCCACCACACCCAGCTAATTTTTGTATTTTTTGGTAGAGACAAGGTTTCACCATGTTGGCTAGGTTGGTCTCGAACTCCTGGCCTCAAGTGATCTGCCTGCCTCGGCCTCCCAAAGTGCTGGGATTACAGGCATGAGCCACCGTGCCTGGCCAGAAATTTATTTCTTACAGTTCTGGAGGCTGAGAAGTCCCAGGTGGAGGGGCTGCGTCTGGTGAGTCTTTTTGCTGGTGGGGACTCTCTGCAGAGTCCTAAGGCTGTGCAGGGCATCACATGGTGAGGGGGCTAAGCTTGCTTACATTGGTAGCTCAGGTCTCTCTTCCTCTTCTTATACAGCCACCAGTTGTCCTCCCATGATAACCCATTAATCCATTAACTCACCAACCCATAATCCATGAATGGATTAATCCATTCACGAGGGCAGAGTCCTCATGATCCAATCACCTCATAAAAGCCCTGCCTCTCAATACAGCCACATTGGGGATTACGTTTCAGTATGAGTTTTGGAGAAGACTTTCAAATGTCCATTCTATTCAGCCAGTATTTATTGAGCACATACTTAGTGCCAGGCAGGCACTGTGTTAGGGCCTAGAGATACAATGGAGAACAAAAGACACAGTATTTGCCCTCCTGGAGTTTTCATTTCAACTCCTCGCCTGTTGTACCTTTTTTTTTTTTTTTTTTTTTTCTGAGACAGAGTCTCGCTCTGTTGCCCAGGCTGGAGTGCAGTGGTGCGATCTCGGCTCACTGCAACCCTCACCTCCTGGGCTCAAGCGTTTCTCCTGCCTCAGCCTCCCGAGTAGCTGGGATTACAGGCGCCTGCCACTGCACCTGGCTAATTTTTTGTCTTTTTAGTAGAGATGGGCTTTTGCCATGTTGGCCAGGCTGGTCTTGAAATCCTGATCTCAGGTGATCCGCTCACCTTGGCCCTCAAAAGTGCTAGGATTATAGGTGTGAGCCACCGTGCCTGGCCTTGTTGTACCTTTAAACCATGTCTTGGTTGGGCACAGTGGCTTGCAACTCTAATCCTAGCACCTTGGGAGGCTGAGGTGGGAGGACTGCTTGAGGCTATGAGTTCAAGACAAGCCTGGGCAACATAGTGAGACGCTGTCTCTAAAAAAACAAAAAGGAAATTAGCTAGGTGTAGTGGCACATACCTGTAGTCCCAGCTACTTGGGAGGCTGAGGCAGGAGGATCGCTTGAGCCTGGGAGTTTGAGGCTGCAGGGAGCTGTGATCCTGCCACTACACTCTAGCCTGACAGAGTGAAACCCTGTCTTGGGGAAGAAAAAAAATATATACACACACACACACACACACACACACGCATACACACACACATGCATGCACACACACACACACCGTATTGTTCTTTACCTATTCATTTGCTCAGCAGCATGAAATATTATACATATTACGTATATACCAGTCATTTACTGAACACCTATTATGTATTATAGATGAAACATACTTTATCTAGATATATAAAGCATGCATATGCATGTGTGTGTTAAGACTACATAAAACAAGCGTTTATTGAATGCCAACTATATGCTACAAATAAACATGTTTGTATGTATAAAACATGCATATACAGTATATACATATATGTATATTCACGTGTTTATGGAGCACCTACTTGGTGCCCACACTGTGCTGGGCACCAGGGAGAGCACAGCCTAGTAGAAGAGATGGAGAAGAAAACTGTGCCTTCATAGATGGGGAAGTGCTCTAAAACTGAGGACAAGTTGGAGAGGTGGCCCTCTTACTGCCTCGGAAAGTCAACGATGTGAAATAAGAAAGGGCACATATATACACCATGGAATACTATGCAGCCATAAAAATGATGAGTTCATGTCCTTTGTAGGGACATGGATGAAGCTGGAAACCATCATTCTCAGCAAACTATCGCAAGGACAAGAAACCAAACACCTCATGTTCTCACTCATAGGTGGGAGTTGAACACTGAGAACACATGGACACAAGAAGGGGAACATCACACACCGGGGCCTGTCGTGGGGTGGGGGGAGGGGGGAGGGATAGCATTAGGAGATATACCTAATGTAAATGACGAGTTAATGGGTGCAGCACACCAACATGGCACATGTATACATATGTAACAAACCTGCACGTTGTGCACATGTACCCTAAAACTTAAAGTATAATTAAAAAAAAAAAAAAAAGAAAGGGCATCAGGCTTGCGAGGTCCTGAACACGTCCTGAGGCTGGGGTGGGAGTGACTTCTGGTTGTGCTGCTCTGCTGCCTTCATGAGGACCCCCTCTGGCCATGCACCTGCTACCTACACCCTGGTCCCTGCAGAGGGAACGACTCAGAGTGCCCCTTACGTGTTGATTTAGGTGCTTGCCAAAATCAGAGATTGTCTGAGGAGTAACTTAATTTGAGTTCCTTCAAAATAATCAGTGAGATGGAAACTTGAGAACAGCCTCGGTCCGCTTTGGGAAGTAGAGACCGCCTTTCATTGCTCAGTGGGCAGCTGCCATCTGTGCTGCTGGTGTTGGCCATATTTACCGGTAGGAGAGAGGGTGAGAGACCACAGAAAGTCTAACGCCTGGAAGGCTCCAGTCGTCCTGCTGGTAAACACAGAGACCCCATTTTCCAGAGACCCACTGAGAGGTGGTGCAAAGAGCCGAAAACACATATGCTTCTCTGTGGCTTCCATTCTTGAGTGCGTAATGAGTGTTGTAATAAAGAAAAGTGAAAATGAAGATTCAGTTATTAATAAATGTTGGGGGGAAAAGACAGAACCTGGTATTTGTCCTGGCAGGTCAGCCTCCTAGCTGTGTGATGCTGGACGGTGATTTCGCTTCTTGAAATTTCAGTTTCCATTTCTGTAAAATGGGAAGGTTGTACTAGAAGATCTCCAGGGTCTATTTTGAAATGAACTCTCCCAACGTTGCAATGATAAGCGCTCTCAGTTCATGTGCAGCGTTGAGAGAAGTTTTCTTTGTAGATTTTTTCCTTAGGGCTCTTGCTGAAATGTACACATCTGGTCGTTTTTCAATTAAAACAAGGAGAAAAAAAAACCCCACCCGCCATAATTTACATAACAAGGACATATTGAACTCAGCCTCTTTCTGTCCCAGTGTGGGTGTTAGACAGCTTGGGGGATTATGGGCCTTGGTAATCACGGAGGGGAAGAAGCTATGTTTATGAGGTCCTTTCAATATTTATCCAACGCCCACAGGGAGCAGAGGCTTTGACCTCAGTGGACTGGATGTGGGTTATAGAACATGAGGAGTTACCCTCATCCTCAGAGAGCTTATGGTATAAGGTGGGCTTGCTAAGACTCCTAAACATTCGGAAACACTGTTCCTGTCAGGTGACACGTGCAAATGCCTGGAGGTGGGAAGGATCTCAGCATAGTCAAAGAACATTCACAGGTCCACGTGGCTGAATTAGAGGGTTCCTGAGTGTAAGATTCTCCCCGGGGCCTGAAAGCTTAAGGAGATGCATCACTCCTCCCTTCTCAGGCCCAGTCCCAGGGCGCAAGGCTACTTGCGTCAGCAGCGTGCCGAAGCAAGATAGCGGAATCAGGAAGAGAGCCGGCCGGAAGACACCTGCCCTGGCCGGAAGATACGTACCCCTGAAGATCGAGAAAGAGGCCATCCGGGTATCACGTAGCAGTTTCGTACGACTAGGAGACTTCCTGTTACAGGAGACTATGAAACCTTTGTTCCGTCCTCACTTGGGGCTGACGCCATTTTAGGCCTCAGCCCGCCTGCATCCAGGCGCTCATTAAAACAGCATGTTGCTCCACACCGCCTCGTGTTGTCTGTTGGCGTGCTCGCAGGGTTCCAACCGATACAAAAACTTTACATTGAAGACATCAGGGTCAGCTGATGGTGGCTTTGTAAGGTGTATTAAAGGGACTTGCGTCCCAGTCTGTAGGCCGTGGGAGCCAGCGGAGGATTTGTGTACTAGAAACGGTGGGGCCGGGCGCGATGGCTCACGACTGTAATCCCAGCACTTTGGGAAGCCGAGGCAGGTGGATCACTTGAGGCCAGGAGTTTGAGACCAGCCTGGCCAACATGGTGAAACCCCATCTCTTCTCAAAATACAAAAATTAACTGGGCGAGGTGGCGCCTGCCTGTGGAATCCCAGCTACTTAGGAGGCTGAGGCAGGAGAATCGCTTGAACCTAGGAGGTGGAGGTTGCAGTGAGCCAGGATCGTGCCACTGCCCTCCAGCCTGGGCGACGGAGCGAGACTCAGTCTCATAAAAAAAAAAAAAAAAAGAAAAAAAAAAAGACAAGAAAAAGAAAAGAAAAGGTGGGAGGTGGCAGGCGAGAGAATGTAGTCCGGGGCCCACAATGAGAGAGGGATGGTGTGTTTGCATGAATGGAGGGCTTGGGGACTTAGCTCAGCCTCCCAGGTGCCATCAACAAGCCACAGTCAGACCCGAAATGGTAGCCAGGGTAGGAAGTGGGACCTAGTAGCAACCAGCAGCCTCTCATTAACCCGCAGAACATTGTGTCAGCGTTATGTTGCAAGTGACAGTAACCAAACTCAAGGTAGCTTAAATCTAGAAAAGATCATTTATTGTGTCAAGTCACTACCTGGTTAGGCATGGCTGATCCAGGGGCCCCAGCTGTGTGGGCCAGGTTTTGTCTCCTGTGTCGTGGCCCTGCTTTTCTTTCTTGTTTCTCAAGCAGTCTCTCCTTTCAAGATGGCAAGAGGCCATCAGCTTGGATTCAGGTTTTTATCCACTCATGTTAGCAACGCTGTAGGGTAGGGGGAAGGTACCCCTTTCCTAGTGGCTTCAGCCAAAGTGTGAGAGAAGTCTCTTACTGTCTAGTTAGGGGCATATGGCTGCATTTGAGCCGTCTATTGGTTCTGGAGGTTCCGTGCTTTGACTGTCCTCCTCTAGGTAATGTGCCACCCCTGGAGCATTAGGGGAGGGTTAGGGGATGCCCCAGAGGAAGACAGTGCCATTACCAGAAGGGGCTTGGAGGCTGGCATGCAGTGCTGGATTTGCTTTTGCCTGGTGTCTTGTCCGTTTTCTGTTGCTTACAACAGAATACCTGAAACTGCGTAACTTATAAAGAAAAGGAAGCTATTTCTTACAGTTCTGGAGGCTGAGATGTCCATGGTTGAGGGGCTGCATCTGGTGAGGGCCTTCTTGCTGGTGGGGAATCTGTGCAAATTCCCGAGGCTGTGCAGAGCATCACATGGTGAGGGGCTGAGAGAGCTCGTGCTAGCTCAGGTCTCTCTTCCTCTTCTAAAGCCACCAGTCCCAATCCCAAGATAACCCATTAATCCATTAACCTATTAATCCATGAATGGATGAATCCATTCACGAGGGCAGAGCCCTCAGGATCTAGCCATCTCTTAAGGTCCCACCTCTGAACACTGCCACATTGGGGATTAAGTTTCAACATGAATTTTGAGGGGGACAAATGTTTAAACTGTAGCACCTGGCTAGGGAGACTTCTGCAATGGTGACCTGAACTGGGATAGAGTGAGTGGCCTAGAGGAGGGAGGTGTGGGCAGTTCTGGGGCCTGTCCTCGGGGCCACTGAACTACGACTTGAATCACTTTCCCTTCTGTCTCCACTTCACCTGCTTCCCCTCTCTCTTCCTTTAGCAATCATTTATTGAAACCTTGTCCCTCTTCTGAATCCCCCAGAATTTCGTTTGCATCTTCATGCCCCTTACCAGTGCTCAGGGGTGATGGCCAGAATATTTAACCTCGGGCACAGATCGCAGTACTTTCTGGAAGCCTCTACTGGTGCCCTGACACTAATTCTTTCCTTGCTGCATCCTGGGGGAGGTCTGGGAGTGCTGGGGGAGGGACACTTAGGGTGAGGACTCCTGGGGCAGCAGCTACTTCCCAGCCTGTGTGGAAGGACTCAGTATTTTAACAGCTGGGCAGCCATGCCGGTGGGAAGTGGCTGGTTTGAAAGTGTTCAGGGTAGGGCTGGGGTAGACTGTTCCTCATTTCCATCCCTTCCCAACACCTGCTCACCCTCAGGGGCTTTTCAGTGGGCCTTTTGCAAAGTGAATGTTGCATTGATTTGTTGTGGAGGTGGACTGAGAAAAGTGGAGGGCGACTGCTCTGGGCTGGTGTGGTTGTTCAGGACCTGCTGCCCTGTACCCTGAGGTCCTGCCAGACAACCTGTGCCACACTCACTCTATTTGCTCTGAAGCATTTTTTTTTTCTGAGAGCAATCAGGTTTATAGGCTTTGGAGAGTGTGCAAATATTTGATTTTAATTAAGGAAGTCTGGAATGGGGAATAGAAAAAGGTTACTTCTCATTTACTATTTCTGGGGGGTGGGGGAGGATGTGGTACCTCCAGCCACATGGTGGGTCACCATTGTCTCCAGGGTGGACCAGGCACCCAAGAGGAATTTGGGCAAGCGAGAGGCAGTGGGTCACCGGCTCATGGAGCCTGGGGAATTTCAAGGGGGTGAGTAAGGCAAGAGGGTGAGCAGTGTGGAGCTTTCCCGGGCCAGGATGGAGCGTGGAGAGGCCGTGAGAAAGACCGGCCTTCTGGATAGTGGCACCTACTGCCTGTTAGTACTTGCTGCCAGCCGCTGTGGTGCCCATCCCATCCGCTGGATGATCTCACCTAATAATCCTCACCACAACCCTTACTGGTAAATATTATCAGTCCCACTTTACAGAAGAGGAAACTGAGCCCAGAGAGGTTAAGAAACTTGTCCCAGATCACCCAGCTACTGAGTGGCAACCCTGGTGTGTCAGGCTTCAAAGCTGTACTAAAAACCACTACTTGGGTGGGGCGTGGTGGCTCACGCCTGTAATCCCAGCACTTTGGGAGGCCGAGGCAGGCGATCACCTGAGGTCAGGAGTTCGAGACCAGCCTCAACATGGAGAAATCCCATCTCTACTAAAAATACAAAATTAGCCTGGCGTGGTGGTACATGCCTGTAATCCCAGCTACTCGGGAGGCTGAGGCAGGAGAATTGCTTGAACCTGGGAGGTGGAGGTTGCAGTGAGCTGAAATCGCGCCATTGCACTCCAGCCTGGGCAACAAGAGCGAAACTGTCTCAAAAAAACAAAAACAAAAACAAAAAAAACCCCCACCACTTGGTGGTTGGAGGGCATTCCTAGAGGACCCAGGACTATTTTGAGGAGGACAGGTGGGGTCCCATGAATTAAAGCCCTAGCGTGTGCAATGAATGAAGTGTTATCCTGACTGGTAGAGCCTGCCTGTTTTCTGTAAGAGGGAGGAAAAAAGGTGTTGGGGGAGGGCAGGGCAGTGGCCGCATCCTGGGGTACAGGGAGGAGAATGAGCCCTAGAGCCCAGTGTTCCTGTGCCAGCCCTGCCCCCAGTATCATGTGGCCTTGGGTGACTCATCCCATCTCTCTGAGCCGGCTTCTTTCCCAGTGAGATGAGGGTAGCAACCACAGTAACAGCAGTGACTGTGGGCTTCCTAAGTGCCAGGTGCATGGATTAGGCCTCCCGCACTTGGATGCTCAGTGGGTGGGGAAGAGGGCC
Source organism: Homo sapiens (assembly GCF_000001405.40). Classification (NCBI taxonomy): domain Eukaryota; kingdom Metazoa; phylum Chordata; class Mammalia; order Primates; family Hominidae; genus Homo; species Homo sapiens. Next base: position 129,984,343 of record NC_000008.11, on the reverse strand, counting down.
TCCCTGCCAGCCCTGCCTGGGAGACACTGGATGGGGAGGTCCTGGGCAACTGGAAAGTGCTCAGCCATCTGCAAGGAGAGGGAAGCAGCTTGTGTCCCGTGTCTGGCTTCAGGCCCCTGCAGCCCTCTGACTGTTGTCCCTGCAGCCAGAGAGAGGCAGGGGACTGTTAAGGATAGGACTTCTTGCCACAGCCCTAAATAGTGCTTCTCCCTGCTGGTGGGCGGTGTTCCCCGCCTTGGCGGCTCAGCAGGATCACCTCCTCAGGCATTCAGAGGAAAAATACGGAGGCCCCAGCTGTGCAGCACCATCACCTGGGAGCTGTCTGTAAACCCTGATCTCCGATTCCGGGGAACAATATTTTTAAAAAGCTCCCGGTTGATTCCAATCAGAGGCTGGCTTCTCCTAGGACCTGCTGCCGGTTCCTGCCAATGGGATGTATTCGTTAGGGCCTGGGCGGGGCCCCGGCGAAGATCGGCTTTATGGGGCAGCGCTTCGGCCTCTTGCACCCGGTTCCGCACCCAGCGGGAGGGAGAGGGCTGCGTCCTCTGCAGGCCTCGCGGAGCCCGGCGATGCGCAGGACGTGCTCCCGGGCGGTCCCCGGTGTCCCCGCATCCCCGCGTCCCCAGCGTCCCCGCATCCCTGTGGCTGGTGCAGAGCGCACGTGAGCGCTGCCTGGTCCCTGCTCTGGGACTGGCCTGGATCCCTCCCTGCCCTGGATCCCTTCCTGCCGGTGGGGCTGTGTGGGGCCACACTCAGGGTGACCTGGCACAGTAACTCCCACCCAGTGCCTGCTGCCCAATGGTGTCTTCTTATTTAAAAACTTTTTTTTGTTGTTAATGTAGCAGATTTAACAGGTTTATTTTTTATACATATATATATATTTATTTTTCTTTTTTGTTGAGATGGAGTCTTGCTCTGTCGCCCTGGCTGGAGTGCAGTGGCACAGTCTTGGCTCACTGCAAGCTCCGCCTCCTGGGTTCTCGCCATTCCCCTGCCTCAGCCTCCCGAGTAGCTGGGACTACAGGCGCCCGCCACCACGCCTCGCTAATTTTTTGTATTTTTAGTAGAGACGGGGTTTCACCGTGTTAGCCAGGATGGTCTCGATCTCCTGACCTCGTGATCTGCCCGCCTCGGCCTCCCAAAGTGCTGGCATTACAGGCGTGAGCCACTGCGCCCGGCCTTATTTATATGTTTTTTAATAGAGAGAGCGTCTTGCAGTGTTGCCCAGGCTGGTCTTGAGCGCCTGGGCTCAAACAATCCTCTCTCCTCTGCCTCCCCAAATGCTGGGATTACAGGCATGAGCCACTTCCAAGGGTGTTTTTTTTTTTTTTTTTAACAGCTCTACTAAGGTATAATTGGTATATGAAAAAAATTGCACATATTTAGTGTATACATTTTGGAGAGCTGGACATGTATGTTTGTACCTAGACTGTGTTGGCTGCAGTACCTTCTGTAGTGGCTTGGTGACAGCCAGCTGCAGGCCTGGGGACAGAAAGAGGTGGTGAGCCCAGCTGGGCAGCCATGACAATTTAGAATGAGAATTTAAAACAGGCAAGGGTTTTAGAGATCTGCTGGAAATGATGCTCATGCGTTTGCTTTTTTGGTTCAGAATCAGATTTTTCTCGCATTTGGACATATATTTGGTTTAGTTGCTTCTAGAGAAATCCTGTTTCTTGACGTTCTGCTATTGGCCAGTCATTTCACTTTCCATACATTGTTGCAAAGTAAGTTTGTGAGGATTACAGATGAAGCAACAAGATTCCCTAAGAAGTGCTGTATTGGTAAATGAGTCAGGACTTGGATCAAGGTCTGTCTGGCTTTAAAGTTCATCCCTGTGTGCAGTGATGGCACACTAATTCCATAAATGGAAAACCAGAATCGAATTGTCCAACAGAGTAGCCACTAGCCGCATGGGGCTATTTATGTTTCGGTTAGTTAAAATTAAATAAAATTAAAAATTCAGTTCCTCAGTCACAGTAGCCAGAGTTCAAGTGCTCAGTAACCACATGTGGCCCAAGCTAAGGTATTGGATAGTTCAGACAGAGATCATCTTCATCGAGGCAGAAGGTTCTATTGGACAGGGCTGAGCTGGAGGGACTGCATGGCACAGACAGGGCTCTGGGGCCTGGGCTGGGTGTTGGAGGACAGTTAGAGAAGGGGAAAGTGTGACCAGGCTGTCTGATCCTGTTAATGTCGCTACCAGTGACCAGCCATCTTGGTTGAGGGGTTTTCCAGGACTTGGGACTTGCATTGCTAAAGCTAGGAAATTCCCTGGCCAATGGGGACAAGTTGATCCCCTGTTCACTACACACAGTATCCATGTGATGTCATTACTGCACTCAGTACCAGGACACAAAGAGGAATGCCCACTCGAGTTACTCTCAGTCCAGCGGGGAAGCTAGATGAATAGATGATGGTGTCCTTCACCTATAGCTTGAGGAGTGCTCTGAGAGAGGGGGACAGTGGTCGGGTGGACCAGCGGGGGCACCTGTCTGGACAGCAGGCTCCCTGAACTGAAACCTGAAGCCCGGGAAGCAGTTCTCCAGGTGAAGGGCTTTGGAAATGGGAGGAAGCTCAGTCAGGAAGCTTGGTCCTGGTCCTGCTCTGCTGTGATCCCACTCCCAGGCCCCAGGCGTGTTCTTTTCTTGCAGACTTTAGATTCCCTCACCTATAAAATCAGGGAGTTGGACCAGATACCCAGAAATAATATTCTCTATCTCTGCAAATGTCACATTTTCAAGTAAATAGTGACATACCTTTAAAAGTGATACATCCTTACACTGGGGAAGTATTTGATAATCAGTTCTCCATTGCTTCAGAAACATCATTTTTATCTTGCTCATCTATTAGTGAGCTCCTGTCCATGTCTCCACTTAAAAAAGGGTGGGGCTGGAGCCAGGCACAGTGGCTCACACCTGTAATCACAGCGCTTCGGGCGGCTGAGGTTGGCAGATCTTTTGAGTCCAGGAGTTCAATACCAGCCTGGCCGACATGGCGAAACCCCATCTTTACCAACCAACCAACCAACAAACAAAAATTAGCAAGGCGTGGTGGCATGTGCCTGTAGTTCCAGCCATTCTGAAGGCTGAGGTGGGAGGATGGCCTGAGCCCAGGAGGTGGAGGTTGCAGTGAGCCGAGATTGCACCACTGCACTCCAGCCTGAGCGACAGAGCCAGACCTTGTCTTGAAAAAAAAGGTGGGGAATGGGGGGCTAACTCTGTCTCTCAGTTTAACTGAGATGGTATTGGGATCTGGCTTTTCAGTACACCATAGTTCGTTTCCTTCCTCCTCTGTCTTCTTCCCATCTTCATATTATGTTGTTTTGTTGTTTGTCTTGTGAGTGTGTGTGTTTTTTTTTTTGAGATAGTGTCTCACTCTGTTACACAGGCTGGAGTGCAGTGATGCCACCTCTGCTCACTGCAGCCTCCACCCCTCAGGCTGAAGCGATCCTCCCACCTCAGCCTCCCGAGTAGCTGGAACCACAGGTGTGCACCACCACGACCAGCTAATTTTTTTGTATTTTTGGTGGAGATGGGATTTCACTATGTTGCCCAGCCTCGTCTTGACCTCCTGAGCTCAACCGATTCTTTTGCCTTGGCCTCCCAAAGTGCTGGGGTTACAGGCGTGAGCCACTGTGCCTGACCTCATAGTATGGTTTTTTTTTTCTTTTTCTTTTTCTTGAGACAGAGTCTCACTCCGTGGCCCAGGCTGGAGTGCAGTGGCACAATCTTGGCTCACTGCAACCTCCGCCTCCCAGGTTCAAGTGATTCTCCTGCCTCAGCCTCCCGAGTACCTGGGATTACAGGCGTGAGCCACCACGCCCAGCGCATATTGTTTATTAAATCAATGGTGTGCTGAACTGGACTTCTTGAAAAACAAGACTGCGTATTAAAATACACAGTAATAATTAATGTTATTGGTTTAAACAGATGATTGGCCTAAAGCATCAAAAAACTTCTTTTGAACATTTATCAACATGTTAAGCACCACGCTATGTAGTTGTCCTCCCCCACCGCAAAAATCAGATTTCTGGAAGGCAGATTTGTCACTTGGACATAGAGCTGCAAGTACTACAGCTTTTTTTCTTTTTTCTTTTCTTTTTTTTTTTTTTTTTTTGAGATGGAGTCTTGCTCTGTTGCCCGGGCTGGAGTGCAGTGGTGCAATCTTGGCTCACTGCAACCTCCTTCTCTGGCCCATTAAAAACAATTTTAACTATGTAAGCAATAGATCATGATACTGTGGAAAAATGAAGATGTGTGTCTTAAGCTGTGATCAGCCTATGCCAGGAGTGTGGTAGGCAAAATGTAGAAACTGTGTTTTTATTTTTATCATGCATCAGAATTGGTTCTGGAAGATGGTTCATGTTTAAGGGTTTATGAGTTTAAAGGGAAATGATAATTATTTTATTTTATTTTATTTTTTGAGGTGGAGTCTTGCTCTTGTCATCCAGGTTGGAGTGCAATGGCGTGATCTCGGCTCATTGCACCCTCCGCCTCCTGGCTTCAAGCAATTCTTCTGCCTCAGCCTCCCAAATAGCTGGGATTATAGGTGCCTGCCACCATGCCAGGCCAATTTTTTTTTTGTATTATTAGTAGAGACTGGGTTTCACCATGTTGGCCAGGCTGGTTTCAAACTCCTGACTTCAGGTGATCTGCTTGCCATGGCCTCCCGAAGTGCTGGGATTACAGGCTTGAGCCACCATGGCCAGCTGGGAAATGATAATTAATAGACCCTCCTGCTGTTTATCATCTTTGAAAGAGAACGACCCAGTATTATAGCAATATCTCCCCAGATCTTGGGCCCGAGTTCTGGGCAAAAGGTGCACTGTGGGCGCTGTTCTCACTTATCCTTCCAGAGGAAGTTTCCAGCTAATAGTGGTTCAACCTAAAAGGTTATAGTCTCGGAGAAGACAGTTTGTGAATAAAAGAACCTCTAATAGGCTTTATTCCTTCATATGTTAGCATAGAAAAATGTTATGCTACTATTGACAGAAAATCCAAGCCAGAGAATGTTTGTAAACTTGTAGTGGACCCAAGAATCAGTTATGTTATTTCCAAGGCACCCCAAAATGTGTATGGGATTTGCATCTTGGTGGTAAACATGCACTGAAAACCAGAAGTACTTTGTGTTTTCCTGGTATTAGGGTTGTAAAACATTGATATATTATTTATTTAATTAATTAATTAATTTATTTATTTATTTTGAGACAGAGTCTTGCTCTGTCACCTAGGCTGGAGTGCAGTGTCACGATCTCCGCTCACTTCAGCCTCTGCCTCCCAGGTTCAAGTGATTCTGTTGCCTCAGCCTCCTGAGTAGCTGGGATTACAGGCACACACCACTACGCCCAGCTAATTTTTTTGGTATTTTTAGTACGAGATGGAGGTTTCACTATGTTGGCCAGGCTGGTCCCGAATTCCTGGCCTCAAGTGATCTGCCCGCCTTGGCCTCCCAAAGTGCTGGGATTACAGACGTGAGCCACCGCACCCGGCCAACATTGATATATTTTTAAAAAGGTGTGTGTGTTCGTGTGCATGCACGTGTGTGTGTGTGTACACGCACTTAGCTGGTTAGCACTAGTTATGAATAGGAAATTAAACACCTGGGAATGTGTTTCAAAGGACACCCCCCAACCCCAGTGTATTAGCATCTTTTCTGAACTGCATACTTGGGAAATAATAATAATAACACACATTGATGGAGTGGTAGAGAACCTGGCTAATATAAAAGGACATGTTCTGAATGGATTGAGGGATACTTTAGAAAACTCTAGCACAGGGGAGGATTCCTCCAAATGTATTCATTTTTGAGGTGCATCTTTTGTTCTGTATCATCCTGGCACATGCCTGGGGAGATGGTGCCCACAGCGCGAGGCTTGAGTCTCCAGGGATTCTCTCTAAATCTGTTACGGTGGAGGTTTCAGACATTGCAGTTTTTCCTACAAGTTCAAATCAACCAAGACAAATTGGAATCACTTGTGTGAAGCCTGCCCCACAACCATCTCACAATAGTCATTTAGTGCTTGGCTGATCGAATATTAAATGAAAACATAAGAAAGAGAAGTTTTATTATTCAGGTAATCTGATTAGCTATATAACACACTATAGACAATTCAATTAAGAGGATCGAAACTACAATTAGACTGGGCACGGTGGCCCACTGTGGCTTTGGGAAGCCTAGATGGGAGGATTGTTAAGGCCAGGAGTGCAAGATTGACCTGGGCACATAGCAAGACCTCGTCTCTACATGAAATAAAAAAAAAATTAGGCATGGTGGCACACGCCTGTACAACTGAGTAGTACCCCAGCTACTCGGGAGCTTAAGGCAGGAGGATCTGTTGAGCCCCGGAGTTCGAGGCCACAGTGAGATATGGTGGTGCCACTGCACTCCAGCCTAGGTGACAGAGCAAGATTCTATTAAAAATAAATAAATCAATAAAATTAATACTTCTACTACTGCTAATACAAGATGTCCACCCTCAAGGTGCTTATGATCTCATTGAAAGAGTGAGGACAGGACGGGAGCAGTGGCTCACGCCTGTAATCCCAGCACTTTGGGAGGCCAAGGCGGGCAGATCACGAGGTCAGGAGATCGAGACCATCCTGGCTAACACGGTGAAACCCCATCTCTACTAAAAATACAAAAAAATTAGCCGGGCGTGGTGGCGGGCGCCTGTAGTCCCGGCTACTTGGGAGGCTGAGGCAGGAGAATGGCGTGAACCTGGGAGGTGGAGTTTGCAGTGAGCCGAGATCGCTCCACTGCACTCCAGCCTGGGTGACAGAGCGAGACCCCGTCTCAAAAAAAAAAAGAGTGAGGACAAATATTAGGTGATAATACCAAATAGTATAGGATGGGAATTGGCCCATGTGTGATCATTTTGTACCTTATTATTGACATTTACATACAGAGACGTGCACATCATTATTATTTTTGGCTGGGTGTCGAGTCCAGTTTATTTAAAACATGACATGGCAGACTTTGGGAGCTGGATGGCCTTAGGAACTGAAGCATAGCAGAGTTCATGTGTGAGCCATACAGAGGTCTACTGTGAACGAGTGTGAATCTTGAGCTGAACATGGCCCAGCTTCCCACATACCTGTTAGATGCCTTCTCTGTCTGGCACAACACAAGAAAAGATGACTGGGGAAGTTTGTGCCAGCAAGGCAAGACATTTGGAAATGGCCTTCATGAAACCTCTTTGTTCTGGCTGGGCACGGTGGCTCACGCCTGTAATCCTAGCACTTTGGGAGGCCGAGGTGGGTGGATCACTTGAGGTCAGGTGTTCCAGACCAGCCTGGCCAACATGGTGAAACCCCGTCTCCACTAAAAATAGAAAAATTAGTTGGGCGTGGTGGCACATGCCTGTAATCCCAGCTACTTGGGAGGCTGAGGCAGGAGGATCACTTGAACCCAGGAGGCGGAGGTTACAGTAAGCAGAGATTGCGCCATTGCACTCCAGCCTGGGCAACAGAGCCAGACTCTTTGTCTCAATTAAAAAAAAACCCCAAAAAACAAAAAAAAACAACAACACATAAACACACACACAAAAACTCTTTCTTCTGATTCAGAAATTCTATTTCTTTTTTTCAAACAAATGTTTGGCTTCTCAGAACTGAGGGGTAATGTAAACATTAAGAATCACCTTCCAAATTCACGCTCAGAGAGGCAGCCGTAGGGAGAAATTGGAAGGAAAAACCGCTTATAACTAATTGCAGTATTAGCCTCTCCAGGTAACTATGGGAAGAGCTGAGCAAGGCCTCCTTGAATGGGAGATAAGTTCACCTGTGTAATGACTGCATTTAGTTTTTTCCCAGGAAATTATAAAAAAGAATTGGTTTGCTTAAAGGTCTGTTTTCTTAAGTTTGTTAAACATTGCCGTAATAATTTTTTACATTGTTGCTAACTGGTCCTAATAATGTGAAATAAATTTCAGTCTAGTTTAGAAAAACGGTCATGAATTCTGAATTAAAGTAATTCTGAATATCCATTATTATTATAAATAGCAGATGTTTATTGCATATTTGCTATAAGCCACTGTACTGGGGGAAAGTTTTATTAAATAAAGCAATAAAGCGTTGTTAGAAATATTACAGAGCTCTTGTAATTGAACAGGATTATAGGCATAAGTTTATAATTTTATTAACAGGGATAGAATGAATCATGGTAAAGAAAAAAAAACAAGTGATAAACAAGCCAATAAAATAACAAGATGAATCCACTGAGGGGAAGGAGTAATTATTTAAATTTTTTTTTTGTTTAATTAACATTTATTGTCTTCTGGGTAACAGGCACTGTTAGGGACTTTTACATCTGCTATTTTATTTAATTACAAGAGTTCTTCATTTCCAGATAAGATTTCCCATGGGCTTCCTTTGACTAATGAGTTATCTTAGCCTGGTGCTTGTCAGTCCCAGCTGCACATGAAAATCACCTGGGGAGCTTTGGAGCAATATGGTGCTGGGGTGCTTCCCCAGAGAGTCTGTTTAATTATGCAGAGTGGGGACCCGGCTGCAGTATTTTTAAACTCTGGACAAACCAGAGATGTCATTTCACTTGCAGGAAAAATACAGCAATAAGCAACTGCTGCAAACTTCTGCAGTAGAGCATGCTATGCCAAGTAGAATAAGCAAAACACCTGTTTTCCTTCGTCTGTTTCCTATTAAGTGGGATGTGGAAAGTGTCAGAATAATTATGGAATGAAGCAGGCTAGAAAATGTTGCTTTAAAAGTCTCAAACCCAGAATTTCCAGGTGCTCTTAACTTGTAGCCTGGGTTTTGCTCCGTGGCGTTTATCAGAAACATGGTGCCAGTGACTTGCATAATAAAAGTTTTTGTCTTTTTTATTTTTTAAGAAAAAAGGAAACTATTTAACAATCTTTTATACTAAAGGTAATGTGTTTTAATGAAATACATACATATGTCCAGAGTACAGAACTGTGGATAAAACAGTTTAGGAGGACACAGAATTGTAAGGAATTCTTTCTTTTGGTGGAGGGATTATGGGTAGAAATGTCTTCCTTAAAAATCATCTGTTTCGGGCACAGTGGCTCACGCCTGTAATCCCAGCACTTTGGGAGGCCGAGGCGGGAGGATCGCTTGAGGTTACGAGTTCGAGACCAGCCTGGGCAATATGGTGACACCCTGTCTCTACAAGAAATAAAAAAAATTAGGTCAGGCGCAGTGGCTCACGCCTGTAATCCCAGCACTTTGGGAGGCTGAGGTGGGCGGATTCTGAGGTCAGGCGTTCGAGACCAGCCTGGCCAGTATGGTGAAACCCTGTTTCTACTAGAAACACAAAAATTAGCTGGGCGTGCTGGCAGGTGCCTGTAGTCCCAAGCTACTCGGGAGCCTGAGGCAGAAGAATCTCTTGAACCCGGGAGGCAGAGGTTGCAGTGAGCCAAGATCGCACCACTGCAGCCTGGGTGACAGAACGAGATTCCGTCTCAAAAAAAAAAAAAAATTATCTGGGTGTGGTGGCACGTGCCTGTGGTCACAGCTACTTGGGGGACTGAGGCAGGAGGAGCACTTTGAGCCCAGGAGGTTGAGGCTACAGTAAGCCATGTTTGAGCCACTGCACTCCAGCCTGGGCAACAAAGTGAGACCCTGTTTGAAGTTTAAAAAAAAAAAAATCTGTGATTTTTTTTTTTTTTTACTTCTAGTAAAGTTGTTTAATAGCAAAACATTTTAAAATAGCAAAACATTTTTAAAAACCAGGAAGCATCTAAGTGGTTTGGGAGGCTCAATTGTTTAAAAAATTATTATAGCCTTAGATCACATAATAGATAATTAACTTTAAAAATGATCCATAATCAAAAATATATCCAATCCCTAAAACAATTCCTGGTCACCTTTGTAAATAGATTTGCTTCAGTGGGAACTTTTAGTGCTGCCTAGAGCATCCCAGGAGTCATGAAAGTATGGCAAAATTGGTCAGAGAAAGGAAAGCTTCCATTCGACTTGCAAACATTAAGGGTTTTCTTCTTAAAATAAGCAACGTTTCTGGTAGGGGTGATAGATAGGCTTCCATTTAAGCGATGTTTTGCTCCTTTAAAAAAACTTTATATCACATTTGCTGAGAGACCTTGGGCAAGTCATATCATTCTTTTGGGCCTGAGGTTCTTTGTTGATAAAATGAGGGAATTAGACTAACATAGCTGTCAGTTTTCAAATTGGGATTCACAGGGCAGAGTCTCCTACAGAGTGCTGTGGGGAGGAGTGTTGGGTCGGCTGGATTCTGGGTCTCCTGCCTTGGCCTCAGACAGGCTGCCCTGTGGGTGGGTTCTGGGCAGTGCTCATTTTCAGGGAGGGGAATCAGTTTGATCTACTAGACATCAGGCATAGTACCGGGTGTGGGGGACACCAGGATGACCAAAACCTAGCATGAGCCCTCAGGTAGCTTAAAGCTTAAAGTCTCTTGGAGGAGACGGATAAGGACACAGAGAAATCCAGCCTTTCTCAGCTAGGTGAGGGACTGGGTGGGAGAAAGGAGGGAGTTGGTTAGAAGGCTAGTTGGGTATAAGAGCGCTGGGTGTTTTTTAATTTTTATTTTTATAGAGACAGGGTCTCACTATGTTGCCCAGGCTGGAATTGAACTCCAAGGCTCAAGTGATCCTCCTTTCTCAGCCCCTAGAGTAGCTGGGACTACAGGCGAGTATTTTTTAAAGAACTAAATGACAAATAGAGGACAGCTCCCTTCCCTGAGTCACTGTCTGGTCACTGCTGAGAGGAGACGAAAGAGGAAGGAGCAGGAGTCCACGTGAGGTGGTTGGGACTCCCCTTGTCCTCTGGAGCCGACTTCAGCATGCTGGTGAAAAGGCTGTCAGGGAAGGAGAGGACCTGGGCTCTCAGAAGATGATAGAATCTGCCTTGAGGGCTGGGAGGGACCTCAGGGGGGCACCTGGCCCAGGCGGGTAACCCTGGCAAGCCCACCCCTGACATACCGAGGCCCATCCCTCTTCCACCTCCTGTGCTTAACTGAATGGACCAGCAGTCTAACTTGCCAGCCTTTGCCTGTGCGGAGAGCTCTGCCTGGATCCCTTCCTGCCTCTGGCCAATTCTAACTTAACTTTTACTTCTCAGCTTCAGTATTACCTCCTTGGGGAAGTCTTTCTTCGATTATCCATCACTTTCCATCCCCTGCTGAGTTAATTAAATACCCTTTTCAGAGATTGCCTCATCCCCTTTCCTTCAGAGCGTTCATCTGCCTGTAATTGCTCCCCTAATCTTGGAGAGCTCCTGGGTGGCTGGGACGGTTTAATTCATGGAATTATTTCCATGGCCACAATGCTTGGCACACAATAGGTGATCAGTAGCTATTGAGTGAATGAGTGTCCTCACTTTATAACAGAAGTTAAGTGACTTGCCCAAGTCAGATGCTCCGAAAGACTGAGAAGGGATGAGACACATGCTATGAGGCTGAAGAGGAGGCGAGATCTGGTTTCTAGAGCTGTAGTCCAGGCTTTCTGCCTATAGCTTGGAAATGAAAAGAAGCCACACTTGTTTAGAGGCCCATGTTACTTCTATCAGAGCCACACTCTATGCCCTGGGTGTGCTGGGTGTGTGAGTGATGTGGGGTGTGTGTGTGTGGTGTGCATGTGCGTGGGGTATGTTCCTGGGATGTGTGTGGGGTGTGTGCATGGGATGTGTGTATGGTGTATGTGTGGTGTGTGTACATGGAATGAATGTGTGGTATGTGTGGAGTCTATGTGTGTACATAAGAGGACATAGTTTGTGAGTATGCAGTATGCTTAGATGGTTCTTTTTTTTATTTTCTTTGGAGACGGGTTGCTCTGTCACCCAGGCTGGAGCACAGTGCACATCATGGGTCACTGCAGCCTCGACCTCCTGGGCTCAAGTGATCCTCCTGTCTCAGCCTGCCAAGTAGCTGGGACTACAGGCATGTGCCACCACGCTCAGCTAATTTTTAAATTGTTTGTAGAGACGAGAGCTCCCTAAATTACTGGGCTCAAGTGATCCTCCCACCTCAGCCTCCTAAAATGTTAGGATTACGGGTGAGCCACCGTGCCTGGCCTAGATGGTTCTTAAATCCTCTTCTTGGCCACTGAGCAGTTCGGTGATTATTATTTAAAAGGGAATGTGAAACCACACTCATGCCATAGCAAGAAGAACGACAGAAAGAAAACCTACACTGGCAAACAAAAAGCTGCAAAAGCAGCCGAAGTGGCTGAAATTATCAGCAGATAGGGTTCTCTCTGGACAATTAGACATGGCCCCTAAACCTTTTGTGAATAAAACAAGGCTGGTTAAGTAGCTTCCGGTAGTTTCAGCACCCAATGAAAAGCAAAGAGAAAACACTAAGGCAGCTAAAGATTTAATCAGAATAAAGGCCAGAGAAAAAGTCATCCTGTTTCTCTTCCATTCAATAATAAGAGTGTCTAGACACTGCCGACTTTGCTCAGATCTTCACACTAACTGCTGGCTAATGCATTAAATGGGATGTTAACTGTGGTTTTATGAAACTTCTCTTTAATTCATCAGCTTTTGTTGCTGTAGGAGATTTTGGAGGGTGACAAGGCTGGCGTAATGTACCTGTTTGTGTTTCTTTCTCTGCAAAGTAGAAACCTGAAACAGGAAGTGATTCAGGGGACAGAATGACTAAGACCGTTTTAAACTCAAGTTGAACTGAGCATTTTGCTGGGACCAAGACTTGCTGCTGCAGCCAAGGGTCCCAATATCCTTTATACTGAATCTCCATGGATAGCGCTGGCCCCACCATATATGCTCCTAAGGACAACACAGTCCAGCCAAACTGTCCTTCAGTCATAGGAGTTTGGTTTAGGTCTTTGTTCTTTACTTGCTGTGCAACCTTCAGCAAATTATTCAACTTCTCTGAATGTTTATTTATTTGTAATATACCAGACTATTTTGAGCATTAAATGAGAAAACTGTTTGCAAAACAATTCAGTGATATAATGGACTGTACAAATGCTATCTGGGGCTGGGTGCGGTGGTTCATGCCTGTAATTCAGCACTTTGGGAGGTCAAGGCTGGTGGATCACTTGAGGTCAGGAGTTCAAGACCAGCCTGGCCAACATGATGAAACCCTGTCTCTACTAAAAATAAAAAATATTAGCCAGGCATGCTTGCTTGAACCTGGGAGGCAGAGGTTGCAGTGAGCCGAGATCGTGCCACTGCACTCCAGCCTAGGCGACAGAGCAAGACTATGTCTTAAAAACAAACAAACAATCAAACAAACAAATGCTATTTGGAGTTGTTATTCCCAAACTGTACCTCTACTATGGGAAAAAAACAATAGCTAGGATTTACCGGGGGCTTTCTGTGTACTGAGAACTGTTGTAACTTGCTTAATCCTTGCTATAACTCTTTTACAGGAGAAGAAACTGAGGCCTGGAATTTGATTAACTCATTCAAGGTTACCCAGTTGGTAAGTAACAGAGCTGGAATTTGACCATGGTCATCTGGCTCCAGAGCCAGCACTCTTAACCACACTTCCTATGAGGAAAAATTAAAGTGGATGGTGATGGCTACAAGATGGATTTCAGTTGCATAGAAATAAGAACCTCCTACCTCTGTTGAAATCAGAATACATATACACCCCTTCATTCACTCTATGAATATTCATTCATTCCATGAACCTACAAGGTTTTTAGGTCAAATTATTAGTTTAAATAAGAACTATAGGCTGGGCGCAGTGGCTCACACCTGTAATCCCAACACTTTGGGAGGCTGAGGTGGGTGGATCACTTGAGGTCAGGAGTTCAAGACCAGCCTGGCCAACATGGTGAAATCCCGTCTCTACTAAAAATACAAAATTTACTAAAAATACTAAAAATACAAAATACTCACTTGAACCCAGGAGGCGGAGGTTGCAGTGAGCTGAGATTGCGCCGCTGCACTCCAGCCTGAGTGACAGAGCAAGACTCCGTCTCAAAAAAAAAAAAAAAAAAGAAAGTCAGTGCTCTTAACTAATGTAGTCTTGTCAACCCTATAAGGGCCTTCACGGAAAACCATTGACTCTTGGAGCCTGGGTGCCCTCTGTCTGTGACAGTGCACTTCCCTTTTCTACTTCTTTTTTCCCCCGGTTTCCTAGACTCCCAACTATCCTCACTGGTGAGGCTTAACCATAGGATGGGGACCTTTGGCAAAATACTGTACAGCCATTTCTACGTAGGCGTGCTTTTAACTTTTATTTTAATCGAGCTATCTTACATGCTGTAAAATGCACAAATCTTAATCGTACAGCTTGGTGAAATTTTGATATGTTACACCCATCTAATCACCACCCAAATCAGGATATACAATATTTCTAGAAAGGTCCCTCATGCCCTTTGCACTTAGTGTTGCCCCAGAGATAAGCACTATTCTGACGTCTGTCAACATAGATTCATGCTTCCACCTTGGCCGTATCCAAATATACTTGCTCAACAAAAGCAAAAGGATAAAACACCACTTTAAATAGTGTAGGTGATCCTGTCATTCCACCCAATGGGCGTCTCTCTTGGAGTGGGTGTGAATGGCAGACATGGATCTGCTATTCCGTCTGTTGGTCATTTGTTCTCATGGCTTTTTAGGATGTGAGCATCTTGTGCCACCAAATATGTTTCTCATATTTATGGATTTTAATTATCACACAACATGGCCCCTAAATCTAAGCCAGTTATTACATATGGTGCCCAACCCTAAGAAACCAAATCCAGTGCTGAAGGAAAGACTGGCTGTGTTGGACTTCATGAAAGATGGTTTGTTTGTCTCCAACCTGAGACCTTATTGTGGGATTTTTCAAGGGGAATTTTGGCTTCTTTCAATTTTCACACAACATGCTGGCTTCAGAAGCTAACCCTTGAGTAGATACAATTTTAATGTGGGCAGAACTCAAGTGTGGATAAGTGGTTATATTAAATTTAGTGACCTGGAATACTTCTGGCAGCATGGTGGACTAAGCTGACTTGTGTGAGTCCTTCCTGGTATGAATACAGAATTGATGGAAATATAAGAATTTTATCTAGGGGAGCGCTGAAGAAAGGGAAACCTGCAAATGTCAAAAATGAGGATAGGCCGGCCGCGGTGGCTCACGCCTGTAATCCTAGCACTTTGGGAGGCCAAGGCAGGCAGATCCCTTGAGGTCAGGAGTTCCAGACCAGCCTGGCCAACATGGCGAAGGCCTGTC
Source organism: Homo sapiens (assembly GCF_000001405.40). Taxonomy (NCBI): domain Eukaryota; kingdom Metazoa; phylum Chordata; class Mammalia; order Primates; family Hominidae; genus Homo; species Homo sapiens. The sequence continues at coordinate 129,969,199 of NC_000008.11, read as the reverse complement.
TCTACTGAAAATACAAAAATCAGCCGGGTGTGGTGGCGCATGCCTGTAATTCCAGCTACTCAGGAGGCTGAGGCAGGAGAATTGCCTGAACCTGGGAGGGGAAAGTTGCAGTGAGCAGAGATTAAGCCACTGCACTCTAGCCTGGGCGACAGAGCAAGAATCCACCTCAAAAAAAAAAAAAAAAGGAGGACAAATTTAAGCTAAATGGTGGCATGTGAGCTGAAGCCATGACTACTCCTGGGGCTTTTGCACAGAAGCTATAGAGCCTGAGGGCCAAAGTTTTAATGGCACGGTGGCTCTAGGAAGGAGGCCTGGACTCAAGGTGGAATTGAGTGCTCTGGAGCCTTGAAGGTCTGACTTTTTCATGAAAAGGGGCTAGAAAAACTTCAATACTTGGAGAAATAGAGAGGAAGCTTGACTTGACTGGAAAAAAAGTTACCAGCAAGAACTTAAACACATGGGATTGTACTATATATGGTTGTGGAATCTGTATTTTTTATTACTTATGAGGTATGAGACCCTTCAACCTGAAAAATTAACGTAAGAACTGGTCTAGTACCATGGAAACCTCTACTGCGAACGCAAAGTCATTCCATAGGCATATTTCAACAACCTATACCTAACAGCACTCCCACAGTGAGAATGACCTCTGAAGACGAGTTCACAATGAAAAACTATATTCAGGAAACCATTCCAAGTTGGAAATAATAAAACCATTTATAAGAGACTATAAAAATGGTATATTTAAAATGATTAAGATGTCTTAGTTTAGGTTCACAAGAAAAAAGAAATAAAATGATTAAGAACTAAGGATGATATAAAAAATGTAAAGAAAGATGGAAAAAGAATAGGTTGACTTGAAGAGCAGCTGAATTGAAAGGAAAAATAATCATTAAAATTGAAATCCAACAAAAGAGTTAAATGACAGATTAGACATAGCTAAAGAGAGAATTAATGAGCTGAGCTGAGAGACGATGACAGTTAAAATTTGTTAAGTGCATAGTACATGCCATTGTTCTGTGTACTTTATTTGCATTAATTCATTTACTCCTTAGAACAAAATTATGAGGAGGCATTATGATCATCTGAATTTTATAGACAAATAAACTAAATAGCAGTTTAAGCCACTAGCTCATGGTCACATAGCTGGTAAGTGATGGATCTGGGATTTGACTCCAGGCTGTCTTGGGTAGCCTTGGGTCTGTGTTTGCAAGTATTATACTATGGGAAATCACCAAGAGTAGGCACTAAGCGATAAAGAGATGGGTATATGAAATAATGGTGAAGAAGTATCAATGGCACTACTTACATCTACATAGAGGGACTAAGGGAGAGGCAGTATTAGAAGACGTAAGGATTAGATGTCCTTTCAGACATCTTCCAATCCTTAGGTTCCAAGAATTTGTGACCAGGTCACCATTGAGGGCAAAATATTCAAAGGAGGGTGGTATACCCTCAGTTTTCACTGTAGTCTACATTGGTGTGCTGGTAAATGTTTACAGTGATTTAAAAAGGAAAGAAAGCCGGGCACGGTGGCTCACGCCTGTAATCCCAGCACTTTGGGAGGCTGAGGCAGGCGGATCATGAGGTCAGGAGATCGAGACCATCCTGGCTAACAGGGTGAAACCCCGTCTCTACTAAAAATACAAAAAATTAGCCGGGCATGGTGGCAGGCGCCTGTAGTCCCAGCTACTCGGGAGGCTGAAGCAGGAGAATGGCGTGAACCTGGGAGGTGGAGTTTGCAGTGAGCCGAGATCGCGCCACTGCACTCCAGCCTGGGCGACAGAGCAAGACTCCATCTCAAAAAAAAAACAAAAAAACAAAAAAACAAAACAAAACAAAACAAAACCAAAGAAAAGAAAAAGAAGAAAGAAAAGAAAAGAAGCCCTAATTTGTAGCATTTGCTGATTCCTATGGTGTAAATACTTCCACCATGACCAGTTTCAAGCTACCAACATGATGCCACTGAACACGGAGTTTGGAAGAAATGAACATGGTTAGGACTCTTGAGTCAGTATAGCCACCTTCAGAACACCACTGCCTTTGGCATTCATTTTATTTTAAACTCTGTTTGTTGTTGTTTTTTTATTTTTGAGGTAGGGCCTCGCTCTGTTGCCCAGGCTTGAGTGCAGTGAAGTGATTATGGGCCACTGCACTAATTTTTTAAAAAACACTCATGGATAATTTTTAAAAAAATTTATTTTTGTCTGTGCTTGGTGGCTTATGCCTGCAATCCCAGCATTTTGAGAAGCCAAGGTGGGAGGATCACTTGAGCTCAGGAGTTTAAGACCAGCCTGGGCAACATGGCGAAACCCTGTTTCTACAAAAAAAATATAAATTAGCTGGGTGTGGTGGTATGCACCTGTATTCCCAGCTACCTGGGAGGCTGAGGTGGGAGGATTGTTTGAACCCAGGTGGCAGTGAGCCAGAATTGGTCCTCTGCACTCCAGCCTGGGCCATGGAGTGAGGCCCTATCTAAAAATAATTAATTAAAAATTTAAAAATAAAGTAAAATTTATTTTTTATAGAGGCTGGTCTTGAATTCCTGGACTCAAGTGATCCTCCTGCCTTGGCCTCCCAAAGTGCTAGGATTACAGGCATGAGCCACTGCGCCTGGCCTTTTTTAAACTTTGATCTCTGGGTTTTGCATCCAGGTGTGGAATTTTTAAGAAGTAGTCATGTCATTAATGATATCACAGGGGCAAGAAGAGACAATGGGACAAGAGTGAGCTCTGCCTTTCTTCTTTTGTATTTAAAAACAAAACAACCTTTTGTGACTGTGGTTGGAGAAACAGGCATACTCATTCTACTACTGATGAGAGTGAAAATTAGTACAACTTCTTTGGAGGGCCATTTGGCACCATTCTGAGTGCACATACCCTCTGATCCTGCAATTCTGCTTCAAGGATTTTCTCTTATAAATTCTATGTTTCCTATAGTTATAAATGTGTGTGAAGATGCATGTAACATATACTCATTGCAGCATTGCTAGTAATAGAAAGACTGTGGAAGCAACTTAATGTATGTCAATAAGGAATTGATTTAGGCTGGGCGCATTGGCTCATGCCTATAATCAGCACTTTGGAAGCCGAGGTAGGCAGATCACTTGAGGCCAGGAGTTTGAGACCAGCCTGACCAACATGGTAGAAACTGTGTCTCTACCAAAAAATACAAAAATTAGCTGGGTGTTGTGGCCCACACCTGTATGTAATCCCAGTTACTCGGGAAGCCGACGTAGGAGAATAGCTTGAATCTGGGAGGCGGAGGCTGCAGTGAGCCGAGACTGCACCACTGCACTCCAGCCTCGGTGACAAGAGCAAGACTCTGCCTCAAAAAATGAACAAACAAAACTCCAAAAAACAAAAAGTAGCGAATTGATTGAATGTATATTCTTTTTTTTTTTTGAGACAGAGTCTTGCTCTGTCGCCCAGGCTGGAGTGCAGTGGCGCGATCTCAGCTCACTGCAAGCTCTGCCTCCTGGGTTCATGCCATTCTCCTGCCTCAGCCTCCCAAGTAGCTGGGACTACAGGCACCCACCACCACGCCCGGTTAATTTTTTGTATTTTTAGTAGAGACAGGGTTTCACCGTGTTAGCCAGGACGGTCTCGATCTCCTGACCTTGTGATCCGCCCGCCTCGGCCTCCCAAAGTGCTGGGATTACAGGCGTGAGCCACCGCGCCCGGCCTGAATGTATATTCTTAAAGTGGATTGCTCCGCCATTGTTTAAAATAGTAGGTCATATCTGCTAAGAAGGAATGATTTTCAGGATATATTCTTAAGTTTAAGAATAAAGCAATTTGCAGGAAAGTATATGTGGTATGCTGCCAGATGTAGGAAAACAAGAAGAGGGTATAAGTGTTTATACACACCCACCCACACACATACTCATGCTTGATTATGCCTGGGCGATTGCTGGAAGGACACACACACACACACACACACACACACACAGTGTCTGGGGGAATTCTGTATATCTCTTGGAAAAGCTTAGGGGATTGTGGGTCTTGGGTGGGTGGAAGATATCCTGCTATGTGTCCTTTTATGTTTCTTTGAATGTTTATAGAGGAGATTTGGCAGGTCCCCTTGGTGGGGTTGCATATGCCCCATGGGAAACCAACATTTATTGAGCATTTGCCAAGCAACAGGCAGTTCCCTGTGTTATCTGCTCACAGGTAAGACAGATCACACGGGTAAGGATGTGAGGAGGTGTCCTCACACATCCATAACACTGGAGTTCTCTCCATTGCCTGCTGATACCTGGACTACAGAGCTGCCCAGTAAATGTGTGATAAATGACAAATCTCATTTTCTTTTCCTTTTTCTTTATTTCTTTGGAGGCAGACTTTTGCTTGACTACCCAGGCTGAAGTGCAGTGGCACGATCACGGCTCACTGCAGCCTCGACCTCCCAGGCTCAGCCTCCTGAGTAGCTGGGACTACAGGCATGTGCCACCACGCCTGGCTCACTTTTTTCATTTTGTAGAGACAGGGGCCTCCCTATCTTGCCCAGGCTGGTCTTGAACTCCTGGGCTCAAGTGATCCTCCTGACTTGGCCTCCCAAAGTGCTGGGATTACAGGTGTGAGCCACTGTGCTTGGCCCGATAATCCCATTTTCAAGAAAATGGATGGTACCTTTGTTGTGCAAAGTCCTGTGGCATGCAGGTAGAGGAAGGGAAATTCCATGACGGCCTGCAAGGTGTTTTGGAAACGGGTAACCCAGCTGCTTCATAGAAATCTGAGTTATCTGAGAGGCATCTTAACTTCGTCTCTCCTGACACTAGTCCCTGGCACCTCTCTTGAGTCCACATGGAAGTATTCAGTCAGTACTAATTTTTCCAACTGTAAGATTCTTTGTTCTGGAAAGCTGTAGCTTGTGTTTCTGGACCACATGAATTGCTGATGTGTTTAGAAACAATAAAGGCAAGGAGAATTTGTCCTGCGATGTCCTCGTTTCCTGAATTATTTTATCTTTACAACTTTCCCGTTGAGTATGCATCATCAAAGGACTAAGAGACACCAGCTTCTGTTCACTTAAAAAGACTGACCTTTAGGGGCCTTTCTTCTCAAAACAGATGTTCCCAGAGGTGCTTTTTATTGTTGTTATTGTTGTTTTCTGCAATCAGCCACATTTCTAACCCATCAGGAAATGTTTTATAGAACCAGAGACTTTCTCTCTTCCCCTTCCCTTGATCATCTGGAAATAAATTCAGTAAGTAGGTTATTCATCTTGAAAGGGCTGTTTTGATGCTGTTGTGATGTGATCAGCACACAAATGGACAAGAAATCCAAATGGTCAAGAAGGATGGAATGAAAATTTAAGCGTATGGAATCAAAATCACAAAAACTGACCTGGGTAGTATTTAAGAGCGTTCCATTATCTGCACAATTCAGATGAAACACTTGCAAGTGAGAGTTATTTGACCTTAGCACTTTGCTGGTCTCTTGAGACAGTATTTTGTAGGCTCAGAGAGAGCTGTTAAGAGCTTTAAGTATCATCGCCCTTCTGTGCAACGTGGGATGTAATGGTTTTAGTTTACTGTAAGATGAATGTGAATCAACAGTGTTATCTGACTCCTCCAACTAGTAATTCCATCTTCACTGCCTGAATAGAGAGAGGGAATAGGTTTAATCGCCATTGCTCTGTGAGGCCTTCCTGGACCCAGGTGCTTTGCTGTGCTCATATTGCACTGTGTAGTATTTAATTAAAGCAGTTATCTTATTGGCTTTAAATAGCTGTAATTGTTTGTGGCTGTCTCCACATCAGCCTGTGAGTGCCTGGAAGGATGGTATGGATCACCTTGCTTCATCTGTGTATAGCCAGCATGCAGCATACACCACAGCACTTCGGATTTCATTAGTCAGGATTCTGTCGACCTTGAAACAGAATCTCGCCTCGAACTGGCTTCCGCAGAAAGGGGATTTGTTGGTTTATGTAATTGAAGAATCTAGGAGTGAAACATAAGGCCTGGAGGATCCAAGGCTTAAAGTGTTGCCAAGGCTTACACAGTTTTTCACCATCTTTAACGCTGCCTCCCTTTTCTTGTGGATTGTGGTCCAAAATGGTTGTCAGCGGTTCTAGCAGGAGGTAAAAAAAGGCCACTGTTCCAGTAGTTCAACAAGTCTTAGAACTGAGTCCAACTGTCTTTCTGATTGGTCTTTTCTGGGTAACATGCACAGCCCTGAACCAATCGCTGTGGCAGGCAAATGCGACGCTCTGATTGGCCATCTTGGATCAAATGCCCTCCCCCTGAGGGAGATTGGGTGCAGCTTGCACCTGCTCAGGTACAGAGACTGAGAATGAGGGAAAGATTGCAGGTTTCCAGGGAAATGCGGGTACCGTTTGTGAATGGTGGGTAGGCAAAAGCCAAGGATGTCCAATATAGTAGGTTTTTAATCAGTGTTTACTCAGTGAATGAATTAACAGATGAATGAGCAAACAGGAGCGTGCTGCTGATTCTGCGAGCTGGTTATGCAATACCCCGAGTGGGGTTTTAACAGATGGAGACTTTGCAGAGGGGAGGGATAGAAGAGGGCTCTGAAATCAAGTCATTTAAGGATACCATTAAATTAGCTGAAATATTTAACAAGAAATAGGAGACAGGGGAGACATATGATAGCTGTTTCCAAACGTAAAGGGCATTCATAGGGAAGGGACATTTTCTGGGTCCCTATTTTATGCCATAGATGCTGGGCTAGACACTTTAATTGACATCACCCCACGTTTATTTTTATTTTAATTTATGTTATTTCATTTTTTTGAGACAAGGCCTTGCTCTGTGGCCCAGGTTGGTGTGCAGTGGTATGATTCTAGCTTACTGCAGCCTCAGTCTCCCAGGCTCAAGCAATCATCCTGCCTCCCTCCTGAGTATCTGGGACTACAGGCACACATCACACCTAGCTAATTTTTTTTCTTTTTCTGTCCTTCTTTCTTTTGTTCTTTCTTTCTTTCTTTTTTTTTAAACAGGGTTTCACTCTGTTGCCCAGGCTGGAGTGCAGTGGCGCAATCATGGCTCACTGCAGCCTTGACTTCCCAGGCTCAGGTGATCCACCTCAGCCTCCCCGAGTAGCTGGGACCACAGGCAAGCAGCACCATGCGTGGCTAATTTTTTGTATGTTTAGAGAAGGGGTCTCCCATGTTGCTCAGGCTGGTCTTGAACTCTTGGGCTCAAGCCATCCTCCCACCTCGGCCTCCCAAAGTGCTGAGATTACAGGCACAAGCCACTGCATCTGGCCGCAATTAAAAAATTTTTATTTAATCTTGATAATTGTGTTTGTTAAAGAAACTAGCTCAGAGAGTTTAGGAACTTGCCCGAGGTCATAGGCCTGGGCTCTGACAAGGCCAGAATTCAGTCTAGGTCTGCCAGTTTCAGAAGCCCCTTGCATTGCCTGGTATTTGATTTAGCTGCTGCATAGCCAGCAGACTGTACTAAATAATAGGGTTTTGCCATAGTTCTCTTCTGAGATCTTGATTTCATCAATATTTGTTTATCCACTCATTCATCTTCACTCATGTACTCAGGAAATATTCCATTGATTGCCTACCTGGGTACCAGAGATGGACTAGTGAATGATTCAAGCCCCTGCCCTCTTGGAGCTTACAGTCTGGCCAAGTTCCATATTACTTCTAAACGGTTAAATGACAGCCTCTAAGGTTGTACAGATCTATGATAATGGGAGTTGCACTAGTCCCACCCCTCTGTAAGGAGGCAACCAGCAAAACCAAGAAGCTGGATGGCCCAGTTTTATCTATGCTGTCTGCCTAGGATGCTGCTCCTAAAGGGACTGATGGATATTGAGGTATGGGAGGCTTAGGGTGTGCCTCACCTGTTCTCATCCTCCCAGGGCTGGCTCTGCTGGGTGATCTGGGCTGTGTCCCACCACTCTGTCCATATGATGACTCCCGTTTCTGAACCCCAGAGCAGAACCCATGGAATGAAGTAGGGTTAGCTGAACAGGGGGGAAATAAATATTTCTTGAATGAGACCTCCCCCTGGTTCTTTGACATGGCTCCTCCTGCCCAGGGAAATAGGTATTATTGTCTCCATTTTTCAGGGGAAGAAGCCGAGGCTTATTTAGAGTCACGATTTGAGCCCAGCCCTGTCTGATGGCTCCAAAATCATATGGGCTTCCTCTTGACCCTCCTTTGATCCAGGTAGGTCTGGGGAGTAGGGCTTTCAAAGCTTCTGAAATGTGAGGTGATTGGTAAGTTTCCTAGTTTCTTTCTTTCTTTCTTTCTTTTTTTTTTTTTTTTGAGACTGAGTCTTGCTCTGTCGCCCAGGCTGGAGTGCAGTGGCATGATCTTGGCTCACTGCAACCTCCGCCTCCCGGGTTCAAGCAATTCTCCTGCTTCAGCCTCCTGAGAGCTGGGGTTACAGGTGCGTGCCACCATGCCCAGCTAATTATTGTATTTTTAGTGGAGATGGGGGTTTCACCATGTTGGTCAGGCTGGTCTCGAACTCCTGACCTTGTGATCCGCCTGCCTCGGCCTCCCAAAGTGCTGGGATTACAGGCATGAGCCACCATGCCCAGCCTTTTTTTTTTTTTTTTTTTTCTTGAGACAGAGTCTCGCTCTGCCGCCCAGGCTGGAAAGCAGTGGCTTGATCTTGGCTCACTGCAACCTCTGCCTCCCAGGTTTAAGCGATCGATCTTGGCTCACTGCAACCTCTGCCTCCCAGGTTTAAGCGATTATCCTATTCTCCTGCCTCAGCCTCCTGAGTAACTGGGATTACAGGTGCCCGCCACCATGCCCAGCTAATTTTTGTATTTTTAGTAGAGGCGGGGTTTCGCCATGTTGGCCAGGCTGGTCTCAAACTCCTGACCTCAGGTGATCCACCCACCTTGGCCTCCCAAAGTGCTGGGATTACAGGTACGAGCTACTGCGCCTGATCGTGATTTGTTAAGTTTCATTTCATTCATTTATTTTAAAAAGTACTTAAGGAGGGCCTGTGTACAGAAACTCTGTTTGGCCCTGGGTGACCAAGATTGACCAGGGTTTCTGCTCCCAGGGAACTTAAAGTCTGAGTTAAATAATTGGAAGTGTGCAGTCTTTCATTCAGTGATTTATTCAGCCATGCACCAGGATGTATCAGTTAGATGCTTTGAATTGCAAGTGTCATAAATCCCAGTTCAAATGGGATAATTGATAAAAGCAGTTAAGTGGCTCACATAACCAAAAATTGTAGAGGTAGGATAGGTCAGGGCTCCGTCTTCCTTTCCTTAAGATCCTCCCAGCTCTGTACTTCTGTCTGTGGGCTCTTCTCAGATTGACTTCCTTCATAGTCGTGAGAGAAAAGAGCTACCATCTCTCCCTAGAGCCACTGAACAAACTTCCTGAACTTTGTCCTGATTGGATCATTTCAGGACATGCATTCATCTTTCAATTAATTGTGGTGGGAAATGGGATAATACTGATTGGCTTAGACCATTCAGGACCTGCCCTTGGAATTGGAGGTAAGGTGTGCCTGACTGAAGAATGCCTCTTGATGGGGAAGGAGTGGAGTAGATGTGGTAGGATTGGCGTACAAAGATGGGTAAAAGTATTATCTCTTATTAGACACTCACCTTTTTCTTATTTTTTAAAATATTAATAATAGAGATGGGGTCTTGCTAAGTTGCCCAGTCTGGTCTCAAACTCCTGGGTTCAAGCCATCCTCTCACCTCAGCCTCCTAAAGTGCTGGGATTACAGGCGTGAGTCATCACACTGGACCAGAAACTCACCTTCTCTAGTACGGTTCCTGAGAAGGGCATTCACCTAGTCTTAATTGAATGCTAGGTACTCTACATGTATTTTTCAGAGTAAATTCTCATAATGTCCTTGTCAAATAAATAAATATTTCCAGTTTGCAGATGAGGAAACAAGTTCAGAGAGCTGGAGTTGCTTGCAGGCAGTCACACACCACACACACCTAGGAAGCAAGTAGTGGGGTGTGGCTGTGGCTGTGGCTGGGGCTGCTACACTACTTCCTCTGCTTTTTTGTGATGGGGGTAGAGAAAATAAATTGTTAATAGAGACCTAAAAAGATTTGTTGAATGACTTTTCTACAATAAGCAGGGCCTTGGGAGTAGTTACTGCTTTTCATTTCAAGCTTTTATTAGAGAAATCCTGCCTGCCTTTGTTTTTTTTTTTTTTTTTTTTTTTTTGAGACAGAGTCTCTGTTGCCCAGGCTGGAGTGCAGTGGCATGATCTCGGCTCACTGCAATCTCTGCCTCCCAGATTCAAGCAATTCTCTGCCTCAGCCTCCCGAGTAGCTGGGATTACAGGCGCCCGCCATCACAGCCGGCTAATTTTTGTATCTTTAGTAGAGACGGGGGTTTCACCATCTTGGCCAGGCTGGTCTTGAACTCCTGACCTCGTGATCCACCCGCCTCAGCCTCCCAAAGTGTTGGGATTACAGGCGTGAGCCACTGCTCCCGGCCTCTTTTTTTTTTTTTTTTTTAAACCAGTGGTAGATGGGAGGAAAACTCTGCTTCCAGGTTCAGGTAAATAACAGAAATTGAATGAGCTCGAGAGAAAAAGCAGAACCATTGTCAACTGACAATGTCTCCAAAGAGATGATTGCATCAGATAATTTCACAGAAATGGTTTCTCTCCCCTTTTGACTTTTCTGCCCGAGGCTGCCATTAGGTTTTAAAGTAATAGAGTAGCTATTATGTAATTGTATACAATGCTTCCTTCCCTTGGGCCCATGTTAACTTGTGCCTTCAAAATACAGAATACAGTTTTTTTGGTAAAGAGTTTATGTAAAGCCAGTGTGATTCCTAAATTAAACTGCCAAAATGAGGGCAAACAAGCTGGGTTTTCTGGTTTTCTCCAGATTCTGCAGAGACGTAACATCCGACAGATCAGGAAGATGATTTGCCAAAAGTCATTTGTGTGCTGGTGCAGAATGTTTTCACACTGCTCTGCCCCCAGTGTGTGTGTACACACTTCACTGCCCAGTGGAAAGGCTCTTTTTTCTTCATAGGTCCCCCAACCTCACCTACTTCCATTCCACCCCAGCAGATACAATTTTATCCAGGGAGAAATTAATATTTTTTTTCCCCAGAGACAGAGTCTCACTCTTTGCCCAAGCTGGAGGGCAGTGGCACGATCTTGGCTCACTACAACCTCCATCTCTCGGGTTCAAGCGATTCTCATTCCTCAGCCTCCCAAGTAGTTGGGATTACAGGCGTGTGCCACTTGGCTAATTAGCTTGGCTAATTTTTTGTATTTTTTGTATTTTTTTTTTTTTTTTTGAGATGGAGTCTCGTTCTGTCGCCCAGGCTGGAGTGCAGTGGCGCGATCTCGGCTCACTGCAAGCTCTGCCTCCCAGGTTCACACCATTCTCCTGCCTCAGCCTCCTAAGTAGCTGGGACTATAGGCACCCGCCACTATCCCTGGCTAATTTCTTGTATTTTTAGTAGAGACGGGGTTTCACCATGTTAGCCAGGATGGTCTTGATCTCCTGACCTCATGATCCACCTGCTTCGGCCTCCCAAAGTGCTGGGATTACAGGCATGTGCCACCACGCCGGCCAATTTTTTTTATTTTTAGTAGAGATGGGGTTTCACCATGTTGGCCAGGCTGGTCTGGAACACCTGACTTCAAGTAATCCGCCCACCTCCACCTCCCAAAGTGCTGGGATTACAGGTGTGAGCCATCGTGCCGGCAATAAAAAAATTTGAAATTCAAATGGTGGTTGGTGACAAGTTGATAAATAAGGTTTTCAGCTTAGATGCTGTGCTTTTTGAGTTCTTGTGTCTGCTTTTCTTCTAGGTTATTACTGATGATAACTGATTTAACTATCCAAATTTCTACCACATTGTGTGCTGTGTTTTAAGTCTTGGGGACAGAGAATTGAGCAAAGTACAGCCTTAAGTACTGATAGCCTTTAGTGGCCTTCTTCTAACCAGATTTCCCCTAAGTCTGTCCACATTGGTGTCATCTTTGGGTGCTGATTTACTCTGGGCCAGGCAAACTTTACCTGGACTTGGGGAAAGGTATGAAGTAGAAGAAAATAGAACATGAGAAAGGTCTGAGGATAAAATGCAGAGGCTTAGGCCATGCACAGTGGCTCATGCCTGTAATCTCAGCATTTAGGGAGGCTGTGGTGGGAGGATTGCTTGAGCCCAGGAGTTTGAGGTCAGTCCTAGCAACACAGCAAGACCCTGTGTCTACACACACAAAAAGAAAATAGAAAAGAAAAGAACAAAAATCAGCCAGGCACAGTCGTGTGTGTCTGTAGTCCCAGCTACTTGGGAGTCTGAGGTGGGAGGATCACTGGAGCCCTGGAGGTCAAGGCTGCAGTGAACCATGGTCATGCTACTGCACTCCAGCCTGGGTGACAGAGCAAGAGCCAAGAAAGAAAGAAAGAAAGAGAGGCTGGGGGGAGGGAGGGAGGGAGGAGGGAGGAAGGAAGGAAGGAAAAATAGGCTTAAATGTCAAGTAAAGACTGAAAAAGAAAAAAGAATAGGCTTAACTGTCAGGTAAAGACCAGAAAAACAGGGCTTCTGGGCTCATTGTGACCCTGCAGGGGTGATCAATTGGTTTTCATTAGGGATGAGATTCAGGGGCTCTGTTACCACAGCATAACCCAGCTCACCCTAAGTGATATAACCACTACTGTCATACAGGGAGCATGATTCATGGAACTTGGGAGCAGGTGTGTGTGTGTGTGTGTGTGTGCAAACACAAAGACATGTATGTGTATATATGAATCTTGCTGCCTCTTGAGGCTGGTTTCCAAACTTGTCTACACTTTGGAATCACCTGGCAATCTTTTAAAATCCCAAGCCTAAGGTCATACACTAGATGAATTACTTCATAGACTCTAGGGGTGGGACACAAGCATTAGTTTTTTTAAGCTCTCCAGATGATTCTAATGTTCAGGACAAGTTAAGTTCAGGAATCACTGCTCTGTGAGAATTATAATATCATTATTATTATTATTTGAGAAGGGGTGGGGATAATGGAAGTGACAATGGTAGTAGCCATCATTATTATTTACTGGCTGCTACCTATATGCCAGGCAGCATTCTCGATGTTTTACAAAGATAATCACTTCTGATTCTCACTGCGCTCCACGAGACAGTTTTGTAGGTGGTTGGAGAAGGAAAGGAGAGGGTCATATCTTTCAAACTTATGTAAGCCACAGAGTTGGCTAACCAGATTGTCAGGTGAAAATGAGAAAGATGGGGCTGCTGGGCTTACCTTCTTGACCCCAGAGGGACCATTGTGGTCATCCTTAGGGCTGAGATTTAGGTGTTCTTTGTTACCACAGCATAACCTATCCCATCCCGATGGATGCAACCATCCTTTTAATAACCACAGTGGATTCAGGCATTGGTGCTTAGAAGCACATTTTGCAACATTATAAATTGAGGGTGAGTTTATTTTGGCTTGTGGCTTGGAAGGAGAAAAGAGTGCAGTAAACCAGGCTATTAATCTTGGGTTTGTTGGTTCATCCATCAACACCGCTTTGTATGTGTCTCAAGGAATCAGATTTAATAAATTAATAAAATGCTATCTTGTGTTTTTGTAGCACTTTTCTCAATGGAATACACAGTGCTATGCAAACCTCTTACTGTTGTTGGTCTTTTTGATACACCGTAGAACGCTTGTAAGAGGTAAATAGGGCTGTTACCATAAGGTAAAATGAGGAAATAAGTTACCTTGAAATGCTTATCTAATATCTCTATAGATTTCCGACGTCTGTAGAGATTTCTGATGGGAGCCTCGATGTGTAGGTAGGAGTTTGGTGCGGAAACGTGGGAGTGTTGTGGAAGGTGTTCCTAGCAGAGGTGGAACAGCAAGAAACAGTATTTACATGAACTCTGTAAGCAGCTTAGTGTTGTGACCGAGAAAGATACCATTCCTTGCTATTATGGGTGACTGGAAAATCTCAGAAAGCCTGCATTTCCACTTATTTCTTCATCATGCAGCACATACTTTTTTTTTTTTTTTTTTTTGAGACGGAGTTTTGTTCTGTCACCCAGGCTGGAGTGCAGTGGCACGATCTTGGCTCACTGCAACCTCCGCCTCCTGGGTTCAAGTGATTCTCCTGCCTCAGCCTCCCAAGTAGCTGGGACTACAAGTGTGCACCATCACGCCCAGCTAATTTTGTGTTTTTAGTAGAGACGGGACTTCACCATGTTGGCCAGGCTAGTTTCAAACTCCTAAACTCAAGTGATCCGCCTGCCTCAGCTTCTCAGAGTGCTGGGATTACAGGTGTCAGCCACCGCGTCCGGCCACAGCACATACATCTTCTAACATTTTGCAATGGTGGAAGAGATTTGTGTGTTGTGTGTAGTAAGGGCCAAATAAGGACAGCAATTAATTTACCTACTTTTACCCTGAAAGATCACACCAGATACCATACCAAATGTTGCACACTGCTTATTAGTATAGATATTTCACAGGACTTTACTGATGCCTCAGTGATGTAGACTAACCTTTGGAAATAAAGACAGTATAGACATAAATCCCTCTAATCTTCCCCCTGGGTCCAGAGTTCATGACTGGGGGATCGTGCCCCTAGACAAGTTCCTTAACCACTTGGGCCCTGCATTTTCATAAGCAAAAATATTAGATTGAAGGTGAATTCCAAAGTTTTTCCCATTTCTAAAATTAGTTCATTTCATCCAGAAACTCTGATGCAGGCACTTATAAGTACAAGCAGCCTATTAAATTAAAAAACTAGGCCAGGCGCAGTGGCTCAAGCACGTAATCCCAGCACTTTGGGAGACTGAAGTGGGTGGATCACCTGAGATCAGGAGTTCGAGACCAGCCTGGCCAACATGGTGAAACCCCATCTCTACTAAAAATACAAAAATCAGCCGGGCATTGTGGCCAGCACCTGTAATCCCAGCTATTCGGGAGGCTGAGGCAGGAGAATCGCTTGAACCTGGGAAGCGGAAGTTGCAGTGAGCTAAGATGATACCATTGCACTCCAGCCTGGGGGACACAGCGAGAGTCTGTGTCAAAAAAAAAATTAAAAATTAAAAAGCTAAGTAAATACTGAAATGGACTATAGACATTTTCTCCAAGTCTGTGGGTTGAGATAAGACCAGAGCTTGGGCAAGGTAACATTCTCCCCTTTGCCCTCTTCTGTGTATTACAACTTGGGGAGAGGGATACGTTCTCATTAAACCTGTGTTCTAACATGAAATCGGCACCAGGATTTTAGAAGGGAAGCTTGCTAAACCAGTTACACTTCTTAACTGGTCCATTTTTTTTAAGGTTTATGCAATATCTTTCCTTTTGTAGCCTCAAAAAGTGACTGTGAGAACCTAAGCTCTTTCGGACTTTTAGTTTATGTTTGACTTTTTCCTGTCATTCTGTCTAAATCTCTGTATTTCAAATACTAGGTTACACAGTAGTGACCTGATCATTTAGGCTAATTTTGGGCGAGGGTTCAATCTTACCTCCTTGTCTTGCTTATCTGATTCCCTGGTTCCAGCTCTGTGGCCATGCTGGGGATTCACAGTAGCGTTAAAACCTAGGCCTGTGCTGATTCAGGCTGGACCAATGCCATCTCCTTGACCAGCTGCAGCTGTTTGTTGAGTGCCCGCCTTGTGCCAGGCTCCGTGCTCTCACTGGGGATACAGTGGTGACAAAATAGTGTGGCCGCTACCGTCCTGGAGCTCACAGTGTTTAAGGAACCACACAATAACCATACAATTGCAGTGATGGTGTGTGCTGTAAACAAGAAGCACAGAGGTTGAGAGCACGTGCACAGGGGATCTGACCTGGTTTGCTCAAAATGGCAAATGCATGGCTGTGATGAGGAACCCAGGCCAATACCTGGGGGCTCTAGGCATTAAGAGCAGCAAGTGATCTCAAGTACAAGTTGGGACCAGGTGAAGGGGTCAAGAGTCCGCTCACGAACAGCACTAGGGTCCCTGTTATTGGATAAAGTGCAGGACAAGTCCTTCCCTGGACATCTCCCTGCCACCCTCCCCTGACCTTCCCAAGCTGGAAGGAACTCTTCTAGCCCTTTAATTTTACAGGATATATCATCCGTGTCATTTATTTGGCAGTTGTGCGTTGCTTTGTATTGGAGTAAGTAGTGTGCCTTTCATCCCCTAGAAGACAAGTCTGTTTCCTACACTCTATGTCCCCCAAGTAGGTGACCCTAGATGAAATGCTTGATGGATCAGTTGGCTAATGAAAATGCCTGTGGCATTCAGTTAGTCTTAGAATGTGGGCCTCTTTCTTCTTGCCTCCAAAGCAGCTGATCAACAGAAGGTTCGGAATGAAGAACAGTAACACGTAACAGTTCCAAGTGTTCCTTTGTGCTAAAATTTACCAAAGCTTCTGTGGATTGAGGCAGTTAATGGGGGGAAATTCTATCAACCTAGGAGTAGTTTAATAGATATTAGCTTGGAATTAAAAGTTCAAGGTAAATTGTCTTTCCTTTATCTACTCACTTTTCTTTCTGCCTGTGTGATTCTATTTCCATTAATAGAGTAACTACCAGCCATGAGCCTTCTGTTTGCTTTGGCCCCTCCTATCTTTCCTTATTTTCTCCATCAGGTTCTCTCCCTTGGCCACTTCTGCTTCCTCTTCTCTTCCATATTTCTCCTGTTCACACTCTTCCTTTTTAAAATGCCATCTTTTTGGACAAACAAAATGGTTCAAAACGTTAAAGAAAAATGAAAAAGAATATTATTTCACTTCCACATTCATCTTGTTATCATTGAGTTTTACCTTCTCTGATCCTCTCTACCATTTCTCCATAGGGGTACATATTTTATATTAATTGTATATACAATTTTGCATTCTATTATATATAACTTTATTACGTATTTATTGTATACATACATATACATGTAATATACATAATTATAAATGTAATTTTTGGCCGGGTGTGGTGGCTCATGCCTGTAATCCCAGCACTTTGGGAGGCTGAGGTGGGCAGATCACCTGAGGTCGGGAGTTCGAGACCAGCCTGACCAACATGGAGAAACCCCATCTCTACTAAACCCCATCTCTACTAAAAATACAAAATTAGCTGGGCATGGTGGCACATGCCTGTAATTCCAGCTACCAGGGAGGCTGAGGCAGGAGAATCGCTTGAACCTGGGAGGTGGAGGTTGCGGTAAGCCGAGATTGCACCATTGCACTTCAGCCTGGGCAACAAGAGCGAAGCTCTGTCTCAAAAAAAATAAACAAAAACAAAAGGTAATTTTTGCATTTTATGATATATGTAGTTTTGTACTTTGTTCTTTTAACTTAATATTCACATTTTTAAATTCAATGAATGCTAACTGAGCTCCTACTATATGCCAGACATTGTTCTAGGGGCTGGGGACACATTCGTGGACAGACCAGCCATAAATGCCTACTGTCATGGGCTTAGGTCTAGTTCATGGAGAAAGACAATAAACATAATACAAACGATGTTAGGAGGTGACAAATGTTATGGAAACAAAGAGTAGGGTGAAAGAAGATTGGGAATATTAATTTATAAAATAGTTTCTTGTGTTTCTACCATTTTCTTTCTTTTTTTTTTTTGAGATGGAGTCTCGCTCTGTTACCCAGGCTGGAGTGCAGTGGCACAATCTTGGCTCACTGCAACCTCTGCCTCCCGTGTTCAAGCAATTCTCCTGCCTCAGCCTCCTAAGTAGCTGGGATTACAGGCACGTGCCACCACGGCCAGCTAATTTTTTGTATTTTTAGTAGAAACGGGGTTTCACCATGCTGTCCAGGCTGGTCTCGAACTCCTGACCTCATGATCTGCCCGCCTCGGCCTCCCAAAGTGTTAGGATTATAGGCATGAGCCACCGCAACTGGCCGTTTCTACCATTTTCTTATGTCCTCAGTTGTATGTTGTCCTTGAGGTTGATGGATTTTAATGTATTGAGAACCTTAGGACTATATAACTTTATTATTATTTTTTTGCTTTGTTTTTCTTTTGAGATGGAGTCTCGCTCTGTCACCCAGACTGGAGCGCAATGGCACAGTCTCGGCTCACTGCAACTTCTGTCTCCCAGGCTCAAGTGATTCTCCCGCCCCAGCCTCCCGAGTAACTGGGACTACAGGCTCCCGCCACCACACCTGGCTAATTTTTGTATTTTTAGTAGAGATGGGGTCTCGCCATGTTGGCCAGGCTGGTCTCAAGTTCCTGACTTGAGTGATCTGCCTGCCTTGGCCTCCTAAAGTGCTGGGATTATAGGCGTGAGCCACCCTGTCTGGCCAGGACTATGTAACTTTAAATCATGAGAAGACATGGGAGTCATTGAGAGCAAACCCTTCATTTCTGAGGTGAGGAAACAGGTCCAGAGAAAATAAATGACTTGCTCAAAATCGTACTGCCCCCAAGTAGCAAAGCAGGGGCTTACATTGTAATTAAAGTGATTTTCATTAATTCTAAAGATGGTTCTTTCAGAATCCTACTATGCCCTTTCCCTATAGTGGGAAATTTAATTTGTGTCTGGCTTTTATTATAAATAATGCTGCAGTGGGCAGCTTTATACCAACAGCATCTTAATGAAAGCAAGTCTGTTAATAAAAACAATAATAATAAGTAATAGAAAATGTTAATATTTACTGAGCTCTTAAATTTTCTGTGCCCTGTGCTAAGTACTCTACATGAAATAATTTACATCTGACAATGAGTACCATTAGTTTCTTCATTTTTTTTTTTTTCTTTGAGATGGTCTTGCTTTGTCACCCAGGCTGGAGTGCAGTGGCGTGATCTCTTCTCACTGCAACCTCCACCTCCTGGGTTCAAGTGATTCTCCTGTCTCAGCCTCGCAAGTAGCTGAGATTACAGGTGCACGTCACCACGTCTGGCTAATTTTTGTATTTTTAGTAGAGATGGGCTTTTGCCATGCTGGCCAGGCTGGTCTCGAACTCCTGACCTCAGGTGATCCGTCTGCCATGGCCTCCCAAAGTGCTGGGATTACAGGCGTGAGCCACAGTGCCCGGACACTGTCTTTATTTTATAGATGAGAAAATGAAGGGATTAAAACTTAAGGCTGACCAAGCCCGGGGTCTGACTGTCAGCTTCTATCATACACAACTTTGCGAGTTTGAATATTAAAACAGCAATTGTCAACAAAAATGCCCCAAACTCTCAAATTAAAAGAAAAAAAAGCAAATGTCAAAAGCCAAGATAATCAGGTACATACATTTATTTAAGAGTTTACCAAACATTTAAGTTTTACCCAAACTTTTACTGATTATGTTTCCTATGTAATTGTTGCTTTTTATAGCCAAAGACAGTTGGAATTGGCAATTTCCTAAGTTCTACCTATTATTGTAGTCAGTGCTCACAATAACACAGTGAAGTAGGTGATAATTGTGGCTGTTTTATAGATGAGTAGTGTATTATTATTATTATTTTTTTTTAAGATGGAGTTTCGCTCTTTTTGCCCAGGCTGGAGTGCAATGGCGCAATCAACCTCTGCCCCCTGGGTTCAAGTGATTCTCATGCCTCAGCCTCCCGAGTAGCTGGGATTACAGGCATGCACCACCACGCCCTGCTAATTTTTGTATTTTTTTTTTTTTAGTAGAGACAGGGTTTCTCTATGTGTTGGTCAGGCTGGTCTCGAACTCCCGACCTCAAATGATCTGCCCACCTCGGCCTCCCAAAGTGCTGGGATTACAGGCATGAGCCACCATGCCCAGCCTTAGTGTAGTATTTCAGGTGGAGCTTGGTCACTGAGGGATTTAGTTAATGTTTACAGAAAGGAAAACGGGCTGGAGAAGCAAGGCAGGTGGAATGATTTATGCAAAGCAGGGAGCTAAGACTTGGTCTAGAATCCTGGTTCACCTCCTCGTAGGTATGTAACCTATGGCAAAGTACTTGAACTGTTTGTCCCTCCATTTTCTCATCTGAAAACAGGGAAGTAATAAAATATCTTTCATAATGTTGTAAGGATTGCATTATAAATGGGTAGAAATCACTTTCTGTAATAATGGCAGAAACTAAGCAATTGATCAGAGATATTGGTGGTAATAGTTCTTCTGTCATTATATTTCACATTAAATCCTTTTGTCTTCTAATGATGGTATTTCTGTAAAACAACAAATCTTTTTTTAATGGCATTGATAAATTAATACACTTTATCAATCTTTTAAAATGTCATTGAAAATTAATGACTATAGACACAATTAAGAATTCTCTTTTTCTTTTCTTTTGAGACAGGGTCCCACCCTGTCGCCCAGGCCAGAGTGCAATAGTGCAATCACGACCCACTGCATCCTTGACCTTTTGAGCCAAAGCAATCCTACTGCCTCAGCCTCCCAAGTAACTGGGACCACAGGCTCACACCACTGTACTCGGCTAATTTTCCTTTGTTTTTAAATTTTTTCTACATACAGGGTCTCCTCATGTTGCCCAGGCTGGTCTCAAGCAATTCTGGGCTCAAGCAGTCCTCCCACCTTGGCCTCCCAAAGTGCTGGGATTACAGGCGTGAGCCACCACACCTGGCTGGAATTCTCTTTTTCTGTAGGCAAAGATTTAATTCTGATGGTATGCTATGTAAGGTGGGTGGAAAAGCAGAGATGAACTAACCTCTCCATAGGTTTTGGGGTCACAGTGGGGTGAAGCTCAGAAGTGAACGGCCCACCCTTTTTCTCCCTTCCGTTCCTCTGGAGCCATCTATGATTTTATGGCATCTTGTCCCTTCCTTCAGGTGGCGCCCTCCTGTGCCTGTGCCTTTTCCTGATGGAAGGAATGGGATTGTCAGAGCTAAACATGCCAAGTGAGCAGTCCTTCGTGCTGCTGAACCACACCAGGGGCTGAAAGAGCTGTTTGTGGAAGGGGTGGAACCTTCTGATCATGCCCTCTTGGATTTTTTTTGCAGCCAGTGAGTCTGTAAATGGAGCCATGGGCTTGGTCTGCAAACTGCTTACAGCATCAGTCAGCATGGTGGGGAACAGCCTATCCCTTGGGAAAAACCTCTCCTCGAGGGTAGGGCTTGGGAAGAAGTGAAGGCGTGCAGAAAATCTTTTCCTCTTCTCCCTATTCAAATCTTGGCAAGAAAGCACACTCTTCATTTCTGTTTCCTGTATCAGCAGCACATTCCCAATTTGAACTTCAAGGCATCGTCCTTGCTTCGTCATACATCAGCTTTTCCGGCTGCAAACAATTTTGCTTCTCTAGTTGACGAGGACTCTAATAACTCCAGGTGGTGAATGGGCGGTGGGGAATACAGTTCTGTAGAAATACAGCTCTAAAGCAATACAAACACAGAGGGAAAAAATGGGAAGCTTGGCAAGGGGGAAGTGCTGGAATAAAGCATTTTACCTTTATTGACATTGAAGAAACCTCCCTTCAGCTGAACTCCAGAATCATTCAACACTTCATGGTTGAGCTGCACAGCGGAGTGTTATATAGCCTTTAACAGCGATGTGGCTGACGTTCCTTTATTAAGAAAGGTTGATAAACTGTGAGGTGGAAAGACAGCAGATTACAATTCAGTAAATGAACCATTTTAATAAAAATATGTGCTGCCTTTATATAGATATAGACAGGAAAAACATTTGGAAGGGTGTCCACATGGTGTGGGTGGTTGGATCATGGGTGTTTATTTTTTCTTTCATTTGCTCATATGTATTTTCAAATTTTTTTGCTGCAATCAATATGTATTACTCATATAATCAGGGTGAATAGTGCATCGGGGCACCTTATTTACTGCTCGGGTCCTCCCTTTTTTTATCCATTCATTCAACATATTTAGGGAGGCTCTCCTAGGGGCCAGGCACCATGGCAGGAACTGCAGTGGGCATGGTGATAGCTCTGTCTCTGCCATCACAGCTGACATTGTAACAAGAGGTGGTTTTTGGTTGTTTATTTCTTTGGGGTTTTTTTAGTTAAAACATTTTTAAGCTAAAAATGTAAAATAATTAGAGACTGGGCACAGTGGCTGACACCTGTAATCCCAACATTTTTGGAAACCGAGGCAGGAGGATCACTTGAAGTCAGGAGTTTGAGACCAGCTTGGCCAACATGGCAAAACCCCATCTCTACTAAAAATATGAAAAAATTAGCTGAGCATGATGGCATGTGCCTGTAGTCCCAGCCACTTGGGAGGCTGAGGCAGGAGAATCATTTGAACCTGGGAGGTGGAGGTTGCAGTGAGCCGAGATCGCACCACTGCACTCTAGCCTGGGTGACACAGCAAGATTCTGTCTCAAAAAAAAAAATAAATAAATAAAAGAATTAGAGTTTGTGATAAGCGCTGTGAAGGAAAAACACCAGTGACATGCTAGGGAATGAGTGAAGGTAGGTGGGGTTCACCTTTGGAAGGGTGATGGGGGGTTCACCTTTGGAAGGGTGATGGGGGAACTGCTTTGAATCCGAAGGCTGACAAACAGCCAAGTGAAGAGACTGGAAAGTGTACTTGAGGTACAGAAGGGAACAGCCAATGTGATGCAGTGGCACCCTTTTTTCTTCCTGCAGGTCACCTGAAGGGTTGGGGAAATGAGACTTGGAGTTGCCCCACTTGTGAGAAATATGTTAGATTTGCAGATGTGCCGGAGGCTCATAGATAAACCTTATAACTCGGGGGAAATATGGCTCTAAGGACAGCTTTATGGCTCCTGTGAGACTGGTTAATGTTTTGCTAAATAACAGGAAGGTGTCAGTTTGATTGGTTGCCTTCTTACTTGGGTTCTTTTTGAATAGCGGCTCTGATGTCATCTTTCAATGCTGGATGAGCTTCTAGCCCTTCCCAGGGGATTCTCAGGCCTCTGTCCCCTGTCCTCTTCCCCTTTCTTCGTTAAATATCCATGGAGTCCTCATCCCTAAGGCAACACTGGAGTCCCTGACTATGGTGGAAATGTTTGGAGCTGTTTTCTAAAGGATTCAGTGTTCATTCATCCTGTGAAAAGGAAGAGAGAAACAGTTGATAGAACTCCCTGAATGTTCAATTGAGGAGCGAGACTGGATACAGAGGCAGCAAAAACTATACTCTAGGTGCTGAAGCATATTGAAAGATGTCTTTGAGTGAAGGCTGGCAGCAAAATATAGAGTCTTCTCTAAGGACAATTGGGCAATAACAAATCAGGATCTAAAAAATTTTCAGATCCTTTGACCCAGTAATTACAATCCAGGGAGCTTACGCTGAGGTCAGAGTTTTTTTAAAGGGAAAAACAAAGAAAACAAAATGTCTCTAACAAAAGTTAACAGTCAATAATGACATAGTGCTTTGGAGCTTTGAAAGTATTTTCTTATACAGTCTTCATGAGAGCTTCCCAACATTTCCGAGAAGTAGATTGTCTTATCTCCATTTCACAGATAGGAAGCAAAGATCAAGTGAGTGGGTCTAGTTCACTCTGGCAGATTTAGGACCTGAGCTGCAGCTCATGGATGGCTACCCAGTGGGTTTGGTCAGAAACTCAAGGTACAGCTGGGTGCAGTGGCTCCCAGCACCTTGGGAGGCCAAGGTGGGCAGATCCACCTGAGGTCAGGAGTTTAACACCAGTCTGGCCAACATGGTGAAACCCTGTCTCTATTAAAAATGCAAAAATTAGCCAGGTGTGGTGGCTCATGCCTGTAATCTCAGCTACTCACTCAGGAGGCTGAGGCAGGAAAGTCGCTTGAACTCGGGAGGCGGAGGCTGCAGTGAGTGGAGATTGTGTCACAGCCCTCCAGCCTGGGGCGACAGAGCAAGACTCTGTCTCAAATAGATAAATAAATAAAAATACAAAAAAAAGAAACTCAAGGTACAGTGGTGGGAGTCAAAAAAGCATAAGGAGAAAACCAAGACTGAAAACTGTTATTGAGCTTAGTCTGTGCCTAGTTCAGTCCCTAGCATTTTACAAGTTTTCTCTGAGTTAACAAACTTGTGGGGGAAACTGAGGCTTTCAGATGTTGAATAACTTGTGTAAGTTGTAGAGCAGGTTTCAGAGCCTAAGTTACATCCAGAGCATAGACATGGTTTCAGCTCTGCTGTGTTGCCCTCTGCATTCACAGGAATGCTTTGTAGAAGGAGTGAATACATGAACACATGAATGAACAAATGGATTAGGGAGTTAGGACATGAAAACCAGCTTCTGTGGAAACTTGGACCTCAGGCTCCCCATGGATGACAGGTTCTTTTCCATAGTTCCGCATTTTTTACCTGCAATACAGCAATGCGGTTGCCCAGGCCCCTCCCAGGAGAGTTGCAGCTTCCCCGGAGGCCACACTTCTCCAACACCTTTTGCCTAAAGGCTCTTTTTCCCTAAAGGCTCAACTCATCCCTTGCAAAATACCCAAAGCCAAATGAGTCTAGAGGGTAAACCAGCCATGTAGGATGTGGACCTTTAGCAACTGAAGGAAACTGAGGTATTTCAGTATGATGAAATACTCTGTAGTCATTAAAATGATAGATGTGAGTGTGTAGAAATATGAAAAAGTATTGGGAAAGAGTTGCACATATCTGAAGAAACCAATGAAAGCAATGTGCATTTATTTATTTATTTTTGTTTTTGTTTTTTTTTTTGAGACAGAGTCTTACTGCGTTGCCCAGGCTGGAGTGCAATGGTGGGATATTGGCTCACTGCGACCTCTGCCTCCTGGGCTCAAGTGATTCTCCTGCCTTAGCCTTCAGAATAGCTGGGAATACAAGCGTGTGCCACCATGTCTGGCTAATTTTTGTATTTTTAGTAGAGACGGGGTTTCACCATGTTGGCCAGGCTGGTCTCGAACTCCTGGACTCAAGTGATCCACCTGCATCGGCCTCTCACACTGCTGGGATTACAGACGTGAGCCACCGCGCCCGGCAAAGCAAGTGCATTTACATGGATAAAGATTGGAAGATAAGAGGAATGAAAACTGTGTAAAAGTATTGATATCACGTGGTGTCACCATCCAGTTTGTCTGCTAAGCCAGGAGCCTCTGGGTCATCCCGACAACCCCAGTCTCCTCTTCCCCCAGATTGAACTTGCAGATTCTGCATCAGGTAGCATCTTAATTCCGGTGCCTGTTCTTCATCCTCGCTGCCAGTTTCCTTGAGCAGGCTCTCCTTATCCCTCTCCTGGACCCCACAGCAGCCTCTTAACTGCTTTGCTGGCCCTCTGTTCTCCCTACCACTGTAGTCCATATTGGACCCTGTGGTCAGAGTGATCCTGATATAAAACATACCTGATTATGTGTCTCCCTTGGTTAGAAGCGTCTCTTTACTTGTTGTTGCCTTCAGAAGGCAAGTTCAAATTTCTTAGTATGGTGTATGATGTCCTTTACAATCTCAGTGTGTCACAGCACCCCCACAATCCCTGCCAACCCTTGGCCCCCTGCGTTTTCTCCTTGGCCCTTTCCCCTTCCCTTAAAGACCAAGCTAAGAGGTCTCATTCTTTTTTTTTTTTTTTTTTTTTAAGATGGAGTCTCGGCGGGGCGCGGTGGCTCACGCTTGTAATCCCAGCACTTTGGGAGGCCGAGGCGGGCGGATCACGTGGTCAGGAGATCGAGACCATCCTGGCTAACACGGTGAAACCCCGTCTCTACTAAAAATACAAAAAAGTTAGCCGGGCGTGATGGTGGGCGCCTGTAGTCCCAGCTGCTCGGGAGGCTGAGGCAGGAGAATGGCGTGAACCCGGGAGGCGGAGCTTGCAGTGAGCCAAGATTGCGCCACTGCACTCCCGCCTGGGCCACAGAGCGAGACTCCTGTCTCAAAAAAAAAAAAAAAAAAAAAAAGATGGAGTCTCACTCTATTGCCCAGGCTGGAGTGCAGTGGTGCAATCTTGGCTCATTGCAACCTCTGCCTCTTGGATTCAAGCAATTCTCCCACCTCAGCCTCCCAAGTAGCTGGGATTACAGAGGCGCGTGCCACCATGTTTGGTTAATTTCTTTCTTTTTTTTTTTCAGTAGAGATGGGGTTTCACCATGTTAGTTAGGCCATCTCGAACTCCTGACCCTAAGTGATCTGCCTGCCTCAGCCTCCCAAAATACTGGGATTATAGGTGTGAGCCACTGCACCTGGCCAAAGGTCCCATTCTTTCTGAAGCCTTCACAATTGTCCCAGGGAAAGCTGTTTCCTCTACCCTTCTGAATTACAACGAGTCATGCTTTGTTTTAAGTGCAAGATGACAGCCTGTCCTTTCACTAAACTCTCAGCCCCTCCGGAGCAGGGACTTGGTGTCTTACTCTCCTTCTTCCCAGACCCTCAGCCTGATGCCTAGGACACAGTGCGGGGGGGCGGGTGGGCGGTGCAAAAATGTGTGTTGATTGAGTGAATCAATGATTGAGTGAAACCATTTATTCTCTATAGGGTTTTAAAACTGATTTAATAATAAATAAAAATTTCCAAGAAAACAGCACTGAAGGAAAGCCACAGGACCTTGTGAAATTTAAAAAAGTAGACAGAGACAATGCAGTGTCCATAGAAGCTGTGAAGTTGACAGATTGGGTTTGAATCCTGCATCTGTCACATACGGAGTTTCGGTTGCCTCATTTATAAAATGGGCCTGATAATAGTACCATATAGGATGGCTGTGAAAAAGCAAAAGAAGAAAACAAGTCAAGAGCGTAGAGCTTAGTACAGTGCCTGGCACATTGTAAGGACTCACAAAATACAGCTAGCCACAATGCGTAAATCATCATTAAGAGACTAGTGCTCTTATGTAAGCCCTTTTTTTTTGCATCCTTTTGTTCAATTTTTCAACATAAGTCTTTGAAAGCTTTGCCCTCGGCAAAAATATGATCACATTCATGCAGAATGATGAAGAAAGGATTATAGAAGAATAAATTCAGCACTTCTTATAGGAGTCTTGTTTTCTGAGCCAGCTCCCTCTTTTAGGGAATTCCCATGTGGGGTAATGGAAGAACTTACTTGTGAGTTCTTGTACATGGCAGGAATGGACCCAGGGCAGCTAAGGAGAAAGGTGCATGTGAGAGGGGTATTCCGTGTTCCTCACAGGACTCATTGTATTTTGTTATTATTATTATTTTTTGAGACGTGTTTCGCTCGTCATCCAGGCTGGAGTGCAAAGGCAAGATCTCAGCTAACTGCAACCTTCACCTCCTGGGTTCAAGCGATTCTCCTGCCTCAGCCTCCTGAGTAGTTGGGATTACAGGCGCCTGCCACCACGCCCAGCTAATTTTTGTATTTTTAGTAGAGATGGGGTTTTACCATGTTGGCCTGGCTGGTCTCGAACTCCTAACCTCGTGATCCACCTGCTTCAGCCTCCCAAAGTGCTGGGATTACAGGTGTGAGCCACTGCACCTGGTCCAGTATTTTATTATTATCACTTCTCAGTGGACTGCTTCTTTGCTGGACTGTAAGCTCCCTAGGCCAGCGTCATGTCTATATTGCTCTCCATAGAGAAAATTACGACCAGTGGATGAAAATTGTTGTGCATCAGATTTTTGCTTAGTGTAAAAGAGGTTCCTCACAATCAAAGGCTGATGATTGCAGTAATGAGCTCCCTGTAGTTGGAGATATTGGAGCTGAACTAGATATTCATGTGTTGAAGATAATATGAAAGATTTCTGCTTCTGGTGGGAGATAGGGTTAGAGGTGTGTGGTTACTCAGAGCTCATATCTAAGGGACTTTGCACATGTATGAACTCCTCCTCCTGTTCACATTGAGGACAGTGATCCATCTGGACCCAGGTTATCTGAGGTTGGACGTCAGTATGTCAGACAAGTGGACCAAGCTTCTTGGATTAGGAGGACTTTTCTATCAGCATCAACATTTGTAAAACATCATCTCCAGCTGGGGGCGGTGGCTCACGCCTGTAATCCTAGCACTTTGGGAGGCTCAGGCAGGTGGATTGCCTGAGCTCAGGAGTTCGGGAGCAGCCTGGGCAACATGGTGAAACCCCGTCTCTACTAAAATACAAAAAATTAGCCAGGCATGGTGGTGTGCACCTGTAATCCCAGCTACTTGGGAGGCTGAGACAGGAGAATCGCTTGAACCTGGGAGGTGGAAGTTGCAGTGAGCCGATATCGCGCCACTGTACTCCAGCCTGGGTGACAGCGAGACTCCATCACCAAAAAAAAAAAAAAAAAAATCTCCTTCAGTTTCATTGAAATTGACCAGAATTATAATAGCTACAATATAGAATCCCTGAATCCTCCTGAAGTATGATAATTAAGGTAAAAGTCTGAGGCCTAGGAATGTTGCCCTTAGTGTGTGCCTTGAAAAAGCCACTTCATCTCTCCATGACTCAACACGTTTCTAAGTAATATGCCCACCATGTTACATACCATTTGGTTTCTACATAACTCAAGAGGAAGACAAAAAGGCTAAGGTAAGGGCTGCCCTTCTGTGTTTTGTGGCAAGGAGTGATTTCTTGGCCCCATAGAGTAAGGCGCAGATAGTTACCGGAACCTTAGCTCTTTGACTAGAGCTTCGTTCATAATCAGGATTTCATGGATAGGCTCCCTGGTTGCATGAAACTCCTGAAATTTTATGCAAATGTGTGTGCATGTCTGTATTTTCCCGGGGGGAAAAGTCCATACTGTTACAGTATTTTCAGTTGGGCCTGTGACTGCAAAATGTTCATAATCATTTACCTCCATCTTAGTGATCTGCTCAGCTGTCAAACTGAAAACAACCCTGGGAGAGATAACATTGTCATCTTTTCCCCTTTAATGTTAATAAAAAAAAATTCAGCTTTATAACAGGATTAGGAGAAGCTAGCTAGATGGGATGTTCTGTTTTTGTCTGTAAAGGGAAAGGGATCATTTATGTTCAAAGAGTGAAAGGGGAATTAGGGAAGTAATTAAGAGGCTGTGCCCTCTGTCACATCCAAGTTTCTGCCCACTAGATATTTTTGCCCAGAGTCGACCCCAGAACAGGGGTCTGATATATCTGAGAGTGTTGTAAGTGGAGTCTAATTTTTGTTCTCAGAATGATCATTTTTCACCACCCAAGGGCGTCTCCGCGATACCATCGCAGGCGGTAACAGTACAGTCTCCTGGCGCTGGGCGCCTGCCAGGAACACGTGCCGCGCCGGGAATCGCGGGCGAGGCTCAGTACCTGACCCAAAGGGGAGAGGCGCGCCCGCAGCCTAGCGGTTCCAGGCGTGGGGGGAATATGGCAACTTCGCAGGGCTCAGCATCGAGTCCCGAGGTCCAGTTCCTGCCATTTCCAAGCCCGCTGACAAGAGGCAGGTCACCGCCACCTCTGAACCTCCGTTTCCCATCTGTACATCTGGAAGGCTGGAAGACCCCAACCCACTCAGAAGCTATCTCGGCGCGATATTTGCGAAGGTGCTGCCCCTTTAAGGAGGCCGGGGTGCAAGGGGGTGGCCACGCCTCCTTCCTCTGCACGCCGCGCCCGCCGACCACCTGTCTCTGGCTTCGCCCCGCCCCTTCGGGAGGGGCGGGGATGAGGGGCGGAGAAGATAGGCTAAGGATTTACCTTGCGGGGCGGGCGTGCGGCGCATGCGCACGGCCGGACAGGTCCGCGGCGCCCTCACTTCCTGGCATTCCCTCCTCCCCCTCCCCGTCGTTACCCTGTACATCCGGGTCACTTGCCCTCCCCGCTCGGAGCTGCCGCCTGGCTTGTCGCGGCTCTGCCACAGGGGCAGGTGTTGAGGGGCTCCCGGTCCGGCTGCCGCCGCTCCCCCGCTCCGGACCCGGGGCTCCCCCTAGCGCCGCTGAGGAGCCGCCTCTGCGGCTCCAGGAGGGCGCAGGAGCGGGACTGAGAGCGCCTGGAGGCTCGAGCGGAGGGTGAGTGATTGGTTTTTGCCATTTTCCCCTCTTCCTTCACACTCCTAGCTTTCCTGCTCTGCGACCCCATTTTGGCGAAGAGGCGGGTGCGGCGGGGCCCGCGCTGGCGCGGGGCTTCCTCCTTTCCAGGCGCGCTGGGCCCGCCCCCGGCCCCGCGACGCCCCGGGCCCGCTTCCTCTGTGGCCCCGCGGCCCCGGCCTGCCCCCGGCGCTCATTCATTCGGGTCTTCCTTTCTTCCGCCCCCTTCCTTCCATTGGCACCTCCACGCGCGCTCTCGCCGCCCCCTCCCACCCCAGATCCTGCGCCCGCCAGTGACTCCTGGCTCGTTGGCTCGTCCCTTCCCGTGTCGGCGTTGTCCCCCCTCCCCAATCCTGGCTCCCACCACTCCTTCCTCTTCGCGGCCGCTTTTTCTCCTCATCCCCTGTTCCCGTCCCCAGCTCCACACCCCCTTATCCCCCGGGCTTCGCCTCGCCTCGCCTCGACACCCAGCCCTCCTGGTCCCTGGTTTTGAAGTTGGTGTCTTTATCGCTCCCCATCACTTCGCCTTCCACCTGCGCGGCCAGATCTTCCAACTTAGATACTGCGTTGTCCTTTTAATTAATGATCAGCGTTTAAAGTCCAGATTCTCAGTCTTAGGGTGTGGTCTTAGTGTGTTTCCAAACGCGCAATTTCTACTATAATTACCCAAATCTATAACTGTCAAACTCTAGTGGAAGTGGCAATTGCTGTGTGTGTGTGTGTATGTGTTTTAACCTCATGGCTATTCTGGGTCATACTGAGTACCTTTTTTATTTTTTTCATGGAAGACTTCTATGATGGATTAATTTCCTCTGAGTGTAAAATTTGGCAGAAAATTAGTATTCTTTCTACTCCTCTGGATTCCTCCTCACTTGGCCCCTTGACTGATTTGCAACATTACCTGTTAATACATTGCTGTAGAAATGTTTGTTGGTGAGACTTTGTTGTCTCATCTGTCAGCAACATTGTTTGAGTACCCCTATGTGCGGAATACTGATGAAATGCCTGAATCCTTGGAGTACCACAAAGTGCCATTCTGGATAAGACAAAGGTTTTTGGAATTTGCTTACACGTTTTTTGCTACTTCTGTGTAAGTGTATTGAGTTTGCCACCTTTTTACCCCTTAATCTCTATGTGAAAAATGTATGTCAGTGAATTTTGTGTGTTTTAAGTCTTACGGTGTGGGAGATCGGCATTCCAAAGGAGTGTTTTATATAGCTAAAAGAATTTCAGTCACTCGGGTGTTTGGTGACTTACTATCGCAAATTATTTTAGACTAATATACCTCAAGAAAAACACACTGATCCTTTTAATTCTTTAATTGTATTTAGTAATAGAAACAGAAGCTTTGTGTCTAGAACTGCTTGATAACTGGGGTTTATTTGATAGCCTGTTTGCAAAGTGTTGCAGTTAACTGAAACTCCCTAATCAGCATTCATAAAATGAAATGACAGCACTTTTTTTTTTCATGTGACTTTCATATCCATAATAACGAACGAGAGGCTCTTAGTCCTAAAGTACACCTACCTGCATATCATTATGATGGTGCTATTGCTGTAAGTATTTATGGCAGCATTTTCTAACAGCTTCGTTTTTGGGGAGCTTGGTGTTAAAAAGGTACTTGGCTGTTTGTCCCCGCTTAGGTTTTGGATAACCACTTCAGTAGTAAGATTTCCTAACTCATGAGAGAGAGAGAGAGAGAGAGAGAATGTGTATTTGCAGAACAGTTTTGCTAGATAATAATGTTTAAGAATTCTTTAAAACTTTAATAGTGATGTAGCTGTTTGTCAGGGAACTCTTGCTTTGTAAAATGTTCTAGGATATATAGTATGAATTCTAGATTATATAATTGGGTAGAGGCTAGATTTTTGTCTCCCAAGAAAGTGGTTGGTTGATCAGAGGGAGGCGTGGTTAGTAAGTTAATTCTAGCTGCCCCAGAAAAAGTATAATTTCAGATGTTGAGTAAAACTAAGTGAATGCAGTTTATTTTTGATAGATTTTTGATTGACGTTTAACTTAATCGAACTTAAAATTCATTTTTCTGAACTCTCCAGGAATAAACGGGTTTTAAAAATTTACAGGTTAAATTAGTGTCCCTCTTGAGATTATTTGACTGATATTTGAAATGGTCATTTATCTTTACATAGTAAATAACAATTGATGGAGAAGTATAGAGGGGTGCTTATTTTACTCCTAGTCTCCATGGGGGAAGATACTGGATTGTCACTTATTTGAGGTTACTTGACTCTTTCTAAGTATTAATGCATTCAACTGTGAGAACCTACAATTTTCTCTTACATTGTTTAAGGAAAACAAGACTATAATAGTTGGAAATAGCTTTGTGACATACCTCCTATTTTTGGTCTCTTCTTTTCTGTAACTACACCAGAGTTTAGCGCAGTGCCTGCCTGGTGCATAGTGGATACTCAATAATTATATTTTGAACAATTGAGTTAATGGCAAGGTCAAAGAATCTTAGACTGTAACAGCATTTTGTAATTATGTGGCAAAAAATTTTGATAAAGATGTTGATTGCCCTGAGCTGTAGTTTTTTCAGGTATCTTGTATATTTTTAAGACTGCTGGCTGGGCGCAGTGGCTCACGCCTGTAATCCCAACACTTTGGGAGGCCGAGGCGGGCGGATCACGAGGTCAGGAGATCGAGACCATCCTGGCTAACATGGTGAAACCCCGTCTCTACCAAAAATACAAAAAAATTAGCCGGGCGTGGTGGTGGGCGCCTGTAGTCCCAGCTACTCAGGAGGCCGAGGCAGGAGAATGGCATGAACCCGGGAGGCGGAGCTTGCAGTGAACCAAGATCTCGCCACTGCACTCCAGCCTGGGCGACAGAGCAAGACTCCGTCTCAAAAAAAAAAAAAAAAAAAAGACTGCTATATTGGGTTATCTAATTTGCTTTGAGATCTTTGGGTGAGGAAGTATAGACATGATTTTGTGTTATACTTTAGTTCATAGAATGGATTTGTTTGCTTAGAATGGGCACTTGATATATGTATCTTGTCAGCATTCATGAACAACAGTGAATTCAAATAATTTATTGGGCATTTAGAGTTTCTACAATTATACATAAATGTTCTTGGATGTGTGAACTCATTCTATATTATGATCAGTTCACTAAATCCTGGCTCTTAATTACGCTGTAGTATTGAACACCTACTGTTTGCCAGATTCCTTATAACCATTAGGTTAGTTTTATAACAACTCTGTAATGTGTAGGTTAACTTCTATTTAATTTCTAATTAACATTAGGAAAGTAAGGCTCAGAGACCTTAGGTATGCCATTAATCATAATTAAATATTTCCAATTAGGTATACTTGTTCAAGTATACTCCCAAGTGGGAGACGTTGAAGACTGGCATTTGAACCCATCACGTTTACTTAAATTCTATTTCAACCTACTAATTTGAGGTCTTATATTTTATATTAAGTATTTGTAAAACATACTTAAAACAGCAAATCTCAAAACTTTTTCTTTTTCAGCTGCCAAGGAGGATGGATAATGTTCACTTGTTCTGTACTCTCCTGTAAGCATATACAGGATTGACAGCTATAGCTTCACCCCTTTCCCACTTATGCAAGTAATTAGAATGCAAATGAGTCACATTTGTAAACTTTTTAAACAAAGAAATCATTCTTAGAATTTTGATTATTTAAATATAAACATTTCTTGCAACACACCTTCACATCTCGATAATGGTACCATGGGTCAGAATGACTACTTTCAAAGATATTGTGTGATTTTGTTGAAGTAGAAGACTTAATGCAGAGATATATTTTTGTAGCTATTCATTTTGAAAAGATTGATCATCAACATTAAGGTACTATTGTATGTGACACTGTGAAGCCTGAGTCCTGTACAGTTATTTTCTGCTAATGCAGTAATCTCTTCTTGGTATATTTTAGTTGATGCATTATGTATGATATATATTAAATTCTAGATTGATACAGACCCTTTCTACTGTGTCTAGAGCAGGGGTCCCCAACCCCTGGGCCGTGGCCTGTTTGGAACTGGACTGCACCACAGGAGGTGAGCGGCATTACTCCCTGAGGTCTGCCTCCTGTTAGATCAGCGGAGATAGCATTAGATTCTCATAGTAGCATGAACCTTGTTGTGAATTGTGCATTAGAGGCATCCAGGTTTTGTGCTCCATGTGAGAATCTAACGCTTGGTGATCTGAGGTGGAACAGTTTCATCCTGAAACCATTCCCCCTGTCGCCCTGTCCGTGGAAAAATTGTCTTCCACAAAACCATTTCCTGGTCCCAAAAAGATTGGGGACCATTGATCTAGAATATTTATTCCTTCCAATCATACATTGGTATGTCTTCAGATAATCCAAATTAACCTGAATACTACTTTAGGTCAAGCATTTTCAGAAAACACTTGCTAAGAAAGAAATTATGACATAGTCCCGGATGTCATAATGTGACGTAATATGTCATACTGTTCTCGGACCAAAGTGAGGATCACTCTATTTCTCGTGGCCCAATAACGAGATGCAGGTGAACTGGAGAGGAAGAGAGTTTTTATTTTCTGCAACCAGTTATAGGGAGAAGGCCTGGAAATTATTGCCAGACCAACTCAAAATTACAAAGTTTTCCAGAGCTTATATGCCTTCTAAGCTATATGTCTATGCGTAAGTGTGCATTCATCTAAATACATAAGTGATTAACTTCTTTTAATCTATAACTAAGGTCTAAGTCCTGAAGAGCCTCCTCCAGACCCTCAGTAAATTTACTTAATCTAAACGGGTCCAGTTGCTGGGGGTGATTACCCTTATGTTGTCTCCTGCAAAATCATGAAGGTTTGGGGAATTCCTTCGGACCCCCAGTAAACTTGTTAGTGGAGGCCTAGGGAGTTTCTTCAGACCCATAATAAAACTTGTTTAATCCTAAATGGGTCCTCTTAAGAATTCCTTCATTATTTTGTCATGCTTTAAGGCCTAGGAAAGGCCTAGGCAAAACTCATGATGGGCTTTTGTTAATCCCAGGCTTTGTTTAAGGGCACTGGCTTTTAATATTTAATTTAACCACTCAGTACTGAAACAGTTGTTGTGGAGGCCTGCATTAGTGAGACCTGGCCTGCCGCAATATGACATAATGTATCATAATATATATTATGACCTATCATGATATGACATATCATAATGTGATATTATAATTTAAGATTTATGCCAGCCCTTTTTCATGTAAAGTTGAGATCCTTCTTGGGGCTAAGACTAAGCCAGGTGTGTTTCACATAAGCATTTTCCATTGATTTACCGCATTGTTAGTCATTGAGTGTAAGCTGACCCACCTCGAAATAGGAACATCAGGCTGGAGACTCGTGAGGCCTCCATGAGTTAGGCATTCAATTTCCACTGGAATCCAGAAGCAAGCTAATAGCTGCTTTTCAGAAGGCGTAAACTTGATTGCTGTGTCAGGGAGGTAAAGCGTTCAAAACCCCAAGGGGCACCTGTAGGTGGAGGCTGCCTCCTTTTGTCAAATCCTCTAATCAGTGAAATCATGAGACTTTATGGCTCAAAGTGATCCTTAAGGTTGTGGGGCCCCAAAGGTACTAGTACACTTTTATACATACAGCCCTTTCTGATTGGAAAAACCCTCACTAGCTCTTAAGTGAGTCTTTTAAGTACAAGCACAAAACACATCAGGTTCTTCTTCTTCTTCTTCTTCTTCTTTTTTTTTTTGTGTGTGTGACAGAGTCTTACTCTGTCACCCTGTCACCCAGGCCGGAGTGCAATGACGCAATCTTGGCTCACTACAACCTCCGCCTCCTGGGTTCAAGTGATTCTCCTACCTCAGCCTCCTGAGTAGCTGGGACTACAGATGCGTGCCACCATGCCCAGCTAATTTTATATTTTCACTAGAGACAGGGTTTCATCAGGTTGGTCAGGTCTCAGAACTTCTGACCTCAAGTGATCAGCCCGCCTCGGCCTCCCAAAGTGCTGGGATCACAGGTGCGCGAGCCACCGCACCCGGCTTATCAGTTCTTACTATACATTATGATGTAGAGGCAACAATAAGCACATTGAATTGGTCCAAAACATCCCACCCATAAGTCACATTTATTTTCCTAACCCCTGTAAACCCTGTCCAGACCCTATTAGCTTAATCTGGGTGTCTGCCTGACAGGACTAGATAGAATGGTTACCTGGGTGCCTATTTCCAAGAGAACCATAAAATTTTGAGTCTCTCCCTGAACTTCTCTGGGCAAACCTCCTAGTATGTCTGGCCTTCAGTCCATCTTGGGGATCAGGGAGACCTCAGCCCCATTCCTAACCATCTTGCTCATTAAAGCAGAAGAGTTTGGGGGTAGGAGCAGAGAGGGATCAGGGAGTGTGGAGGGGGAGAGAGCAACTTGGTGCTGGTAATCAAGGCTTTATATTCACTTTGGGTCATTCTCTCGCAGTTTAATGTTTCTGGTCTACTTGAAGCTCTGTAGTTGGCAGCAAGGTCATCATTACTTACACCATTTCTTTTAGTTTAGGGGATTCCTTGGCTCAGCAGTCACAGCCACAGCCTTTCATGTGGGACCATGGGGCTTGTTGCCCTTATTGTTATGATACTCCCCTCCTTCCACCAGCCCAGAGGATAGTGAACAACTACCAACCCACCATTTGGGTGGCTAATTTCAGCCTCACTTCTCACTGCTCAGTTTCTAAACATTAATTCCACCCTGTTCATTAACAGGTAAACAGGTGGGGGAGTCTTTATTCCCACCTTCTTCCCATCCAC
Source organism: Homo sapiens (assembly GCF_000001405.40). Lineage (NCBI taxonomy): Eukaryota > Metazoa > Chordata > Mammalia > Primates > Hominidae > Homo > Homo sapiens. Next base: position 129,932,839 of record NC_000008.11, on the reverse strand, counting down.
CACTAGGATCACTCTCAGATTCCAGGGTATCTTCCCTTGTCCCAGAACTCAGTCTGCAGGGCCTTTATCCTTTCCCTTAGAGAGTTATGGCTATGTCAGCATCCCATCCTCTTTCCCCAGAACTGTCAAGAACCATGATGGTCTGAGATTTTATCCTACTTGCAAGCTAATAAATTATCCTGCCATATTTTCATGGAATCTGGTAGAAGACATGAAACTCCTGTGTTAAAGATCAAGGGCAGATTATTATTCTCTATAATAGTAGTAGCCAGAGTATCAGCATTTGCACTGGTTTTCTGAGCCTCAGTCTACAGGATGATGTGAAGAGGACCAGGTAGTACTTGTACACCCAGTGGGCTTTCTTACTGGAGAGAAGCCCTGAGTTAAGGGAACCCAGATCTTTTCTAATGAGCAATAAGCACGCCTGCCCTTTGCTCTGGAGGAATACATTATATTTATTATACTGAACAGACAGTAAGCATGCTTGTCCTTTGCTCCAGAAGGAGATACTATCTTTATTTCTCAAGACTGTTCACTCTACAAACATTCTTGAAAAGATACTCTCTAGAGCAAAGGGCAGCTGGTACCTCTGCTTGTACTGTATGCAAAAGAGATACCTATGAAGCAGCCTACCCAACATGGTGAAACCCTGTCTCTACTGAAAATGCAAAAAATTAGCTGGGCGAAGTGGTGAGCACCTGTAATCCCAGCTACTCAGGAGGCTGAGGCAGGAGAATCGCTTGAACCTGGGAGGTGGAGGTTGCGGTGAGCCGAGATTGCGCCACTGCACTCCAGCCTGGGCAACCAGAGTGAAACTCCATCTCAAAAAAAAAAAAAAAAAAGAAGATACTTATGAAGAATTATTTCCTAACATATATAAATTATACCTCATTAAATCTGACATTTAAAGAAGTGCCAGGCATACTGACTCACGCCTGCAATCCCAGCAATTTGGGAGGCTGAGGTGGACAAATCACTTGAGGCCAGGAGTTTGTGACCAGCCTGGTTGACATGGTGAAACCTCGTCTCTACTTAAAATACAAAGATTAGCTGGGTGTGGTGGTGCACGCCTGTAATCCCAGCTACTTGGGAGGCTGAGGCAAAAGAATCACTGGAATCTGGGAGGTGGAGGTTGCAGTGAGCCAAGATCATGCCACTGCATTCTAGCCTGGGTGACAGAGGGAGACTCTGTCTCAAAAAAAAAGTTCCTGGCATGTGATAAGAACACGACACATATTATTATTATTGGTGCTGTTCATTTTTTAATCTGTTTTTGAGGGCAAAGTTATATGTAATGACCTTGGTGGAAATTTGAGATTAATTTTCTCAAAGATGAGTTGGTCACTTTAATAACATTTACTCAAAAAGTAATGACTGACATGTTCATACGTCTTTCAATTTGAAAGAGATTACAGGGTTTTAAGAATTTCAAGGACATTGAATTTAAGTGAAATATGAGAAAACCATCTTGGGATGCAAGGTGTGAGATTAGTTTGCTTTCTTTATATCAAACCACAGTTCTCTACTTTAAATTCTGGCAAATTCCAACAAACTAAATGATGTAAATTAAGAACATTTTCAGGGAGGCTTCTTTCCCTTTATATGTGTAGATTTAGGTAAATGAGAGGCTAGCATAGTTAGTGAAGGGAATGTTCAAATTCACAATTTTTCTTTCTTTCTTTTTTTTTTTAGGGGAGTAGGGCTCCATTTTATTTATTAGCATCTTATAAATTATCCTCCCTTCCAGTTATTTTCTGTAAACAAGTCTTGTAAAAATGTTATTTTGAAAGCTAACTTGCTGAATATTATTTGTTATATTTGAATTTATTTTTATTTAAATGTTAGATACTAAATGTGTCCTGGTATTTAGTAAATATATTTACCGAGTTTTTTTCAAAAGTATGGAGAAGTCAACTTCATTTATTCCATTCATTTGGGTTAAAGCATACGTGAATTTAGAGACTTGGAAACTTAAAACAGTCTTCTTGCTGTGGAGCTAGTTCTCAGTTGCCAGTGGGTAAAAGCAGGTGGATCCCTGAAAATGAGGGATGAAGCATTTTGGAAAGTCTTTTTGATATTTGGAACTGCCTGTATTAAAATGTGAATATAGTTAAACTAAAGCTCTGTCTTTTTATTTATAGAACAGTATGTTGAAGCAGTAGTCAAAATATGTAGCCTGGTTGGCAACCTTTTGAAATGGGTTGCCAAAGTTCCATTATGGTATGTGCGATGGTGACAACTGGCTAGTGTTCAGTCTTTGGTATGTGGCACTGACCTCTTAGTAGTCTATTAACATTTTAAATGTGTGTCTTTTAAGAACTTAGTTTTAGCAGATTTTCATTGTTCATGCCTTATAAGCAACTTTTAAAAACAGTGTTTTATTAAAACTAAAGTTTTTAAACCATTTTCAGTATGCCTAGTTTGGGTAGGAGGGTAGCCTATGGATTTAAATAATTAAAATATATATATATATAAGCACTTCACAATTCTTCCTAGTTGAGGTCTGCAAGTGGAACTTTTTGTGAAATTCTTTTACTGCCCCTTGTCTCTCAGATCCCTTCTAGGATCTTGTTAGGGTCTCATAAGTAAGAGATGAATGAACAGTTTTATTTGTTTGTTTGTTTTTTTTGAGACAGAGTCTCGCTCTGTCACTCAGGCTGGAGTGCAGTGGTGCGATCTCGGCTCACTGCAAGCTCCGCCTCCCGGGTTCAAGTGATTCTCCTGCCTCAGCTTCCTGAGTAGCTGGGATTACAGGCATGCGCCACCACGCCCGGCGAATTTTTGTATTTTTAGTAGAGATGGGGTTTCACCATGTTGGTCAGGCTGGTCTCGAACTCCTGACCTTGTGATCTACCTGCCTTAGCCTCCCAAAGTGCTGGGATTGCACGCATGAGCCACCGCACCTCGCCAGTTTTGTTTTTAAACGCATAACTGGTTAACTGTATTATAGAAACTGTCCTAAGTCATAAAGTAGGGCTAAACAGGTACCGGTACCCTAAAACAATTTATTCCAGGTAGTTTTAGCCACTGTATCCAGGTTACATTGCACATAAAGTCTTGTAGCAAATTCCTGTACCTAATCATGACCCTTAGAAGTATTCCACTAAAAGGCAGAAAGTGAAAATCACTTATATAATGGGGATAAGTGGTATGTACGCCATTTTGGTATGCTATTTTAATTTATGTTTTCATTTAAAATGTTTTGTTTTCTCACTGGTTTTTGGCTTTGGCATCTAGAAAAACCTAATCATTCCTTCAGTAAACATAATTATATACTAAGTTTTTTTCACCATCTTTTTAAAAACAATTTTATTGAGGTATACTTTATACACTATAAAATTCATCTATTTCAAATGCACAATTCACTGATTATTAGTTAGTTTATTCAGCTTTGCAACCATTACCATAGTCTAGGATGTTGTCTGTTAACCCAGTAAGATCCCTTGAAATCGTATTCATCTTCCATACTACCCCCTGCCCCAGGCATCCACTTTCCTATCTTCTAGCTCTTACACACTGCCCTTCCCTTCCTCTCCCTCTCCCTCTCCCTCTCTCTCTTCTCCCCGTGTCTCCCTCTTTCCTTCTCACACTCTCTCCCTCACTCTCTCACTTTTGCTTGATTATTCTTTCCTGGACATTTCTTATGAATGGAACATACAGTATCTTTTATGTCTGGCTTCTTTCATTTAATTTGTGGTTCATGCATGTTGAGTGTATCAGTAATTTGTTCCTTTCTATTGTTGAGTAATATTCCATTCTGTGGATATGCCACATTTTGTTTATTCATTACCAGTTGATGGGTGTTTGGATGGTTCACAGTTTTTGGCTGTTATAAATAATGCTGCTGTGAACATTTGTATGCAGATATGTGTGGACATATGTTTTCTTTTGCATAGATGCCTAGGAATAGAATTATTGGGTCATATGGAAAACTTATATAATTTTTAAAGAAACTGCCAAAACCAGACTGTCAGTGCTATTTTATGTCCTACCAGTAGTGTATGAGGATTTCAGTTTCTCTGAATCTTCCCAACACTTGTCATTATCTTTTTGATTATAATTATTCTACTGGGTGGGAGGTAGTATACATTGTGGTTTGAGTTTCCCTAATCACTAATGATGTTGAGCATCTTTTCAAGCCATTTTCTTCTTTTCTTTTCTTTTTTCTTTTTTTTTTTTAAAGAAAGGATTTTACTTTGTCACTCAGGCTGGAGTATAGTGGCATAATCACACCTTACTGCAGCCTAGAACTCCTGGGCTCAAGCGATCCTCCTGCTTCAGCCTCCCAAAGGGCTGGGACTACAGGCATGCAGCACCAAGCCATTTTTTCCATCTGTTTCGGTGAAATGTCTGTCAGGTCTTTTTGCCCATTTTTAATTGGGTTGTCTTCTTACAGAGTTGTAAGAGTTCTTTATATATTTTGTATCCAGGTCCTTTGTCAGATACATTATGTGCAAATATTTTCTCTCAATCTGTGACTTGTCCTTTTCTTAATGGTGTTTTTTTTTTTTTTTTCTTAAGAGATGGGGTTCAGAGTCGAGGTCTTGCTGTGTTGCCCAGGCTAGACTCAAACTCAGGGCTCAAGTAATCCTCCTGCCTCTGCCTCCTTAATAACTGATGCTACAGACGTGTGCCACCACACTTGGCTGTTAACGGTGTCTTTTGAGGTGTAAGCATTTTCACTTGGTAGAGTCTAGTTTAACTTTTTTTTTTTTTTGCTGTTAAGAATGGTGCAGTGTGTGTCATATCTAAGAAATCTTTGCCTCACCAAAGATTATGAGATTTACTCTTGTGTTTTCTTCTAAAAGGTTTCTAGTTTTGGTCCTTGCATTTAGGTCTATGATCCATTTTTGTTAACTTTATGGTGTAAGTTACTAAGTTCAACTTTTTGCCTGTGGATTTCCGGTAGTCTCCGAACCATTTTTGAAAAGACTATCCTTTCCTCTACTGAATTGCCTTGATGTCTTTGTTGGTAATCAGTTGACCACAAATGTTTGGGTTTTTCTATAGACTTTTATTTCTGTTTCATTGATCTATCATTCTGCTAGTACCACATGGCTTGATTACTGTAGCTTTCATACTGTATTTTAATAATGAAAATTCTTGTAAACATACATGCTCATATTTATAAAAAAATTGAAACAATATAGAGTAGTAAAAGAAAAAAGCAAAAATCACCACCTAGGTAGTCGCTGTTTTGGTGACCATCTTTCCAGCCATCTTTATGCATATATATATGTTAGATGACTACACACACATACTCTCCACATTTATTCATAGAGACATATCCGTATTTGCCTACGCTCATTGTTCTTGTGTACTTTTTTGAGTGAATACATTTATTGTCAGCTTTAAGAGAGAACTGATTATTTTTCTTTCTGCAGGGACTTTTGTAATTTTGTGCATTTTTACTGACTTAAACTTCTTAGCAGACCGAAGCCTCTTTGAGCTAAGAACTATGAGTGCATTTTTCTTGGTAGCATGTTTAAATGGAATTTACTTCTCACTTCATCTGGTAAAAGATGACTTTAAAACTTTTTTTTTCTTGTGGAGACAGAGTCTCACTGTCGCCCAGGCTGGAGTGCAGTGGCGCAATCTCGGCTCATTGCAACCTTCGCCTCCTGGGTTCAAGCGATTCTCCTGCCTCAGCCTCCCAAGTAGCTGGGATTACAGGCACGCACCACCATACTTGGCTATTTTTTTTTGTGTGTGTATTTTTAGTAGAGACAGGGTTTTACCATGTTGGCTAGCCTGGTCTCAAACTCCTGATCTCAAGTGATCTGCCCACCTCGGCCTCCCAAAGTGCTGGGATTACAGGCATGAGCCACTCCACTTGACTCTAAGACAATTTTTTAAATGTGTGCTCTATGAATGCAGCACATTATGTGTAGAACTTACAACAAAATTAATTCCCAAATCCAGTTTTAGGCATTTAAAGTTTTTATAAATCTGCTCTTGAGTATTAGATTAACTTTTTGGCAGTTGGTGATAATGAGTGTGGAGCCAGTAGATATATGTGTAGTGATACAGAATTTTATTTGCAATCATGTGAGGACTGATCCCCACTGCAAGCTTAGTTTTATCATGCTAATAAAGAAATAGCCACCTTTGTTCTTTTGCATTTCAGAATTTGGTCCCAGTTCCTGTTGAAAATATCTCAGGATCCAGCTTCATTGAGGGGTTACAAGGTTGAATTCGCAAATTCTGAAATGTTTCTCTCCGCTAGTGTAGATCACATCCCATTATTAGGAACTCCTCTGACACCTGCATTTTTCTTGTAGTATGATTTTATATGGTGCATACATGGTTCAAAATCATATTTAGAGATGTAACAGCTCTAGGAGACTGTAGATTACACTATTTAAAAGACTGAAGTTTAATCTCTGGTAGGGAGCCATTAAAGGGTTTGGACTTCAGAGTGGCACAGTGAGACACATTTTAGAAAGAGCAGCACACTAGTTCAGTGGAAATTTGATGCTTGAAAAAGGTAATGTGTTTAAATTGGGTGATAAACTGGATTGCTTAATGAAATTATATAAATGAAGTGTTATTGTACAAGGTTTTAAAAAATATAAACTTACATTTTTAAGTGGCATAAAGGGACAGTGTTAACCGTGGCTGAGTGGTAAGGTTGTGGATTTTTATTTTATTCCTGCTTTTCATGGAAAATTTAGAAAATACAGAATACGAAATAAGGTGCTAAAATGGGTGGAACTCTTGTATTCTGAGTTTGACCCTAAGTCAACAGATGCATATTTCTAAAGTGAGTTTTAAGGACACCATGTGGGTGTTCAAAAGAGAGCCAGAAAATGGATCGTGACTTCTAATATGTATCCATCTGTTGTTGTAAAAGGTTTCATTCAGAAAGTTGGAAGTTGGAAAAGAGTTTTTGACACGTGTTGTTAGAAATTGGAAACGTTTTTTAACCCAGTTGTTGGTATTCTAGGAGTCTTTCCTAACCTCTTTCCTCTGTCTTTGTTGGAGGGATGGGGAGTACTCCCCCTCCAGTAAAGATAGAAGGGCTTTATAGTGACCACTTGGGGAACTTAATGTGTAACTCCTGCAATTTGGTGGACACAGTAAATTGATGTCTGTCTAACTCATACCTGGAAATTTTCAGGGGTGAAAGAGAGACTATCTGCTTTGGCAGCACAGCAAAAGAAAGCAAGGTTGCTGTGTAGATGGACTGCCAGTGCTCCCAAAGTTTTTTGGACTAAGAGATCTGTGTTTCCCATAGATCACATGAGGGCCACCTGAGAGAAGTGAGACCACATGAGGGAAAACCCAAAAGAGTAGGTATAAGGGGGACAGGATGGAGGCTGGATTCCCAGAGGAGATGCATTACAGGAATTGGAGTGAGAGCTCCCAACTTTCAAGGAACCCCTGAAAGCATTCCTGAACAGAATCAGCTTTAAACTTTATTGTCATCATTATTATTATTATTTTTTAAGACGGAGTCTCGCTCTGTCACCCAGGCTGGACTGCAGTGGCATGACCTTGGCTCACTGCAACCTCCCTGGTTCAAGCAATTCTCGTGCCTCAGCCTCCTGAGTGGCTGAGACTACAGGTACACACCACCATGCCCGGCTAATTTTTGTATTTTTAGTAGAGGCGGGGTTTCACCATGTTGGCCAGGCTGGTCTAGAACTCCTGACCTCACGTGATCCATCTTCCTCGGCCTCCCAAAGTGCTGGGATTACAGCTATGAGCCATCGCTCCCGGCCTAAACATTTTTTGAGTCATGAAAGTGTCTAAGCTCTCTGATAGCACATAATTGCCCCACCCAAGGTTAGCAAGGTGGAAAGGAGTGGAGTAAAAGCGTGTAGTGCTCTTGTACTGTGTAGGGCTGAGCTGGGAAAGCAGAGAAACTAACTTTAAATGAGAAAAATTTGACGATTATACTAAAGATCTTTCAGTCACTGCAGCCTCGACTTCCAAGGCCTGAGTGATCCTCCCACGTCAGCCTCCTAAGTAACTGGGACTATAGGTATGCACCACCACATCTGGCTAAGTTTTTTTATTTTTTTAAATTTTTTTGTAGAGACGGGTTCTCCCTATGTTGCCCAGGCTGGTCTCCAGCTCCTGGGATTAAGTGATCCTCTGTCTCAGCCTCCCAGATTGTTGGGATTACAGGTGGGAGCCACTATGCCCAGCTGGATCTTTCAGTTTTAAAAGTCAGATTGTTTTTATAACTTGGGAGTGACCAAAGTCATGATCATTAGCCTAAATGAAAGTTCAGGGACATTAACTATGGCTACAGAGTAACTTTAAAGGCTAGTCGTGGACAAAAAATTGTTTTTTATAGTTACATCCCACGGGTTCGGCTTGTTCAGTATAATGGTTACAATTGTTTTTCTAATAAAAAAATTAATGAGAATGAATTTTTCGAAGAATGTGCTCATGGAGGCATTTTGTTGTGAATAAAGTGGCATCAACTTTGGGATAGGCAGATCTGTTCTGGAAACAGATCTACCCCTTATTGACACTGACCTCTTATTAGCACTGATGTGAGGTAAGTAACACCCCCCCCGCCACCCCCCCCCCCCCCGGTTTTTTTTTTTTTTTTGGAGGCAGGTCTCACTCTGTCGCTTGGGCTGCAGTGTGGTGGCATGATCATAGCTCACTGCAGTCTTGACCTGGTCTCAAGCAGTCCTCCCATCTCAGCCTCATGAGTAGCTGGGACAGCAGACATGTACAACCACACCTGGCTAATTTTTTTTTTTTTTTTTTGGGGTGGAGATAGAATCTCACTGATTGCCCAGGCTGGTCTCAAATTTCTAGGCTCAGGCAGTTCTCCTGCCTCAGCCTTGCAAAGTGTTGGGGATACAGGCATGAGCTACTGCAGCTGGCCTAAACCAGTGTTTGAAATTCATTTTCCTCATTTACTTTTTGTAAAAAGGTAACATCACCGGTTTTGCAGTGTTTTAAAAAAAAAATTATCATCTATAGCAGAATGCATGGTACATACTAGATATTCACATATGTTCGTACTTTTTTCCTCCTTAAAGCAAATATTCCCTATTAAGTGTTTTTACTCTTTTTCATGTTTTACTTCTTCAAAATGTATTCCTTAAAAATACTAAACGGAGGTAGGGAGTTTAGTACATAAATGGTGTACTATCAAGGATGTAAGAAATGTTTAATCTTTAGTATAGCCAACAATTATACTTTTGATTTGAAATGTGAAAAGTTTTTAGAAAGAATGAAAAGTAGTTTTACTGACGTGTGAGGGAAGTGTATGAAATAAGAGACTAAAGGTTGACTTGGCCGGGTGCAGTGACTCACACCTGTAATCCCAGCACTTTGGGACGCTTAGGTGGGTGGATCACCTGAGGCCAGGAGTTTGAGACCAGCCAGGCCAACATAGTGAAACTCCGTCTCTACTAAAAATACAAAAATTAGCTGGGTGTGGTGGCGAGCGCCTGTAATCCCAGCTACTTGGGAGGCTGAGGAACGAGAATCGCTTGAACCTGGGAGGCAGAGGTTGCAGTGAGCCGAGATTGTACCATTGCACTCCAGCCTGGGTGACAAGAGCGAAACTCTATCTCAAACATACATACATACATAAATGTAGACTTAGGTGGAGATTTTTTTCTTTTTAAGAGTTTTGCTCTTGTTGCCCAGGCTAGAGTGCAATGGCGCGATATCGGCTCACCACAACCTCTGCCTCCCAGGTTCAAGCGATTCTTCTGCCTCAGCCTCCCAAGTAGCTGGGACTACAGGCATGTGCCACCATGCCTGGCTAATTTTGTATTCTTTTTTTTTTTTTTTTTAGTAGAGACGGGGTTTCCCCTGATGGTCAGGCTGGTCTAGAGCTCCCGACCTCAGGTGATCCGCCCACCCCTGCCTTCCAAAGTGCTGGGATTACAGGAGTGAGCCACCGCGCCCGGCCGGAGAATTTTTTCATTACTATTCTTAGTAGGAGTAGTTTGGAATGTATAAAACAAAGTAAAGCATCTTTTTTTGTTTTTTTTTTGGAGACGGAGTCTCACTCTGTCGCCCAGGCTGGAGTGCAGTGGTGCGATCTCGGCTCACTGCAAACTCCGCCTCCCAGGTTCATGCCATTCTCCTGCCTCAGCCTCCCGAGTAGCTGGGACTACAGGCACCTGCCACCATACCCAGCTAATTTTTTGTATTTTTAGTTGAGACAGGAGTTCACCATGTTAGCCAGGCTGGTCTCGATCTCCTGACCTCGTGATCCGCCCGCCTCGGCCTCCCAAAGTGCTGGGATTACAGGCGTGAGCCACCGCGCCCGGCCTTTATTAGATATTTTTTAAATGATCTTGGTGTTTTGCCATTTTTTTCTGGGTGTTCTACTTTTATAATAATGTTCAAATTTTGTTTTGAAACAAAGTTTTCTTTTTAATTATCCTGGGACCTCTTAAATATCTCAAAAAACTGATCTGTACCGTCTTTAATTTTTGAATATCTTTATTATGTGTATTTATACTTTAGAGTTATATTTGTACCATAAATTCTGCTTGTTTGTAGGAATGGCTTTAAATTGGGAAGGAAATTACAGTTTTCTATTCGAGACTGGAATATTCTTCATAATTCATTAACGGGTCCTTGGTTGCAAATAGCAGAAACTGACTAGGTAATTTGGACATAAAAGGAATTTGTTGGGATGATGACAGGTAGGTTACAGAATTGATGGAGAGAGTGGGAACCCAGCTTCACAAAATGAGCAATAACCAGAGGCAGATGAGCAGCAAGAAAATACTGCCCAGATTATGTTACCATAACAGTGTGGTTAGTGCAGTGTGGCCACTGGTCTCTTACTGTTGCCACTGTGAACCATTTCAAGTGTCCTTGGTCTTTGGATACAAAGTCCTGGGGTGTAGATAAAGTATTTGTGATCTGACCTCTTCCCTGAACTCCATACTTCTGTATCCATCATTGCCTTCTCAACATCTTCAGATTGGTGGCTCATAAGCCTCTCAAATTTAACATGTCCAAAACTGAACTCCTCTTCTTTTTTTAATCTTCACACCTGCTCCTTTTCATCCAGGCAAGCTGTCTGATAGAAAATATTTCATAATCAAGATTTGTCTGCTTTGTTTCTTGATAAATAGAATCAGTTTATATATACCTGACAAGTTTATTACATAGGGTAATGTTGAATACATCCCATTGCATTACATCATCAGGCATATAATGTCTGTCACATTTTTGGTGATACTAAATTTTATCCTTCAATTAAGATGGTGTCAACCAGCCTGGGCAACATGCTGAAACCTTGTCTCTCCAAAAAAAATACAAAAATTAGTTGAGTGTGGTGGTGTGATCCTGGGAGATTAAGGCTGCTGTGAACTGTGATCGTGCCGCTGCACTCCAGTCTAGGCGAGAGAGTGAGACCTTGTAAAAGGTCTCGGTTTGGTGATACTTTGAAACCATGTGAATATCTGGTTGCCCAAAACTTTTCACTGAGTAGCCTAACATAGGAGAGGACATACACTCAAATAATGGCTGTTAATGTATATCTGAATAATAGCTATTAGTTATTATCAAGAAGTTAGGGAAGAAGAAAACCTTCCTGTTTTAGTTTCAGTTTTTAATAGTGTAGAGGAAAGATAAGTAAATTGTTATGAATCTCAAATTCTGAAAAGAAGCATTAACAGTCATTCTCCAATATGGACTGCAAAGGTGACAAATGATGGCTACATACAATTTAACTTTTATTTTTTAATAGATAAGACTTATGTCTGAGTAAAAGGTACATTAGGAAGAAGGCTGAAAGAAATGGCTAAAATAAATATTGATGATCTGTTCACTTCGGTGATCAGTATTTTCTTGTACATCATTTAGCATAGATCAACATTTTTCTCCATTTTTGTGGTTTTAGTACTTACAATTTTTTTCCTATTCTTGCACTTTAATATTTTTTCTGTTAATTCAAGGAAGCAAGGTCTACTTCCCAAATGACTAAAATTTTGTCTCTTGTTCAAGAAATCTATCTCTGTAGATAAAATGAATTCCTAGATACTGCAAATAGTAAACTAAACAGTGAAATCTAGAATACGTAAGTGCTCCTACATTTGGTGGAAATCAAATGAAAGGGGATAGGGGAATTTCTAAACTGTACAGGTTTTTGTAAGGTATTAAATTAGTGAATGAGTAGGGTAGCAGAAGGTAAAACATCCAGGATGTTATGAGTTAATGGTTTCAGAATTTATTTTAAAATCAAATTTTATTTATCTTTTCCAGTCTGAAATACCTAGTTAAAAATTACTGATGATATGGAAGTCTGTTACATAGCAGTTGAAGTACAGTTATGGCACTCATTCTGTTTGTGGGTGACTATCTGTTAAAAATCATTTAAACTAAGATGTTTAAGTCTAGGAAATAAAGAAATAGCCAAAATCTGAAAATACTGAATGATTTCTACTTAATTATCTCTATGAAACTTCTAAATGTTAGGAAAAATAAAGTTCTTCTACTGAAGAATTATGAGCTCTTTTGAGAAATGAACCTATCTGATATGATATATTTATAGTTGTGTGTATTGATGTCTTGTCTGTTGAACCCATTAGATTCCATGTGGCTACTAATGAGCACTTGGGAGAAAAGCTCATAAGACATGTAAGGTAGTTTTTAAAAGAGGAGAAGATAGACAAGAAAGAACCACTTCATAGGACATTTAACAGGCTGGACTTACATGTTTTAAAGATAAAGGTTTACTACATAAATATATACTCTGACCATGAAAGAGTAATTTTTAGAATAGTACTTTTTTTTTTTTTTTTGAAAGTGTTTTCCCCTGATTTGGTTTGTAAGTTCAGACTTGATAGTCCAAATTTGGAATTATATAAGCTATCCAATAAATAGAAATAACAGAAGGGCAAACAGATTAAGGTTCAAACATGGATAGCAAACGGGATAGAAATTATTGAATAAATCAGTGCAGTTTTGTATTTATTAGGACTGAAAAATCTTACCCGGTGTTCTTCTGAATTCTTGGAGTTGTCTCAGTCTCAGTTTAATAAAGCCTTTTTCTTAAGGATTTTAGTATTATTTTATTATGTTACCCCATTGTTAACAATCATAGGTAGTAATTAAAATGCTTTGTATAGGAGAAGATTTTCCTTTTCCAGTTTAGTGTATATGCTAACATAAATCTTAAAATTAAGTTATTTGACTTAATTTGAAGCATATAAAAATGTCTTTGGAAGTTGTTAGTAGTACTGGTGTTTTTTTAAGTATGTAAGGCACCCAGACATCTCACTTCTCTAGCTTTCTCTGACATTCTCCTCTAGACATAATGAAATTACTCCCTCATCTGTTTTCCCATAGCAGTTTAACCACAGAACTCCAGCATAGCATTTTATTTAATTGTACTGTATTGTAGTAATTTGTTTACATGTCATCTCATAGACTATGAGCTTTATGAGGGCAGATCTTGTTTTTACACAGCATTTTGTACTTTGCCATACATAGAATGTCTGGCCTATTGGGAGTCTGTAACTGATCTTTGTTGAGTTTTGAGGACGTTTTTAACACTATGTGACAAAAGTATTTTTCATAGTCTTAAAATCTATTGTTCTATTGCTACCAAGACATGCGGTAATATATGTTACCACATATCAGATATATAATATCACTCCAAAGTGGTTATCTATGCCTATTGGTGCAACTGAGTTTTATCAGTCCAGAAAAACTATATCTATCTGTAGGCTGGGTGGGCACGGTGGCTCACACCCACAATCCCAGCACTTTGGAAGGCCGAGGCCAATCACTGGAGGCCAGGAGTTCGAGACAAGCCTGGCCAACGTGGCAAAAACCCATCTCTTAAAAAAATAAGTAAAATAAAATAATTTAAAAACTATCTGTAAAACGGTGGTGGACACACCTTAGAGTATTTCATTTGAAGTCTCTTTATTTAATTTTTAATAGGAGAAATTACATATTTTTCTAAATTTTACCAGTTTTCTGCTAACGATACATTGACCTCTCCTTATCTCTCTTTTCCCCAAACAAATCATTTTAGCAGAATGACAGCCTTTTGGAACCTTAACTTTAGACGGGTTGCATTTATTCTAATGTACTTATATTATTTATGATGTTTGCTTATTCACTCATTCAGCATCTATACTTTGGAGACTGTGATGTTTCAGGCATTGTGCTTAGTGCAGAGCAGAGTATGATAACAATGAACAGCCTGTGGTAGCCACTTTGAGTCATGGGAAAGGGTCCAGCGTTTTGATGAGTGATATGATGTGCTGTGAGGCCTACAGAGAAGATTTTTAACTCACACATGGAATATACCTTTATCTCACACTGTCCTGTTCTCTAAATTTCTGTTGTAATTGTAGTCTGTAACAATACTTTGGTGTTGACAGAATTATTATGAATTCGTTACTTTTTATATATGCAAGTATTATTTCCACAGGAAGTCATTAACTACTTTCAGGATAAAGATTGTTGTTTTCTTTTTTCAACCCTTAGAAAACGTAAAAAGCATTCTAGTGTGCGGGTAGAACAAAAAGCCATGGGATTAGGCATGGTCTGTGGGTGGTTTGCAGACCCCTGCTTTAGATAGACAAAGCAATATTATCATATCTGGTCACTTTTCTATGTAAAGTTTCTCAATCTGGGATTGGGCAATCCTGGCTATATATTAGAAACATTGTGTGGCTTCTTAAAAAAACAAATACCATGGTGTACCGTAGGCTTGGTGAATAAGAATCTGCTGTGGTAGCTCTGTGGCATGCATAGTTAAAAACAGGGTGGTGGTGGTCCATGGATAATTGTGGTGGGCAGCCATTATTGATAGTACGTACTGGCCAGTGGTCACTCGTAAACACGTGAAAATGAAGTAATACGAGTTAGGGTGGATTTTCTTTTTCCAATTTTTTTGTTATTAAATCACTGCAGTAGTAGGGTGGATTTTCTAATAAAACTACAACTGAAGTATTTAAAGAAATAATTAAATTTCTTAAAAAGCTGCTTTAACAATACATAAAAATGACTTTTTTTCTTTTTTGAGATGGTGTCTCGCTCTGTCACCCAGGCTGGAGTGCAGTGGTGCGATCTCGGCTCACTGCAACCTCTGCTTCCCAGGTTCAAGCAATTCTCCTGTCTCAGCCTCCTGAGTAGCTGGGGTTACAGGCACGCGCCACCATGCCCGGCGAATTTTTGTATTTTTAGTAGAGATGGGGTTTCACCATGTTGGTCAGGCTGATCTCGAACTCCTGACCTCATGATCCGCCCGCCTTGGCCTCCCAAAGTGCTGGGATTACAGGCCTTGAGCCACTGCACCTGGCCAAGATATTTAAGAGAAATCTTGGAAATTTTTTTTTAAGAATTGAGTCAGCCTGAGATCTTTGTGTCCTATGCCATTACAATTACAGATATAGACTAATGGGAAGGATGATGTGTAGATATGTGATCAGGTTTCTGCATTAGAAGGATTATTCTAATAACATTATGGAGAATTAGTTAGAAAAGATTAGAGGTGGAGTAGTGAGACCCAAATAGGCTATAGTAGGAGTCCTGGCTTGAACTGCTAGTTCAGTGGTTGTGTGAGTAGAGGTCTTCAGGAAATAGAATGGTCAGGTTTTTCAGGTCTTACAGTACAGGTAAGAATGATGACTGGTGTTTTCTAACTTGGATGGATGAATGGTATTGGTATGTATTAATACATAAACTTCTTTAAGATCAGCGCTTAAATCTTAAACAGTTTGGTGTTTCTAGAACCTAGTACAATATCTGCCACATGGTGGATATTTGATCTGTGTTGCTAATAATAGCTACAACTAAGTGAATGTTTGTGATTTTTCCTAAGCAGTAAACATGCATTCTCATTGAATCTTATTTAATGCTTGCAACAGTGCTGTAAGGTCTGTTAACTCCATTTGACAAATGAGGAAACTAATGCTTACTAGCTGTGTGATCCTGAGTTATGGTAATTGTCAGAACTAGGATTCAAACTGGTATTTGACTGGTTTCAAAGCCTCTAGACTAAAACTTTTCTACCTATATATGCTATGCTGTTTCCCTTCGTTGTAAAATACTTAAGCACTGCATATTAAATAGGGTACAAAAGACTTGAGAAACAAATTTTATCTTCCCTCAGTTATACAACTAACATCTGCAGCCAATGAGTAGCAGTGTACTATTGGATGAAAATGCTTTAGAATTATAGGGATTGATGTGGGCTGGAGTCCTCGGGAAAAGCCTGTTGAAAGCAGGAATAGCTTTAAATTGGCCCTTTAAGGATAAGAATCTTTTTAGAAGGAAGAAAGGAATGCCTTTTTAGGAGGAAACAGATTTCAGTACTGGAATGGGCATAGGCTGTTAGGGGGCTCTGCTCTAGTAGCATGTTTATTAGGAGTAGCCTGAAATCAGAATGGATATTCATTCCTAAGTGTGCCAGTTTGAGAATGTATCCTGAAGAGTATTGGGAGCTATTAGAAGTTTTTTTTTTTTAATAGAGCAGTGATGAGATAAAATTAGTGTCTCTTATAGTGCTTGACTAATATTAGGTACTCAGGTATTTGTGTGATAGAAATAAAGTGGGGAGAGAACTACAGAAGTAGGTTAACCATTTAGGAGATTATTGCAGTAGTTAGGAGTGAGAGCATAAAAATCTGAGCTACGGAAATGACAAAGAATAAATATGAATTTAGGAGAAATTGAAAGCAGAGGAATAGAAGCCTTTGTAGAAGAAAGTTGGATAGAATTTCATTTCAGAAGAAAGTAGAATAGAAGATTTGCATTTTATTACTGACTCTGCCCAAATTTAACCTTTCTGGGTCTCAACTTTCCCATTTGTGAAATGGAATTGGGACAAGATATGATTTTAAATTGAAATCATAAAGCTTATTTTTAGCTTTAAAACTTTTGTCTCTATGGGCTTTTTTCTTTTATTGAACTATTTCAGAGATCACCTATATATCAGATTTCAAAGTTAAAATATAAATACGAATGTAATAAGATGTCTTAAGTTCTAAAGCTTGAGTGAGATAGTTCTTCTGGAGACTCTAGGCATTAGATCCTCTAGATTACAGAGTAAATACATACCTTAGAGTAATGTGGATCTTGGAAAATGCAATTTCTCAGGCTTGACCCACAAAATTTAGTGGGTTGTGGCAAGCCTGAGAATCCACATTTTTGGCAGATGCAGATGGTCCATGGACCATTTTTAAAAGTTTTATTAAGCATACAGTTTGTGGAGCTTCAACATAGTTAATCACCTATGAAACCATCACCAC
This sequence comes from Homo sapiens, assembly GCF_000001405.40. Classification (NCBI taxonomy): domain Eukaryota; kingdom Metazoa; phylum Chordata; class Mammalia; order Primates; family Hominidae; genus Homo; species Homo sapiens. The sequence goes on along the minus strand of NC_000008.11, from coordinate 129,915,626 downwards.
AATCAAGATAATGAACATAATCACCTTCAAAGTTTTTTCCTGCCTGCTTCAAATCTATCCACCCTACCTGCCCCTAGACGCCAGTCAACCACCTGTGCCCTTTCTGTCCTTATATTAGTTTGCGTTTCCTAGAATCTTACTTTTTTATTAATTAATTTTTTTAGAAACAGGGTCTCACTGTGTTGCCCAGACTTAACTCCTAGAATCTTATATATGAGGACTCATACAATATATATTCTTTTATATCTGGCTTCTTCAACTCAGCATAGTGATTTTGAGATTTATATTTATTGTTGGATGTGTGAGTAGCTTGTTTCTTTTATTGCTGAATAGTATTCTAGCATATGGAAATACCACAGTCTGTCCATTCATTTGTTGATGAACATTTGGGTTGCTTGCAGTTTGAGACTACTACAAGTAAAGTGCTATGAACATTAGTGTATGATTCTTTGTATGAACATAATGCTTTCATTTTTCTTGGATGAATACGTAGATGGAATGACTGTGTCATATTGAAGGTGTATATTTAACTTTTTAAAGTGGCTTTGCACAAGTGTATAGGAATTCATTTGCACTGTATTCTCACCAGCCCTTGGTATGGTCATTTACAGTATTTTTTTAGCCATCTGGTATGTTTTCAGTTTGTATTTCTCTAGTGCCCGATGGTGTTGAGCATCTTTTCAAGTGCTTATTTGCAGTCCATTTAACTTTGGTGAATTATCTGTTGAAATCTTTTGCCTGTTTTTAGATTCAGTTGCTTTCCTTCTTAGGTTGTGAAAGTTGTGTATACAGGCAGTTCTCATTTTGTGCTGTGGAATGTAAAAATACTTGTGCAGACTTAAATTTTGCAAAGCAATCTTAGAAATTATGTTGTTCATGATTTTTAGAAATTTTCGTCAAAACATAACTCTCATTGTTGCAAAATGTATAGGGAAATGGATAAAACAGTAAAACTAGTATTTACTTAGTACAGTGTAATTTAAACCTTGAAAACTAAAGTGTTTTATTTATTTGTAAAAATCTTTTCAAGAGTAATTAGAACTGTGCCTGGTTTCTTCTTCCCTGTTGTACAGTGTGGAGTGAGCATCATTTCTAGGCCTTGGACAAGTTGTTAATACTTCTAAATTTGAATCAGCTTCAAACATTTTATCCATTACATTGTGAATATCAAGAAGTATATGTAAAAGTTCCTTTAATATGAAGGATTTTTGCTGGCATGACTTCCTCTGAGACATTGTCATCCTTTTCACCATAACCACTCTCTTATGTTGATCAGTTTACCTTCAGAAGGTTCCTCTGGCTGCATATTTAGTCTCCCTGTTGGCAGCGGTGTCACCATTCTCACAGTCAACTCTTTCTTTTGTAACTCCATTTATATTCCATTAGAATTTTATTTCCAGCATTATCGCTTTTGTTTCTTTGCTTCACTTTCGTCTTTGTTGGCAAATCCTCTCCTTCAGTTGCCCATTTAAAAAAAAAGTATCTCATGGATTTGTCACTGGGGACAGGGAAGTAACACAGGACAGCTACTGCTCTGCAGCCTGTACATTTAGTGAATAACAGGTATGCAGTGACTAGTGACTCACTTTAAAAGAAGTGATATGATTGGTCATGGATCAGGATATAAAAAATTGGAGAAAAGGATAAAACTATAAAGAATTCTGTATTTTCAGTACCTTCATTTCTCATTACATTTAAAAAAGACAAAAACTAGACATTTTAGAAAAAGTGTATTTATGGTTATGGTCTATACAATAGTAATAATGATAATAACATCAACTTTCATTTATAGAGTCCTTATCTGGCAGGGACAGTTTTAAATGCTAGACATATTCTTATTTAATCTTCATAATAACCCAATTAGGTGGTAGGTATTAATATTATCCCCACTAGAGAGAGAGAAACTTGTCCAAGGGTGAGGCTCACAGTTTGGCTCCAGAGCCCGTGCTTTATTTATACTAGTGCTACTCAAAGCGCACTTTGCAAACCAGCACTGGTCCATGAACTGTTCACACGTAGTCTGTGAAGAATTGGAATTTCCACTTTGTAAGTTTTTAAAAATTAAATATTTTTCTCCTCTGGTAATTTCTACAAAAACATTGGATCATAGTGGCTGGAAAATACTCTAGCAATGGCTTGTCATTGAAGAATGTGCTTTGGTTTTCTTAAAAAAGGATTAGCTAATGAATGCACGTGTATGTATTTTAAATGTTTCTATCAATAATTGCAATTAATTGAACAACTTCTAGTTCTGATTATTATGGAAAAGCTTTTACTGTAATTACAACACTGTGGGGAAAGACAAGGTTTATCTCAAGAGCTTCTGCTTATGTAGGCATGATTTTGAAAGTGGAGCAGATTCCAGGGGTGGCTCACGCCTGTAATCCCAGCACTTTGGGAGGCTGAGGCAGGTGGATCATGAGGTCAGAAGTTCAAGACCATCCTGGCTAACACGGTGAAACCCTGTCTCTACTAAAAATACAAAAAATTAGCCGGGCGTGGTGGCCGGCGCCTGTAGTCCCAGCTACGTGGGAGGCTGAGGCCGGAGAATGATGTGATCCCAGGAGGCGGAGCTTGCAGTGAGCCTAGATCATGCCACTGCACTCCAGCCTGGGTGACAGAGCAGTCTCCGTCTCAAAAAAAAAAAAAAAAAAAGTGAAGCAGATTCCTGAAAGTCATGGTATTGCATTGTAGGATTCACTTTTGCGCTTTGTATTTAAATTTATCAGCAGTAGAGATAACTTTAACAGCAGTAGAGAACACACTTGTTTTCTGTCACCGTAAACATGACACACAGATTAGGAATTCACTGAATCATTTTACCTGAACCACTCTTTAATATGCCTTCATTAGTTCATCCTGTTGATTATCATATAGAATTGTTTGAAAAAAAAATGACTTGCAAGAAAAGAAAGCCCCAGCCTGGGCATCCTAATAAGACCCTGTCTCTAAAATAAAAAAATAAAAATAAAGGCAAATTTAAAAAACCCAAGTCTTTGTTTTCATTGAAATGCACCTTCTCTGTTCCCAGTCCTCCCCTTCCCCCAACCCCAGAGTGCATCTGTGCATCTTTTGAGGTAATTATATGGCTTTTTTCTTTTAATCTGTTAGGGTGGTGAAAACAGTAGGTATTCTGAACCAACCTTGCACTTCTCAGGTAAGCCAAACTTGGTCATAATTAAAAAAAAAAAAAAACTTTGTAATTTCAGATAACTGCAGCATTGGACTAGAGGTGGAGAGAGTGGTACTGGGGGAGTGGTGAAGCAGGTGAGAAGCTGGAAGGAATGGTCATTTCAGTGCTAGTGCAGTTTGCAACTTCAGATAATTTTGGAGCATATATATATATATTTAGCAGGATGTATAAATTCAACTATTTGATCTTTTATGAAATCGAACCTGGGGTAAATTTGGAGCGTGTATATATATAAACTGTAAAGCTTTATTTGCCTTATGTTATTACCTCTGTTTGTATTTACCATTCCTTTAAAATTATGTGTGTAAATGTTATAAGGGGGTTTGAACATGTGGGGTAGATTAAATGAACACTAAAAATTCTTTCTTTTAACTAGCATTTAATTTTACAGAGTTTGAGCTTATAGAGCTGCAAAATAAGGTACTTACTTGTTTTCACAGAACGTATCTTAAACCTGTGGAATCTTTAGGTTAGCACGATTGCAGCACCTGCCATCAAAAATGCATTTTACAGTCTCTCCATGGCTGTATGTTCCAAAACTTAGCTGAGTTGAAGTATCAGAAAAGTCCCATTGTAGATGGTCAGTAATCAGGGCAAGATATTGACAGTAACCAGGAGATCCAGAAGTAAGAAGGTTCTGTATAATGTCCTCAAAGCCTGGTGAGCCTTTTAATTTAGCCCTTGCCTCAGGTTTTTCATAATTGAAAACAGCATTATTGCTGTTGTAGGTTTTGTTTGTTTTTATTTTTGTTTTTTTTTTGCACACCACCACAGTCGGGCTAATTTTTGTATTTTTAGGAGGGACAGGGTTTCACCATGTTGGTCAGGCTGGTCTTGAACCCCTGACCTCGTGATTCGCCCACCTTGGCCTCGCAAAGTGCTGGGATTACAGGTGTGAGCCACCGCGTCCGGCCGTGGGTTATTTTTTTAAAGAATCATTTTTAATTTTACAATAAAAGAAGTTAGTGGAAAAGTAGTATTTGTTTTACAAGAAATCACATCTACAGAAAGGAATATTATAATAAATATTGAACAAGATTGTTTCCTGAAAAGTAATTTTCTCCCTCTGTTCCCTTCCTCATTTCTGTCCCTTCCGCTCCTTTTCCCAATTCCTTACCCTCTAGTCATGACCTTGGACAAACTACTTAACCTTTTAAAGCCTCTGATTGCTCATCAATGAAAAGGGTTTAATTTTAACCTATTAGGTTCACAGGCTTATGTGAAATATATCATGCAGTACAGTGTCTAAAACATAGGAAGTACTTAGAAAAAGGCAGCTGAGTAGAAAGGGACAATTTTAAAAGACTGTACCTCACTTTATACATTTATATTGAGTATCTGATCAAGGAAGTTCAGATTTGATAGTTATTTCCTTAAAAATACATAAGGCCTTGATAGAAAATGGGAAGGACTAAGTTACACAATTGTGGAGGAAAAAATAGCTGGCCTCAGTAGTTAACAAAACAATGGGAGAGAGGCCGGGCAAGGTGGCTCATGCCTATAATTCCAGCGCTTTTGGAGGCCAAGGAGGGAGAACACCTTGAGGCCAGGAGTTCAAGGTTACAGTGAGCTATGATTGTACAACTGCATTCCAGCCTGGGCGACAGAGCGAGACCGTGTTTCTCTTGTTTGTTTTTAGAATTAGGGTCTTGCTCTGTTGCCCATGTTGGAGTGCAGTGGCACTCATAGCCCACTGTGGCCTTGAACTCTTGCGCTTAAGCCATCCTCTTGTCTCAGCCACACATGTAGCTGAGACGACAGTTGTATGTTACTAGACCTGGCTGTTCATTTTAATTTTTGTGTGTATATGGTCTTGCTATGTTGTCTTGTCTGTTCTCAAACTCCTGGTCTTAAGTGATCCTCCCACCTCAGCTTCCTGAAGCGTTGGAATTATAGGCAGGAACCATTGCACCTGGCCCTTGTCTCTTTAAAAAAAAAAAAAAAAAAAAAAAAAAAGTGAAAGAAGGCACCACTTGTCAAGGATGCTGTGAAGTTGGCCAGTGCATCATTCTGATGGTAGTGTTAATTAGAATGTATCTTTGGACAGCAATTTGGCACTAGGTATAAAGACCTTGATGTATCCTAAACATTTTTAAGTTATTTCAACAAAGATATATGTTCATAGCTAAGATAATTATTCAAGGTGTTCACATGGCCCTCTGCACAAGGGGTGCCACACCTGTGGGTGTATCAGACATGAGATAGACATGTCACTTTGAGAAGACCGTGGGTGAGTGAAGGGATTCTGGGCCTTCTGGCCACATCTTGGAGCCAGGAGTTCCAGGTTACAGTAAGTTGCCTGGTACATAAACCCATACTAGCACCTATGGCATGCGAAGACTCTGGAGAGCTCCTGTGAGGACACTCTGTCCATGCAGGTGGTTACAGCATGGTCTTGTCCAGACTGAGCTCCAGACTCCAGGCATCCCCTGAGGTGATGTCTTTCGCTAACTTGCCCACCACTCCAGTCTGACAGAAACTGATCTGGTAGTCTCATTTGAGAAATTTGGGGCAAGGGTGCCTGGCACTGGCTTAGGTATGTTTATGTGCCTTAATGTTCAGGGATTATGTTTGTCAGTAGGCAAGAGCGTGACCCTTGTGTGCAGGGGCATGTGTATGCACAGCCAGGGTGTTTGCTTGCTGGGGTTCTTAAACCCCAACCCAGGCAGAGCTATATTGTGTAGTTGTTGAGGTTGTGTAATAAAATAATAGTTCATAAACGTTTTTATATTAGACTGGGATAACTTCTTCTAATCTCACAAAGTCTTTATGTGCTTATGGAAGTCTTGGGCATATAGCATCGTTTAAAAGAGCAAAAGGTTAGAAAAACCTGAATGTCCAGCAGTGAGAAAATGCTTGAAAAAATGTGGTACAACCATATGATGAGTTGGTATGTAAAGACTAAAAGTGGTATTTTGGCAGAGTTTTTAATGATGTGAAAATATTGCTCATGATGTGAATGATAAAAAGCAGTACAAATACAAAGAAAGGGTGTTAAATTGTATAAAAATATACATAAAAGAAATTAGAAGAGAATAAATTGTTAAAGCTTTGGTTGTGGGATTATAGGTAGTGGTACTTGTTTCTTTCCACTTTCTTTATGTATTTTGTGTAGTGAGCATGTTTTACCCTTATAATAAAGGGGAAAATTAAGATTGTAAAAACTTTTTAGACTCTACAAAAATCAAGTCATGTTCTGAAAGCCTGGCATTACCTAGGCAACTGTTACTGCAATTTACTTTTTCCTGGAGGTAATTAAAAAAAAACTTTAGAGATAATTAGAAATGTTGGTATTTCAAATCTTCTGGAGCATGGGTTTACAATAGAGATTAAGAATTTCTTGGTCAGGCATGGTGGCTCATGCCTGTGATCCCAGCACTTTGCTAGGCTGAGATGGGGGGATTGCTTTAGGCTAGGAGTTCAAGACCAGCCTGGTCAACATAGCAAGACTCCATCTCTATTTTATTTAAAAACATTTTTTTAAAATCTTTATAAAAAAAGAATGTATTGATATTGTATTAATATTTAGTATTAATATTTGCGCAGTATTAAGATTTATATGTATCATATATGCCTTGGTATTTGTTTTTATATAGAAAATGTAGTTCTAGGTATATCAAGGAGGGAGGCTCTTAATGTAACCATTGTGCTTTCTTCTGATCAAACTATTTTGTGGTAGTAAGCATGGTGTAGGATGACATAGAGGAATCCTCAGGTGTTTGAGTTCTGGTGCTGTTAGACATGGTTTTCTTAAGAGTACTGTACTTGAGATTTAGTGTCAGTAGAGAGATACATATTATTGTAATTTTAATATTAAATATTAAATACAAAAGGTAATGACCATGTTCAGCAAAACTAGCATTTCCATTAATCTACACACTTTGAGTTTATTTTTGCTCTTTTACAAAGGAAAAGGATGCATAGATAACCTAATTTAAATAAGTGAAAATCTGCATTTTACAAATAAAGATGCTCAAATAACTTAATAATTTAAATAATTGGAAATGCAACCCAAGCCTGATTTCAGAACCAGTTCTCTAAACCATTTTACCATATTTGCTTTTTATTATTAGGGAGTATACATTTTTTTCATAATTTATTGTTTTGCCTCCCTGTTACAAATTATCGTTTATTTTTTTCTGTTGTCTTCATGTGATTTATATACACTCCCATGAACTATTTTAAGACATTTTGGTATCCCTTATCTTTAATTTTTACATGATTGATTCATCTTTCCATTTTAAATTTTTTATAGTGCTTTATATTTTAGCATATTATTCCTCCAAAGATAAGTAAGATTCTTTGTTCTATTTTCTGAGATTTAGTTTTGAGAAATTAAACTCAAATCCATGTGTAATGTATAGTTTGAGAAGGGTCTGTCTTAGTTTTCCATGGAGTTATTTCAACACCATTTACTTACTTATTTATTTTTTGAACAGAGTCTTACTCTGTCACCTAGGCTGGAGTGTAATGGTGTGATTTCAGCTCAGTGCAATCTCTGCCTCCCAGGTTCAGGCAATTCTTGTGCCTCAGCTTCCCGAGTAGCTGAGATTACAGGCATGCACCACCATGCCTGGTTGATTTTTGTATTTTTAGTAGAGATGGGGTTTCGCCATGTTGGCCAGGGTGGTCTCAAACTCCTGACCTTAGGTGATCCACCCACCTTGGCCTCTCAAAGGGCTGGGCTTACAGGCGTGAGCCACTGCACCAGGCCATCATAGGTACCATCATTTGAAATACTACAGAGCTGTAAACATGGTTGACAGAATGGTCTGAAGTAATAACTCATGTCTTGCTGGAGGCCAGCAAATTTTTTTTTTCATATATATATAGTTTTTTAAATTATACTTTAAGTTCTAGGGTACATGTGCACAATGTGCAGGTTTGTTACATACATATACATGTGCCATGTTGGTGTGCTGCACCCATTAACTCGTCATTTACATTAAGTATATCTCCTAATGCTATCCCCACCTCCCCCCACCCCATAACAGGCACCGGTGTATGATGTTCCCCTTCCTGTGTCCAAGTGTTGTCATTGTTCAGTTCCCACCTATGAGTGAGAACATGCAGTGTTTGGTTTTTTGTTCTGCGATAGGTTGCTGAGAATGATGATTTCCAGCTTCATCCATGTCCCTACAAAGGACCTAAACTCATCATTTTTTATGGCTGCATAGTATTCCATGGTGTATATGTGCCACATTTTCTTAATCAAGTCTATCGTTGGACATTTGGGTTGGTTCCAAGTCTTTGCTATTGTGAATAGTGCCACAATAAACATACGTGTGCATGTGTCTTTATAGCAGCATGATTTGTAATCCTTTGGGTATATACCCAGTAATGGGATGGCTGGGTCAAATGGTATTTCTAGTTCTAGATCCCTGAGGAATCGCCACACTGTCTTCCACAATGGTTGAACTAGTTTACAGTCCCACCAACAGTGTAAAAGTGTTCCTGTTTCTCCACATCCTCTCCAGCACCTGTCGTTTCCTGACTTTTTAATGATTGCCATTCTAACTGGTGTGAGATGGTATCTCATTGTGGTTTTGATTTGCATTTCTCTGATGGCCAGTGATGATGAGCATTTTTTCTTGTCTCTTGGCTGCATAAATGTCTTCTTTTGAAAGTGTCTGTTCGTATCCTTCGCCCACTTGTTGATGGGGTTGTTTGTTTTTTTCTTGTAAATGTGTTTGAATTCTTTGTAGATTCTGGATATTAGCCCTTTGTCAGATGAGTAGATTGCAAAAATTTTCTCCCATTTTGTAGGTTGCCTGTTCACTCTGATGGTAGTTTCTTTTGCTGTGCAGAAGCTCTTTAGTTTAATTAGATCTCATTTGTCAATTTTGTCTTTTGTTGCCATTGCTTTTGGTGTTTTAGACATGAAGTCCTTGCCCATGCCTATGTCCTGAATGGTATTGCGTAGGTTTTCTTCTAGGGTTTTTATGGTTTTAGGGCTAACATGTAAGTCTTTAATCCATCTTGAATTAATTTTTGTATAAGGTGTAAGGAAGGGATCCAGTTTCAGCTTTCTACATATGGCTAGCCAGTTTTCCCAGCACCATTTGTTGAATAGGGAATCCTTTCCCCATTTCTTGTTTTTGTCAGGTTTGTGAAAGATCAGATAGTTGTAGATGTGTGCTATTATTTCTGAGGACTCTGTTCTGTTCCATTGGTCTATATCTCTGTTTTGGTACCAGTAGCATGCTGTTTTGGTTACTGTAGCCTTGTAGTATAGTTTGAAGTCAGGTAGTGTGATGCCTCCAGCTTTGTTCTTTTGGCTTAGGATTGACTTGGTGATGCGGGCTCTTTTTTGGTTCCATATGAACTTTAAAGTAGTTTTTTCCAATTCTGTGAAGAAAGTCATTGGTAGCTTGATGGGGATGGCATTGAATCTATAAATTACCTTGGGCAGTATGGCCATTTTCACGATATTGATTTTTCCCCTATCCATGAGCATGGAATGTTCTTCCATTTGTTTGTATGGAGGCAAGTAAATTTTAACACTTAACTTGAGGAATCTCTAGGTTTGTAGATTTTAGGTGCCTGGATGATCCAATTTAAATATTAATTAATATTTACTATTTATGACCTGATATTTGATTTCTAAGGGTGAATACAGTTACAAGTGTTTTATTGTGTCTTGATTTATTAAGAATAAATAATTGAATTTTCCCCCATGATTTTATGCAAAGTGGCACTGGTTTTTCTGCTGTGGTTTATAAAAGTGGTCAGTCAAGCCACTTGTTTTGTTTATTTCTGGGAGCCTGCAGTGGGCCTTAGGGAAGGAAGTTTTATCTTCGGCAGAAAAAGCAAAAAAAGTGTTTATTCATTTCACTTCTAGTAATATTGATCCAAGGCAAGCTTTTGAGAAAAGCTAGAACAGTTAGGCTTTGAACGTGACTCCCATTTGTGAACTAACTCATAGAGAAAAGTGAAAGATTGTAATCCCAGCACTTTGGGAAGCCAAGGTGGGCAGATCACGACATCGGGAGATGGAGACCATCCTGGCTAACATGGTGAAACCCCGTCTCTACTAAGAATACAAAAAATTAGCGGGGAATGGTGGCAGGCGCCTGTAGTCCTAGCCGCTTGGGAGGCTGAGACAGGAAAATCGCGTGAACCTGGGAGGCAGAGCTTGCAGTGAGCTGAGGTAGCGCCACTGCACTCCAGCCTGGGTGACAGAGTGAGACTCCATCTCAAAATCAATCAATCAATCAATCAATCAATCAATCCAGCCTGGGTGACAGAGTGAGACTCTGTCTCAAATAAATAAATTAATTAAAAAATAAATTGTAGACAACGTGAGGTTCTGGAGCAGAAGTTGCAAACTGGTGGTTCATGCACGTATAGCCCTTAGACTGTTTCATTTGGCCTGTTGAGTGTCTGACTTATTTCATTAGTTGCTAATGTCTAAAATCTGTTTTACATGGATATTGAGCTCTGTATCACCTGTATTTTTAGCATGGCATGTTGATAGCAGTGGCACCATTTAGATAAACACACACGTTTATTTGCCTGGTTAACATTTACCTAAGGTGGCCTCAGCCAGCCAACTCCATATGCATTTTTGCAACCTCTGTTCTAGTCTCTTCAATATGAAGTAGTAGTAGATCTGATAATGCTCAGGCAACAGAATCTTCTGCCTTGAGTTAGTAGGAGATAGTAGGCACAAGGATTTTAGGTAGTGAGAGTTTGGGTGGAATATGGGGTGTGCAAGAAAGCGTAGTCGAAATTAAGAAGGAGCATCCAGTGAGGTAGGATGAAAAGGGATTATGGTATTGTGGAAATCAAGTGTCTTGACCTAGTTTCACTCCAAAAGCAGAAACTGAGATGGGTGCTTTCTTACAGGTAATTCATTTGCACACCTGTTAGCAAGAAACAGAAGTTGAAGGACTGGAACAAGTGAACTAGGAAAGAGGGAACGCCAATCCAAGGGTGCGTTATTGAGCTGCTCACTTCTGTGAGCAACTGGGGCTTGATCCTGAGGAAGCCCTGTGAGAAAGCAATAAAGATATGCCTTTTGCTGGGAAGAAGGTGGTATTTATTTGCTAGATCCCATCTCTCGTTGGTCAAGGGTTGCCCATGGTGTTAACACCTTCAAATTTTCAGGTTTGTTTATATCTCTGGATAGCTGAAGAATTCCTGTAGACGTCTCCTATTGCAAAGCCCCAGAGCAGAAAGTGAACCACAGATAGTACAATCAGGAGGAGGTACCTCAGCTAGAGTGAAAACATGAGGCTTTTTCCTGATAGAGTGATCCATACCTTCTTCTCCAAGGGGTTAATGTCTTTATTTGCTTCTTATAACCTTATTTGCAAAGTTATACTCATTCTGAAGATTCCATTTTACCTAAAATTGTGTGTTTGAAATAGTAAAACCAAGCCCGGCATGGTGGCTGATGCCTGTAATCCCAGCACTATGGGAGGCCAAAGCAGGAAGCTCACTTGAGCACCAGGAATTGGAGACCAGCCTGAGCAAAATAGCGAGACCCTCTTTCTGCAGAAATGAATGAATGAATGAGTGAAATAATAAAACCAATCCTAGAGAGGGCTTTGTGGTTCACTTGAATTTTGCCAAATGTGTCCCTGGCAAATAATAGGTTATGGTCACGGAATAAGGATTTTAATACCTTGAGTAAAACTGATTATTAATACATTGAAACTGAATGAACTTAAACTGTGATAAGAAATATAAATATGCCTCTTTTCATAGTTTTAGGCCCCTGCTGTAAGACTAAAGAGGAATAACTAACTTTCCTTTTCTTACCCTTTGCTTCATAAGCTATGATGAGAATTGTGTACTTGTCTTCGTACACTTTTTACTCTCTGAGTATGTTGACGGTGACAACTGGGTTGTCTTACCTATTGTTGTTTCCAGGGCTTAATATGATGCCTTACTCTAAATAGGTCCTCCATAAATGGTGGTTGAGTTAATCCAAGGAAATAAATAAATATATGTGTGTATGTATAAAATGTGCACGTGCATGATGGCATTCGTAAACTTTAAAGTTAACTGTAATAAAAACTTGTTTTAAAGTATAATAATGTTTTAGACTTTCTTCCTTTTTTTCTTTCCTTAAACAGATAGAAGGACAAGGACAGAATCACCAGCACTGGCTGAAGGTAAATATGTCTTTGGGGGAAATGATTATTCAAATATAAATGAAAAGTTATGATTTCAATAAAAACTTATATTAACTATATATAATTTAAGGGAAATGTTCTATACACAATATTGAGTTGCTAAAAATGTTGTTAGGAAATATTGATTGTTTAGTTTTTGGCTTAGAATAGGACCTGGTGGGGAAAATGTAAATTAATTAGAACTTTTTTTAACAGCTTTCTTTCTTTAGGAGAGGTATGTGTTTTCCTTTGAATTAAGTCATTTTAGCTGTCACCAGTATAGTTGATCAAGAAAGTTCTAAGCCATAATTTTAGTAGTTTAAAGTATATATATGTACATATATATTTTTTTTCATTGAAAACAGAAGGGAAGACACTTTACACATAATCTTAAGAATTCTATCTGTTACTGGTTTTGGTCCTTTTTTTAAAAAAAAATTTTTTAGAAACAAAGAATCGTTACCATAAAAGGTAGTTACTGTTAAAGGGTCCTGAGTACTGAAACATTTGTAATCCTGCAGTTGTTTTAATTATAACAAGTTATTAAGTATTCAAAATGTAATTTTTTTTACAGGCAGATTTTGTGTTCTTAAGTGAAAATGACTAGCTTAAAATCCCTTTCCGTGTTCTTCTTAGTTATAAACAGAGTATATTTTTTCAAAACTAGCTCATCAGGCCGGTCGTGGTGGCTTACCTGAGCCTGGGATGTCCAGGCCGCAGTGAGCCAAGATTGCATCACTGCACTTTAACCTGGGTGATAGAACAAGACCCTGTCTCTAAAAACAAAAACAAGGGTGGGCGCAGTGGCTCATGCCTGTCATCTCAGCACTTTGGGAGGCCGAGGTGGGTGGATCACCTGAGGTCAGGAGTTCAAGACCAGCCTGGCCAACATGGTGAAACCCCATCTCTACTAGAAATACAAAAAATTAGGCAGGTGTGGTGGCGTGTGCCTGTAGTCCCAGCTACTTGGGTGGCTGAGGCGGGAGAATTGCTTGAACCCAGGAGGTGGAGGTTGCAGTGAGCCAAGATCACGCCATGCACTCCAGCCTGGGCAACAGAGTGAGACTCTGTGTCAAAAAACAAAAACAATAAAAACAAAAACAAAAATCCAGCCCATCATTTTATTAGAGCTGGTACAACAGTTACTTCTATGACAGTCCTTCAGAATTGTTATCACCTTGCTTACTCTGTATTTTACAGTTCAGAGGTTCTTAACGAGTATTTTTTGTGCCAAGGACCTCTTTGGCAATCTTATGAAGCCTATGAATCCTGCCTCAGAATAATGATTCTAATAATGATTCATGATTGTATGAAGTAAACTACATAGGATTAAGAAGGAAACGTTACATTGAAAAGCCATTAACAAATACTAAATACAAATTTGTGATAAGTAATATGTGTGCTTCTTACATTAATATGTGTGCTTCTTACATTAATATGTGTGTTTCTCATGTTAGAGAATAAGCATTAGGAGTAAATATACTATATATCATAATTTTAAATAGATGTTGTGTGCAAAAATTGTAATACAAAAATACCCATGGTTTCTATTAATGACAAATTCATAGGTTTTCTAATACTACTGTAGTTTGTTACTAATATTCTTGATTGAAGGAATTGTTAATTTTTGTATAGAGGTTAGTGAAAAGGTTCCCATCCATATTCACAGATCCCTGAATTCTCTATGGACTCCCCATATTAAGAACCTCAGTTAGTGAAAATTCAGCTAGACCTTTCTCCATCATACTTCAGTAAGCGTAGTTTTTCACATTCTATATGACTAATCTTAAGTAGTTACAGGCCGGGCACGGTGGCTCATGCCTGTAATCCTCGCACTTCGGGAGGCCAAGGCAGGTGGATTGAGGTCAGGAGTTTGAGACCAGCCTGGCCAACATGGTGAAACCCCGTCTTTACTCAAAATACAAAAATCAGCCAGGCATGGTAGCACCTGCCTGTTATCCCAGCTACTCGGGAGGCTGAGGCATGAGAATCACTTGAACCTGGAAGGTTGCAGTGAGCAAAGATCTCACCACTGCACTCCAGCCTGGGCAACAGAGCTAGATACTCTGTCTCTCAAAAAAAAAAGGTATCCTAATGATGTAGGCTAGAAGTTTGTGAAATAGCTTTGAAGAAGCTTCTATTTGCTGGTCCATAATAACAGAAACCCCATCTCTACTAGAAATACAAAAAATTAGCCAGGTGTGGTGGCGTGTGCCTGTAGTCCCAGGCTGTAGTCCCAAATTTTGTGGAGAAAGAGAGTAGAAAATAAGTGTTAAGCCTTGGCGAGTGCCTGCCTTCAAAGAACATGAAGTAAATATGTAAAAAACAAGTATCAGGGCTGGGCGCGTGGTGGCACACGCCTGTAATTCCAGCACTTTGGGTGGCCGAGGTGGGTGGATCACTTGAGGCCAGGAGTTCAAGACCAGCCTGGCCCACATGGCGAAATCCCATCTCTACTAAAAATACAAGCCGGGCATGGTTGTGCGCACCTGTAATCCCAGCTACCCAGGAGGCTGAAGCACGAGAACCGCTTGAGCCTGGGAGGCGGAGGTTGCCATGAGCTTAGATCGTGTCACTGCACTCCAGCCTAGGCAGTAGAGCAGGACATTGTCTCAAAAAAAACACCCTCCCAAAACCCAAATATCAGTATGAGACACCAAAATTTTAAGAAGAGAAACGCCATCATTGCCATAGGAAAGATACGAATAGTAGTGCTCTGATAATTGTGTTTTGAAAACAAGAAAAAGGTAGAGACTTGCAGAAAGTCACCAGCTGTTTTGCAGTTCCATCAGTAGTATAAGCTGTACGGTGGTAAGTTTCAGCCTGATCTAGAAAGAGCCTAGAATGATGTCCCCGAATCCCAGTGTTTGCCCAGCAGCTGACACTGACTACAAATTGAATGTCAGGTCTGTTAAAGTTTGATTAACAGCAAAAACAGCATTAACAATCATTTCAAAGGGGACATAGTTGGGAACGTGACTTTCGTTTTTGTTTCCTTTGTTGTGGTGGTACTTAATTCTTTTGATGTCATCTGGCCCTGATGCCATGTTTTAAAGAGGTTCTCAAAAGCTGCACTGCCAGAGTCAGTGGATTAAGCCCCACATTTTTTTTTTACTCATTTGCTGCTTTGTCCAAGTCACCAGGTTGCTCTAGTCTTTATTTCCCTTCTTTCATAAAATTAGGGAGTTGAGCTCGTTCAAGTCATTTCACAAACCCTTTAGTCTGGGCTCAGATTTTCTATCCTTTGTCATCCCCTTTCTCCGTTTTTTTAGCACCTTTAGACATGTGGTAGTGAAAGTCTTCAGAATCAAAATGGAGTTACTAATGTTAAGGAAACCCAGGGAAGCTGTGTACAGAGCCAGGGAAGGCTGTGAAGAGAGTGTTCTCACACTTGTATGCCTGATAATGAAAGAGACTACAAAGACCATATCCTTACACAAAGGCCATCACCACCTTACACAAAATAGTACTTCTGCAAGGACATCTGCCCAGCAACTGCCTGTTCAGCCTCCAACTGGTGTCACCCTTGTTATTGATCTTTGTAGCTAAGGATATTTATTTCAAAACTATTATATAACCCTTGTTTCTCCTTTAAAAACCTTTGTCTTCCTTTACCTCCCTGAATATGTATGGCATAGTTTACTATGTTATGCATATTCCTATTGCAATGCTCTGTTCTGAAATAAACATCTTTTCTTTGTGATCCTCTCTCTGTTATGTAGGTTGACAGTAAAAATTCAAAGTGGTTTAGTGATTTGAACTTTGCTTTATATAAACATTTCCTTTTTATATGCTTTGTGAAACTAGAAGGTGTAATAATTAATGGCATACTTAGTTAAAAAAATTTATATGATATGCACATACTGCATTTGGTCCTAATAATGATCTCAACATTTCATTTACAATTAGCTTATTCCACAGTATTAAGAAAACATAGGTTTCTTCCTATTTTATATAAATCAGCCTTTAAAATAAAACAAACCAGCTTTTGCAAAATTATTTACAAAGATACCTGGCCTTGTCATTTGTCATTTGAAAATAATTATGGGACCTGCTTTTTAAATTTACTGAGGGGGATCTCTTTCTGCTGTAAAATTTTACTTCTTTCTGAAGTAAAATTGTATTTTAAAAAATGATATAATGAAAGGCCAGGTGCAGTGGTTCATGCCTGTAAATCCCAGTACTTTGGAGGCTGAGGCAGGTAGATCACCTGAGGTGTCAGGAGTTCGAGATCAGCCTGGTCAACATGGCAAAACCCCGTCTCTACTAAAAATACAAAAATTAGCCGGGCCTGGTGGCACATGCCTGTAATCCCAGCTACTTGGGAGGGTGAGGCACGAGAATCACTTGACTTGGGAGGCAGAGGTTGCAGTGAGCCGAGATCCTGCCACTGCACTCCCCAGCCTGGGCGACAGAGTGAGACTCCAAAAAAAAAAAGAAAGGCAAAGTAAAACTGTATATATTCAGTTATAATTACCACCTCCTTGGCAACATCAGAATGTAAATGAATGACCTCTGCTGGACTCTTTTTAGCACTGTAAGAGATACTGATTTATTAATGTAGAAAATTATTCAAGTACATATCTTTAAAATTCTATTACCAAGAGAAGAAAAATATGTTTTTGTATTCTGTTTGGTTATGATAAGCCTGGAGGAGATAGATTTAAGAGAATGATTTTAATTTTAGTTCAGTTAAATTAAGTTCAAGAACCAGGAAAACATTTGTGCCTTTTGTAATTTCACTTGTATTAAATTCCGTTAGTGTACAAGGCTCAAACAGAAAGACCTGACAAACTGTTGAAAACTATTTAAGAACATTTCTTAACATCCGTCTTCTTTTCCTAATAAGCATACATTTTTCTTTTTTAAATTTATTTTACTTTTAGCTTCTGCATCCAACCATCCATAACATACTTACTGCTTTTCTTAAAAAAGTTTTTTCCAGTGAAATTTTTTTTCTAACTTAGAAGTTTTAGTACTAATTTCTTTTAGGAACACTTGAAATTTTTCTTAATTGTTTTTGGATGAATTGTATGTGCCACAATAAACGTTCATTTATTAACTTAACATTAGCACTAACGTCATGCAAAGCCCTCTGCAGGGTGCTTTGGAAACAGAAGTTAAGATCACAGGGAAAAAAGTTTCCACTGCCCTTGGTTCTTTAGCCTATAATGTTTAACAAGGTCTTTGTGATGAGTATTCCTTTAAAAAAAAAAACAAAAAAACTTAAAAAAAATTTTTAGATTGGGGCCAGGCACAGTGGCTCACGCCTGTAATTCCAGCACCTTGAGAGGCCGAGGCGGGTGGATCACCTGGTCAGGAGCTCAAGACCAGCCTGGCCAACATGGCGAAACCCCATCTCTACTAAAAATACAAAAATCAGCCGGGCGTATTGGCAAATGCCTGTAATTCCAGCTACTTGGGAGGCTGAGGCAGGAGAATCACTTGAACCCAGGAGGCAGAGATTGCAGTGAGCCAAGATTGCTCCACTGCACTCCAGCCTGGGTGACAAGAGTGAAACTCTGTCTCAAAAAATAAAAATTTAGATGGAGTTTCGCTATGTTGCCCAGGCTGGTCTCGAACTCCTGGGCTCAAGCAATCCTCCCACCTCCACCTCCCAAACTGCTGGGATTATAGGCATTAGCCGCCCACCATGCCTCTCCCTACCTAGAAAATCACTTATAAACTCTACTCAGAAGCTAAATTCTTGGCTGGCATTACTAGATAGGAGATGTCTTGTTTGTACCTTTGCAAATGTGAACATACATAATCTGATGGGTAACTTTATTTTGACCTCATTTGACTGTTGTTTTAAGATACTTCATATATTTAATGGTTTGTTAAGTAGCACAGGGATTGTGTTTAGTTTATTTCTAGGAGGCCAAAGAGAATTTAAACCAAGGAGGAGATGTTAACAAATGGGTGAATTTCAGTTTAATACAAGGATTGTATGGTTTTCGAGGGTAGAATTCATGTCTTAATTGTGCTTATTCAGTCATTGTCTTAAGTTTCTACAAATTTTTCTAAAAATTGACCAAAGTCTAAAATTTAAGTCATGTAGAGTATTTAAGCAGTGGTGAGATGGCTACTTGGTGTGGATATGTTGTAGAATAGATTCATACTAAGGTTAAATAGTCAAGGGTGAGTCTTCCATTTGACCGTGAATGGTCCCTTCCTGGTCTGAGATTCTCTTATTTATTGGTAATGGGATATAAAGCCATTCTGCCTGTTGTCTTTCACTCTTCACAGTGACTATAGTGTTGAGAAGAGCCCCTAGTCAACCCCAGAAATTAAGGGATACTTAACTTCAGAGAATACCTTATCTTTTAACTCAAATTATGAGAGAAAGCAGAACAATTTTTAAGAATCTCTTATCCATTTCAGTCATAGTGAGGTGACTAGGAATGACACTTTACTTCTATATGCCAAATTCTGGCAGATTTCCTTTCAATTGTAGGCCTCCTGTTTCCTGCGCTTTCTCCTTTTCCTGTGAAATCTCCGAGGAGAAGAAAGAATGATGGACAGTTTATCCTTTCACTGCCACAAGGCCTGTTTACTTGGCAGTAGGTCCTTAAGTTCCTTGCTTTTTTGCTGCTGTTTGGTGACTGGAAGAGGCACCAGAGACTCTCACTCTGGGGAGGTGGGTGGCATGTTTATAAGTAATGGATGAGAATGTCTCTGTAGCCCTTAGTTATTCTCTGTGCAAAAAGCAGAAAACTAAAATTGCTACTTCTGAAGATGACTGTTGGTCATCAGGATTTTTAAGGATTTGAACTCTCATTGCGATAATGCATAAGAACATGGGAAACACCATTGAAGATTAGCTCAGAGGTGGTAAAGAGTATTGTGGGAAAATATCATTGCTGTCCAGGCCAGCTTTAATGTTTTAGCAGTAAACCTTTGCCTGTTAACCTTGTCCTTGATTTTCTTGATGTTTATAGATCTTGTATTTGAATTATCCCTTCGTAGGTAAGACTAAGGGATTATTCCATAAACTTAGTCCCTAATTTATTAAGTTGCACTTTGTTTAATTTGACCTAAACCTACTCTTTTTATGGGATGCCCTTAGTTTAGGTATTCTCTTTTTGGATAAATAAGCTGCTTTTTACTTGAATTGTTCATTTATTAATTTGACAAATATTTATTGAGTACTGGCTGTGTGACAGAATGTCTGTTAGGCTGGAGTTTCAAAAATGAAACAGATGTAGACTTCTTAGATGTTTGGAAGAACTTTCCTATAAAACTCACTGAGTAATTGACACATTGTATTGTTTATAAATGGTTCTAAATAATAGAAAAATCTATGTATAAAAATAGGCTTGACAGCAAAACCAGACAGGAACAGAGAAAAAAATTACAGGTCAGTCTTACAAAATAATCCAAGGTGAAATGTTAGCAAAACCAAATCTAGGAATATATATTTTTAAATGATCAAATAAACCAGGTGCAGTGGCTCACGCCTGTAATTGTAGTTGTAGCACCTTGGGAGGCTGAGGTAGGAGGTTTCCTTGAGCCTAGGAGTTCAAGACCAGCCTGGGCAACAGAGCAAGACCGTGTTTCAAATTTATTCATTCACCCTCATTCATTTATTCATAAATAAATAAATACATAAATAAATAACCAACCAAGCAGACTTGATCTCAGGAATGCAAGAATGGTTTAGCAACAGAAAATGAATTTATGTAATCTGTCATATTCATAGATTAAATGACAAAATGATTGAAATTATAGAGATGGCAATTATATATTTAATGCAAAATCAAATCAAAATCCCATCAGAATTTTTTTGTAGAATTTGACAATCACATGAGTGAATAAAAGGGCAAGAATAAGGCAATTTTGAAGAATTATTATTTAAACAGTAAGCACAGACCATGAAGAAAAATGAAAAACTGGACTGTTATGACAAACAACACCATAAACAAAGTTAAGATATGTTAGATCCTAGAAGAAAGTATCTGCCTTGTATATAAGCATTAAAAGGGTGGTATCCAGAATTTCTAAAGCTGCCAGGTATGATGGCTCATGCCTGTAATCCCAGCACTTTAGGAGGCCAGGGTGGGGGAGGATTGCTTAAGGCCATGAATTTGAGACCAGTCTGGGCAACACGATGAGATCCTGTCTCTACAAAAAAAAACAAACAACAACAGTATTCCCCCTGCCCCTGCCCCCACCCCCACCCCCACCCCCACCCCAACCCCGCCGACACACACTAGCATGATGACACGGGCATGTAGTCCCAGCTACTCAGGAGGCAGAGGTGGGAGGATCGATTGAGCCAGGGTGGTTGAGGTCGCAGTGAGCCGTGAGCACACCACTACACTCCAGCCTGGGCGAAAAAGAGCAAGACCCTGTCTCAAAAAAATAAATTAATTAAAAAAATATATATATATATATATTTCTAACACTCAGTTTGAAAAAAGAGTGGTATGACAGTTGAAGTTAAGTTAGGAAAACTTACCACTCTGGATATTTCAAACAATTTAATATAGAAGATTGGTTACAAAGATACTAGAAAAGCTGGAAGAGCAAAAGGAACAAGGGAGAGAACAGAGTAGCAAAAATAAAATAAGAAATTATGATGCTGCTTTTACCAGAGACAAGCTGCTGCCACCACTAGGCTGGAACCTACAGGCTGCACCTGTCCCTAATTAGGGTATTGGATACTATTCACACTGCTCCTACAACAACTGCTAGCCTGTTCTAATCAGTAACTTCTCTCTTCCTCCTGTCTTCTCACCCTCCAGTTCCTCCTAACAGGAACCCAGCTGGCAAAGATGTCTGGGAAATGTCATTTGCATTCTCAGCCCCAGCAGTGCAGAAAGGTAGGAGTGGGGCTGCGAAACAACAGAAAAATAAGGACCATAGGTGACAAAGGAAATGCATATACACTTCACAGATGGCCCATAAACATATAATACAAAGAGGTGCACATTTTTACTGATAAGAAAATACAAATTTAAACATCAGTGAGACATTTCAGACTCTAAAAATTAAACTTGAGGTTTTGGAGGACAGGAAATAGGAAATCTTTGTACCTGTGGAACAGAATTGATGGAAGCACTTGGGAGAGCAATTTAGCACCATGTATTAAAGTTACAGTTGCCTTTTCATTTTCAGACAGCTGTCCTATAGGACTCTTGTACATGAGCTTAAGTATATGTAGTGTGTGTATGGAGGTGTAAAGCATAACTGTTAATATTTAAAAGTGGAAAATAATCTCATTGTCAATCAGTAGAGGAATGAATAAACTGGTTTCTTTGAATAATCCAATAGTATGTAATAGCTACAATGAACATATTAATAATTTTTAAAAACTATTGAGTGAGAAAATCCAGTTTTCAAAGAATGCACAGTATATCACGTATGCAAATTGAAAAGCAGAACAATACTGTATTGTTTATGATGAATATATACCTTTGGAGTAAAAAATCTTAAAATATGTTTGGCAAGGAAACCATGCTGGAAAAAAAAAAAAAGGCCTAGTGTGATGGCTCATGCCTATAATCTCAGCACTTGAAGTCAGAGGTGGAAGGATCGGTTGAGGCCAGGAGTTCAAGTCCAGCCTGGACAACATAGCGAGAACCCATCTCTATCTAATAATTTTTTTAAAAAGATACTAATTATCTTCAGTGAGAGAGGAGGGGAGGAAAGTTGATTGAAAGAGGTTGGGAGGTCAACTGCACACACAAAAAAGTAGCCCATCTGAAGCAACTATTGCTAAATTGTTATAGTTTTAATCTGGGTGACAGACTGTGAATAGTATTTTTTTTTATACTTTATGTTGGAATTACTTCCTAATTTAAATAAATAGCAAACAAGAAAGAATTAAGAATCAGCCCTTCTGGGAAGCTTTTATTTACTTTACCAAGACTGGGTTAGGTATTCTTTTTTCTGTGTGTTCAGAATGCCCTTTGCTTTTTTCTTTATGAAAGCATACCCACACTTGCTTGTCTGGTCTCTTCCACTTGTCTGTGAATTCCTCAGCACCAGATATTCAGTATTCATCATAGCCATTGGCAGACAGGTGCTAAGTAAATGTTGTTTGATTTAAAACGACTACCACCACTGATACTGTAAAAGCTAAATATATAGAAGTATCTGAGGCTTATATAATGATACATTTTAAAAAACTGATCATCCATGCGTTGTAGCATGTGTATTAGAAAGAGGTAGGTACCTGAATTCCATTCTAAGCTTTTTTGTTGGGCATCTTTCAGTGAGACATACGTGTTCTCTGAGCATCAATGGCTTTACATTTTTAAACATTCAAAATTACTGATTCATACAAGAGTGTGCATACTTCATTTGTAAATTGTGAAGCCTAAAAATAAAACTCCCACAAATCCGCCGCTAATTGAGGAACTAGAATAATTCTCAGGTTTTTAAAGTTGCCCAATCCTATGATTGTCTCCCCCTGTATAAATAACCAGTATCTTTAATATGATGTTTGATTTAATGGTATTATATTGTGTACAGTTTGCCGATAGCATTATAGTTCTCTTATTCATCTTTATCGTATGTAGCTGGAGTTAATTTGTTTGCACAGTATTATAGTTCATTATGTGAATATTGCACATGAACTTCAGAAGGAATGTCAGACTAATTTCCCAAACTTCTCATAGTAGTTTACACTTCCACCCAATTGTGCCCATTGCTCTTGCGTTTTACATCAGCCTAGTGTAATTTTGAAATATATAATGAAATGAAACTTTTCTAAAATAAAATATTTCCAGAAGTAATCATTGAAACTATTGGCATATATTTATTTTACAGCATGATATATAAAGAAAGCCATAGTTAAAAGCAGAATGCTACTCCACAAAAAAAAAAAATTCTGACAATTTTGGTAATTAAATGTGACAGTGGACTTGTGTGACCAGGCTTTTCTTTTGAGTTGTTGACATGAAATAAAATTCATTTTGCATTCATAGATTTTAAAATAATGTTTGCAAAATGAATTCAGAATACTATATTTGTCTAATGATAACGTATTTTCAAGAGAAACTTTCATAGTAAGTCCTTATAAAATAGGTCATTTTGAGTTGTTTTGCATATTTCCATCATATTCCATTCCAGAAACTTCTGTATTACTTGCCTTGAGCCTTTGTACTAGCCCTTCTCATACTCTTTGTCTGTACTTGATGCAAACCATTGTAGCAGGATGTGTTTCTGTGCTTTCATGGTCTAAATATGTGGCTCTGACAGTAATTTGCATTGGTGGTTAAACTCTTCCTTTTCCTACCTCCTGTAATAGAGGTTTTTTTAACATTTAATGGCTGGAATCATGGAAGAGTGCCAGTAATCTTTGAATCAGATTCAAAGATACCATGACAATCTGATCTAATACTATTTTATTGTGTTTCACTTCCATGTAAGGAACAGTATTGGTCTCCTAATTTATTATATCCATTGCACATGGCCCAACAGAAATAGGTGAAATAAGATTTTTCATTCTATAATATGAAGTCTAAGTGTATCCATCCACTAGATGTCAGCATTAGGCAAGATGGAGTGGAATGGATGTAGAATAATAGCCAGAAGCTCAGTAAGAGATTTAGTCTAACAAGTAAACTGACTTGTATAAAGGCACGCATTTTATGATAGAGTCAGGACTAGAAATCAAGTCTCCCAATTTTTAATCCATTGTTATATCACATTTCTTTAAGTCAAGTGAGTTAACTGCATGTAATTTAGTAGCTAAAATTAAAATATATGGATCTTAACATTTGCTAGGGCTTCATGGGGAGATTTTAGTACTACTATGTTGATATTAACACTGGCATCCAGGAATACCTGAATCCTGTTGTACTAATCTCTCTGTCTCTTCCTTTACATTTCACAAAAGATGGAGAATCAAAGCATCACTTTATTAATAGCTAAACTAGTACTTGATAGCAGTGAGTTAGATAGTGTTAGTAAGGTTAAGGATTAAGCTGTTCTCTAGAACTTCTCCGATATCAGTCAAATTCCAACCAGGAAAGCAGAAAGAAAACGAGGGATTTTAATATATGTATTTAGTTCACAAGTGTTGGAAACCTGAGCCAAAAGAGATTGCTGAGGTAACTTAGATATTAATAGAAACCACAAGAAGCAGCAATTACTTTTAGGGCTGAGGGAACAAAAGAGAAGAGATGGATTTGGGAGAATTTAGGAGCCTGAAGGAAGAACCCCATAGGCCTGGAGTCTCAGACCTTTGAAGGGGGCCAGATAATGCACTGCTGCTGGGAGTTCCACAAGAAGCTAGAGCTTGGAACCCTAGCTGTCTTACTGCTGGAAGAAATTATGACAGGACTTGAAAGATCCCTTTGTTTTTCTTCTTCCCACCTTTTCATTTCCTTTTGGTGACATTGCTTGCTTTCTCTTCTCTTCTCTTTTCTTCTTTTATTTTTTCTTTTTTTTTTTAAATTTTATCTTTTTTGGGACATTCTCACTCTGTTGCAGAGTGTAGAGTGCAGTGGTGCAATCTTGACTCACTGCAGCCTCCGCCTCCCGTGTTCAAAAAATTCTCATGCCACAGCCTCCTGAGTAGTTGGGACTACAGGTACGTGCCACCACGCCTGGCTAATTTTTGTATTTTTAGTAGAGGCGGAGTTTTGCCATGTTGGCCAGGCTGGTCTCAAACTCCTGACCTCAAGTAATCTCCCCACCTTGGCCTCCCAAAGTGCTGGGATTACAGATGTGAGCCACCACGCCTGGCCTGCTTTCAAGTGATGGTACAGTTTCTTAGAAGCCGTTCAATAAGCAGACTTCGGGCAATATTTGATGAGGGTGGTGCCTTGAATATTTTCAGAAGGGTTACTGAGATTATTGATACGATTTATGTCTAAAAAACAGTGTATATACCTTAATTTAAAAATACTTTATTGATAAAAATGCTGACACTTATCTGAGCCTTCATTTAGCAGGTCTTAACCTTTTTGCTAGTGGAGGGTCTTGCCTGGATGTTAATGGCTTCAGACTGATCAAGGTAGTAGTTGCTGAAGGTTGGGTGGCTGTGCAATTTCTTAAAATAAGACAAAAATGAAGTTTGCCACATCAGTTGACACTTCCATGAAAGATTTCTCTGTAGCATATGATACTGTTGGGTAACATTTCACCCACAGTATAACTTTCAAAATTGGAAGCAGTACTTTCAGACCTTGCCAGTGCTTATCAGCTGTGTTCATGTGATACTCATTTTAACAGTCTAAACAACATCTTCACCAGAGTAGATTTCATCTCAAGAAACCATTTTCGGCTGGGAGTAATGGCTCGCGCCTGTAATCCTAGCACTTTGGGAGTCCGAGGTGGGTGGATTGCCTGAGCTCAGGAGTTTGAGACCAGCCTGGGCATTATGGTGAAACCCTATCTCTACTAAAATACAAAAAATCAGCTGGCTGTGATGGCTTGTGCCTGTAGTCTCAGCTACTCAGTAGGTTGAGGCACGAGAATTGCTTGAACCCGAGAGCTGAGGTTGCAGTGAGCCAAGATGACAAGGTGGAAACTCTGTCTCAAAAGAAAAAAAAAAAAAGGAAAGAAACCATTTTCTTTGATTATCCATAAGAAGCAACTCCTCATCCACTCAAGTTTTTATCATAAGATTGCAGCTATTCAGTCACATCTTAAAGGCCCTTCTAAGATGAACTTCTACTCTAGTTCTCTTGGTATTTCCACCACATCTGCCATTTCTCCACTGAAGTCTTGAACCCCCCTCACAGTCATCTGTGAGAGTTAGAATCAACTTCTTTCAAACTCCTATTGATGTTTGACCCCTTCCCATGAATCACAAAGGTTCTTAACGGTATCCAGAATGGTGAATCCTTTCCAGAAGGCTTTCAATTTACTTTCTCAGATCCATCAGAAGAATCCATATCTATGACAGGTTTAGCTTTAAGAAATGTATTTCTTAAATAATAAGACTTAAGAGCCAGAATTACTTTGTGATCCATGAGCTGCAGAGTGGATATTGTGTTAGCAGCATGAAAACAGCGTTAATCTCCTTACACATTTCCATTAGAGTTCTTGATTGACTAGGTGCATTATCAGTGAGCAGTAATTTATTGAAACGAATATTTTTTTTCTGAGGAATAGGGCTCAATGGTGGGCTTAGAATATTGAGTACACCATGCTGTAAACAGATATGCTGTCATCTAGGCTTTGTTGTACCATTTAGAGAGCACAGGCAGAGTGGATGTAGTATAATTCTTAAGGGTCCTAGGATTTTATTTTTATTTTTATTTTGAGACAAAGTCTAGCTCTGTTGCCCATGGAGTGCAGTGGTGCGATCTTGGCTCACTGCAACCTCTGCCTCCTACTTCAAGCAGTTCTCCTGCCTCAGCCTCCTGAGTAGCTGTGATTACAGGCGCCTGCCACCCTGCCCAGCTAATTTTTGTATTTTTAGTAGAGATGGGGTTTCACCATGTTGGCCAGGCTGGTCTCAAACTCCTGACTTCAGGTGATCCGCCCACCTCGGCCTCCCAAAGTGCTGGGATTACAGGCATGAACCACTGTACCTGGCCTCTCTATTTTTAATCATGTATTTTTTCAGCAAATACTTAATGAATACCAACTACATCCCAGGCATTGTTCTAAGTGCTCAGGATAGAGTAGTGTACAAAACAAAACCCCTGCCTACTCAGAGGAAGACAGAGTAAATAGATAAGAGTAACAGGAATGTGTGTTAGATGGTACGAACCATCAGTTTGGGAAGGGGATAGAGAGGAGGATGGAAGGGGCATTTATAGGTGGGTAGGTAGCTCAAGGATTCTCTCTGAAGAGGTGAGGCCTTACTGAGCAGCAGAAACTGCAAGCAGGCTTTTGTGGTTAGATGCGCATGTGTGCAGTGGAGAGTAAAGAAAGATGAGGCCAGAGTGTGTCGGAGCAGATTGTGTAAGATTTTGTGGGACCTCTGTTTTAGTCTGTTCTCACATTGCTATGAAGAACTACCTGAGACTGGGTAATTTCTAAAGAAAAGAGGTTTGATTGACTCATGGTTCTGCAAGCTGTACAGGAAGCATGGCTGGGAAGGTCTCAGGAAACCTTGAATGGCGGAAGGCGAAGAGGAAGGTGGCACGTCTTACATGGCCAGAGCAGGAGGAAGAGAGATGGGGAAGTGCCCCACCCTTTAAAAGAACCAGATCTCATGAGAACTCACTATCACAACAGCAGCAAGGGGGAAGTCCACTCCCATGATCCAGTCTCCTCCCAGCAGGCTCCTTCTCCAACACTCATGAAATTTGGGCAGGGACACAAATTCAAACCATATCATTCTGTTCCTGGCCCCTCCCAAATCTCATGACCTTCTCACATTGCAAAATATAATCAGCCCTTCTCAGCAGTCCCTCAAGTCTTAACTCATTTCAGCATTAACTCAGAAGTCCACAGTCCAAAGTCTCACCTGAGATGAGACAAGTCCCTTCCACCTATGAGTCTTTAAAATCAAAATGAAGTTAGTTACTTCCAAGATACAATGAGGGTACAGGCATTGTTTAAATACTCCCCTTCCAAAAGGGCAGAATAGGCCAAAACAAAGGGGCTTTAAGCCTGATACACATCTGAAACCTAGCAGGGCAGTTGTTCAATCTTAAAGCTCCAAAATAATCTCCTTTGACTCCGTGTCTCATATCCAGGCCACACTGATGTAAGGGGTGGGCTCCTAATGCCTTTTGCAGCTCTGCCCCTCTTGCTCTGCAGGGCTTACCTCCCATGGCTGCTCTCAAGGGCTGGCATTGAGTGTGGCTTTTCCAGGTGCATGGTGCAAGCTGTTGGTGGATCTGCCATTCCGGGGTCTGGAGCATGGTGGCCCCCTTCTCGCAGCTATGTTAGGCAGTGCCTCAGTGAGGACTCCAACCCTACATTTCCCCAGTGCACTGTCCTAGTAGAGGTTCTCCATGAGGGCTCTGCCCCTGCAGTGTACCTTCTGCCTGAACATCCAGGCATGTCCATACATCCTCTGAAATCTAGGCAGAGACTCCCAAGCCTCAACAATTCTTGCTGTCTGCACACCTGCAGGCCTAACACCCATCAAAGCTGCCAAGGCTTATGGCTTCTACTTGCCTGAACAGCAGCTTGAGACATAATCTAGGACTGTTTTAGCCGTGGCTGGAGCTGGAGTGGCTGGGATGCAGGGAGCAGTGTCCCCAGGGCAGCCAGGCCCTGGGCCTGGCCTGTGAAACCATTCTTCCCCTCTTGGCCTCTGAGTCTGTGGTGGGAGGGGCTGCCACAAAGGTCTCTGAGATGCCTTCAAGGCATTTTCCCCATTGTCTTTGATTTGTCATTGAATTTGGGCGGAGACACAAATTCAAATCATATCAACCTGGTAAAGAATTTGGATTTTATTTTGAGTGTGTTAGTGAGTCATTGCATGGCTTTGAGCAGAGAAAGGATGATTTATATGTTTAAAAGAGTGCTTTGCCTCTTATATGTGGAAGAGATTGTAGGAGGAGGCTGGGTTGGAAACAGGGAGACCAGCAACCCTAGCAGGAAGTGAGGGTAGCAAGAAGTAGGGAGGTGTGGCAGTGGGGGAGGTGAGACGTGCTGCCCTTTAAGCTAATGATAAAAGTGTGTTGAGGAGGATGAGGGGAGTGTCAGGGCAGATGCTCCTGGCAGGCAAGGTAAGGTGTGAGGGCTGAGTATTGACACTGGAATTAGCAACGTGGAAGTTACCTGATGGCCTTCCCAGTGCAGTTTTGGTGGTGTGGGATGGGGATAAAAGCCACATTGCAGTGGGTTTAATAGAGAACGAAAGGAGAGAAACAAAAGATGCTGAGTGTTAGATTATTCCTTTTAAGGAATTTTGCTGCAAAGAGAAGCAAGGGAATAGGGTGGGAGCTGGTGAGGGAAATAGAATCAAGGTACATTTCTGTTTATGTTTTAAGATGGAAGAAATAAATGTATTTATGCCAAACAGAAGGGTACTGAAAAAGAAAAACTGAAGTAGGAAGGAAACTCAAGATAATGTATTGTTCAGAATGTCAAATTTTGAAGAAAGTGTTTTCAGGAAGGCGTGGGTGATAACTGGGTCAAGAGCTGCTAGTTCAGTAAGTTGAAGTGTGAGAATTGTCCTTTAGATTTAGCCAAATGCAAGTTTTGGTGACCTTGACAGGCACAGGTTTATTGTAGTGGGCATAAAAGCCAAACTGGAATGAGTTGAAAGAATCGGAGTTTGAAAGGTGGAAAGAAACAGCTACAGACAGTTCATTTGACAAGTCTTGCTATAAAGAGGACAGGAAAGATGATGTTGTAGTAGAGGGCACATGAAGTCCTTGAGGAGACAAAAGCAGGCAGGAGAAGTAGTGCCCCAGAAGAAAGGTTGTCCTTCAGGAAAACAGGTACAGAGGGTGGGTGTATGGTTACTGAAGAAAGGATGGTAGAAAAGATAGATGCTTATGTGTTTTGTGTGTGAAAGATACAGTGAGGTCATTTCCTGCAAGTGAGAATGGAGGATGGGTTGTTGGGTTTTTGTGGTTTTCTTCTTCTTTTTTTTTTAAGAGATCATGAGAAAGGTAAGAATTTTTTTTAATGTGTGGAATAATCACCTGGGAAAGTGGGAGAGGAGATTGAGTGAGGTAGCAAAACTGAGGCTGCACTTCAGGTTGGTGGTCATATGTTAAAAGCAGCAGCTTTCAACAACAGGCAGTTTTGCCTCCTAGGGGACATTTGACAGTGTCTGGAGGCGTTATTGGTTGTCACAGCTGGGAGCAGAGGTGATAAGGGGTATCTAGTGGGCAGAGGCCCAGAATACTGCTAAACAACCTACAAGGCACTAGACAGTCCCCTACAGCAAAGAATTGTACAGTTCAAATGTTAGTATTGCTGAGTTTAAGAAACCCTGATTTAAAGTGAAGCTGGTTAGTGTGTTTGTTACTTTTCTTTCTTCCCCTTCCTTCTCACTGGCCAGTCACAAGTCTTTAATACGTTTATAAGCTGGATGTGAGGAAAACTGACACTAAACAAGAGAAATTCAGATTGTGATAAATATGCTTAAGAAATAAGTTGAGTGAAGAGGTAGGTAGAAGATTATCACTAGAAGTTGCAACCGGTGCAACTCCTTTGAGAAGGTTGGCAGAGAAAGGCCTCTTCAAAGAGATGCCTTTTAAGATGAGCCCTGAAGGATGGAAAGAAGCCAGTCATGGGAAAATCTTTGGGACTAGCATTCTAGGAAGAGGAGACAAAATTAAAAAGTACCTTGAGGAGAAAAAGTAAGTGAAGTAACAGCATCTCTTAGGAAGCTTCTAGAAAGATAGAGGAAATATTATAGTAATTGTAGGGTATAGTTGTTTCTATTGGCTATTATTCTGTAAGGAAACTTCTTTTCAAATGTTTTATGGGAAAATGGTCTAATGTATTTAAGTGCCTTTTGTTAGCTTAAAAATACATTCCACAGACTACCGGCCAGGAAGGGCGTGTTCCTTTCCAGATAAGTTGTCAACGTGGAAACAAATGTCTAATGTAAGGGCTCATAGTAAAAAAAATTCCACCAGAAATAGGACAACTCCTGAGGTAAACCATGTCTGGTTTCTGTGTATTAAATCTGTGTTAAATTTATTTTTAGCTTATTTAGTAAATACAATATTTAGTTTAAATCCAAGGATTACGATAGAAAATAATTTGAAAGAAGATTCTTTAGCTTTTCCCTTCTAAATTCAGATAGTAAGACTTAGTTTATTATTCTAAATGATAATATTTGTTACCTCTAAAATATATCAATAGTGTTTTGGGTCTGCTTTAAAATCTTAAATCCGGCCGGGCCTGGTGGCTCACGCCTGTAATCCTAGCACTTTGGGAGGCTGAGGCGGGTAGGTCACCTGCGGTTGGGAGTTTGAGACCAGCCTGACCAAGATGGAGAAACCCTGTCTCTACTAAAAATACAAAATTAGCCGGGCGTGGTGGTGCATGCCTGTAATCCCAGCTACTCAGGAGGCTGAGGCAGGAGAATCACTTGAACCTGGGAGGCGAAGGTTGCAGTGAGCCGAGATTGTACCATTGCACTCCAGTCTGGGCAACAAGAGTGAAACCCCGTCTCAAAAAAAATCTTAAATCCTTTGGTATCTTTCATATCAAATGTATTTATTCATCCGAAACTTAGAAATCTTACTAGTCTCCTTTAGATGGCAGAAATCCAACTCAACAGCTAAAAGGGGTATTAGTTTAAAAAAACTAGGGTATCTTAAAACCAGAGGAAAATCAAGCAGCTGGACTGAGAGAAGTGACAGCTGGAACTCGGGAATGAATGGAAGGAAATTAATGACTCCAGGACACTCTTTGAGACCTTGCACTGTAATATTGGTTCATTCTCTTGTGATAGACTGCCATCCTCTAGGGCAGGAAGTATGACTGCCACATCCGCCCACGCCTCACATTCCATAAGTTCTGCTGCTGGGAACAGAGCCCCTAGTTAGGTTGCTCTGACAGCTGCAACAGTAATAGTAAATAAACTGCCAGGTATGGCACTAAATGTGGTGCTTATTATTAACCCATTTAATGATTTTAGGAACCCTCTGAGGTGGATATTATTAATATGCACCTTTTACACATGAGAAAACTGAGGAATGGAGAAGTTAAAAAACACTTGACTGAAGTCACAAAGTTTGGAAGTGGCACAGCTGGGTTTCAGACCCAGGCAGTCTGGTCCCACCTAAGCTGATGATTAACCACTGTTATATTAGTTGAAAACAGTCACAGTGAGAGGACAGCAGGGGTTTTTTTTGTTTGTTTGTTTGTTTGGTTTTTGGCCAGGTTAAAATATAGCAAGATAGGGTTATGGTTTTAATTTTTTGTTTATTCTTATAAAGGATAGGAGAACCGATAATGTTATAATGGGACTGTTTTTAGAGCTTTGAAAACTTCCATGAGTTTTTGTTCAAAGAGACATTGTGATATGAGCTGCCTATGTAGCATCTGTCCTGTGTGCTATGTGGTAGAGCGAATTTTTGCGCTGGACAACAGTTGTAGTGATTCTCAGTCGGGTGATTTTGCCCCCAGGAGATATTTGGCGGTATCTAGAGACATTTTTGATTGTCACAGCTTGTATGGGGGGTAGCTGCTAGTATCTAGTGGATTGAAGCCCAAGATGTTGGTGTATTTCCTACAATGTGAGACAGACTCCAATAACAAAAGAACTCCTCAGCCCAAAATGTTAGTAGTGCTGAGACTGAGAAACACTGTGTTAGATAAACTGAGCCAATTCCTTTTTTTTTTTTTTTTTTTTTTTTTTTTGAGAGGGAGTCTAGCTCTGTTGCCTAGGCTGGAGTGTGCAGTGGCGTGATCTTGGCTCCCTACAACTGCCGCCTCCTTTAGTAGAGACGGGGTTTCACTGTGTTGGCCAGACTGGTCTCGAACTCCTGACCTTGTGATCTACCCACCTTGGCATCCCAAAGTGCTGGGATTACAAGCGTGAGCCACTGCGCCCAGCCAACTGAGCCATTTTCAAACTAAGTGTTTGTGTATGGGATAAATAAGCAAGAAATTCTCAATCCTTATGAGAGCAAATAGGTCAGGACCAAGTCTGATGGTAGTGGTCATACTCCCAAGTATGAGGAGGGGAGGATCACATTAGCCTCGGGTGCCTGGAAAGAAGAACCATATACAGAGGAAGAAGTTTACAGAACGAGCTGTAGGAAAATGGAGCAGACGTACATGGCTAGTTCCAAAATTTTCCCCAAGGTTGGACTGTGTGCATACACGTAAAAAGGTAAGGAAACCTAATCTCCCTCTTCTCCATGCATACCTGATGATGTTAATAGAACTAATTTTAGGACATTTCAGCAATATTCTTGATAAATATGGGCTTCATTCTGATTTATAACATTGGAATGTGTTGATAAGGACTCAGGTTTATGTTAAAAGAAATAGAGCCATTATTACTTTTAAAAGGTTATTTTGTGATATTTAGGTTTTAATTACAGCAACAGCCAATATTTATTAAATGTTTTCTGTGTGCCAGACACTGAGTCAGTGCTTAATCTAATTTAACCCTCATAATAGGAATTTAAGATATTTACTATAATTACCTGTGTTTTACCAATCAAGAAATGAGTCCCCAAAAGGGTTAACTACCATCCTTAAGGTCAAACAGCTAGTAAGCTAGAGTCGAATTTCTGGTTTGATTCCATAGATTAAACTCCTAAAACCAAATGGTGTGCTGCCTTTTTCCTACTGAAAATAATTATAGTCCTTTCTCATGATATATTTTTCATCTGTAGTTCCAATTTTGATACCACTAGGTAATTTTTTGTGTATTTGGTCTCAGTTCTTGTTAGTGAGAAAATTTATATATGTTTGGATACAGTCATTCCATATATGTTGGAAAGCTTTTAAAAATTAAAGCTGTGAAATATGCTATTTCCAAATGGTTTCTTCCAACATCTATTGAAGAACTTTAGTAACCAATTTGAGATAATTATTTGGGTGTGATGATTTAGGAAAAATGTTTATCTTTTCCTTTAATATAAAAGCTTGGTATTATTAAATGTTTTACAATGTATACAGTAATTAAGTCAAAATATTAAATATTTCCCTCTTAGCTTAATGTCACCTAATCCACTTGTGTAAAGTATTGTACAAAATCAGACCATTGAAATTCTGTGTAATAGAAATGTTAATATAAGAAGAAGATAGATCTCCACCTCCCCCATTGGGGGAATATTGTTTCAAAAGGGAAGAACCATTCAGTACTTACCATATATGAATAAATTGGATTGCTTTTAACATTTTATAAGAAATTTGTGTTTCCGTACATCAGACTTTGACCTCTAAAGCAAATAGCTATTTGTATTTCCTCATGGGAAGCTTACAGTTAGAAACATATGCTGATGTTGGAGAGTAGGTGGAAGAGGGGGATGCCACAGGTGACGGGAAGTGCTAACTTTTTTCAAGCTTCTTATAATGAGAGTGAGTGGCAAGTTGTCTTTTTTCTTAATAAAAATATTGTTTTATGTTTTGCCTTATTTACATTTGCCAGCAACGGGATCTTTGGAGAAAAACACATAGCAATTGGAGGAAAAGTACAGCAGTTGGAGGGAGGAGGATGTGGGTAGCCGTGATACCATAGTTTGCCTCCCCTTTTGTTACTCTACCTTCCAGGTTTGAACCTGGTTTCCTGGATGTTTCTGACCCCATTTCCCACTTTCATCCTCACTGCATTATGGAAATCTTGGGCAACATTTATGCCAATGCCGTATTTTCACTTTTTGTCCTCCGCAAACCTACTAAGTTGTGATAATTGCTGGCTCCCTGTTTGCTGTGTTAACTTTTAAGTTCCATACATGGTATAGTTGTGTATAGTTGATTATTCAGTCTAAGAGTTAAATAATAAGTTTGATTAATCTTAGGAGACAGAAGATATCAAAAACATTTTATGTGTGGTAAAGTTTTTTTAGATGGGTCATTAATTGATAACTTTCTTTAGGCTTTAATGGTTAAATGTGGTTTGAATACTTTCTTCTTTGTGTTCCCAATAGGATTTGACTCTGCAAGAAGGAAAATATCCCTATTATTTAAAAAAATGGTTTCTATAGTTACTTATTTGAGAAATCTAGTTTTGCTGTTAAATTGAGAAATATATGCCTCAAAAATTTTAAAGGAGTAACACTAACATAGATAGTAATAAAATGTAAATATTGCAAGTTATATGTCAAAATCTAATCTTTTTTCCCATCTTGCTTTATGTAACTTTTTTGATATGTGGAAAAGAGGGACAGGAGCTATAAACTCAGAGCCAAATGTGCTTTTGTTGTTCCAAATTCTCAATGCCAAAAGCATATAAACCTGCACCTGTTGATAATTATGAGCAAGCCAGCCTTTGCCAAATCCCAGGCCTCTGCTTAAAATTTTTTACTGGAACTAAATGATGTTGCCATTTTTATTTTTAGGTTTGCTGGCATGGGTAATCTCATTAAGGTGCTAACCAGGGACATAGACCACAATGCAGCACATTTTTTCTTGGACTTTGAAAGTAAGTCTCTTTAGCCCTTCACAGCTGGTGCATAATGGTAAAGGTGAAAGATGAATTATACTCACCACAGTGAAGGCCAGCCAGAATATTTGTTAATTAAACATGGGAATCAAACAAAGGTTGCATGATTTTTTCTTAATCGTAGGCAAACATCACCATCATATGTATAATTTAGTTTTTCATTTGCTAAAATCATGTTGAGTGTGTAGCCAGTGCTGTCCTTTCATTAGTCCATGAAGCAAGTAGCCTTATGATGAACATTCTAATAGTATGCTTTAGTGACTATGTCAAACAATATTCGCTTATAATCCTGTAATAATTTTATTTTAAAAATCAGAATTGTGCTGCATACCTTGAATCAGTAGTCTCCGTACCTCCACAAATTATTGACAATCCAAATTTGGTTAGAAATATATGCTTTATTGAACCGCATGCAGGAAGAAAGTTTTATACTGTTTTAAGATGAGATGCAAAGGTGAGACATGGCCAAATGTATTAATATTTGGCTTTGAAATAAATTGTTGTTTCAGTGCTATACTAACAGTACTACATGTAAATAATTCTTGATCAGAAATTTCTTTTTCAGAATATTAGCACTATTGGAATACTTAAAGAATTTTTCATTATAAGGCCATTAATGAAACTTGTCTTGGGAGAATTTTGAGAAGAATTAGAGCAACAGTTGTGCCATTGTGTACAGGAAAACCACATTTCACCTCTAGGTCCTACATATCAACACCTTGAGAACCCGTTTTGCTGTCTGCCAGAGCACAGTCTGGGTAACCTGAAGAATGAATTCATGGCCTAATGAACATTTTCCCTGTTACTATTTTTCTTTAAGTAAACTTCAGATGTTCTTTTTTATAAAGGGATATTTTCTCTTTTCTCATTCTTGTCTTGACAGGTACCTTAACATGGGGAATCTTCTTAAAGTTTTGACATGCACAGACCTTGAGCAGGGGCCAAATTTTTTCCTTGATTTTGAAAGTGAGAAGATGATTTTATATCTATTTCTCTTTGCCTGCAGTAGACTGCGTTTGTCTTGCACTAAATGAATGTTTCCACTTTGCCATCTTTTTAACTGCTTTGCATGACTGAGCTATGAATTGTTTGAGTAAATTTCTGGTGCCTTCTAGAACTGGAAGTCCTATTTTATAGATTAAATTGTGATGATAAAATGTCTTTGAGTTTTTATAAGAGATTTCATATCTCTTAGTTGGAGATTATTTTGTAATTTACGATCTATTCTCTAATGAAAACATTTTTATGAAAAAATTTTGTTGGAAAGGACAAGTACTACCTCAAGATTTATTAATAGAAGCAATATTTGGGGAAAACTTATATTATAGTCAAGAAAAATCGACCAGGTTTCAGTTATTGTAGGGTACATATTTAAGTATTTCAAATATCAATCTGTTCATGAAGGCCATTCAGAGCTCAGTAATTTGGGCATAATATTAAAAGGTAAGTGTGAACCTAAATTATTTAATCTTTGCAGATAATTTGAAAAGTTAAAAAAATAGAATGTATTTATTTCAGGAATTTATTTTTTCTGACTCTAAATGAAAGGAAAAATAATGGGTTCACAGACCTTTAAGTAATTTGCCTTCTGTTTGTTTTATGTTGCATGACCTATTGTAATATGGTCTAAGAGTGGCAGGTAAGTGTCATTGACCTTGGTGCATGTTGCAAAGCTTTTGCTTTTTTTGGCTGTTGATATCGCTTTAGCTTGTCTGGTTGTTAAATTGAGAAGAATTATTAAATTGGTGTTTTAGTGTGAATGATGCTATTTTAACTGATCAATAGAAAATTGTTAGGAAAGGGTGAAGAGGTATTTCTTAGGTTTTTAATCATGTGATCCCTTATATTTTTAAGTGTTAGAATGTATTTTTATATACTTAAAATTTAAGATGTTTTCTGATTTTAAAAACAAAACAAATAAATCACTTAAACCCCAGAAAGTCACTGCCTTTTCCTCCAACTTCAATTTAGTTTTTACAATTTTATGTAATTCATTCTATTTTATGAATCATTCTAAACCATGGCAGTTCATATGAACACATCAATTTATAGCTATCTCCATTTTGTAGAATAATTTGTGGTCTCTGGTTATTTTCTACTTTTATTCCATTTCTATAAAGGATCTGTTACAGTTTGGGTACTGTGTACAGGCTAGTAAAGAGTAGTAAATCAATATCAGGTCCATGTGAAATTGGGTTTCAGGGGAAATTGGGTTTTTAGGGGAAATACTGTTAAATATTAGATGAATATTAGTTTTCTTGACCCTTCTCAACAATTTACCAGTGCTATGTTAAGTGCATGTTTAGCATGACTTTTAATCAGCTTGAGGATGTCGAGCAGATTGCTGACTTGAAGATATTCTTTCAGATGAGGCAACTTACATTAGAGCTGTATTTTAGTTTATTTGCATCTGTTTCAAACTTGGTCTTGTGTCTTTTTCTGCTATTCTGTCTCCCTTTTCCTCTTTGTCTCAAATTCCTTACATTTACAGAATCTTGACTTTGATAGTCAAGATCTTGTTCAAGACTTGGCACTTGATCTTTTTGTAAACCTAGTATTATGTTATGGTCAAGTGGGAAGCATGAATTTAAATGTAGTATTTAAAAGATTACTTGGTCTTGGCTTTCCAATCTGTGGGAGTGTTTGGATCATTTTATACACACACACACACACACACACACACACACACACCTTTTTTTTTTTTTTGATATGAGGTCTTACCCTGTCACCCAGACTAGAGTGCAGTGGCGCAATCTTAGCTCACTGCAACCTCTGCCTACCTGGCTCAAGGGATCCTCCCACCTCAGCCTCCAGAGTAGCTGGGACTACAGGCACATGCCACCAAGCCCAGCTAATTTTTCATATTTTTGGTAGAGATGGGGTTTCACTCTGTTGCCCAGGCTGGTCTCAAACTCCTGAGCTCAAGTGATCCACCCACCTTGGCCTTCCAAAGTGCTGGGATTACAGGTGTGAGCTACTGCACCTGGTACATTATTATAATTTAATAATAGTGACAGGAAAAGGTAAAAATTGCAAGCAACAATAATAACCAATAATGCAGAAATACATATAAAATGTTAACTGTAAAGGCAGATATTGTTGCCTATATCAGCCAATGTAGATCTTCTGGTTTTATACTTACTGGTATACTATAAATGAAATTTAGTGACAGCATACTGTATACCAAACTAGAGTTTACCCATTGTTATTTCTTATTTAGATTTTTAGATACATTGTCTTTTGATTCTAACATTGGCATTATCTTAATTTAATCTCTGTATATTTTTCTTCTTTTTGGAAATATGCGTTTGTAAAAGCTTACCTTATAAGCTACTATGGTGACCTTGGCCTATCAGATGGGTGTTCTCTTAAACCGTTTTATACTGCTTTATACCAGACTCAAAATTGCCAACATAGTTATCTGCTAATTCTCAATAACTTAAAGCCACATTATTTTTGCTAGAGTAATTAGTACTACATTGTTTATTTCTAGATGCACTTTAATATTCATGTCACCAGAGTAATTTAGTTTTACTGTTTTATTAATCTGATTGATTAAGTCTATCCCAATATGTCTCTGCAGTTGGGTGACCCAATATGTCTCTGCAGTTGGGTGACCCAATATGTCTCTGCAGTTGGGTGACTACAGAAATAATTCATGCAGATTACCTCGCTATTTGTATCATATTATATACAAATGACATACTCTAGTGCATTTGAAATGTAATTTAATGGAATCTTGTAGTTTACAAAATTAAGATTGTCTTTAAAGTAAATCATTATTCCTTTAATTTACTCCTCTCATGACCCCTGTAACTGTTTTTCACTTCAGTTCAACATACATTTATGCCTTGCCTCCTGTATACCAGCCAGTAGGTGCTGGGGTTGCAAAATAACTAAGATACAACCCATACATGCTGGAAGCTCTCAATCTAGTAGGAGAGGATAGACACGAAAGCTCATAATTTTGTTTTGTTTTGTTTTTGAGACAGGGTCAGTCTCTGTCGCCCAGGCTGGAGTGCAGCGGCATGATCTCAGCTCACTGCAGCTTTGACCTCCCAGGCTGAAGTGACCCTTTCACCTCAGTACCCAAAAGTAGCTGGAATTACAGGTGCCCACCTGCCAGAAAACTCAGTTTTACTTAAATTATTTATTTTCAACGTGTAGCTCATGAAGATACTAACTTTAAATGGCAGGGAGTAGATTGAGAATCATCATGGAAGACCTTTTTTTTTTTTTCTTGAGATGGAGTCTCACTCCGTCACCCAAGCTGGAGTGCAATGGCATGATCTTGGCTCACTGCATTCTCCACTTCTGGGTTCAAGTGATTCTCCTACCTCAGCCTCCCGAGTAGCTGGGATTACAGGCATGCAGCACCACACCCAGCTAATTTTTTTATTTTTAGTAGAGATGGGGTTTCACCATGTTGGCCAGGCTGGTCTAAAACTCCTGACCTCAGGTGATCCACCTGCCTCAGCCTCCCAAAGTGCTGGGATTACAGGTGTGGGCCACCACACCTGGCCCATCATGGAAGACTTTCTGATGGTGATGTTTGAATTGGGTTTTGGAGAGTGAATTAGAATGTTTTGAACTAATACAGTAAAGGACAGTAGAAAGAAGGAACAACATGGACAGAGACCTTAAGGCATGAAATGTCATTCTGTATTCAGTTAGACGTTTAGTCTTGATAGAAGGATTTTTTCCTTAGAACAGATTACACCTATATGATAAGATTTTATTTTGTTTTTATTTAATAATAGTTCAGTTAAAATATAAGCCCAAAATTGCTCCATAAAATTTGGCAGCAGTTATGCTATTGACAGCATATAAAAAGCACTCAATCGAGCTAGGTGCAGTGGCTCATGGCTGTAATTCCAGCACTTTGGGAGGCCACAGCAAAAGGATCACTTGATTCAAGGAATTTGAGACCAGTCTGGGCAACATGGCAAGACTCTATCTGTATGAAAAAAAAAATTTTTTAATTAGCTGGGAATAGTGATGTGTGCCCTTGCAGTGAGCTGTGATTTGCTCTACTGCACTCCACCTTGAGTAGCAGAGTGAAACTGTCTTTGAAAAAAAAAAAAAGCACTGAATGGGGGCCTGCATAGCCTCTTCTAGTTGTTGGAATTTCCTATTTTATAACAACAGTGTTAATTTATAGCTTATTCTAATGACAAATCTTTAGCCTCAGTAACTTCCATAACTGCTAGCTCACTAAATTCTAGTTCTTGGGAGAAAAGAGACTTGTATTTAGTTTTGTGTCCTTTCCCAATCTTAGCATAGTGCTTTTTAAATGATAGAAGTTCAGTAAGTATTTTTTAAACTTGACTCACTTACCTCCAGGGAAATCAAAATAGGAGAGTAAATAGAGGTAGTCATTTGTTAAGGGAGAAATAGAGTATATTTTCTCTGATTCTGTTATAGTGCCTTTCCATTGAGTCATGCATTTCCTCTATAGTTCTTGTGTCCTTTGTGTTACTTGTTTCCCCCTTATCATTTAGAAATATTGGGACCTACTCTAACTTATTTTTTCATTTATCTCTTGCATAGTTTCAGTTGGTTTTGCCCTGTACTTTGAAATATCTTTATTCTGGTGTCATCTTTCTTATATTTATTTTTCAAAAATGATATAGGATCATAGTTATTCAGAGATCAAAAAGCATAGTAGTCTCCTTTAATTCATGCCAGAGGCTTATTTATGTCTCTGTACCCTCTCATTCATTCAAAATGTATTACAGAAAATCTAGGTACTGAGTTTACAGATGTACCAGTGGTACATACTGTACATTCTGGTCTCTGTCTTGATGTAACTTACAGAGATAGATTGCGTAGGTTTATTAAGTGAATTAATGTAAAATTAAAGCAGAAAGACCCCTTATCACAATTATAATTTTTATCTTGACTTTTTATTTTTTCATTTCATAGTTAATCTTTGCTTCTTTTTATATTACAACGACTTCAATTTTAGCAGTTATATTGACTCTTTTTCTACCCTCCACCCTATAAGAAATTAGTGTGAAGTTAATAAAATTTTTAATTTACCTTCAATAAGAACAATTGAAACATGCCTTAATTTCCCTTGAACAGCTTTAAAAACTAAGCTTGATGAGTAATGAATATGTCTACCCTCAGTAGTAGATACATTATTTTGCAATTTTGCATGTCCTTTTGTAAGCTGACTAAATGGTACTTTTTTTTTAAATAGTAAAGCCATTTTTTTCTATGGAAAATCAAAGTGACAAGTCTTGGTTGCATTATATAGTACCGTTTTTTGAAAAAAATAAAATAAAAAGCTTTGTTTTATACAGCTTTTCCCCCTTCCTAGTATTTCACCCTTTTGCATGACTTGCTTTCAGTAAAGTAGTGCTTACTTGTCTGCTATTTTCTGTTTGTCTTCATTTCTATAGCAGTCTTCAGCAGCTTTCAAAATTATAAATGTGACTTTCCTGTGACAGTCTAAAAAATGTTTAATCATTGTGGTGCTGGGTGTTTTTCTCACCCTAAAGGGAAACTTAAATCTTCTCCTCTATTTTTAAATTTCTTGGTACTTATTAAACCTTTACTAGTTATTAACCACTTACAAGGTCTACTTAAGTCTACTTGATAATGTTTCGTTTGTATGTTAAGTCTCAGTGTCACATTTTTATGTTAACAGCTAGTCACCACACCTAAAATACATAGTCTAGCATTTTCAAACTTCACAGATACCTTTGATATATAATAGCTAAACTATTGTCCTTTGTCATGAATTCCCACTTCATGAATTCAAACTAAATACGTGTCTACTATTGATGTTATGTCTGTAGTTTCACAATTCCATATGAAAAAGTGTAAGACTGTCGTTTTTTGCATGTAAAACATATTTTTCTCTACTGAATCTGATGTAAGTATAAAAGTTATGAAGTGTGCTTTTTTAAAAAGAGTGTATGTCTGACTATTACATTGGAAAATATGGTCTGGCTAAATGTAAAATATTTAGCAGTAAATTATTACTGCTAAATAGCAAAGCTTGATCTATAAGAAAGCTAACCATTTAGTTGCAATATCAGTATTTGTTCCTAGTGATAATACCTTTGTAGCCTTGGATAGAGAGTCTTTTTAATTTTTCAATTGGCTCCTCTTGTATAATTATTTTGTCACAGTATTTTCCTCCTAAAAAATGATTTCTGAAAAGAAATTTGAAAAATAAGGGAACAGATATGTAAACACATTCTTAAGTTGACTTTACAT
This sequence comes from Homo sapiens, assembly GCF_000001405.40. Classification (NCBI taxonomy): domain Eukaryota; kingdom Metazoa; phylum Chordata; class Mammalia; order Primates; family Hominidae; genus Homo; species Homo sapiens. The sequence continues at coordinate 129,873,124 of NC_000008.11, read as the reverse complement.
ATGAATGTTACTTTATTGTTGCTGTAGTACTGTTTTACATATGTTGAGTTTAAAATTTGGTAATGTAATTATTGAATTTTAAAAAAAATGTGGTATATTTTTGACTATTTGGCAGGTTTATTAGGTAGAATTGAATTATGACTTGCTCCAAGCACAAAATAACGTTACCGTTTTTAGGGATCTTTACTCCCAGTTTCACGTGTAAACAAAGTTTCTTTACAATGTTCTAAGTAAAGGAATAAAGAAATCATTGTGTATTTGTGGTGAGGTGAAAAGGAGCAGAAAAGTCTAGTTAACTAATTTTATATGATTGGTAGACAAAGATTTACCAAAAACCTTCTTGTTTGTTAAAATATTTTTAAACTTAAAAGACCAGTGTGATAGTATTAAAAACGTTCTTACTTCATCTTATAAATTTGGACTGATTCCTTTTCCCTCATAAGAGAAAATTTTAGCATGGAGGAATTCTGCCAGTCATTTTTCTCTAAAATATGATAATCATAATGTTTATGATTTTAAGTGCTTTATGCCTTACCTGTGGTGCTGAATGTGGCCTAGTTGGAAAGATTTGTAAAGAAACCTTCATTTCCTCTTAGAGTCCACCTTTTTCCTTAAAATATAAAAGATTTGTCCTTAGAGAAACAAATGACCAGTATTATTAAAAGCAAGATTTCTGTTAACTTGAGTCAAGCAGAGAGAAATCCAGATTTAGTCATTCATTAACATATGTTTTGTGGCTAACACCACAGGTGGTGAAAATGCCCATATGTTTGTGTCCTTGATTCTGCTTTTTATAACTGTAATTCTTCCTTCATTTTTCTCTTACTCCCAAGTGTGTAGGAACTCAGATTTTCTTTAGTATTTCAAAATTTCAGTAGTAGTATTGTAGTGTAGCTTAAAGTATCTAGTTTTCAGCAGCTGAGTAATTGTGGAGCAGTTTTATAACTTGAAATCCTCTGCACAGGATTCTTGACCTTCTGTTCATCAGCAGAATAGTTCAGTGATACTCTCTTGGGTTTGTTGTTAGATATATATATCCTCTCTTCTTTAACCTATAATATCATATATGTTGAGACACTTTCGAAGTGATTCCTGGAAAAGGGGGTGAGCACCTAAAAACTATTAAAGTTTTTTTACTTTTTTATATCAAAACTCAGTCATTAAAAGTAAAATGAACTTTATAGGAAAATAAAAATAGTTTGTCTTAAACTATACATGAGCAACATGTTTTAGTAGGCTTTCTTTTGCATTAAAATCTGTGATTTCTGATGCATTTACAGTGATAGTGATGAATGTAGTAGAAAAAGTGATTGTTAAAACTATCACAATTAAAAATTTTAATTATAATTCTCAGATTGGTTTAATATACCAAGTCCTAATTTGGAACTTAAACTAAGTTAATAATGTTTGGTGTTCCCTTGTTTTCTGTAATATCTATGTACTTGAAACTAGTCATTTAAATGTAGGACTATGGAAAAAGTATTAGTCTTTTCTTTAAAAGTTCAAAGTTAACATTAACTAGAATTAACTCATCTTTGGAAATTTGGGTTGTTAATTGCTTAGAGTTACACATGTATTTTAAAAAATTCATGTCACTGTAAATTTTCTTGTGCTTTCCTGCTGTTTAGATGCCCAGCCTACAGAGTCTGAGAAGGAAATTTATAATCAGGTGAATGTAGTATTAAAAGATGCAGAAGGCATCTTGGAGGACTTGCAGTCATACAGAGGAGCTGGCCACGAAATACGAGAGGTAAAGCGCATTTATGTATTTTCTAGTTAACTGAAACTTACTGTCCCACCTCTTTGTAATCTCTTGTTTTCTAGACTTCAGAATTCTATATTTCATATTAAGTATTATATTTGAAGGATGCTCACTTGGCATTGTTTCAGAAGTGATTGCAGTGAAATGAGCATAAAAGGAAAAACTGTGTTCCATAAATAGGTAGTTTTTGTAAATTAAGAAAATGTTATTTACTTTTTGGGTTGCTCTTATACCTGAAATTTGCAGTATTTATGTGGTGCTTCCTAGGAGAAAGTGGAAATCATCCTTGCAGTCAGTACACCTTCCCCATGACTTTACATCACAAAGAAAATATGTAGTGTGGTCTCCCTCAACTTTCCTCTCCCAAACTGCTGAACTTTTTCAGGTTTGCATTCATCTCATTTTTTGTTTCTTTTGTTTTTCAGAAGAAGCTGTGTCCTTGCTTCTTTCCAAGACTGACTTCTTTACCTTTGTTCTTCATCCTGTTCTGAAACTTTACTCTTTTAATTATTTCTTCTTCTCTTAATTAAATCTTCTATCTTTTTTCTTTTACTGAATTCTTCCCCGTAGCATATCCATGTTTAGGTGTCCAGAACTACACAGAGGAACTCCCTGTCCCCTGGGCCTTCATCTCTCCCCTTCTCATTACTGCATTTCTTGAAGCCATTGCCCGTGCTGTGTTTCTTGATTCTTCCCATCCTCTGTTTTGTTTATTATTGTCTATAACAAAGAGTGCAGAGGTCATCAGGGTCACTCTTTGGGGCATACATTCCATATGGGGCATACATTCCATATCCACCTTGATTTCTCTTCTGACATTGGAGTACTAGTGAAGGCAGAATCAAGTGCAGACACCAGAAGGTGGTGATTCAAAACATGTGTTGGTGATTGACCAAATGTTTAGGGCAAGGGAAGAGAGAGAGTTAAATGATTCCATGGTGTTTATTTTATTTTGAGACAGGGTTTAGCTCCGTCACCCTGCCGGAGTGCAGTGGTGCAACCACAGCTCACTACAGCCTCAACCTGCTGGGCTCAAGTGATCGTCTTGCCTCAGTCGCCCAAGTAGCTGGCACTCACCACCATGCCTGGCTGATCCCCTGCCAAATAGAGGCAGGGTTTGCCATGTTGCCGAGGCTGGTCTTGAACTCCTGGCCTCAAGTGATCCCCCGCCCCGCCCCAACCTGCTTTGGCCTCCCAAAGTGTTGGAATTACAGGCATGAGCCACCATGCCTGGCCCTTGTTTTTATTTTACATTAGCAGATCGTAGTGTCATTAACTGAGGGAAATTCTGGTGTGAATTCTGTTTGTTGATATGCACCCTTCCTTTGTTTTTGTCTGGAATGACCTTCCTTTCATTTTTTTCTTCAACGCCCCCCCTCCCCCCACCCCCCCATAATCTCCTACTTCCTCTTACTCTTTTGCCCACATTATACACATTTCTTTTGTGGGAACCATTCCTTTTTTTGGGCGGGGGGGAGGTAAAACATTACTATTGAGTGTTTATCTCTGTACCACTGTACTTCCAGCTTGAGGAAGGTAAACCTGGTTTCTTATATATTTTGTTATTATCAGCACCTAGTACATTGTAAACTTACAGCACTTAGTAAGCGGTTAGCTGTTGAACAAATAAATACAAGGGCTTTGGTCTTGGCATTGTTATTGGCTTAAGTAAAACCTTAAGATTTCAGTAACTAAGGCATATAAGCATTTCTGTGAAATTCAAGTTCTCTAAACATTTAAACGTATTTTGAAAAATCAAACATTTGTGGAAGTGAAAGATTTAAATGATTTAGTAGGATCTTAATTAATTGGTAAAATTTTTTATGATGGTTATCAGTGCTACAAATTAGTTTAAATTGTTTATAAGTGTTAGGTCATTAAACTTCTTTAAAGCTTGTTGTTATGAAGAGAAAAATCTTACTCGCTATAGAGACAAACACTATTCATTACCTGTTTGATTTTTTTTTTTTTTTTTTTTTTTGAGGCAGAGTTTTACTCTTGTCACCCAGGCTGGAGTGCAGTGGCACAATCTCGGCTCAGCAACCTCCACCTCCCAGGTTCAAGCAATTCTGCCTCAGCCTCCCGAGTAGCTGGGATTACAGGCATGCACCACCATGCCCAGCTAATTTTTGTATTTTTAGTAGAGATGGGCTTTCACCATGTTGGCCAGGCTGGTCTCAAACTCCTGACCTCATGTGATCCACCCACCTCCGCCTCCCAAAGTGCTGGGATTACAGGCGTGAACCACCGCGCCCAGCCTTTTTTTCTTTCTTCTTTATTTTTTTTTCTTCTTTTTTTTTTTTTTTAAATATAGAACTCTTAGGCTTTTTTTTAATGGGGTTTCGCTCTGTTGGCCAAGTTGGTCTTGAACTCTTGGCCTCAAGCAGTCCTCCCGCCTCAGCCTCCCAAAGTGCTAGGATTATAGGTATGAGCCACTGTGCCCAGCCCGGGTTTTTTTTTTTTTTTTTTTTAATTGCAGTACTTCCCATTGGGAGAATTATTCTGCTTCTGTGTGTGGGAAGGCTTTCTACAATAAAATAATAATAGTGTTTTCTCTAAAGTCTGTTTATATATTTGATTGGATGCATATTAAGATTCATTTGTAATCTTTTGGAATAGAGTATAGTGGTAGAAAAGTTTATATATAGGATATATCAAAGAGACTTTCTGGGGCTGGGAAACCAGGATCTCGTAATGCTATGACCAAAGATTGAAGTTTTGCATAGGATACCGTAGTCACTCAGTAGTGCTGTTTTCCTGAGGAAATACAAGACATAGCCACGCATAGTTCACTCAAAAATAGTCCATGATTGGTGATGTGAGAAAGTAAGTAAGTGTCTCCAAGTTTAAAAGAAAAGAGAAAGTTTACATAGAAAAATAACATTGAAGAACACCAAAATATAAGGGAAAAGTAAAAAGCAATGGTAAGTAATTCATCTTACCAGGCTTGAAACAACTTATAAAGGTACCATTGTTAAACATTGATAAGTAATAAAAGAGAAATAGGCATTGAAATACAAAATATGTAAGCTAAAAAACGGAAAAGCTGCATTTAAATCTACTGTAGATCGGGGACAAATATGTAACTATTGAAGCAGTTGAAATTTTTGTTGAGAAGTTGATGCAGGTTTAATGATACAAAGAGAAAAGATTTCTGAAGAGTAGAGAAACAAATTAAGAAAGGAATGTACAAATAAAAGATGAATATACACCAAATATACAAATAACTGATGTGTTACAAGAGTCATAGGTCAATAATTAAATTGCTAATAGTGTTAATTAATAAGACTTAGAGCAGCCAACTATTCTACCTATAAAAAAGCACAGACAACAGAAAAAATGGTCAGCTTTGCTAGTAAGTGCACATCACTGTGAAGAAGTTTTGGTTGGTTTGTGAAGAAACAGTAATCTCAGTTAGTGCAAGAAGTATTGTAAAATGGGTAGTCTTTTTGGAGGTCAGTTTGAAGTATATTTAAAAAAAAACTATAAAATTGTTTGTGCTCTTGCACCAGGTACTTATATTTTATAAAACATTGCAAACAACTAGTTTAAGAGGAAATGTCAATGTAAAAACTGGTATGGCCGCCTTATTCATAGTAGCAAAAATGTGGAAGCAATTCACAGCGTTATTATGAAGATAAAATTAGACAATCCATGTAAACAGCATAGCACCGTGTCTGATACACAGCTAAAATGAACTGAGAGTTTTCTTATTATCACTGTACTAATAATGTTGAATTATATATTAATATATTTTACTTTAAATAATTTTTTAAACATTATTAAATAGAATAAAATTTGATTTAAGATAGAATCTATTAAATAAACAATGCTTATTGTCTAGGATTAACCACCTAGAGGGAAATAAGTACTTTCCATTAATGTAATATGTCCCTAACCATTTTAACTTTTTTTTTGTAAATTTTAAAAAAATAAATAGCCAAATTGGTGGCACACACCCTGTAATCCTAGCACTTTGGGAGGCCAAGACAGGTGTATCACCTGAGATCAGGGGTTCAAGACCAGCCTGATTAACATAGTAAAACCGCATCTCTACTAAAAAAAAAAAAAAAAAGCCAGGTGTGGTGGCACATGCCTGTAATTCGAGCTACTTGGGAGTCTGAGACAAGAGAATCACTTGTACCTGGGTGGTGGAGGTTACAGTGAGCTGAGATTGCACCATTGCACTCCAGCCTGGGCAACAAGAGTGAAACTCCATCAAAATAAATCAATAGAGACAGAGAGACAGACTTGCTGTGTTGCCGAGACTGGTCTTGAACTCCTGGCCTCAAGCGATCCTTCTGTCTCAGCGTCCCAAAGTGCTAGGATTACAGGCGTGAGCCAGTGTGCCCAGCCAGTTTAATATTTTTGAAAATAAGTTATACCTGCTCTGTAATAACCTCACCATTGACGTTTACTAAGTGCCCTTTTGCATGTTGGGCTATAATGGGTGTTGACCCAAAACCTTATCAAACAGAGTAAATTATTGTGAGAGGACAAGGAATTAGAAGTATAAGGAAGAACCATAAAATGTTTATTATAAGAGAGCAGCCAGTGTCTTCAGTTCTAAATCTAGGCAAGGCAGGGGCAGGGAAATGGTTATCTCTGTCCAGTTATGAAAATGGGTGACATTTGCTAGAGCATTTTTATATTGTGAGAATGAATTGATATTTAGAAAAGCATTTTTAGATCCTTGCAAGAAAATAGGATCGACTTCTTTAAGAGAAGAAAATAAAATTTTAACTTTTGTCTATTTGCTTTTTTGTTGTTGTTACTGTTTTTAGTTTAATAGACATTTATTCCTTTAGTTGAACAATCTCTATATACAGTCAAAATGTGTGATTTAAGTTATTATTATTTTTTTTTTTAGTAGAAAGGAATTTAGATCTCAAGAACTTCTGTGAACTTTCTATGAATATTCCCTGGAAATCAGTTAACCAAGCCTTTTGAATCCCATAGAGAAGATAGGAGAAAAATTAGTCCATAGAAACCAGTATTTAAATTAAAGCCAGCAAATCCAGAATTGAGAAGAATTGTGCAATTCCTTTTCTGCATTTCCTTCACACTCAAATTTACCCTGGTAGACAGTAGCCTCGTCTATGGAAAAACGTGATAAAAACAAATGCAATGCATTGTGGTGGTATGTAAATGTTGGCACATACCTGATGTTCCAGCTTTGTTGAATGATAAGGATTTTAGGGTAGTTTGAGCAGGGACAAGAAAAATAACTGCACACAACACATACGGTTAGATTGGAAACCAGGAACTTATACTGGCTTCAATTATGACTTTTCTCTGTAGCCTGTGAGTGTGGACAGAGTGGGTTGGCTCAAGATGTTTTTATTTGTAAGGCTAACTGGTCTAAGAATGATGTACATGCTTCTGAATAGCCAACTATTTTCCCCGATGTGGCTGAAGGGATTCATAATGGTCACAAATTAGTGTTACTGATAAATATTTTAAAAACTTGATCAAAGTTGACTTTTTCTACCCTCACACTTGAAAGGTATTTATCTAAAGCTTACTGGCTTCCCATCCTAGCATTGATTAGTAGTTTGTAAAAGTTAAGGTTAATAATTCATATTTATATAACATTCAGTTTCACAATACGCCAGTGTAAATAGCCTTACTGACTACTATCCATTGATTTCTATAGAGCTATGGCATTGGAACTTTTATGTGAACTTAAAATGCTACTGTGGAGACTGAGGCAGTTTTGTTTAGGTTAACCCAGATTTGTTTCATTCCTAAGAAAAGCCTCTTGCAACACGTTTATTATTCTGAGAAATGATGGCATTTTTGGAAACTTTTCTCTCAGAAGCAGGAGTCATACAAATGAAACAATAGATTAAATTCAAAAATGTGGATTCTATTTGAGTCCATGTTTTTCTACGTATGATCACGACATAGGGTTAAGGTATCCTTCTCCCACTCTGCAAATGTCTAAAGCAAAACTAAAAAAGTTTGTACTTGCTGAACCCAGCCACTTGAAAGTAAACCAGCACAGTGTTGCCATCACCCCAATAAAGCTGTAAGATTAATCACATGCACCAGACAAATCTGCAGAGCTAGTTAAAGAATTTATTTTAAACCTCCTGCACCACACAGCATGTTTTAAACACTTGACATGTAACTCCAAAGTTTATCTTACTAGAAAGAAGACATACTATCACTTTAAGTTCTATGATTTGACAAAGCATTCATGAAATAATCTGCAGACTGTTTTTGAAAAGTAACACCTGTAAACAGACATAACTATCCTAAATTGTTTATTAGATATTAATTATACAAACATATATTAGTGGTGAAGGTGGAGCTGGAGAGCATTCTACCTTCTCCAAGCTGCATGGCAAGAACCAGACATAGTTTTGTGGAATTTAGGGACCATCCAAGCCATTGCTCTTTCAGCTGGCAGATGTCAGCCCACGCATCACCCTGTGCTTATAGACTGGTATGGTGATCTGTTGGGTGTCAGGACTTCTTCTATAGCTTTATGGAATTGATCAATGAGGAAAACCTCAAAAATGTGTACGTGGAATCTTCACCAACCCAGTAAGAATTCAGGACGCGGCCCCACAGTGGTGTCCAGCTCACTCCTTAGCAATGTACCGAAGGCTTTGAGCAAACTTCAGCAGATTACCACCATAAAGGACAGGCTACCCATACATTGCACCCTTAGGAACTGGGCATTTTCAGCCGCCACAGTACACACAAATCCTATATATGACATAACCTTGTGTGGCCTAGTCTGCACACTTTATTGGGCTGGGTGGGGCCAGGATCTCTGTGGAGAGAAGAGAGCTGATGGTACTGCCATCAGTGAAAGCACACTACATCAAACTACTTCTTCCTCCATGCCTCCTGGATGGACTTGTGTGTACCCATCTTGGCTTATTTGATGGCTGCCACCAGACAGAAAGGCTTATTTACTTGTCTGCTGAATAACAAATACAAGAAACAAATTTTTACTACCTGATAGAAATCATTACCAAGTCTGGGCCTGCGGCCAAAGGATTTTTTTTCATCTATATCAGCATATCAAGGTCTCTTTGAGATGTTCTCATTACTATAGAATGTGAACAAAGGATTGTTACATGTTGTAATGTCAGATTTTCTTCAATGTTACAATATTTCTAGATTAATGACATAAGTAGGATTGACTTCAGGCTTCTAATGGGTTTAAGCATCATTTAAAAATATTGAATAAAACATCAATTTGAAAATGGTGCCAAGCTTGTAAAGTAAATTGCTTAACCAGTATATAGCCCATTAATTCAGTTTGCAGCTAATTTGTTCAGAGCATCCGTTAGATCTGTCTGGGTTCAATTTTATTTTGCTTTCCTGAATTTTTGTTTTTTGTGTGGATGGAGTCAGAATACTAGTGCCTTGGGAGTATTGAGACATGTCATATAACCTCTTGGTAGTGTTTATAAGCAGGTCCCTGCTTTAGTTCTGAATTTCAGATGGTATGTTTAGTTTGTTTCAAGATGTTAGAGAAAGTAAATCAGGTTGTTGAAGAACATGTTAACTTCTGTAAAGGAGTACAAAAAACATCTATGGGCAAATGAAAGATAAAGACAAAAAAATATGTATTTTTGGAAATAACCCTCTATTCAGAAAAGATTACTTAATGATTTGAAAGACTGGGTATAGAAGAAGTCATTTATATTAAGGATCTCTAGATTATATTTTCTTCCCTTTCAGATTTGAAACTAGTTTTTCATCTTACTCAGGAAAGCCTGAGAAAAGTTATTATCTAGAATAGGATAGGATTTTAGTTATAGAGAATAAGTATCTGTGACAATTCTTCTTTTTTGTATTTTCTTTTTTTTTTTTTTAAGACAGAGTCTCGCTCTATCACCCAGGCTAGAGGGCAATGGCATGATCTCGGCTCACTGCAGCCTCCACTTCCCGGGTTCAAGCAATTCTCCTGTCTCAGCCTCCTGAGTAACTGGGATTACAGGCACACACCACCACACCTGACTAATTTTTGTATTTTTGGTAGAGACGGGGTTTCACCACATTGGTCAAGCTGGTCTCGAACTCCTGACCTTGTGATCCGCCTGCCTCAGCCTCCCAAAGTGCTGGGATTACAGGCGTGAGCCACGGCGCCCAGCTGACAATTCTTAAATCACAGTTTCAGCTTGATTTAGGTTCTTAAGTCGTAGGTAGTTTTCTTAATGCTAGTTTAGACCCTGGAATTTTAATTATTGGAAATTTCTTAGCCTGTTCCCAGAGTTGGCATCTTATTGTCTTACTTTTTGAGTTTTCTTTTCTACTGCTAAAATAATTCTTTGACAAAGAAATACTAAGAGACTCTGTGATATGGGAAACATATGCAATATTTTTTTTTGTGGATCTGCTGGGCACCAAGGCATAAAATATTTAACAAACATATTGGATCATTTTTAAATTTTCATTATGTTCATATCTATTGCAAGGATAACTAAGAATGTATTATGTTAGTTATGTATCTAACTAAGGTTGAAGTATCTATGGAGCTGAGAAGACCCACTCTTAGCACTCCTATGGAGTGTCTGTGGAGTTGAGAAGACTCACCCTTAGCACTCAATATAGAATATTCAACACTCAGCCGTGCGTGGTGGCTCACGCCTATAATCCCAGCACTTTGGGAGGCCAAGGTGGGTGGATCACCTGAGGTCAGGAGTTCGAGACCAGCCTGGCCAACATGGCGAAACCCCATCTCTACTAAAAATAAAAAAATTCAGCTGGGTGTGGTGGCGCGTGCCTGTAGTCCCAGCTACTTGGGAGGCTGAGGCAGGAGAATCACTTGAACCTGGGAGGCAGAGGTTGTAGAGAGCCGAGATCACGCCACTGCACTTCAGCCTGGGCAACAGAGTGAGACGCTCTCTCAAAAAAAAAAATATTCAACACTCCTAGATTCAATATTCTATATTTTATGGATTATACCAGTGTTTCCTATGTTTGCTAAAGCCTACATTTTAATGTAAAAATGAACCTTTTTTTTTTTTTAACTCTAACTATTTTTATTCTTTGGATTTTGAAGGCAATCCAGCATCCAGCAGATGAGAAGTTGCAAGAGAAGGCATGGGGTGCAGTTGTTCCACTAGTAGGCAAATTAAAGAAATTTTACGAATTTTCTCAGAGGTTAGGTAAGTTGAAAGTTTTGTAATTGTGACTTCCCTAGTGAAAAAGATGTTTATTCATTCCAGAAGTTTAGAGTTTTTTTATGTTCATAATGCTGAATTTGGCTTAGTATCTGTTTTATAAGTAAAGCAAGCTTGTTAGACTGTAAGATTATAGTTAATCTTCTTTCAACCCTGGCCTTTTAATTCATTTAGACCATTTTTGTCCACAAGTTATTTTCCTCATCATCTGTCGTTTTACATACATGAATCTGAGCATTGATTTTAAATGATTTTAAGAACACAAAAGTTTGACTAACCAAGGGCCTGAGGATTACTTTCCCATATATGGGAAAAGGACTTACTGTAGCGATGGAGAGAGATTCTACCAAGTGATTTCTCATAATAGGACCCTTTAGCATCCAAAGAAATCAAAGAGGTTTTCTTGAAATTTTTACTGGTTACGCTTAATTCATGTATCTAAAACTGTAGAAGATGAGAAATAGGCTGGGTGTGCTTGCTCATTTCTGTAATCCCAACACTTGGAGGCTGAGGTTGGGAGATTGCTTGAGCTCAGGAGTTCGAGACCAGCCTGGGCAACATGGCAAAATCCCGTCTCAAAAAAAAAAAAAACAACAAACAAACAAAAATAAGCTGAGTGTGGTGGCACATGCTTGTGGTCTCATCTACTCTGGAGGCTGAGGTGGGAGGATCACCTGAGTCCAGGAGGTCAAGGCTGCAGTAGCTGTGATCACACCACTGCACTCCAGCCTGGGCGACAAAGTGAGACCCTGTCTCAAAAAAGAAAGAAAGAAATAGAAAGCTAATGATATACCCAAAGTTGTCTAGGGAGTTATTAAAGCAAAAAGAGTTCAAAACAGTTTGCTTTTTCCCTTGCTTGGGAAAAATTATTCAAAGGTCAGAATTGTGTCTTCAATATGAGTAAGCAAAATTGGAACTCCCTTTATTGGAGGAGGAGGAGGCAGAGCAGGTAAGATTTAGCCAGTTAGCTCTTTGTTTGATTTTAAAGTTGTAAATGTGAAGCACTTTATTTTGTACAGTGAATAGACACAGGAGAGGAATAGTATAGATGTGTGTCAGAAATTAGGACGATTTGAATGTAGTTAAAACACGTACTTCCATATAGTTTGAATTTTTGAAATGTATAAACATTACAAATTAATCATAAGAAAATCATACTGTGATTGTTTTTTAAATACATAAGCCAGAAACCAGGGGGTATATACTGTAAGACTGAAGTCAAACTGGGGACCCAAAAGCTAAATTTAGACTTGAGAGATGTGATTTGTCTGGCCCACATAATTTTGAAAATTTCTACTTAGTTGCCAGGTTTAACACTTGGTCACTGTATGGTTTTTTTTTTTTTTTTCTTTAAGCCTCCAACTAGCAATAATTGATCTGCATGTTAGAGAGCCAGAACCACATGGCAAACCATCTCTGCCTCCATTAGTTAGGACTTGTGCTTTCTAGTTTGTAATAAGTTTTTATTGCTTCATGTTTTTTAATATCTTACTATATTTATATTTGCTATTTGGCCATTTGTATTTGTAACTTCTGAAGTTGAAGTTCCATTTTTTAAAAATGCCTATGTTCTTAAAAAAAAGTAAGACAGTTGCTGTTTTTCCTTTAGATGCAGTACAGCCTGTTAAATGTAATGTTAAGACAGACAGTAGTTTGGATAGAAATATTGTATAAATTATCTTTTTCTTACTGGAAATAAGAATTGTAATTTATTTTCCCAATTTTAGTATTAGTTATTTTACAGTATTTGTCTTTCAATCAAGAGTCTCTATAGTTTGTAGCTTTGCACTTTATAACCCAATCAGCCTAGGTTTTCTGTCTTGGTTGTCTTCTCTACTATATACAGCTTTTCTTACGCTGGTTTCTGGCTGCATTTATAGTTAAATTGCTTTTGATGGTGCTCAGATGCTATTCAAGCTCATCTTGGTCTTTTAGCATATCCCAATACACAAAGAATAATTGTAAAATAGGCCAAACTAGTTGGACTTAAGTGTTATATTTTTACCATGGGAATTAATCGGTCTCGTGGTGTGTGTCCCATCATGGGTGCTATTCCAGCACAAACAGCACCATGGAGCAGCATGCAACTATGAAGACACACATGATCCTTCAGAATCTTGCAGTTCTAAGGAGAAGGTTTCTTGGCCTGAGCACTACAGATACACCATGGGTTATACTTCAGAAGAAGGACCCTGATCCCTTGCCAGTTTGCATACTTACAATGGGACAGGGCAAGGATTACCTGCTTAATTTGAAGATACTCAGTTTTGCTGACAGGGTTTAACTACACTGCCCTGGTAAATGTGGGCGGCAAGCCACCCAGGTGCCGAGGCAAGAGACCGAGGACACGAGTTGTTCCAGTATAATAAAATATGAAACAAGAATAGTTATACCAGATATAGATCTTAGATATGATTACATATGAATATCATTAATCATTAATTGGTACAATTACTCTTTATTCCAATATTATAATAATCCTCGCTCTATAATCATAACCTAGGAAAAGCCAGGCCATACAGAGATAGGAGCTGAGGGGACATAGTGAGGAGTGACCAGAAGACAAGAGTGCGAGCCTTCTGTTATGCCCAGGCAGGGCCACCAGAGGCCTCCTTAGTCTAGCGGTGACACCAGCGTCTGGGAAGATGGCCGTTGCCAAGCGGACTGTGGTCTAGCGGTAGCCTCAGTGTCAAGGAAAAACACCCGCTACTTAGCAGACTGGGAAAGGGAGTCTCCCTTTCCCCGGGGGAGTTTAGAGAAGACTCTGCTCCTCCACCTCCTGTGGAGGGCCTGACATTAGTCAGGCCCACCTGCAGTTATCCGGAGGCCTAACCATCTCCCTGTGATGCTGAGCTTCAGTGGTCGCGCTCCTAGTCCGCCTTTATGTTCCATCTTGTACACCTGGCTCTGCCGTTTAGTTAGCAGTAGCAAATTAGTGAAAGTACTAAAAGTCCCTGATAAGCAGAAATAATAATGTAAGCTGTTTCGCTCTTTCTCCTCTCTCTCTCTGCCTTGGCTGCCAGGCAGGGAAGGGCCCCCTGTCCAGTGGACATGTGACCCATGTGGCCTTCCCTATCATTGGAGATGGCTCACACTCCTTATCCTGCCCCTTCGTCTTGTATCCAATAAATATCAGTGCAGCCTAGCATTCGGGGCCACTACCGGTCTCTGCGTCTTGGTGGTAGTGGTCCCCCGGGCCCAGCTGTCTTTTCTTTTATCTTTGTCTTGTGTCTTTATTTCTACACTCTCTCGTCTCTGCACACGGGGAGAAACCCACCGACCCTGTGGGGCTGGACCCTACAGTAAACTTGCCATACTTGCTTGTTCTGTACTTGCTTGTTTTGTTCTGAGGCCTTGGAGCCCCTCCTGTTGAGGCAGATACCTAAGGGAAGGTTGTATGGTCAGGTAGTAGGACAAACTGCTTTGTCTCCCCTCAGTCTTGCTCATGCTTTAGGGGCTTACATTAGGGACTGCCTCCAAGGGTCATAATAAGTCCCTTCAACATGTTAGCTTCGTTTCACTGGGCAGAATTTATCAAAATGTATTTTAAAGGCCCCAAATGCCCACCGTTAATTGTGGTCATGACTCTTGGTTGTCTTAAATCCTTTAGAATCCATGTCCTCAGGTTCTCTTCTGAGAGTTTGAGAGTAGATAGATGGCAGTTGATGAGAATAAACGACTGTTGTCTCTATAGGGAAACTCTCCCCAGGGGCCTCCTCTTCCTAATCAACTAGTTATTCTTCCCTGTCCTAGCTTGTGGACTGATTTGTCATCTTTATCATTCCTTCTAGTTGTCTTTTCCTTGCAACCTCCTTCTGTGGTTTTGGCTCCTGCACTCATCTGCCAGCTTCCTTTGGTTCTTCCAGAACTTAGGGCTTAATAGACTATTAATTTTCTCCTGGTCATCTGCTTTTTAAAAAATCATAATCTCATGGTTTTGTTTTAGGAGCTTCATCTGAGTCCAATCCCAGGCATCTTTTCTTTGTCCTCTCTTTCTCTCCAACTCATCCAGAGACCTCTGGGACATTTTCTGTGGGATTGTCTCCAGTTTCTCTCTTGAGACAGAGCATTGTAGGCTAGTAGGACTGACTTGTGCCAGCACAGGCCTGCAGGGTGAGGCTGATCTAGCTGCTTCAAAGGCAGATTAGCAGATTTATCATCTTGAGCTTCCCTTTCAACATAGATCTACCATGGAGGGCCTCAGCCATTCATAGACAAAAGTTCTGCAACTACTGGTCACTGACCATCCCAACTTAGTCAAGCGACCTGACTCCAGTCCCAAAAGTGGTAGAGAACTTGGAATGCTGAAATTAACCCTGAGACTTGATAAAGTCTAGGCAGATGCATTTTTCTTTTTTTCTTTAACAGACTATAATAATATTTTGTAAAAATGTTTTTTTCTGTTCGGTGTCTCTCTTACTTAGTTTTCCAGTTAACACCAACAGAAAGAATGAATCTTGGGAGAAGTAAACCATTTTTAAAATATAACCCAAAATGTTTGACTTTTAATTGATCTTCTTCACATCCACTGTTACACCTTGATACACCATCCATACCCCTATAGTCCATGCTCCACACTGCAAATGAAGTAGCATTTTAAAATGCGAATCTGCTGACGCCACTCCTCTGCTTAGATGATTTCTCTAGGGACATTAGGATGCCAAAGCCCGAGTACTTAATGTGGTCCACAAATTACATGTGTATGAATCATCTTAGTCCTGGTTACCCTCCTCCTTGCCCTCTGTGCTCCTATATTGGTGGTGTTGCAGTTCCTCAAGTATGTCATGCTCTTCTCAGTTCAGGGTCTGGCTTCCTGCCTTTCTGTCTGCAAACTCATGTTCATCCTTACTACATACTTCAGTCTCAGTCCAGGAGTCATTTATTCAGGGAGATCTTTTCCTGGGCCTTCCATTAGGTGAGGTCTTATTTTTATACCTTTCCACTGTACTTATTTTCAGCACATATCACAGCTGTAATCATTTGTCTGTCTTCTCTCTATATAATAAGGCTCCATATGGGCACAGGGAGCATGTCTGTCTACATCCATTTTCCCAGTGCTTGGCACAGAGTAGCCAGTCAGTACATTTTCAGACTTACTGGAAAAAAAAGGATAATAGCTGTCATTTAGAGTTATTACATGGATGAGAAATAATGTCTGTGAAGAAATAGTTCAGTACCTGGTATCTGACAGACACACAGGAAGTACCTACTATTGTTTTTAATCAGTAGATTAATGTTTTGTAGGGTTACAGAAGTAATTGGTACTATTGGTAGTAATCAGGAGGTTAATGTTTTATAAAGTTACAGAGGCTACGTACAATGTTGCTTTATTTCAGAGACAGTTTATTGTGGTAGAAAGAATAGGGCTTTGGAGTCAGAAATACCTAGCATTTACTAGCTATAACTTTGGGCTCTAAGTTCTTTGAAACTCATTTGATCCATCTGGAATGACCATGTCATAGTTGATGGTAAAAATCAAATGGGAGACTATATTCAGTGTACAGTAGATGTTGACTCATACGTAAATCTTCATAAATAGGAAAACTGGGGTTTTTTTAAAGTTACGGGCTGATGACCTGACATAAAGTTTTAAATTTATCATTAATATTTGTTTGTTAATCTGACATTTATTAACATCAGATCATAGTTTAACTCTGTAAGCTCTTATTTTCTCTGACCAGAATCTAGCAGCATTTTCCAGTTCTGTGATCTGTAACTGAATTCATTTGATTTCTATGGCTTTTTGAAATATTGAAATGAAATATTAGTATTTAGTATTTAATATTAGTATTAGTATTTAGTATTTCCATTATCAAACATGGTATTTATTAGCCTGGCATCCCAAAAGTAGCACTTATTTCAAAGGGACCATTTTGCTCACATAATGAATTAGAATATTTATATTGTAGTCTTGAAATGTCAAGTTCTAAGACAAGAAGCTTATTGAACCACATATTTTGTTCTCTTTAGTAGCTGAAAGCAAACAGTTTGTGGTTATAAATAAAGGATGTATTCAAAGTATGAGAAATTGGTAATTGATTCATAGGCATATACAGACAGTGTGGACACAGTGCCATTGAAGAAAGTTACTCAGCTGTAGATAATAGTTACCATTTCATAAAACCAAATTCCACACTGTGTGAAGTGATTAAAGTAATATAAAACTTGCCCTTTGGTGTTGAATTCAAATTCACTTCTGCACTATTTTCAATCTGGGTTTACAGAATTATAAACCCTTGAATTAGTCCGTTTAAGGTTTTTATTCTGTTAAATAGTATTCAGAATGTGTGTAGTACATTAGCAATGGCAACATTTAAACTTCTTAATTAGTTTTATTATGTTTAGATCATCTGTTTTTTAAAGAGAACTTTTCTGGGAATTAACATTTATGAATTGTTCACTTTTTAATAAACAAATATCACACAGATACAAACAACTTAATGTTTTTTTCAATTTTTTTCTTTAGAAGCAGCATTAAGAGGTCTTCTGGGAGCCTTAACAAGTACCCCATATTCTCCCACCCAGCATCTAGAGCGAGAGCAGGCTCTTGCTAAACAGTTTGCAGAAATTCTTCATTTCACACTCCGGTTTGATGAACTCAAGGTAGAATTATCTATTGGCCCTGATTGTTACGAAAATCATGAATCTTTTAATGAGTACTAGGAGGAAGAGCCGGGAAACATTGTTAAAATGTATTTAAATGATGTCTGCTAGACCTTAATAAAAATGCAAAGCTGGATTTAGAAATTAATGACGGGTCTTTTGATACATGGCAAAGAGCAAATTACTGAGTATTCGGTCTCAATCTTTTTTTTTTTTTTTTGAGGCAGAGCCTTGCTTTGTCACTCAGGGTAGAGTGCAGTGGCGTGATCTCAGCTCACTGCAACCTCTCCCTCCTGGGCTCAAGTGATTCTCCCACCTCAACCTCCCAAGTAGCTGGGATTACAGGCATGTGCCACCACGCCTGGCTAATTTTTGTATTTTTAGTAGAGACGGGGTTTCACCATGTTGGCCAGGCTGATCTCGAACTCCTGACCTCAGGTGATCCACATGTCTCAGCAGTCTTCATTTAACCTTGTTTAAAAATTAATCTCCGAAACAAAAGGTTGAGCTTTTTTTCTAATACTTTTTCTTTTCTGCTCACACCCTCTACCCCCGTTTTTCAACATTCTTTTATATTAAAATGTTGCTAAAATTTCTTTTTTCTCCCTTCCTCCTTTCCCGCTTTCTTCCTTTCTTTCTGTTTCTTTTTTCCTCTGTCATTGTTTATAGTGTTTGGAACTATAAATACCTTGTTGTTAAAAAGAATGAATGTAAAGGAATAAGCACTAGGTCTCATATCAAGAGACCTGAGTTCCAGTTTATACTCTGCCACAGTAACCCTAGTCATGAGACGTTGGGCACGTCCTTTGATTTTTCAGGGCCTCTGGTACCCTGTCTAGAAAATGGAAGAGCTGGATTCCAAACTTCAGCATTTTATAGTTGTATCACAGTCAGATTTGTATGTAAAATTCTAGTTTGAGGATTGCTCTGTTGACCATACCTACATACTTTTATCGTAATAACTAAAAACAAGTGCCTAAACAGTCCTTTTTGTTTTTGTTTATTTGATAAACAAGCTTTTAGTACATTACCTGAAATTAACTGAAAAGAAAAGGGAAAGTATACTGCCTGTGGTCTTTCGTTTTATATGTTCAGTAAGGACTAAATACAGTTATAAGCCACCTTGGATTATACCAGTGCTAGTTCTTAAAATGATACTATGAATTATGGAATGTTTTATACTAATTAAAACTAAAGATTTTTTACTTAGTTTTTTTACATTAGCATTTAGTACATAACATTTTTTTTCCACAACTGTCTTCTTCAGATGACAAATCCTGCCATACAGAATGATTTCAGCTATTATAGAAGAACATTGAGTCGTATGAGGATTAACAATGTACCGGTAAGTTAATGCTTTGAATTAGGGGGATGGTAAGAGTAACTTAGTGCTCAGCCTGTTCATTTTATTATTTTGTTTGTTCATTCAGATAGTGTTAAAGCTAGTAATAAAGTTAGTAATTATGGGCAGCCATAGCTGTAGGAGGAAAAGCAAACTGTAACAAACCATATGGTGTTTACCTGTTTTTCTTCACAGTCTCTTAAATTCCCACAACTACTTCAACAAAATTGCTTATCTGTATAACGTTGATCCTTATAAAATTTCGCGATGTACTCTCATTTTAACTGTACAGAAATTCTGTGAATTCATAGTTACGAGTTTTTTGTCTCTATATTCTTAGAATGGAAGAGTCTTGGAGAGAAATTGACGTGGGTTAATTTCTTGGAGAGAAATCTTGAACCCAAGTCCGTTTTCCTCCAAGAAATTAATGGTTAATGCTGGCAAGAGGTGATAGTGAGGTCATGGCCTGTTAACACATCTGTGCCTGATATAGCTGTTTGAGAAAATGGCTTTGTGCCTGCTCCTTGGCTAGTATAGCATTTCTTCTGGCTTCTTTAGGTCTCTTAACTTCTTACCATCCTCCTCTTAAGCTGTTTATTACTCTTTTCTACCTCCAAGGAACTAAATACCATAAGTAAAACTAGAGCGGAAGAAAATATTAACTTGTTCTCTGTGTTTCTGAGAACCTTATAATTGGTCTGAAAAATTTCAAAGATCAACCCTTGTTTCAAATAGATAGTTTAATAGAGAAATACTGTAACTATGTAAGGAGTAATAAGTGGCATAAGATATTTAAAATATATATATCAAAGACTATCATTCATTTTCTTTTTCCTTGAAAAAATATTTTAGGAAGCACTTGCACTAAGGCACTGAGTTGGAGGAAAAGATTCCTCTTTATGAAACATCTGTAATTTGCATCAATTTGATTTTTGCATAGACCAGTTCCTCGTGTGAGACTGACCTTAACATCTGTCTTTTTCATACCTACCATGTAAAATAAGATAAAAGCAAAAAGCAAAGCAGCCAATCCTATACTATACCCATCCTTGCCATCACTTAAGGCTAAAGACATTAGTCATCTTGGTTCTCCCTTTTACCCTCAATAATTACAGGTAAAATCCAATTTTTTTCAAGTGAAATATCTCTGAAATGTCTTCTCCATCCCCCTTTCCATCTCCTCCTCCCACTGTTCCAACAGAGAGCCTAATTCCCACTCTTTCTGGCAGTCACTCTGCACAGCATAACTCATTTTCGGACCTACAAGTCTTTTTCCATTTTGGTACAATCTGCCCACGATTATCAGTTAATTTTCTTTAGGAAACTGACTTAGTTGTCATTCCTTTCATCTAACACACTGAATGGCTCCCCATTCCACATGGAAGAAAAATATGAACTTAAGCTAGCATTTATGGCACTATACAGTCTGACCCCAACCTGTATCTTTCGTTGGTTGCAGCCCCTTATTACACTGAATATGCTGAATTACTCTTTAGGGAGTCATTTGAAAACATACTCTTTCCCCTGCCAGATTGGAATACCTTGTTTACCTGCCCAATATGACCTGCAAAAGGATAACTCTTCTCCTTAGTTTCTTCTGTTCCAACTTAATGTTCTCTGACTCCCTTTTTGTGTTATCACCTGTTAGAATCTTACCATGGATGTTGTATGGATACTTATTGTTCATAATGGAGGACGGTACAATTTTATAATCATTTTTCTGTCCTCCATAACATTTAGAATCTCTTGTATGTAGTAGACAGTTCATCAAGGTTTTATTTAAATTCTTTAATATCATTTAAAATATTTTTGAAGAGGTTAATCTTTTTTTAAAAAAAATAACTTTTTTTTAAAAAGAATATTTGAGTATTATCGATACATGAGAGTCTAAAATGTAATTGAGGCAGGCACCCTGCCTGGGTCCTTGTATAATTGTTATTATATGTAATAATTTGTGAACTAACATCCAGTGCTTTTACCTTCCCCACAGGCAGAAGGAGAAAATGAAGTAAATAATGAATTGGCAAATCGAATGTCTTTGTTTTATGCTGAGGCAACTCCAATGCTGAAAACCTTGAGTGATGCCACAACAAAATTTGTATCAGAGGTAAGCATTGCCTAGGCAGGTACTCTGTGTTGTTATTTATGCCCCTGTTGGCAGACGTGATGTCAGCAAGCCCAAGACATTAAATACCATCTTGAAACCAACAGACTCCCAGATGTATGTGTTGAGTCCTGACTTTTTTCTGAGGCCCACATGTGCACACCTGTCCACGTATTTGCAGTTTCTCTGGAGGGATGGTGGAAACCTCAGTGATAGCTGATGGCATGGCCAAACCAAACTCTGGGTTGCGTTTTCTAACCCTGCCCTTTCTTTAGTTTTTGCTTTCTCAATTAACAGTACCAGTGCAGGCAAAAACTTACAACTTATGTCATCCTAAATTCCTTTCTTTTTTTTTTGAGACAGAGTTTCACTCTTGTTGCCCAGGCTGGAGTGCAATGGCGTGATCTCAGCTCACCACAAACTCCGCCTCCCGGGTTCAAGCGATTCTCCTGCCTCAGCCTCCCTAGTAGCTGGGGTTACAGGCATGTGCCACCACGCCCGGCTAATTTTGTATTTTTAGTAGAGATGGGGTTTCTGCATGTTGGTCAGGCTGGTCTCGAACTCCCGACCTCAGGTGATCCGCCTGCCTCCGCCTCCCAAAGTGCTGGAATTATAGGCATGAGCCACCGCGCCTGGCCATCATCCTAAATTCCTTTCTATACCTCACTCCCTACATGTATTCCATCAAACAGTCTCATTGGCTTTCCCTCCAAAATACTAATATATCATGATTCTGAAAACTTAAGTTGCTTTCTTGCCACCAGCCACATCAGACTTCTCATCTGGATTACTGCATTCGTGTCCTGACCATTCTTACTTCCTCCACTCTTGCCCCAATATAGTCCTTTCTCCATAGAGCAACCAAGTAATCTTAAAACATAAACCATGTTCCCTCCCTCCTCCATGTAAAATGTTCCCAGTGACTTCCTAGTACCCTTAGGATAAAATCCAACTATTTCATAGCCTATAAAACTCTACACCTTTGACCCCCTGTCTGCATTGTTGCAGTTGTTCTTACATTGCTGGAATGCAGGTGCCTTTCAGAAGAGTCCTGCCTTCGCTGTCTTGCTCATAGCTGTATCCCCAGTGCTTGGAACAGTTGCTTAGAGTCTAGTGCATTATTTAGAAAATTAGGAGTAGGAACCAGGTTTTAAAGTTGCTAATTTTTCATATTACGCTAAATTTTAAATTGTGCTTAAGTAATAACGTTTGTTACTTTTACTTTTTTTGTTCTTCATATACTTCTACAGAATAAAAATTTACCAATAGAAAATACCACAGATTGTTTAAGCACAATGGCTAGTGTATGCAGAGTCATGCTGGAAACACCGTGAGTATCAGCTGATCTTTTTCACTTTAACAGTGCTGTTGAGATGACTGATATTTCAAAACATGTTCATATATGAACATGTTAACATGTTTTATCTGGAAGGTGGAAAGTAAGTATATTCCAAATATTGAATGTTAATATATGAACAAACTTAAAATAATTTGGCTATTTAACGTAACTTCTGGTTAAGTATAAAATAGAGTTAGTTGGTCTTCAGGTACCTCAGACCACTCAGACTGACTCAGACTCTTAGTTCTCTTCTCAGAACAGAAGTGGTGGTGGTGTTTTGGTGGCTGGGATGTAGGAGAAGAACTTTAAAGTTCCTTGGTTATACTTACCATAAATGTTCTTTTTCCATATTTAGTAAAGAATCTTACCCTTTTGCCAAAGGGCTGGAATTATTCTTCTGTTTATCCCTTTTTCTCTCAATAATTAATTGTCACTCTTTTCTTTTTTTTTTCCAACACGAACCTGAATTCTGTTTTTTTTTCTCTCCTCTCTAAACATTTATGATGTATGATACAGTGTGTCCTGGCTGGATTTTTCCTGTTAGCAGGCAGAAAGAATCCCTCCTGGATTCCAGAATAATAAATACAGTCATGTGCTGCTTAATGACGTTTTGGTCAACAATGGGCCACATATATGATGGTCCAAAGCACTATACTGTACATCATCTCATTGGAAAACCTTATGAAATAGGAGGGCAACTATCATCATAATCATCTTCCTTCCCCCCACCACCAACTTCAGGGAGTGAGGTCCTGGGAAATGAAGGGACACTATCCATGTGCTTGGATGTCTCTATCCTGGTTCCGTACTCTTTCCGCTATGATATACTGCCTTCTATATATAGATAAAAGTTCAATTTTCTTTTTCACAAATGAGAGGAGAATATGATTGAGTTTTAGTAAAATTGATATCCAGTAATACTATAATGTATTTAGATCAAGTTAGCACCTAAATAGCAAACCTGCTTGCTCTATTAAGCTAGTGATTTTTCACTATAGGTGCTAACAACCATTACGTAGCATCTATTCTCTAAAATTGTTGCTATCGGTCTAGCAGAGGAGCAGTGCACTAATGTGGGTGCAGATATTATAGAAACCAGAATACATGGGTGATGACTGTTCCACTCACCATCTTCTCATATCTCTGGGGATCTCATTGTGGAGTAAGGGGCATAATGTTAGTATACCTTTTAGAGATCAAAGGGGCAAGTCAGCATCAGCTGAAAGTTGAATCACCTCATTAAAGAATTTTATATCCCTTTCAGGGGGTTGATTTGGAAAGGAAAACAGACATAAGATTTGAATGTATCAGTGTGGCTACTTGTGAACATACTGCATTCAACTAATGGATAGAAATTTGAATAAAATATTTCAGAAGAGGTTTTTCTTGTGTGTGTGTGTTTTTAAAAAGAATTTTGTAATGCACTTCTTCCATGCATATCTTATCTACTCTTCAGGGAATACAGAAGCAGATTTACAAATGAAGAGACAGTGTCATTCTGCTTGAGGGTAATGGTGGGTGTCATAATACTCTATGACCACGTACATCCAGTGGGAGCATTTGCTAAAACTTCCAAAATTGATGTAAGTTATTGTTTTATATAAATAATTTCAAACGAGTTTCTCCATGGAAACCATAGGATTTTATTTTATGATAAGAGCCAGCAAACCGGACTCTCACAAAACTCAGATTTATAGTTTGTGAAATGGTGGACTTTCATCTCCTCTGTCCCTGTGCTGTTTTTCTTGTGGCCTGTATTCAGGTGGAATAGAATGATCAAAGGATGACTATATTGTCTAGTGAGTACCTCCTGGAAGGCTTCTACTACGTATTTGGCAATATAAATAGATAATTAGATATAAGGAATTTTGAGTCATATCCTTTAATTCCTTTGGCCAAAGGCCATTTCAAATAAAATGTTTATTTCAGAATGCATATAAAAAGTCAGTAGTGCTGCTGGGCGTGCTGGCTCATGCCTGTAGCCCAAGCACTTTGGCAGGCTGAAGCAGGAGGATCACTTGAGCCCAGGAGTAGAAGACCAGCCTGGGCAGCATAGTGAGACCCCCATTTCTACAAAAAAAAAAAAAAAATTAGCCAGGTGTGGTGGCACACATCGGTAGTCACAGCTACGTTGAGAGGCTGAAGTGGGAGGATCCCTTGAGCCCAGGAGTTCCAGCCTGCAGTGAGCCACGATCACACCACTGCATTCAGTCTGGGTGAGAGAGAGACCCTGTCTTGAAATTAAAAAGACAGCCAGTAGGATGCTCCAGTGGAAAAAGATGAAGACTTTATGTATTTTCCCTCCCCTACCTAGTCATAATAATTTGTGACTATAGTTGGCTCTCGACTTTTCTTCTCTCTGTAAAAGTTTGTATTAGAAATAGTTTTCTAATTTCTCTACTTCGTAGTTTCTTTCCCCAACCTCTCACATCTAGTTCATTAGTGTTTGGTGAGAATTGTCTTCCCGTTTCCCTTTCATAGCTAGTTTAGGCTCTTAGCATTTCGGATCTCGATTACTGATTACTAGCCAAGCTTGTTGCCTTCATGTACACCTGTCATATGTAAAGAGAAATGAGTTAATATTTACTGTATGGTTGCCATGTCCCAGGAATTTTACGTTTGTTCTCCCTTGTGACTCTGAAAATACTCTTTTAGGTGTCATCTCCCTTTACTGACAGGGCAACTAAAGTTTAGCAGATCAAGTAATAGAATTGCTAGTAGGCCGGGTGCAGTGGTTTATGCCTGTAATCCCAGCACTTTGGCAGGCCGAGGCAGGCGGATCACCTAAGGTTAGGAGTTCAAGACCAGCCTGGCCAACATGGTGAAACCTCATCTCTACTGAAAAAAAATACAAAAATTAGCTGGGTGTGGTGGCACACATCTGTAGTCCCAGCTACTCGGGAGGCTGAGGTGGGAGAATCGCTTAAATCCAGGAGGCAGAGGTTGCAGTGAACCAAGATTGCGCCACTACACTCCAGCCTGGGTGACAGAGCGAGACTCCATCTCAAAAATAAAAAGAGTTGCTAGAAAAGGTAGAACCCACATTTCTCTGGCTTCCAAAGCCTGTGTTCTTTCTGCTGTATTATGCTTTTTTATAACAACCAGGCTAATATATCTTAAATACCATCGTCATCAAGTGGTTACCTTTTAAAATAACCTGTGAGTCCCCTGCTGCCAGGCATAACACTTCGTATAACTCATCCTGGCTTTCAGCCTCTCATAACTCCAGGTGCAGTGCTGAAAAATTCCTATCTGTCCTCTGTGTGATACTTTACTCTGTGAGGTTTCTCTACCTGAAAGTTCTTCTTTTCCTTAGTAACATACTCATTCTGTCCTTTATTTTTTATTTTATTTTATTTTTTGTGACGGAGTCTCGCTCTGTCACCCAGGCTGGAGTGCAGTAGTGCGATCTCGGCTCACTGCAAGCTCTGCCTCCTGGGTTCACGCCATTCTCCTGCCTCAGCCTCCCGAGTAGCTGGGACTACAGGCGCCCACCACCACGCCTGGCTAATTTTTTTGTATTTTTAGTAGAGACGGGGTTTTACCGTGTTAGGCAGGATGGTCTCGAACTCCTGACCTTGTGATCCGCCCGCCTCAGCCTCCCAAAGTGTTGGAATTACAGGCCTGAGCCACCCTGCCCAGCCCATTCTGTCCTTTAAATCGCCACTCAGCACCTTTTCCAGAAGTCTTCCCTTAGCAAACCGTTTGTTTTTCATTGCATGTGTGGTATATTAGTTTGACTGATTTTGTTCTCAAAAAGATTTTGTTTTCACTAAGTGAGAATAATAACTCTTAGGTTGGGTTTTTTTCTGTTCTAAGAATAATTAATTTGACATAGTATGTAATCTCTTGAGTTCCATAGTTATGGTCTTGATTTATTTTACTATTTTGAAAAGGAATGTTACATGAAAAAAATGGCTGTTTTACCTTTTCTGTTTTCTTTTTCTTTAGATGAAAGGTTGTATCAAAGTTCTTAAGGACCAACCTCCTAATAGTGTGGAAGGTCTTCTAAATGCTCTCAGGTGTGTATATGTACGTGTACGTATGTACAGAAAAAATCTGTAAGGAAAATGGTCGATGTTTATGTAAAGAAAATGCATTAAGTGTGAATAGGATATAAAAATAAGTGTTCAAGCTAGAAATATGAAGATCTTATTTTGTTTATTGATAATCTTGCTTCCAAACACTGGTTACGGTATTTTATGATGAGGAATGTGTGGGACACATGACAATAGCAGCTTCATTTTCTGGTTGAAGATTTTGGCTTTTACTTGTTGCTTCTCTTCAAACAGAGATTGCTTGTTTTTGTAATAAAAGTATTATATACCAGTTATAAATAAAATTCAGAAAACATAAGAAAATGTAAATAAAAAGAAATAATGTAATCTCACCATTTTGAGATAAGCCACTATTAGCATATAGCCTTCCAGAGTTTTTTCTTTACATATATAGATAATAGCTCTATGTAGTAGTTATCTTTTTACAAAATAATATCTTACAAAGTGGCTTGTAACTAGCTCTTTCCTCTTAATAGAATGTAATTACATTTGTGCTCAGACTTGTGTTCTGTTATTTTTATGTATTTCCTACAATAAAAATTAAGTAGTCATTATTTAATGTCTTTTCTTAGATTAGTTTTACTTAATTTAGTTGCTCAAACTTCTACAAATGCTAGAACATTATTTCGTTATTTAGAGTTGGAATCTCGCTCTGTCACCCAGGCTAGAGTACAGTGGCACAATCTTGGCTTATTGGAACCTCGGCCTCCCAGGTTCAAGTGCTTCTCCTGCCTCAGCCTCCCGAGTAGCTGGGATCACAGGCATGTGCCTGTATTTTGTATTTTTAGTAAAGACAGCGTTTCACCATGTTGGCCAGGCTGGTCTCAAACTCCTGACCTCAAGTGATCCACCCACCTTGGCCTCCCAGAGTGCTGAGATTACAGCATGAGCCACTGTGCCCAGCTGCTAGAACATTTTTAAATGAAAATCTCGATACTTTATAACATTTGACTACAGAGATTTAATTGGTAGTATTCACATGACATAAAAGATGATGTCCCATTACTTGATTTTTTGAGGGTTTAAACACAAAAATTACATGAACACAGAAATATTTATATAATGATATTTACCACATAAAATGTAGGCTGTATCATTTCAGCTAAGCGGAACTGTCAAATGATTTTATTAAGATTATGAAAAAATGTTTAAAAATAGTTTTTAAAAGATTATGAAAAGTGTTGCATAAGCGGTAGCTGCCTGAATAAAGGTGATCTATTCTAAATGAACATCAGCAAGATTAAGGAACATAATTTAAAATCCTTATAATGTCAAACTATTTTAACCATAAGCCTAGTTTTTAGAATTCTGTATTCTTGGGGTTTTTACAACGCATACTTCAGTGGTTTTGCCAATATTTAATGATATCATGAGTCTTTCCTCCTTGGTTTCTTTCTGAATACTCCCTGTGTCTCAGTCAACCTGATTTTTCTCCCAAGACTTTGTCTTTCTGATTGGTCAGGCTCTTTGAAGCCAGCAAGTGGCAGGAAATCTTTTTTAAAAACTTGAAGGTAATTGAGATCTAGGAGGTTTTAGGATTCTTTCTTGAGCTTGAAGGTAGTATGCCTAACTCAGAATCTACGTTTCACTTTAAGGGTAGTTCAGTTTCCTTTTCCTTAGAATGAAAGCAGAGGAGACCAGTGATGGCGAGTGAAAGACAGGGTTGAAGTCTCCCACAAAGTAATCTGTGTTTGAGGGAGAGGGGAGGGAAGGAAAGCACCACGGAGGCAAGAGTCACCTGTCAGTTTGGTACATTTTCTTTCCTATTATAATAGATAATGGAAACTAGAAAATAAAATGTTGCTTTTAGAAACAACAAAATCAGGTCTGACTTGGGACTCAGGCACTTTCCTTTTAAACAAACACCCTAGCTGATGTAGATAATGCTGATACTTTGAAAAATATTTCTTAAAGGAAATCCATCTAGCCTTTAATATGTTTTACTGAGAGCACATGTTTAGAAAGCATTTTGTAACCCCAAAAGTACTACACGAGTGTTACACACCTCCACAAAATAGAACTTAAAGACCAAAAGATTTTAAATGAGAGAATAGTTCCATATGTATGTATATGTTTGTTTTGAATGCTTTCCTGTAGTAATTATTTATATAGAACTTCCTGTGCTACTAAGAGAAGGCATCAAGTCATATGTCCATTTTACAGGTGGAAAAATGGAACCAAATACATTTAATCATAAGAGGGAAAGAAAAAAAGAGAGCTGGGAGTTCAGATTCAGTAGTAGATAATTGTCTTCTTTATTAAATTTAAGAGTAAAGGTAAATAATAATTGGTTTTCTTTAGTAAAACAGTCGCACTTGGAAAAAAAATTTGTTTTTGTGCACAAAGGAAAATAATGCCATATATCTTCATGTTTTATTTTCACGTATATTAGATAATATTGGCCTTTTCTTGATAAGTGAGTGTGGTGATGCAGTGTGCTCTGGATTGGCTTTGTCCAAAGAAGGAAGCCAAGATCACATCCCACAGAAGGAGCGAGAACTTGCGTCATGGGTAGAGAGGAAAACACTTAGCACTCTTTGAATAGTACAGTACATTGCTGAGTAGTGATACTTTTAACTACTCTGCAGTAGAAATTTTACTGTGCACATTGCTTGGCTCTTTCTACTATTTAGTTGTATAAAGAAGTGGAGGAGAAACAAATGAAGAATTTTGAGAACTACGAGACATCTGTAGGATTTCGTGTAATTGCGTATACTTTATCTACATAAAGAGAACAAAAAGGTTAAATCCTTGTGACATCACTTAGCATTTAATGTCAATATTCCTTTATGGATTTTTTTTTCTTTCCAACCTGGCTGCTTATCTTGTCTTCCTTCCGCAAGTATTTATTGAGCACCATTTATGTGCCAGGCACGCTGATACCTATTCAAAAACATGAGAACAGTTTGGGAGTGACTTCTCAGTAACATTGTAGACAGTATATCAGGTACTTAATAAGCATTCTTCGGTTTTTAAATTAATTTGAAATGAACCTAATAGGAATTGGGTTTAAATTTCTTAAACACAGAAAGATCTATGTGGACCTGCTGAAAAGGATGTAGTCCTAGCTGGGCATGGTGACACACACCTGTCATCCCAGCTACTTGTGAGCCCAAGGCAGGAGGATTGCTTGAGCCCAGGAATTGAAGGCCAACCGGGGTAATATAGCCAGACCTTATCTCTAGAAAAAACGATCTAGTCCTTAAGATTATATGTGGAATTCTTGTGAACCAGATTTCTCTGTCTGGGTTATCTCCAAAATACAGTCCACATTCACGCATTGAACACCTGTCTCCATTGCTGCTGTAATCTGGCCCAAGCCTTGACATCTGATTATCTCACACTTGGTGCTCAGTAACAGCCCCCTTATTTAATGCCTCCCTGCTGCTCCTTCTGTTCTCCACAGCTTGCCCTCAACAGCCAGAATGATAAAACTTAAGTGGCAGCACACCCCTCTCCTGCTTAATATGCTCCACTGGCTTTTACTGCACTTAAAATAATCTCCAAACTCCTTACTATGTATGGCCTCTGGGTGTCCATGGGAGATGGTGTTTCCCTGTCTCTGTATGTAGCCTCTTCTTGTTATACTTCTCTCCTTTGCTGCTAGGCTTTACCCTGTCACTAATATTAGTGTATCATTATCTTTCTCCGTCTGCTAGGTTGTAAGCTCCTTGAACAGTGCCTGAGACATAGTAAGCTTGCTTAGTGGATTTTTACTGTTTAAGGGAATACTGTTGTGAATCTTTATAATAATCACTCTTTGTGATTCTTTTTTGGATTCTTATGTTGGATTTGCATGCATGTAGCAAAACACATGCCTAGAAATAAGGCACTTGGGAGAATTGAGACATTTTAGAGATATAACAGCTGTAGTAATTGAGGCATCTTAAATACAGAATAGAAAAGGGGTTGAAACACTTTTCTGTAAAGAGCCAGAGAGTAAGTAGATATTAAAGGCCTTGTGGGCCACATGGTTTCTGTTACAGCTCCTCACCTCTGCCACCATAACAAGAAAGTAACCATAGATGATACATGAATGAGTCAACTTGGTGTGTTTCAGTAAAACTTTTATATGTAAGCACTGAAATTTGAATTTCATAGAATTTCCACAATAACACATGAAATATTACTATTTCTTTTTTTGTCTTCCTTTGCCCCCCAGTCATCCAAAAGGTTAAAAAATAGAATTAGCTCACAGTCCACAAAAAAATTGGTGGATTGGATGGCCCATGGGCTATAATTTGCCAGCCTCTGGGATAGAACAGCATTTTCTTCTGAGGGAGAAGTTACAGCTAATTGTTTACTTGAGAGGTCAACCAATCATTTCAGCAGTGTAGTTGTAACTAAGTTAAATAGCTGCTAAATAGCTACTGGCTATTCAGTTAGAAAGGGGGTGAGGATGACAGGCTGTGCAGAACCTGAACAGGGTTAAAGCTACAATGAGAAGCCATAATTTTGTGAGTTTTGCTGAGACCAATTCTCCATCCTGTCATAATTAGAGAACCCGATGCTGATTATTTTTTAAGTTCCTAAAATTGATCTTTTTTCTTTTCTTTTTTTAGGTACACAACAAAACATTTGAATGATGAGACTACCTCCAAGCAAATTAAATCCATGCTGCAATAACAATTCTGGAATAAGCACCTGCTGTAGACAGAAGACAGTATTCTGCAATGACTGAGAATGCAGTTTTTTAGTGATTGCAATTACTATCTCATTTATTCTTGCTTTTATTTCTTTCCTCTGTTCCTCTTCCCTCTTTTTTAATCATGTTCTTAAGACTTCTTTTCTGTGCCAAAATCAGTAAAGTTACACTCTGAAGGGATATCATCCTTTCAAACGGGCCATCTAAGGCAGCTAATTATGCATTGCATTGGGGTCTCTACTGAGAAAAATTCTGTGACTTGAACTAAATATTTTTAAATGTGGATTTTTTTTGAAACTAATATTTAATATTGCTTCTCCTGCATGGCAAAACTGCCTATTCTGCTATTTAAAAACCCTCAATGACTTTATTTTCTACTGCCGCCTTTTTCATGTGCAACCAAAATGAAAATGTTTAAATTAACTGTGTTGTACAAATGGTACCCAACACAAACTTTTTTTAAATTAGTAATACTTTTGTTTAAAGTTTTAAGTTTGCATTTTGACTTTTTTTGTAAGGATGTATGTTGTGTGTTTAACCTTTATTAACTAACGTTAAAAGCTGTGATGTGTGCGTAGAATATTACGTATGCATGTTCATGTCTAAAGAATGGCTGTTGATGATAAAATAAAAATCAGCTTTCATTTTTCTAAGTGTGGCTTGGTTTACTGATGTTTTGTTTTTAGGCTTCTGAAGTTTTCCCCATGTATGTTTTTATGGAATGCATATATACATTACATGATTTTTTCTTCTTTTAGGGGAGAGCCGGGTCTTTTCATTAGAATTTTGATCATTGTCTATGTATATACTTTTAATTGCCTTTAAAATTTTGCTAAGTATATTAAGACCAGTGATCTTTTCATTAACTGGACTTTTATTCTTGATTTACTCTTGTATGGATGTAGTAATGGAAGGAAAACCGCATCCTTGCTTGATTCTCCATTTCCAGGGGAGCGGGTAGCAACATGAAGGCAGAGTAGCCCTTTAATCATGGGAAGAGAGTGATTATAAGAGGGACTTCCCAGGAGAAAAGCAGAGGCCATGATCTCACTAGTGGTAGAAAACTAACAGGTTTCAGTTTAAGATCATAAAACCTAAATCATGAAATCTAAATCTCATGGTTGGAACAAACTACTTAAAGGTTGTCTAGTTCAACCATGCCAGTGTTTTAAATATTTAGGAATATCCGAGGTATAATACAATTAAAATGTTTAACCATGGAAGAGAATCACAGAGGCTTCCATCAGACCCTTCTGGATTAATAGGGCCAGATCATGGCACACACAGCTTCTCAAGATCACATCCCTGCTGATCTCTCTGGCCCTCCTGATCACTGCTCCCCCACTTCACACCCTGTCCTGCAGCCAGGCCCTACTGCTTGCTGTTCACAAATTGTTCCATGTGATGTCACTTCCTTAGCTCTGGTCTGGCTGGTCCCTGAACCTGACATTCCCTTCCTCCCCTTGTGACCCTCTAATGAACGCCAACTTTCATCTTTGAAGGGTTAGCTTCTATTACCTCCTTCATGAAGCCTTCTGGATAACATTGGCCATATCCTTCTAGGCATCTTCTAAGAATAGTGTAATAGGCTGAATAGTGGCCCCCAGGAGATACATTCACTGGGAATCTCCACGTGTGACATTATTTGGAAAAAGTTTTTGCAGATGAAATCAAGGACCTGGAAATGAGATCAACCTGTAGTAGGGTGGGCCCTAAATTCAATGACTAGCTCTTAGAAAAGAAGGGGAAATAGACACACAGAGCTGAAGGCCATGGGAAGATGGAGGCAGAGATTAGAGCAATGCATCTATGAGCCAAAGAACCCTAAGAATTGGAGGAAGTCACTAGAAGCTAGGAAAACAGGCATGTCACAGATTCTCCCTCAGAGTCTCGAGAAGGAACCAACCCTACCAATATCTTGATTTCAGACATCTGGCCTCCAGGATTGTGAGGGAATAAATTTCTGTTGTTTTAAGCCATGCAGTTTGTGGTATTTTGGTACAGCAGCCTTAAGAATCTGATACATGTATCTCGTAAAACACCTCTGATACTTACCTGCGCTTGTGGCTGTGTTTTCTGATACTATGAGAGCCGTAGTATCTGGATACCGGAGAGTCTGCGAACTTGAGAGAAGGGCCGTGTCTGATTTTCCTTCAGTGTCCCAAGGAAGGATCTTGCACAGTACCCAGATTTGGAGAGGTGCCAAGTGAATGCTTCGGTGGACTGAATGAATACAAATCAAAAATAATGATGCAGCGGGAATGGATGCAGTAAGATTGCTGTGGCCTATGCAGTTCACACAGTTCACACTCTGCATGTTGAGGAGTAAGTGGACAGATCTCTTAAGCCCAGGGGCTAGCAAACCGGTCTGTGGGCCAATTTACTCACCGTCTGTTTTTGTACAGCTTGTGAGCTAAAAATGGTTTTTAAAAAGGTTGAATACAATCAAAAGAATAATATTTTGTGGCATGAGAAAAGCATATGAAATTCAAATTTTAGTGTTCATAAATAAAATTTTATTGGAACCTAAGCCTCACTCATTTGTTGACACATTATTTATCGAGACTTTTGCATGACAGCAGCAGAATTGAGTTGTGACAAAGACCATATGGCCCTCAAAAGCTAAAATATATTTACTATCTGGCCCTTTCCAGAAAGAATTTTCCTCTCCTTCCACTAGATCCAAGAGTAGGTTTATCTGAGAACCTAGTGTGATTGAAGCTGAGGGCTGCAGTGTGATCAAAGGAGACAGCTCTGCTGCCAAAAGATGATTCAACCTCAGAGCTAGTACTTGCCAGTCAGATAGCCAAAGAGAGCAAGCAGGCATCTTCTCTGCCAACTCTATCTGTAGTTCTCATGTCTGTCCTTGGAGTGAAGTATTATGGGGGGTAGGCATGGACTTAGCCAGTGTATTAGTCCATTTGCACACTACTAATAAATACCCCAATACTGGGCAATTTATGAAAGAGAGGTTTAATTGACTTACAGTTCCATGTGGCTGGGGAGGCCTCACAATCATGGGAGAAGGTGAAAGGCACATCTCACTTGGTGGCAGATGAGAGGAGAGCTTTTGCAGGAAAAGTCCCCCTTAAAATAACCATCAGATCTCATGACACTTACTGTCATGAGAACAGCACGGGAAAGACCTGCCCTCATTATTCAGTTACTTCCAACTGGGTCCCTCCCACAACACGTGGGAATTCAAGATGAGATTTGGGTGGGGACGCAACCAAACCATATCAGCTGGGATTAATTACTGCCCACTGGAGGGAGGTATGAGTCTGCTCTGGTGTAGGTAAATCCTTTGAACCCCAGTCTAGTCTCTAAAACGCACCTGGTTAGTGTGCCTATGCCCCAGCCTTTCTTCACAATTTAGAGAAATCCATTGCCTCATCTCTTCCACCAAACATGCCCATAATTAACTCACCACTGCCCCATTTCCACAGCCCTCAACATAGATAAGTGGAACTTTTCAACTGGCTGGCTTCTCACTTTAAAGATTTGGGCTAAGAAGCATTCTGGACCATTTTAAGATTGCTGCAAGTATTTTAGACTTGTCATAAGGATTAATGACATTTGTACTCAAATCTAGGTCTTTTGAGTTGAAATGTCCTTCTGGTTCCATTTGAGATTGCAGTTAACTGCAGTTTTGAAGTTCTTACTGTTCGAAGCATATTTTAAACTTCAGAGTAAGATTCAATCATAGAAGGTACAATGCGAAGATCTGTGGGTCAAGGGTCAGGAGACCCAAGCCATATCTCTTCTTTGAAACTCTATTTTCCTCATCAGTACAATGAGAAAATTGAAACAGATGATCTCTAACACTGATTCCATGTCTCATATACTGTCTGCAAAGGCAGTAGTAGTTTGAATACTTAAAAGACAGGCTTTAGGCAGTGGAGTGTAGTTTATTCTGGTCTCCCTCTTTAACTCCGTATGACTTTGAGCAAGTCTCATGTGTCCTCATAACAGGGAATACTCAAAATAGCTACCTCTCTAGGGTGGTCCTGAGAATTGTGCTAGTTTAATGCCTACAATGTCATATGCATATCAGAAGTTTTATTCTGGCCATCATGACATTTGACTACATTAAACGCAGTAGGTATTATATCCATTAACATGTACTGTTTCCCATTCTAGAGTAATCTACAGTACTAGTTTAGCTACTTTCCTCAGTCAGTGTGGGTGCTAGGCAAACCTGCACAATTTTTTTGTTTGTTTTGTTTTGAGACAGAATCTCGCTCTGTCGTCCTCCTGGCACATAACAGTGAAATGTTCTGGGTGGATGGATCTAGGATGAGTCTCTAATCTCCTCTCCTCTGAGCTGTGGTGGCATTTTGTTCACTCGTCTGTGATAGCACTGGACATTGAAGCAAGCGTCTTACTACAGTGGGCACCAGGGAGCCACAGAAGGTTTATGAGCAGGGCAGCCACCCAGTGCACTGGGCCCAAGGCCCACAATATATATTGAAGGGCCACGAAAGCATTTGACTATATTCTAAAATCAGAAGAAAAAAATACACTTGTAGGTTTAAGAGAATGTCTTAATGCCTAAGATAAAAATGTACTAATATATTCTTTATACCAACACAGTCTTAAGTGATAACTTTTCATATTTTTCTGGAGGAAAGGCCCCATAAAGGCCAAAGTGCCTGGGGTCCCCGAGAGTCACAAGCGTGGGGAGCAGGAGGCAATGACCCAAGAGGGGCCTGTTTCTGGGGGTGCCAGAGGTGCGCCCGCTGGGCAGTGGGGAGTAGTCAGGGAGGGGACAGCTGCGCAGGTGCCACCCAAAGACGGGTTCCGCCTCAGGTGGGCGGGACCAAGGGAGAGGGTCTCCAAAGGCCACTGGGCCAGAGAGGGGCGGGGTGAGGGCAGGGATGGGCAGGTGGCTACGCTCATGCCCCTTGGCCTGCTCTCCTCAGAGGGGCCACCTGAGGTACCACCTAGGTCCGGGTCTCTGGCAACCCTGTACCTGAGGCTCTGGATCGCTGCTCCAGGGCCCAGGCTGTGCCCCACATGGGACCTTGCTGGCACCCCTAGCCTGGCTCAAGCAATACTCCAGTAGCTGGGACCACAGGCAGGCACCACCACACCCAGCTAACTTTTTTTATTTTTTTGAGATGGAGTCTCACTCTGTCATCCAGGCTAGAGTGCAGTGGTGTGATCTCGGCTCACTGCAATCTCCGCTTCCCAGATTCAAGCAATTCTCCTGCCTCAGCCTCCTGAATAGCTGTGATTACAGGCACCCACCACCACGTCTGGCTAATTTTTGTATGGGTTTCGCCATGTTAGCCAGGCTGGTCTAGAACTCCTGACCTCAGGTGATCCACCCTCCTCGGCCTCCCAAAGTGTGGGATTACAGGTGTGAGCCACTGCACCCAGCCACAGCTTTTTATTTTTTGTAGTGATGGGGTCTCACTGTGTTGCCCAGGCTGGTCTTAAACTCCCGGGCTCAAGTAACCCTTCTGCTCAGCCTCCCATAGTGCTGGGATTATAAGCATGAGCCACCACACCTGGCCGCAGTCAATCTGAGAATATTTCATCACCCCCAAATAGACCCTCCTCCCTCCTTGCCATCCCCTTTCCCTCCCGGCCCTCCCTGTTCTTGCTAGCCCTGGCCTTGAGGCAGGAGATCAGCAGGACTTGTTTTCCCCACCTTGGTCACCACCCTGCTGATCAAAGCAGAATGAACTAATAGCAAAGAAACTAGCCCACACCAGCTAGGACCAACAGGCCATGTAAGTGACTTCTCA
This sequence comes from Homo sapiens, assembly GCF_000001405.40. Taxonomy (NCBI): domain Eukaryota; kingdom Metazoa; phylum Chordata; class Mammalia; order Primates; family Hominidae; genus Homo; species Homo sapiens. Next base: position 129,836,369 of record NC_000008.11, on the reverse strand, counting down.
TTGCTCTAATTGTTCATTATACACTAATTATAATACATTTGCATTATATGCATTATATGGCACTCCTACCAGTGCCATAGCAGTTTATGATGTCATGGCAATAACCTGGAAGTTACCTTATATGGTTCTGGGAACTCCCCGCCCCTTTCCCAGAAAGTTTGTGAATAACCTGCCCCTTATTTAGCATATAATTAAGAGTGGGTATAAATATAGCTAGTCCACCAGCAGTCCACCAGTGCTGCTCTGGGCCTCTGCCTATGGGGTAGTTCTGCTTTGTGGAGCAGCTATTTTGCTGTATGCTGTTGCTCTAATAAACTTTCTTTCATCCTTTTTTTTGAGACAGGGTCTCACTCTGTTGCCTAGGCTGGAGTGCAGTGGGATGGTCATGGCTCACTGCATCCTCCCACCTCAGCCTCCTGAGTAGCTGGGACTATAGACGTATGCCACCAGCTGGGCTAATTTTTGTATTTTTAGCAGAGACAGTGTTGCTCCATGTTGCCCAGACTGATCTTGAACTCCTGGGCTCAAGTGATCCACCCATCTTGGCCTCCCGAAGTACTGGGATTACAGGAGTGAGCCACCACACCCGGCCAAACTTTCTTTCTTTCACTGCAAGCTTGCTCTTGAATTCTTTCTTGGGTGAAGCCAAGAACTCTCCCCGGGTGAGCCCCAGTCTTGGGGTTCACCTGCATCAGTCTGTGGATTTGCCTATTCTGGATATTTCCTACCAGATATGGTCCTTTGTGTCCGTCATCTCTTAAATAACAAGCTTGTGTTGCTAATCAATTGCTGAGCCTTCGAAAGTATCCATGGATTGACCATGGAAGATGAGGATCTGGGGCCCCTTCTCTCTGTACCACGCACAAGTCCCATCCCTCATCTTTCCAGTGGAGTTACACTGGTTCCCGCTCACCCACATGGCCATGTTCCAAGGCCCCCAGTGGATGCTGGCAACCACAGATAGTAGCGACTCCTGTATCTGTTGTTTTTTCTGGTGTGATAACCCCTATAGCTACTGAGTGACTGATGGGCAAGTAGTGTAGACAGTGTGAAGATGCTGAACAGAGGGATGATTCATGTCTCCACAGGACAGAGGAGGACAGCACAAGCTTTCATCACACTACTCAAAACAGTGTGCAATTGAAAACTTATGAATTGCTTATTTTTTGAATTTTCCATTGAAGACTTTTGGGGTAACATACCACTAAAGCAAAACTTTATAGAGAGACTACTATACATCCTAATTTCCTGTGTTCATTATTATTTTAAAGACTAAAAATGCTATTCATTTATTAGTAAACTGTGATTATTTTTCCTTTCTTGGTGAATTTTTGTTTTACTTCTTTTGTCCTTTCTGCTTTTTTCCTTGCTTTCTATGCACTTATGTATATCTAATTAAATTCAAACGCTGCTAATTGCATAAATCTCCTAATATGCTCAAAGTATTAATTTCACTTCCTGGAGAAATCTCTCGGGAACTCAGTATCATCTTGGGAATTCCTCTGTCTCTGGTCTACATAAATCTCCTTTTCCTAGTGTCCAATGTCTTCCTCTTGGATTTCTTTTAACTTTGGTATGTCACACCCTCTTACAGCTTTCTGGTAATGAAAACAAGGGAAGCATTAAAAAAAAAACCACTTTATCTGAAAATGTCCTTATTCTACCTTCAAGCTTGGTATAGAATTCTAGGTTGGAAATAATTTTCCCTCAAAATTTAGGAAGGGATTACTTCTAGTTTCCTGTGTGGTTGTAGTTTAAAGTCATTCTCACATATGGTCTTTTTAAAGTAACTTTTGTTCTTCTCTCTGGATTTGTACATTGTTTGAATGTTCTGAAATGTCCTGAAAATATGTTTTATTGTGAACCCAACTTCCTCCCTTTGTGTTAGGAACTTGATGGGCTCTTAGATCTGGAAACTCATATCTTAAGTATGGAATATTTTCTTGAATTATTTTGTTGATGATTTCCTCTCCATTTTTAAAAATGTGTGTGTTCTTTTATTTTGGAACTTGTTTCATTCAGATGTTAGGCTTACTGAACAGCTGCTCTAAAAGTCTTGTTTCTCTCCTATTTTTCATCTTTTGGCTTTTTGCTTTACTTTTTAGGAAGCTGCCTCAATTTCATCTTCTAATCCCTCTATTGGATTTTTTATTTCTCCCATCAGAGTTTGAATTTCTAAGAGTTCTTTTTATGTTCTCTCAGTGTTCATTTAAAAATATCATCTTGTTATTATTGCAATAATTTTTCTTCTATTTCTCTGAGGATGTCAATGATGAAAAAAATACAATATATACTTTCTTCTTTCTGCATGCATTCCTCCCAATCTGCTTTTTTGGTTTGTTTTGGTCTCTGTCTGTTTCTGAAATGTCTGGTGATCCTTGTCTGCTCCCACTTTGGAGAGGGGTGTTAAAAAGCATATCAGGAGTACTGAGCAGATGAGCAATGCTTATTAACAGTGAGCTTCACCAACGGCCAGTGGTGCCCAACTTGGTTGAGATTAGAATCATCTAGTGCTTTTGAACTTCTCAATGACCTTACCACAGAACAATTAAACCAGAATTGTGGGGTGGACCCCAGGCATCAGTTTTTTTTTTTTTAAAGCTCCCCAGTGGATTCCTGTCTGCACCTAGGGCTGAAACCTCTGCTAAGGGTTTCAAACCATCTGCCCCGCTGTTTCCTTGGGGAAATCAGATGTCTCAGGGAAACCAGATGTCTGTATCAGTTGGTCTTTTTCTTAAACTGAGTCCCCAGGGAGGAATCTTCCAGTCTTCTGCCTGGAAGGCAAAATCCTGGCTGCCTGCCGTTTGGGAACCCAGTAAAAGCTGGGCTGGATGGAAGTAGCCTTTCAAGTGTAAATGATCACTTATTCCTTTCTTTTCATTTCTTTTCTTTTTTCAAGACAGGGTTTCACACCTGTTGCCCAGGCTGGAGTGCAATGGCATGATCTCAGCTGACTGCAACCTCTGCCTCCTGGGCTCAAGCAATTCTCCCACCTCAGCCTCCTGAGTAGCTGGGACTACAGGAGCACACCACTGCACCCGGCTAATTTTTATATTTTTAGTAGAGTTGGGAGTTTCACGATGTTGGCCACGCTGGTCTCGAACTCCTGAGCAATCCTCCTGCCTTGACCTCCCAAAGTGCTGGGATTACAGGCGTGAGCCACTGTGCCTGGCCTATTCCTTTATTTTCAGTTTGATACCATTGTTCACAGTTGTGCCGGGTGATCCCCAGCCTAGTGACTCTGTCTTCTGCTCAAGTAAGGGAGGGGCAGTCTCCAGCTATGGAGTAAGGGATATCTGAAGATCTGATCTGTTTCTTAACAATACATTTTCAAAGATTATTTTAGCCTCTGTGCCCCGGACTCCCTATTTCCTCCCATGACCCCCTCCCTGAGATACTGGATCCTCTGGAGGACTCTGCAGTCTGTGGCCTGCAAGAAATGGGCTGCACAGCAGGAGGTGAGTGGTGGGCGAGTGAGTGAAGCTTCATGTATATTTACAGCCACTCCCCATCACTCACATTAGCACCTGAACTCCACTTCCTGTCAGATCGGTGGAGGCATTAGATTCTCATAGGAGCATGAATCCTCTTGTGAACTGTGCATTTGAGGGCTCTAGGTTGTGTGCTCCTTATGAGAAGCTAATGCCTGACGATCTGTCACTGTCTCCCATCACCTCAAGATGGGACTGTCTAGTTGCAGGAAAATCAGCTCAGGGCTCCCACTGATTCTACCTTATGGTGAGTTGTATAATTATTTAATTATATATTACAATGTGTTAATAATAGAAATAAAGTGCACAATAAATGTAATGCACTGGAATCATCCCGAAACCATTCCCCCAACATCCGTGGAAAAATTGTCTTCCAGGAAACTGGTCCCTGGTGCCAAAAATGTTGGGGACCACTGCTCTATAGGCTCTAGGGGCGAATACTTCCTTGCCTCTTCCTGGCTTCTGGTGGATGCCGGCATCCTTGGTGTTCCTGGGCTTGTACGCATCACTCCAACCTCTGCCTCCATCTTTACATGGCCTTCTCTTCTCTGAGGGTCTCTGTATTTCCATCTGCTCTTCTGTAAGAACACCAGTCATTGGATTAGGGCCCACTTTCACTCAGGATGTCCTGTTAAAGAAAAATTTATTCAAGACCCTTATTAAAGAATGGTATGGAAGGCTTTATACAGGACCATTGCCATAGGCATAGGGACCCCTAAAGTGGGGTTTTGCAGTAGAGGAGAGAGATTAGGCTCAACTCCAAATACAACAAGAGTAGTGACAGTAACAGAGTAAGTAAGTCAAGTAACAGAGTAGTGGGGTTGGTGGATGGAAAATTGTTTAGAGGAAACATCAGGGGAATTCTTACTAAACAGACTGATAGGGTTTGGCTGTGTCCCCACTGAAATCTCATCTTGAATTGTACTCCCATAATTCCCATGTGTTGTGGGAGGGACCTGGTGGGAGATAATTTGAATCATGGATGGGGCAGTCTCCCCCATGGTGTTATCTTAGTGAATAAATCTCACCAGATCTGATGGTTTTATCAGGGATTTCTGCTTTTGCATCTTCTTCATGTTCTCTTGCCGCCACCTTGTAAGAAGTGCATTTCACCTCCCGCATGATTATGAGGTCTCCCCAGCCATGTGCAACAGTAAGTCCAATTAAACTTCTTTTTCTTCCCAGTCTTGGGTATGTCTTTATCAGCAGTGTGAAAATGGACTAATATAGTAAATTAGTACTAGTAGAGTGGGGCATTGCTGAAAAGATATCCAACAATGTGGAAGCGACTTTGGAACTGGGTAACAGGCAGAGGTTGGAACAGTTTGGAGGGCTCAGAAGAAGACACGAAAATGTGGGAAAGTTTGGAACTTCTTAGAGACTTGTTGAATGGCTTTAACCAAAAGCCTGATAGCGATATGGACAATAAGGTCCAGGCTGAGGCAGTCTCAGATGGAGATGAGGAACTTGTTAGGAACTGGAGCAAAGGTGGTTCTTGTTACGTTTTAGCAAAGAGACCGGCAGCATTTTGCCCCTGCCCTAGAGATTGGTGGAACTTTGAAATTGAGGGAGATGATTTAGGGTATCTGGTGGAAGAAATTTCTAAGCAGCAAAGCATTCAAGAGGTGACTTGGGTGCTGTTAAAGGCATTCGTTTTATAAGGGAAACGAAGCATAAAAGTTTTGAAAATTTGCAGCCTGACAATGTGATAGAAAAGAAAAACCCATCTTCTGAGGTGAAATTCAAGCCAGCTGCAGAAATTTGCATAAGTAACAAGGAGTCAAATGTTAATCCCCAAGACAATGGGGAAAATGTCTCCAGGGCATGTCGGATGTCTTCCCAGGGGCCTAGGAGAAAATGATTTCATGGGCTGCACCGTGCTTTGTGCAGCCTAGGGACTTGGTGCCCTGAATCCCAGCAGCTCCAGCTGTGGCTGAAAGGGGCCAACATAGAGCTCAGGTCATGGCTTCAGAGGGTGCAAGCCCCAACCCTTGGCAGATTCCACATGGTGTTGAGCCTGTAAGTGAACAGAAGTCAAGAACTGGGGTTTGGGAACCTCTGCCTAGATTTCAGAAGATGTATGCAAATGCCTGGATGCCCAGGGAGAAGTTTGCTGCAGGCGTGGGACACTCATGGAGTGCGGAAGGGAAATGTGGGGTTGGAGCCCCCACACAGAGTCTCTACTTGGGCATTGCCTCATGGAGCTGTGAGAAGAGGGCCATCGTCCTCCAGACCCCAGAATATTAGATCCACTGACAGCTTGCACTGTGCGCCTGGAAAAGCTGCAGACACTCAACTGACCAGCCCATGAAAGCGGCCAGGAGGGAGGCTATACCCTGCAAAGCCACAGAAGCGGAGCTGCTCAAGGCCATTGGAAACCACCTCTTGCATCAGCTGACCTGTTGTGAGACCTGGAGTCAAAGGAGATAATTTTGGAGCTTCAAAATTTGACTTCCCTGCTGGATTTCAGACTTGCATGGGCCCTGTAACCCCTTTGTTTTGGCCAATTTCTCCCATTTGGAATGGCTGTATTTACCCAATACTTGTACCCCCACTGTATCTAGGAAGTAACTAGCTTGCTTTTGATTTTGCAGGATCATAGGTGGAAGGGACTTGCCCTGTCTCAGATGAGACTTTGGACTGTGGGCTTTGGGGTTAATGCTGAAATGAGTTAAGACTTTGGGGGACTGTTGGGAAGGCATGATTGGTTTTGAAATGTGAGAACATGAGATTTGGAGGCGCCAGGGGCAGAATGATATGGTTTGGCTCTGTGTCCCCACCCAAATCTCATCTTGAATTGTACTCCTATAATTCCCACGTGTTGTGGGAGGGACCTGGTGGGAGATAATTTGAACCCTGGGGGTGGATTCCCTCACAGTGTTCTCATGGTATTGAGTAAGTCTCATGAGATCTGATGATTTTATCAGGGGTTTCCACTTTTGCATGTTCCTCATTTTGTCTTGCCACCACCATGTAAGAAGTGCCTTTTACCTCCCACCATGAGTCTGAGGCCTCCCCAGTAATGTGGAACTGTAAGTCCAATTAAACATCTTTTTCTTCCCAGTCTCGGGTATGTCTTTATCGGCAGCGTGAAAACAGACTAATACACGGACCCAACAGGATTCTTGCTGAGGGCAGGCCAAAGTGATCACACAGCACCTCGGGGGGTGGTGGGAATGAGGAATTTGGTCAGACATTGAGGGTGCGCAGATAATGAGGGTGGGGGTTCTGGCTAAACTGACTTAGCAGGATTCTTCATAAAATTTGGATAATGCAGGACAGATATGGAAGTCCAAAAGTCAAAGCCTAGTTGGAAAGACGATTAAGAGGAGCCTGACTAAAGTTTGGTTAAGGAGAAACTCTTTGTCAGACCTCATTTTAGTTTAATTATATCTGCAAAGACCCTATTTCCAAAAAAGGCCACATTCTGAGATCGCTGATAGACAGATTTTTGTGGGGGTGACACTATTCAACCCAGTGCAGTATCTTTATACACATTTTTCTGAAAAAAAAAAAAAAAAAAAAAAAAAAAAAAAAAAAAAAAAGAAAATACTGAGATAGTGTCTTTTAAAAAATCCTCTGTATTTCCTGATTTTCTCATTCCCTTCCCACCCAATTTAGGTAAAAAATGGACTCTGCTCATTGTCTCAGGGGAAGGAGGGAGCAGGGCAGAGAACATGGGGGCTGAGGAGGCTGCCAGATTTTGCACCTAAAGGGCCATGAGCCAGAGAAGGAGGGTATTTGGGGGTAGCTGCAGAATGCCTTCTCCTGAGTCTCACTGCCAAGGCCTGGAGTATCTTTATGTGCCTTGTCATTTCTTTTGAGATGAATGAGGCAGGGAGAGAATGTTCCAGAATAATGTCATCAACTGGTGGGTGGAAGGGAGGAATGGAAATAAACACATGGCCTGTTACTGACTGATATTAATTAAAATTTAAGTCATTCTTTACACTTCACAATTATTTTCACATCCACAATCACATTCAAATGTCATGAAAATTCTGTTACTGAAGTAGATGAGTAAAATATAATGAAAGTTATCTCAATTTTACAGAGGAACAGAGAGGTTGAGAGACTTGACTAAGGACACACAGCAGTACTAGGGTGTGAATTCTTTTTTTGTTTTCCTTTACTCTAAATCAGTTCTACCCAATAAAAATACAATACAAGCCACATATATAATTAAAATTTTCTAGTAGCTACATTTAAGAAGTAAAAACAAATAAATAAAATTAATGTAATATGTAACATTTTATTTAACCTAATATATTAAAAACATTTTACCACATCATCAATATAAAAATATTAATTATGTCTTTTACATTACTTTTTCTCTTACTAAACCTTCAAAATCTGGTATGTAGTTTAGTCTTACAGCACAACTGAATTTGGGATAGGTACATTGCAGGTGATTAATAGCCACATGGGCTAATTGCTATTGAATTGGACAACACAGATCTAAACCATGTGCTATTCTAATTGCATTATCCTGCTTACCCCTGAAGAACAAAGAGAAACAAAAGCTATTGAAATATCAAGTAGTATGAGAACAGAAAAGGCTTGTGTCTTCACTGGTTGCCCCAGGCTGAAGTGACTGTGACCATCTCATATGAAACACTTCTTGCCTTGTGTAATAATTGTTGTGCTTTTGTGTGTTCTAGCAATGGATGCCCCAGTTTTCTTCTAGACACTTCTGATTTGAAATTTTCCATCCTGAACTCACCAGGAATTTTTGGAAGATCTAGGTATTCCATTATTTTGGCACCTGGCCTTCCTCTCCCTACCTGCCTCTTGCCCTTTGTGTATCAAGTATCCTGATATCTCTCCCTTTCTCTTTATATACATTTAAAAGCAAGAGAGAGAGAGAGAGACAGACAGACAGACAGACAGACAGACAGGGTCTCACTCTGTACCCAGGCTGGAGTGCAGTGGTGCAATCACGGCTCACTGCAGCCTTGACCTGCTGAGCTAAAGTGATCCTCACATCTCAGCCTCTCAAGTAGCTGGGACCACAGGTGCACCCAGCTAATTTTTAAATTAAAAAAATTTAAAAGCCTCCTGAGTAGCGGGAACACCATGCCTGGCTAATTTTTAAATTTTTTGTAGAGATGGGTAATATGGTTAGGCTTTGTGTCCCCACCCAAATCTCAGCTTGAATTGTAATTCCCATAATCCCTATGTGACAAGGGAGAGACCAGGTGGAGGTAATTGAATCTTGGGGGCAGTTTCCCACATGCTGTTCTCATGATAGTGAGTTGTCACGAGAGCTGATGGTTTTATAGGGGACTCTTCTCCACCTTCTCTCTGCACTTCTGCTTCCTGCTGTCTGGTGAAGATGGTGCCTTGCTTCTCCTTCACCTTCTGCCATAATCGTAAGTTTCCTGAGGCCTCCCCAGCCATGCTGAACTGAGTCAAGTAAACCTCGTTCCCTTTTAAATTACCCAGTCTTGGGCAGTTCTTTATAACAGTATGAAAACAAACTAATACAACAGGGTTTTACCATGTTGCCCAGGCTGGTCTTGAACTCCTGAGCTCAAGCAATCTGCCCGCCTTGGCCTCCCAGGGTGTTGAGATTACAGGCGTGAAGCACTGTGCCCTGTGCATCCTAATATTTTTGTTACTAAAAATTAAGGGCTATATGAGGACACCTGACCATTTCCCATCCAAAATCAGGAGTCTCCATCTATTTACTGCAGTGGCTGTCAAACGTTAGCTGCATCAGAATCACCAGGAGGGCTCGCCCCCAGAGTTTCTGAGCAGGTCCAGGATGGAGCCCCAGAAGGTGCAGGTCTAACAAGCCCCCACCCCACCCCCTCGGGAGGCTGGTGCTGCTGCACTTTGAGAACCAGGACAGAGGTGGCTTGGGGTCAGCCTGAGAGTGGAGGGGACTCTGTTCTCTCTAAACCCTGCCCCCCAGCTCCGACTGCCTTAATTGACCCAGAGTCCCTCAGTGTGACCCCTCAGGCCCAGGCATCTTCTGCTTGAAGAAGTGTTTTTCCTGCTGTTAGTTCCATAGAGAGGCGCCGGCTGAGCCAAAGTAACTGCACCTGGGGGGCCGATCTGAGCCCTTCCCAGGGACTCTCGGACCAGGCCTGTTTGGATGCGGGAGGCTTGGGAAACCTGAATGTGAAGTTCTCTGGAGGCCATCCCGGAACAGTTTCGTATACGAACACAAGCTCCGGCTTTCTGAGTGCGAAGTCCCAGCCAGGTGCTTCACATGTCTTAGGTGATTTACAACAACGCGGTGAGGTTGACTATTATTATCCCTATTTTAACAATAGGAATTTGAAGCACAGGTTCAGTTACTTGCCCCTGACACACCACTGGTAAGTGACAGCCCTAGGGTTTGCACCCAGGGCAGTCTAGCTATGATGTTTGCAGTCTTAACCTCTGTGCTGTACTTAAATGAACAAAAAGCCACCACCAATAAAAACCAGCTTCAAAATCGCTGAGAAAATAGTGCATCTTTATTGCTGCTCTCTGCTGCCGCCCTGCGGTTATACATTGAGAAACAGTTTCCGCCTGAGCCTTCTCCTTGTGTAGTCCGAGTTAACAGAGCAGGAAGAAATAGCCTACAACCGGGAGGAGCCGATGGTGAGTTGGCAGAGCACGGGTGGGGGCCACAGGCATCTGGCAGGGACAGCTCCAGGGTGGCTGTTTGAGCTTGTGGCCACTGCTAATGCGGCTGACGCGGGTGACCTGCAGCGCCGGGTTTCAGTAGGATGGGTCCTGCATCGATGAGGACTGCCAGTTCTCATGCCATTCCTGCGCCTTGCATTTGTTCTCCAGTTCTCTCCAACTTTAACATCTGGGTTGCGGCCGGGTGCAGTGGCTCACGTCTGTAATCCCAACACTTTGGGAGGCCGAAGTGGGTGGACCACTTGAGGTCAGAAGTTCGAGACCAGCCTGGCCAACATGGTGAAACACCGCCTCTACTAAAAAGTACGAAAACCCTTAGCTGGGCGTGGTGGTGCGTGCCTGTAATCCCAGCTACTCAGGAGGCTGAGGCAGGAGAATCGCTTAAACCGAGGAGGTGGAGGTTGCAGTGAGCTGAGATCGTGCCATTGCCCTCCAGCCTGGGTGACAGAGCAAGACTCTGCCTCAAAAAAAAAAAAAAAAAAAAAAAAAAAAGAAGAAGAAAAAGATCTGGGTTTCCAGCTACCAGCCCTGCAACCAACAGCACAGGGCTGCATTTGGTTTCCCCTTTGTTGTGGTCTGAATGTGTATGTCTCCTCCAAATTCATACTGAATCCCTCACAGTAGAGTGACAGTATTTAGAAATTAGGCCTTTGGGAGGTAACTGGAGTTAGATGACGTCACGAGGGCGGGGCTCTCATGATGGGATCAGTGCCCTTATAGGAAGGGACTCCAGAGAGCTTGTTGTCTCCAGAGCTCTCACTGTCTCCACCAGAGGACACAGTGAGAAGGTGGCCTTCTACAAGCTACGACAAGAGCCCTCACCAGACCTGACCGTGCTGGCACATTGATCTTGGACTTCCAGGTTCCAGAACCGTGAGAGAGAATTTTCCATTGTGTAAGCCACTCAGTCTATGGTATTTTGCAATGGCAGCCTGAGCAGATGAATCTGTCCTCCCTGTAGCATGGATGTTCATAACTAGGTTGGGCTCCATGACATCCTTAGTGGGAGATCTACATAGAGAGATGGAGGAGCAGGCAGCTCTGCCTTTCTGTTTAGGAATAAAGGTGTGCATTTGGCTGGAGCTTCTCTTGTGCAGTGTCTCGGGGACCCGAGGAAGATTCATAAGAAGAGGATGTCCTGCTTTGACCTGGTGGCCGGTGTTCCTTGACCATGGACCGCTTCCTCCCCCGGCCACTGAGCCAGGGCTCCATCTAGGCCTGGCCTCTACCTCTCCTCCTCAAGTGTTGCTGGGGCTACACCTGGGGTTTCCAATCTGCTGCTCTTTAAGCACAGCAGAGCCAGAGTCAGAGAAACCTTAGTTTGAACCCCAGCTCTGTTTCTCACCAGCTTCTTGACCTTTGGAAAGTTATTCTATCCAATAGTGGGTGGGACAGTGGGAGGAAGGGCCTCAGTATGTACTCCAGGGATCACTGGTCTCTGACTCTGCTGTGGGAGTCTGGGACAGGCTTCCTTGCCCAGCTTCGTCACCAACCCGTCTCGTGACATGGAAGGCATTGCAGCTACCTCACTTCTCTGAGCTTCAGGGAAGCAAAGGAGTAGGCTAGGTGATCTCTAATTATGTTCTAAAAATAGATAACACAACTCCTGTGAACTCCTGACTTTTTCTTCTTGTGTTCTCCATGTAAGGTCGAGGAGTGCAACCTTGGCTCGCTGCAACCTCTGCCTCCAGGTTCAAGCAATTCTCCTGCCTCAGCCTCCTGAGTAGCTGGTCTTGAACCCCTGAGCTCAAGCAATCTGCCCGCCTCGGCCTCCCAAAGTGTTGAGATTACAGGCGTGAAGCACTGTGCCCTGTGCATCCTAATATTTTATTGCTAAAAATTAAGGGCTATATGAGGACACCTGACCATTTCCCATCCAAACCATATCATTTCACTCCTGGTCCCACAAATCTCAGGTCCTTCTCACATTTCAATATATATTCATACCTTCACAGTAGTCCCCCAAAGTCTCAACTCATTCCAGTATTAACTCAAAAGTCCCAAGTCTCAAAGCCCAAAGTCTCATCTGGAGATAAGCTCCTTCTGCCCATGAACCTGTGAGATCAAAAAGAAGTTACTTACTCCCAAGACACAATGGGGGTACAGGCGTTGAGTATACATTCCTGTTCCAAAAGAGAGAAATTGACCAAAATAAAGGGGTAATAGGCCCCATACAGGTCTGAAACCCAGCAGGGAAGGCATTATGTATTAAAGCTCCAACATAATTCTTGACTCCATGTGCTGCATTCTGGTGTGAGGGATGGGATCCCAAAGCCTTGGGCAGCCCTGCCGCTGTGGCTTTGGAGAGTGCAGCCCTCATGTCTGCTCTCATGGGTTGGAGTTGAGTGCTTGCAGCTTTTCCAGGCAGAGGGCATAAGCTGCATGAAGCTACCATTTTGGGGTCTGGAGGGCAGTAGCCCACTTCCCACAGCTCTACTAGGCAGTGCTCTGGTGGCAACTCTCTGTGTGGGCTCCAAACCCACATTTCCCCTTGGCACCACTCTAGTAGAGTTTCTCTGTGGGGGCTCTGCCCCTGTGGCACACTTCTTCCTGGATACTCAGGCTTTTCCATATGTCCTCTGAAATCTAGGTGGAAGCTGACAAGCCTTCTTCACACTTGCATTCTGAGCATCTGCAGACTTAACACCATGTGGAAGCCACCAAGGCTTAAGGCTTGTGCCCTCAGGAGTGGTGGCCCAAGCTGTACCTGGGCCCCTTTGTGCCAAGGAAGGAGCTGGAGTGGCAAGGATGAGGGAAGCCGTGTCCTGAGAATGTGCAGGGCAGTGGGGCCCTGGGCCTGGCCTATGAAACCATTATTTCCTCCTAGGCCTCTGGGTCTCTGATGGGAGGGGCTCTCAGATGACTTCTGAAATGGTATTGAGGCCTTTATTAGGCTGTTCTTGCATTGCTATAAATAAATGCTTGAGACTGGGTAATTTATTTTTTAAAAAGAGGTTTAATTGGCTCACGGTTCTGCAGGCTGTACCGGAAGTGTGGTGCCAGCATTTGCTTCTGGTGAAGGCCTCAGGAAGTTTCCAATCATAACGGAAGGTGAAGGGAAGCCAGTATGTCATATGGCAAGAGCAGGAGCAAGAGGGACAGATATTATTAGAAGGGAGAGGTCCCAGATTCTTTTAAACAACCCGATTTTTGTATGATCTAACTAAGCAAGAACTCACTTATCACCAAGGGCGTGGAACTAAACCATTTGTGAGAGATCCACCCCGCCACCCCCCACCCCCGCCCAATCCAATTACCTCCCACCAGGCCCCACGTCTAACATTAGGAATCACATTTCAACATGAGATTTGGAGGGGACAAATATCCAAACCATAGCAGCATCCAAAGGGGGTCAGGGCTCAGCAGGGCCCAGGATCCAGGCAGAGGACCTGCCTAGCTCTGAAACTCCGCTACTTGAAAGATTTTGTGCTTATTGTCATCTGAGATGAGAAGACTGGCTGGAAGAAGAAGCTGCCTGGTTAGGAAAGCCAAGGGATGCTGAGATCATTGCTGCTTAGTCTTTCATGGGCTCTGCACTCAGCCTCCCCAGCTCCCTCTGTCAGACCAGGTGTGGCAGCTTTCCTCAGTGTGGCCTGGCTCCCCACCCCTGGCATTAGAATCATCTGGAATGATTGTTAAATTGATCTCTGACCTCACTGTATCTTCTGAATCAGGCTCTCTGAAAGAAGGCCTTGCAACCTGCATTTATTATTTTATTTTATTTTGATGGATTCTTGCTCTGTCGCCCAGGCTGGAGTGTAGTGGCACGACTTTGGCTCACTGCAACCTCCGCCTCCCAGGTTCAAACAATTCCCCTGCCTCAGCCTCTCAAGTAGCTGGGATTACAGGCATGTGCCACCATACCAGGCTAATTTTTGTATTTTTTTAGTAGAGATGGGGTTTCACCATGTTGGCCAGGCTGGTCTTGAACTCAAGTGGTCTGCTGCCTTGGCCTCCCAAATTGCTGGGATTATAGGTGAGAGCCACCATGCCCAGCTGGAGCCTGCATTTAAAATAGGACCTTCTAGTGATGATTCTGCCCTCTAACACTGGAAAACTGCCTTTATAAGGTAAAGAAGTTCGGCTTCCTTCCTCCCTTTTCATGCAGGCTTGTCTTCCTGTTGCTCTTGGTCTTGCTGTCATGGGGCCTCCTTCCCTCCTCCACTCCCAAGCCCGCCATCTTCTTGGATGATTTCAAATTCATGGAGAGAAATGTATTGAGGTCTGAAGGTAGCATAAAACTGAAAGTTAAGTGTTCCGGAGGGGAAAAGAGCCTTTGAAAGGGACAAAATAGAATCCAATAAAAAGAGACCCCACAGACCGTGGTGTCTTGGTATCCAGGGAGAAGAGAGTTCCTATGATGGAGTGATCAAGCTGTGTTTGTTAGTGGCTAATGAGTAAATTCACTGGAGGGTGTCCTGCAGTGGTTGAGGTGTATGGAAATGCCAGGGGAGGAAGTGACAACCCAGCGTGTAAATGACTCTTGAAATATGTCGCTGTGAGGAGACAATGGGTGGGAGGAGGTGACAACTAACGGGGGGGAGGGCGGGGGGAGGCACTTGGAGAAGAGGGTTTATGGCAGAGACCTGAGCGTGTTGTCAGGTTAGGGGAAAGATCCTGTTGAACTGGATAAGGTGAAGATGAATTGGTATCAGTTGCATTGCTGGACATGTAACTCCATTCCTTGCGTCAGCCAGGGAGAGAAGGTCTCATTTCCATTATTTGCGAGAGAAGGCCGTTTAAGGACAAATAGAAATTAAAAATAAGGCTAATTCTCCCAGTTGAACATAAGGGAAGAGAGTTTCCTGGCCTCCTTTTTCTTAAATTTAGAAAACTTGTAAGTACTTTCTCTTCTCTTTGAAATGTATAAATAAGGGGCGGTGGCTCACTTCTGTAATCACGGCATTTTGGGAGACTGAGGAAGGGGAATCGCTTGAACTCAGGACTTCAAAACCAGCCTGGGCAACACAGTGAAAGACTGTCTCTACAAATAATACAAAAATTAACCAGGTGTGGTGTTGTGTACCTGCAGTTCTGGCTATTTGGGAGGCTGAGGTGGGAGGATCGCTTTTGCTTGAGAGTTAGTGACTGCAGCGAGCTGTGATTGCACCACTGCAATCCAGCCTGGGTGACAAAGTGAGATCCTGTCTCAGAAAAAAACAAAAAACAAAAAACAAAAAAACCCCCAAGAAACCGTATATAAATCCGTTTGAAAACTAGATAGGTTGTTTATCAGCTTGACGACTTGGGAATGTCTTTCTCAAGGACCTGAGAACCTACCTGTCTTTCAAATGGAAACAACCTTATCTTCTATTTTCTGTGGGAAGATAGGACCCTAACTAGGCGAGGTGGGGAGGGGGTGTATCTTGCTTCACATTGCAAAATTACCTCCTGCCATAAAGATATTAGAGGTTTGTTTTTTCTCTGGATAAAGCCAATTCGCTAACAGGTGGTCACACCAATTTCCAGGTGAATCTGGGATGCACCGTGTCTGACAGATGGTGCTGTCAGATCCTCATACTTGGGAACTAGTTATTGCTTATCTTGAAAACAAGTATGTAATTGGTGATATCTGCTTGTATATATAAAGGGTACAATTTTATCCTTGTCTTTGCAGTCTCTTAGTGGATTGCTTGTAGTTTAATGCTTATTCAATTAAAAAAAGTGTTTTCTTTTTCTACTACCTATGGATACAGGTTTTCTGGGTTGGAAGAAGATTTCGTTTTTAATTATATTTTCCCAACAGCTGATACTTAAAGATGGATTCGAATTTCCTCTGAAGTTACACAGCAGAGGCTATTGGAAATTATTGAACAGTTCCGCACAGTGTTTTCCTTCTTGACTTGCTATGAGGGTTAAGTCCTTGGTGTCAGGCCAGCGTTTCCTGCACTGGCACAAGCCAGGTTGGTTCCCTTGACCCCTAGGCCTGGATTGTGTTCAGAGACGCCTCGTTCGCCTCCTAGTGGTCAGGTCGTGACTTGCAGGCTCTGCTATGAGATTAACCTTCTGACTTCATTCACTTCCTGCTTGTCAACACATACGAAATAGGCTATTTTTGAAAATGGAGTTTCTTTTCTTTCCCTCTCTAAATTAAAATCACCGTATGGTTCGCCATGATCTTGGAGAGCACCACTATTTCCTGGTGCCCTCAGCAGGAGTCTCTGACCTTTCTCTGAAGTGTGAATCCGATTCTCATGCCGACTCCTCATTAGAGAGCTGCTTTGGATATGGCTGGTCTTTGTAGAAGCGGAGTCTGCTAAGTGCACAAGTTTGGAGGGTTTAGCCTTTTTCTGTTTATGGCCACCAAGAGGTGGTAACTGACACCAGGACGCTCCCTGGACCAGATATAGTGACGTTGTAGATATAGGTAGCAGAGTGTGAGAGTGAGTGATGGGGTGAGAGGATTCCCTTTTCTCAGACGAGCTGAGGCCCAGAGGAATCAGGATGATCTCCAGCTGGGACTCAGCATTTCGGAAGGGAGAGGACAAGGACTCCCTCCCCACTCTGCTCTTGGGAGGGTCTCCAGGATGCAGAATAAAATTTAAGTTATTGTGCCAACTTAATTTCCATAATGTTGGTAATTTAGGTACCCTCAGTTCTTTAGTATCATAATAATGCCATAATAAGTATCTATACCTAAATATTTGTTTAACTTTTGGATTATTTTCTTAAGACATATTTGTATGTGCAAAATTACTGATTCAAAGAACATGAACTTCAAAAAATGATTTTAATACCTACTACTACAAGCTTAGAAATATTTTACTAGCTTATGTTCCCACCAATATTTAGATGAGTTCTGGTTTTACTATATTATTGGCAGCACTGCAAAGTATTTGTATTTTTAAATAACTTTAATCTGGGTGTGGAGGGTCATGCCTGTAATCCCAGTACTTTGAAAGACTGAGGCAGGTAGATCACTTGAGCCTGGAAGTCTGAGATCAGCCTGGGCAACATGGTAAAACCCTGACTCTACAAAAAATAAAAAAAAAATTAGCTGGTCATGGTGGTGTGCACCTGTAGTCCCAGCTACTTGGGAGGCTGAGATGGGAGGATCAATTAAGCCTATGTCGTTGAGGCTGCAGTGAACTGTGATTAATCCACTGCATTCCAGACTGGGTGACAGAGCAACACACTGTCTAAAATAAAATAAAATAAAATAAAATAAAATAATAACTTTCCTAAATCCAAGTGAAAATGCAATCTCAATATTATTTACTTTTATTGCTAGTGATCTTCAACACTTTTAAATGTTCGTTTGTTTTGTATTTCTTTGATGAGTTATCTACTTTTGTCCTTTACTCATTTGTTAAGTTCTGTAGTTTAAAAAATTGTATATGGCAATGGTATTGATTCTGTCATTTTGTGGCAAATAGTTTCTTCAGTTTACTCTAAATTTTTCTTCATTGACCTTTTCAGGCACCCACAGTTATTTGATATAGTTAAGTCAACTGATACACTATTTTTTAATTGCTTTTCCCTTAACTGATAAAATTGCACAACTTTAATTTTCAGTCAAAAGCATGAAGAAGTGGAGTGGGAATTCCAGCCCTCATCTTCAACAGAACCTTTGATTTAATGATGACATATGGACAAAAATACCTTTATGAAAAGTCCAGAATCCAGTTAAGAAGTTGTGGTAACCCAGATGAGCACAAAACAAAGAACAGCTGCATTGAAACAGGTAAGAAGAGAAATTTCACTTTACCTGAGTCAGCCCTCCTCCAAGCCAGCAAAGCTCTGTGCTGAGAGATCACCTTGGCTCATGACTTCTTTAGTGGGTAAAAGAG
The DNA here is from genome assembly GCF_000001405.40 of Homo sapiens. Classification (NCBI taxonomy): domain Eukaryota; kingdom Metazoa; phylum Chordata; class Mammalia; order Primates; family Hominidae; genus Homo; species Homo sapiens. Next base: position 129,818,449 of record NC_000008.11, on the reverse strand, counting down.
AGTGAAACCTTTGTTCAACATCCCAGCCTTTTGTGATCCTGCACAAAGGACTTGTTTCTGTCTTTACTGAAATGCTGCAAGCATAGTTTGAATGTTTAGAGGCAGCCAAGGACAAAGAAAAGGGATAGATGGCTTACTGTAGGCAGCAGGGCTCTGCAAGATTGGAGGAAGGTGCATAACCCTGAGATCCCTCTCCAAGGAGAGAGGAAGAATAGTAGAATATGCATTAAATGTCTCAACCTTTCAGTGCACTGCCCTAGGGAAAAGGGGCAGATGGCTTAGTGCAGTCAACATGGCTCTGCAAGTTTGAGAGAAGGTGTATAACCTTCAGCTTTCTTTCCCAGGAGAGATGGAGAGATGTAGGATGTGAACATTCATAGAAAATATTTGAGAGGCTCTCAAAATCTCTAGCCAGGCTGATTAGTGAAAGTCTTTCCCTTTGAAGCCATTCCATAAAGACTAGGAGAGGTGTCTATTTCTTCAAATGTGTCAACACCAATACAAAGTGATAAGGAACATGAAGCATGAGGGAACTATGACATAACCAAGGGAACAAAATAAATATCCAGTTACAAACCCTAAAGAAATAGAAATCTGTAAATATCTGACAGAGAACTCAAAACAGTAGTCTTAAGGAAGCTAGAGAGTTACAAGACAACATATCCAGACAACTGAATGAAATCAGGAAAATCATAAATGAGCACAATGAGAATATCAACAAAGAGATAAAAACCAAAAAAAGAAAACAAACATTAATTCTGAAGCTGAAGAATATAATAATTAAACTAAAAATCCAATAGAAGGTTTTAACAGACTTGATGAAGCAGAAGGAAGAAACAGCAAACACAAAGAAAGGTAATTTAAAATTATATAGACAAATAAAGAGAAGAAAGAATTAAGACAGCCCAAGGGGGTTGGGTGAGGTGGCTCAAGCCTGTAATCCCAGCACTTTGGGAGACTGAGGTGGACAGATTGCTTGAGCTCAGGAATTTGAGACCAGCCTGGGCAACAGAATGAGACCCTGTCTCTACAAAAAACACAAAAATTAGCTGGGCATGGTGGTTTGTGCCTGTGGTCCCAGCTACTTGGGAGGCTGAAGTAGAAGCATGGCTTGAGCCTGGGAGGCAGAGATTGTAGTGAAATGAGATCATACCACTGCACTGGGTGACAGAGTTAGAACCTAGCTCAAAGAAAAAAAAAAAAAATGAGAGAGCCCAAGGGACTTCTGAGATACCATCAAGTAGAAGAATCTAAATAAATATACACTGAGAAACATTATCTCAAGTTGTCAGAGGCCTCTTCTGAATTTTCTTGTGAAAAAAATTTAAAAATTGTCAAAAGTCAAAGATAGAGACAGAATTTTTAAAGCAGCAAGACAAAAGCAAATCATCATGTACAAGGAAACCACGACAGGATAATCAGTGGATTCATTAACAGGAATATTGGAGGCCAGAAATGAGTGGGATGATATAGTCAAAGTCCTGGAAGAAAAAAACACTGCCAACAAATAATGCTATATCTGGCAAAAGTGTCTTTCAAAAATGAAGAAGAATATTTTGCTCCAGATAGCTGACTATAAGCAGTTAGTGTGTTCCTCTTTTATGGAGAGAAAACTAAGTGGCAACTAAATTTTAGCTCTTTAAGTGAACCATCTAAGAGATCATGCTGGGATTCACCAAGGAAGCAATGGGATCCATGAACAACAGAGAGGAATGAAGCTAGGTGGCTGCCCAACTGGAACGGGGGTAGAGCTGGGGGAAGCTCCCTAATGCGGGAATGATTCCCCAGTGTATTCGCCCTTCTGCCATAAAACTTTACAATTCTGGGCATAGGAAAGCCACCCTGACTCCCCTGGGTTTCCAGACCAACACAGAGTGCTGTCTGGAGTCTGTGTAGAGGCACTGCTCAAGACCATATGTAGCCCTATGGGCTTTTGATCCCTGAGCAGCCCAGCACCAGCTGACATAGCCCCACCAATAAGGAAGGACAAGCTCTGTTGCATGCTCCTAGGATAGATGCTACAGTCATGGTACTGAATAGTAGACAGACTGTGTGACCCTCCTCACCACTGCTGCTCCTCATTAGGCAAGACCTGCTAGCTTGGGCTCCCAGTGCAGCCACCCCATCCCCACCTGAACACTGCAGTTGGTTGTGGCTCTGTGTTCCTGTGGGACCAACTTTCCCAGAGGTAGCTGACAAGCCCTTCATAATCACCTTTGCCAATGCAGCTGCCCCTGCTACACTCAGGCCAGGGAGGAAACAAGAAGATGGGGCATTTTTGTTCACCATCAGCCCTGATGTCACAGCCAAGAAACAGAGGAACAATGGGGAGACTGCGCACCCCACAACTCCCTACCCATTTATTGGGTTGAATGATGAGGTCCTGTCCTGAAACCATTCTAATAGAGAGTCACAAAACAGGCATTTTTTCATGGCTCTTAACCACATTGTGGTCTAGAAGTAGACTACAGTGTGCTCTGACCTAGAAGTCATGAGCTCCAGAACAGGGGTGTGATAGGGAAACAGATCACATTCTTGCCTATCTAAAAGAAGGAGCCTGTGCAGCCTCTACTCCCCCTAGAGAGACATCAGTGCATTTCACCAGGAATGCCTCCCAGCCGCTCTCATCAGAGTTGATGTCTGCACTCACTATTGGTGTCTTTGTGGGCAAGCCAGGGGCTCCAGTTCTGTTAAGCTCTGTCCCCCTACATCCTGGGAAGAAGAAGCTCATGGCATCAGGCTATCCACTGTCCAGCCCATCACCTGAAACAACAGAGAGCATCTCATAGTAAACAAAGATCAAGTACTTACACATCTGCCTGGGAAGCAGCTGGCTTTTACTTGTAAGCACTATCTACTGACTTGTAGGCCAAACTGCAAAATCTAATATAAAACCTGCTGACAGAAGTACACAGGGGTATACAAGCAAAGCTGCAAGACCTTACTCAACATATTCTACAGACACACATCCTAGGAAGGGGCAGGAGAAGGAAAAGAAAAAATATATGAAGAAAGAAAAAAAAATCCACCTGTAAGAAAATAATTAGAAAAATTAGAAGTGCTAGCCTCTCCAGATGAGAAGAAACCAGCATAATTCTGGCACCATGAAAAATTTGAAGGCTGTGATACAACTTGTATTAGTCTGCTGCTAATAAACACATACCCGAGACTGGGTAATTTATGATGGAAAGAGGTTTAATTGACTCACAGTTCAGCATGGCTGGGGAGGCCTCAGGAAACTTAGCAATCATGGTGGAAGTGTAAGCAAGCAAGCCCTTCTTCACATGGCAGCAGGAAGAGAAGTGCCAAGCAAAGGGAGAAAAGCCCCTTTTGAACCATCAGATCTCATGAGAACTCACTATCATGAGAACAGCAGCATGGGGGTAATTGCCCCCATTCAATTACCTCCCACTAGGTCCCTCTCACAACACGTGGGGATTATGGGAACTACAATTCAAGATGAGATTTGGGTGGGGACCCAGCCAAACCGTATCACCACTAAAGGATCACACTAGCACTCTAGCAATGTTCCTAACCAAAGTGGAAACCCAGAAATGTTAGATAAAGAATTCAAAGCATGGATTATAAGGAAGCTCAATGAGATCAAAATTAATATGAAGAAACTACTAAGGCAATTCGGGAAATGAAAGACAAGAAAGATAAACATCATAAAAAGTCAGCCAGAAATTCTGGAGTTGAAAACTCTCACTTAAGGAATTATTTTGAAAGCTTTCTCAATAGACTAGACCAAGCAGAAGAAAGAATTTTAGCGCTTGAAGACCAATCTTTTGAACTAAACCAGTCAGATAAAAAATAAATAATTTTAAAATATTAACAAAGTCTTTGAGAAATATAGGATTATGTAAGGCAACCAAACCTATGAATTATTGGCATTCCTGAGAGAGGAGAAAAAGTAAACAACCTGGATAACAGATTTGAGGGAATAATTCAAGAAAAATTTCCTCATCTTGCTAGAGAGGGAGACATCATATATAAGAAATCCAGATTGGGAGGCTGAGGTGGGCAGATCACGAGGTCAGGAGTTCAAGACCAGCCTTGCCAACATGGTGAGACCCCATCTCCACTAAAAATACAAAAAATTAGCCAGGCACGGAGGCACATGCCTGTAATCCCAGCTACTCGGGAGGCTGAGGCAGGAGAATAGCTTGAACCCAGGAGGCGGAGATTACAGTGAGCTGAGATTGCGCCATTGCACTCCAGCCTGGGTGACACAGCAAGACTCTGTCTCAAGCAAAAAAAAAATCGAGAGGATACCTGCAAGATACTATACAAGATGAACATCACCAAGGCATATAGTCACCAGACTATCCAAGGTCAATGCTAAAGAAAAAATATTAAAGGCAGCTAGAGAAGAGAGTCAGATCACTTACGAGGGGAACCTCATCAGGCTACCAGTAGATTTCTCAGCAGAAACCTTACAAGCTGCAAGAGTTTGGGGGTGTATTTTCATCATCCTTAAAAGAAATTCCAAACAAGAATGTCATATCCCGTCAAATTAAGCTTTATAAGTGAAGGAGAAATAAAATCTTTTCCAGATGAGTAAATGCTAAGGGAATTCATTACCACTAGACCAGTCATACAAAAGATCATCAGGGAGTTCTAAACATGGAAATGAAAGAACAATACCTGCTACTGCAAAAACACACTTAAGTACATTTACAGATCCTATTAAGCAACTTCACAATCAAGACTACATAGCAACCAGTTAACAGCACAACTGGATCAAAACCTCACATATGAATATTAATCTTGAAGGTGAATAGTCTAAATATTCCTCTTAAAAGATACATAGTGGCAGCTATTGTCAAGAGACTCATCTCACAGTAACAACCTCCACTGGCTCAAAGTAAAGGCTTGGAGAAAGATTTATCATGCAAATGGAAAAACAAAAAAACAGCAGGGGCCACTGTTCTTATATCACGTAAAACTGACTTAAACCAACAACAACCAAGAAGTACAAAGAAGGGCATTACATAATGATAAAGGGTTCAATACAATAAAAAGACTTAACTTTCTTAAATATATATGTACTCACCATTGGTGCATCTAAATTAAAAAAACAAGTACTTCTAGACCTATAAAAAGATTTTGATAGCCACACAATAATAGTGGGGGACTTCAACACTCCCCTGACAGCATTAGATTATTGAGGCAGGAAACTAACAAATTCTGGACTTAAATTTGACACTTGACTAATTGGACCTAATAGAAATCTACAGAATATTCCACCCAGCTACCCAGATTATATATTCTTCTCATCTGCATATGGAACATACTCTAAGATTGCCCACATGCTTGGTGATAAAGCAACTCTCAATAAATTCAAAAAAATTGAAATCACACTGAACACACTCTTGGACCATAGTGGAATAAAAATAGAAATCAATACCAAGAAGATCTCTCATAACCACACAATTACGTGGAAATTAAACAACTTGCTCCTGAATGACTTTTGGGTAAACAACAAAATTAGGGCAGAAATCAAAAAAATTTTTGAAATAAATGAAAACAGAGACACTTATATCCACATCTCTGGGATGCAGTAAAGGCAGCGTTAAGAGGAAAGTTTATCATGCTAAAACACCTACATCAGGAAGTCAGATAGATCTCAAATTAACAATCTAAAATTGCAAGTAAAGGAATTAGAAAAGCAAGAACAAACTAACCCAAAGAAATAACCAAAGCAGAGCAGAAATGAGTGAAATTAAGACCTAAAAATTCATACAAAGGATTGATGAAATAAAAACTTTATTCTTTGAAAAGGATAAACAAGACTGATAGACTGCTAGGCAGAATAACAAAGAAAAAAAGAGAAAGATCTAAATATGAACAAATGAACGATCAGCAATGACAAAGATAACATTATAGCCAACCTCACAGATGCAAAATTTCTTCAGAGACTATTATGAATACCAATATGCATGCAAACTAGAAAATCTTGAGAAAATAAATAAATTCCTGGAAACACATAAACTCCCAATATTGAATCAGGAAGAAATGGAAGCCCTGAACATATCAATTATGAGTTCTGAAATGAATCAGTAATAAAAAATCTACCAACCAAAAAAAGCACTGGACCAGATGTATGCATAGCCAAATTGTATCTGACATATTATGAAGAGCTGGGACCAATTCTATTGGAACTATTCCAAAGTATCAAGGAGGAAGAACTCCTCCCTAAGTCATTCTATGAAGTGAGCATCATCCTGATACCAAAATCTGGCAAAGACACAACAAGAAAGAAAACTACAGGTCAATATCCTTGACAAACATAGATGCAGAAATCCTCAATAAAATACTAGCAATGAAAGCCAGCAGTACATCCAAAATTAATTCATCACAATTAAGTAGGCTTTATTCCTCAGATGCAAGGTTGGTTCAACCTATGCAAATCAATAAACGTGACTCATCACATAAACAGAATTAAACACAAAGACAGTATGATCATCTCAATAGATGCAGAAAAGGGTTTTGTTAAAATCCAACATCCCTTCATGATAAAAACTCTTAACAAACTAGGAATTGAAATAAAATACATAAAAATAATAAGAGCCTTCTGTGACCAACTCACAATCACATCAAGCAAATAGGTAGAGGCATTCCCTTTAAGAACTGGAATAAGACATGGATACACAGCCTCACCACTCCTATTCAACGTAGTACTGGAAGTCCTAGCCAAAGCAGTCAGGCAAGAGAAAGAAATAAAAGGTATTGAATAGGAAAAGAAGAAGTCAAATTATCTCTCTTTGCTGATGATGAGATTCTATACCTAGGAAACCCTCAAGGCTCTGCCAAAAGGCTCCTAGAACTGATAAACTACTTAGGTAACATTTCAGGTTACAAAATTGATATACAAAAGTCAGTACCATTTCTATACACCAATAATATTCAATCTGACAACCAAATCAAGAATGCAATATTATTTAAAACCGCCACCAAAAAATAAAATACCTAGGACTACATCTAATGAAGAAGGTAAAAGATCTCTGCAAGAAGAATGACAAAACACTACTGAAAAAAATCATAGGTGACACAAATAAATGGAAAAACATTCCATACTCATGGACTAGAAGAATCAATATTGTTAAAATGGCCATAAGCAATATACAGATTCAATGCTATTCCTATCAAACTACCAATATTATTTTTCACAGAATTAGAAAAAAAGATTCTAAAATTCATATAGAATCAAAAAAGAGCCTGAATAGGGAAAGCAATCCTAAGCAAAAAGAACAAAGCCAGAGGCATCACATTAGCTCACTTCAAACTACACTACAAGGCTACAGTAACCAAAACAGCATGGTATGGGTACAAAAAAAGACATATTGACCAATGTAACAGAATAGAGAACCCGGAAATAAAGCCACACACCTAAAACCATCTGATATTCTATGAAGTCAACAAAAATAAGCAATGTGGAAAGGACTCTCTATTCATAAATGGTGCTAGGATAACTGGCTAGCCATATGCAGAAGAATGAAACTGGACACCTACTTATCACCATATACAAAAATTAACTCAAGATGGATTGAAGACTTACATGTAAGACCTAAAACTATAAAAAACTTTGAAAAAAAAAACCCAGGAAATACCATTCTGGACATCAACTTTCACAAAGATTTTATAACTAAGTCCGCAAAAGCAACTGCAACAAATGCAAAAATTGACAAGTAGGACCTAATTAAACTAAAGAGCTTCTGCACAGCAAAATAAACTATCAATAGAGTTAACAGACGACCCATGAGAGGGGAGAAAATATTCACAAACTATGCATCTGACAAAGGTTTAATACCCAGAATCTACAAAGAACTTAAACAATTCAATAAGCAAAAACTGGCCGGGCGCGGTGGCTTACACGTGTAATCCCAGCAGTTTGGGATGCCGAGATAGGCATATCACCTGAGGTCAGGAGTTCGAGACCAGCCTGACAAATATGGTAAAACCCTGTCTCTACTAAAAGTACAAAGTTAGTCGAGCATGGTGGCACATGCCTGTAATCTCAGCTACTCATGAGGCTGAGACAGGAGAATCACTGGAACCCAGGAGACAGAGGTTGCAGTGAGCTGAGATTGTGCCGTTGTACTCCAGCTTGGGCAACAAGAGTGAAACTCCATCAAAAAACAAAACAAAACAAAACAAAACAGAAAAACACCAAATAATCCCATTACAAAGTGAGCAGAAGACATGAATAGACACTTCTCAAAAGAAGACACACAAGTGGCCAATAAGCATATGCCAAAAGCTCAATATCACTAATTATCAGAGGAAGGCAAATCAAAACCACAAGGAAATACCATCTCACATCAGTCAGAGTGGCTATTATTAAAAACTCAAAAAATAACAGGTGTTTGCAAGGCTGTGGAGAAAAGGAAACACTTATACACTGTTGGTGGGACTGTAAAGTAGTTCAACCACTGTAGGAAGAAGTTGGGAGATTTTTCAAAGACTAAAAACAGAACTACCACTCAACCCAGCAATCCCGTTACCCTTCCTTTTGGTATATACCCAAAGGAAAATAAACTATTCTACTAAAAAGACACATGCACTCTTATATTAATCACAGCACTATTCACAATAGCAAGGACATGGCATCAACATAGGTGTCCATTAGTTGTGGACTGGATAAAGGAAATGTGGTACATATACATCATGGGATACTACATAGTCATGTAAAAGAATGAAATCGTGTCATTTGCAGCAACATGGATGCAGCTGGAGGCCAATATTCTAAGTGAAGTGTTGAAAAACTACCTATTGGGTACTTTGTGCACTACCTGTGTGATGGGATCAATCACACCCCAAACCTCAGCATCACACAATACACATTGTAACAAACCTGCACACGTACCCCCTGAAGCTAAAATAAAAGTTGAAATAGACAAAAACAAATACGAAATAACTTTATAATGCAGACATAAGATGTTAGTATGTCTGCATTATAAAGTTAAAATGTGGTATAAATCAATTTAAGGTTGTTTTCTTCATTGTCTTGGAGTCAAGATTCATACCTATAAATAAAGCTAAATCACAACCTTCCCCTAAACACAACAAAATGAAGAAGAGATAAAGACTTTCCCAGACAAATACTGAGGCAGTTTATCACCATTAAACTTGCCTTACCAGAAATGCTAAAGGGAGTCCTTTGAGTTGATACAAAAGGATGTTAAATAACAACATGAAAGCATATGAAAGTATAAAACTCACTGGAGAAGGTAAATATACAAATACAGAAAACTGTAATATTGTAAATTGGTGTTGTATAAATCATTTTTAATTTTCATATAAAGTTAAAAAATAAGCAAAAGTATTAAGAATACCTATAACTATACAAATCATTGATGGATATACAATATAAAAATATATAAACCACTAGGCATGTTGGCTCATGTTTCTAATCCCAGCTACTTAGGAGGCTGAGGCAACAGGATTGCTGGAGATTAAGATTGTTCAAAAACAATCCGGTCAACATAGCAAGACCCTGTATTGCAAGTCCATAGCAAGTCCATTTTGCACTGCTGTAAAGGAAAACCTGAGACTGGGTGATTTATAAAGAAAATTGTTTTATTTGTCTTACGGTTCATGCATGGGACAAGCATCTGCTTGTCTTCTGGTGAGGTGTCAGGGAGCTTTTTCTCAAGGTGGAAGGTGGAAAGGGAGCAGGTGTGTCATATGGCAAGAGAGGGAGCAAGAAATATGCCAAGCTCCTTTAAACAACCAGCTCTTGAATGAACTAATAGAAGCAGAACTCACTCATCACCAAGGGGATGGCACTAAGCCATTGGTGAGGGATCCGTCCCCCTAATCCAACATTTTTCACCAGGCCAGGCCCCACCTTCAACATTGAGGATCACATTTCAACATAAGATTCGGAAGGGACACACATCCAAACCATATCTTTCCACCCCTCGTTCCCCAAATCACACATCCTTCTATGGCAAAATACAATAATCTCTTCCCAGTAGTCCTCAAAAGGGTCAACTTGTTTCAGCATCAACTCAAAAGTCCAGAATCTCATCTGAAACTCAAGGCATGTGCCTTCTACCTATAAGCCTCTAAGATCAAAACCAAGTTATTTTCTCCTAAGATACAATGGTGGTACAGGCATTGGGTAGACATTTCCATTCTAAAGGGAGAAATCAATCAAAAGAAAGGGGCAATAGGTCCCACACAAATTTGAAATCCAGCAGGGCAGGCTTTAAACCCTAAAGCTCCAAAATAATCCTTCACTCCATGGTGTGCATCATAGTGTGAGGGGTGAGCTCCCAAGGGTTTGGCCAGCTCTGCTCCTGTGGCTTTTCCAGACTGATGTCAGAAGCTGCCAGCAGCTCTACCATCCTAGAGTCTGGAGGGCAGTGGCTCTGTTCCTACAGCTGCTCTAAGCAGTGCTCCAGTATGGACTCTCTGTGGGGGTTCCAACCCCATATCTCCCCTTGGCACTGCCCTAGCTGAGTCATTCTGCAGGGGCTTTGGCCCTGTGCCAGGCTTCTGTCTGAGCACCTAGGCTTTCTCATACATCCTCTGAAATCTAGGTGGAAGCTGCCAAGCCTCCTTTACTCTTGTATTGTCTGATCCTGCAGACTTAACATGCCATGGAAGCTAACAAGGCTTACAGCATCTTGCATTCTCCAAAGTGGCGGTCTGAGCTGTATCAGGGGCCCTTTGAGCCAAGGCTGGAGCTGGAGGAGTGGGGATGGGGCAGACAAGCTTACCAAGGTGGCACAGCAGAGTGGTGCCCTGGACCTGGCCCCTGAAACCATTCAGTCCTTTTAGGCCTCTGGACTTGTGATTGAAGGGCAGTCTAGAAGATTCTGAAAATGTCTTACGGTCTTTTTCCCCATCATCTTGGCTAGTAGCACTTGGCTCCTTTTAGTCATGCATATCTCTCTAGCAAGTGGTTGTTCTGCAACCCTCTTGGATTTCTGTCTTGAAAATCCTCTTTCCTTCTCTAACGCAGGCTGGTTGCAAATTTTCCAAACTTTTATGCCCTGTTTCCCTTTTAAATGTAAGTTCCAACCTTAAGTCATTCATTTGCTCCCATACTTGATCATAGGCTGTTAGAAGCAGCTGGGCTACATCTTGAATACTCCCTGCTTAGAAATCCCTAGGACATGTACATAATGTAGCCAAGTTCTTTGCTAGGGCATAACAAGGTGACCTTTGCTTCGGTTCTCATTAAGTTTCTAATTTCCATGTGAGACCTCATCAGCCTAGCCTTCACTGTCCATCAGCATTTTGGTCACAACCAACTTAACAAGTCTTTAAGAAGTTCCAAATTTTCCCTTGTCTTTCTTTCTTCTTCTGAGCCCTCCAAACTTGTGTAACCTCTGCCCATTACCCAGTTTCAAGGCTGCTTCCACATTTTCAAGTATTTTTATAGCAATGTCCCATCCCTCAACACCAATTTCCTTCCTGTATTAGTCCATTTTACATTGTTATAAAGAAATAACTGTAATTTATAAATAAAAAGGGTTTACTTGGCGTATGATTCTGCAGGCTGTATAAACATGGCACCAGCTTCTGCTTGGCTTCTAGTGAGGCCTCAGGAAGCTTTTACTCATGGCAGGAGGTAAAGGGGGAGCAGGTGTGTCACATGGTGAGAGAGGAAGTGAGAGAGAGAGAGAGGAAGAGGTGCCAGGCCTTTTTAAACAACTAGCACTCATGTAAACAAATAGTGAGGACTCACTCATCATCAACCTGGTGACACTAAGCCATTCACAACGGATCCACCTTCATTATCCAATACCTCCTACCAAGTTCCACCTCCAAATTAGGGATCACAGTTCAACATTTGGAGGGGATGCATTCCAAACCATATCAGACCCCACTTCTAAAAAATTCTTTTAAAATTAACCGGTGTGGTGGTGTGTACCCATAATTCCTGCTACTGTGGATCCTGAGGCAGGAGGATCACTGGAGCCCAAGAGTTCAAGGCTGTGGTGAGCTGTGATCGTGCTGCTGCACTCCAGCCTGAGTGACAAAGATGTTATATCTTAAAAAGACATAAACTCTGACATGAAGAATGTAAAGTGTAGTGATGAGAGAAATAAGTGTCGAGTTTTATTATCCAATTAAAGTTACATTGTTACCAGCCTATAATCCACAGTTGTAGTTATAAAATATTTTATGTAATCCTTGTGGTAATAACCACAAAGAAAATACCTATAGAATACTATGCAGCCATAAAAAATGATGAGTTCATGTCCTTTGTAGGGACATGGATGAAGCTGGAAACCATCATTCTCAGCAAACTATCGCAAGGACAAAAAACCAAACACCGCATGTTCTCACTCATAGGTGGGAATTGAACAATGAGAACACGTGGACACAGGAAGGGGAACATCACACACTGGGGCCTGTTGTGGGGTGGGGGAAGGGAGGAGGGGAGGGATAGCATTAGGAGATATTTTGTTAAATGATGAGTTAATGGGTGCAGCACACCAACATGGCACATGTATACATATGTAACAAACCTGCACATTGTGCACATGTACCCTAAAACTTAAAGTATAATAAAAAAAAAAAGAAAATACCTATGGAAAATACACACAGAAGAGAAAAGAACCAAAGTGTACCACTTCAGCTGAGCAGCTGCCCTGTGTGAAAAATACAGGGCTTCTGCCTCCTTCTCACAAAGCCCAGTCCACCATTTCAAGGAGGTGGAAACCTAAAGCTAGGTATCAAAGCAATCTCAAACGAGAGTGATGTTTTATTTGGTTTAAGTGCCTTTGTTTATGGGGCTTGGAATCAAAAGACCTCAGTGGGGCCTGTGCCTCTTGCGGGACTAACTCACAAACCTTGGCGAGTCCTCTTCTAGGAGTAACTCACCAACTAAACTTGGGAAGGTCATTTCACTTCCCAGTTACTTTTCTTTAGTTTCTAAAGCTCTTAAGTGCAGACAAATGACACATAAAATACATTGCATATTATTTAATATTGTAACACACACACACACACACACACACTCACAAACTTTCTATGTCCCTAGCATACTCTTTAAGTGAATACACATTTGATAAATGCATTTGGTTAAGTTAATTTAAAATATTATAGTTGGTTATTGTGAGTGACTTAGGTAAATCACATGTGCTTGAAGATTTTTCAGTCTCATGCCATAAAACATTTCTGCTCAGGATGTTATAGCATTTAGGGTACTTTAACTGTGAAGGTTTGTTGCTGTTGGTTCCTTATTTTTTTTTCCAGCTATAAAACCAAACATGTAGGTAATATAGCAGCCACCCCTTTAGATCTTCTAGAATCCATCATTTACCCAAAGCAAAATGTAGTATCACATAATTAAATTGACTTTCAATTTTATCAATACTGAATAATCTCATATATTAAAGCACTATAAATGAGAATGTTAGAATATAGTCTCAGGACAGGAGTCAGGTTTTCATGGCACCCAAGAAGTGGGAAATAATTACCCCACCCCTTCTGACCTCCCAGAAACAGGTCCTGATTAGGATCCAGTCCCCTCTTGGAAGTGAGGCTGGGCTGGCTTGCTCTTGGTATCCCCATTCCACTTTAGGGTGGCTCTGTGTTTTTTTTTTTTTTTTTTTTTTTTTTTTTGTGAAACAGAATCTTGGTCTGTCTCTCAGGCTGGAGTACAGTGGCACTACCACAGCTTATTGCAGCCATGATCTTCTGGGCTCAAGTGATCCTCCCACCTCAGCCTCTTGAGTAGCTGGGACTACAGGGATGTACCAGCATGCCTGGCTAATTAAAAAAAAAATTGTAGAGACAGAGTCTTGCCACATTTGATCAGGCTGATCTTGAACTCCTGGGCCCCAGCAGTCCTCTCACCTTGACCTCCCAAATTACTGGGATTACAGGTGTGAGCCACAACACTCAGTCAGTGGCTCTGTATCTTGACATAAGTATTCCAAGGATGGACATTTGCTGAAATCAATCATACTGCTATTGTCCTTTAGCACAGGAGTGCTGATCAGTTCTGTGGCCTCTGTTACCACATACAGGTTCTCCCTTCTCTTATGCACTGCTCCAGAAATAATGGTTCTCGGTCCATCAATCCAACAGTTTCCTGGGATATAAGGCAGGAGGAAAAGAGTAAGAGTTGGGGAAGAACACCTTCTTATTTGTTCTGAATTACACATCTCCTCAGGTGCTGGACATTGTGCAGTGCCTCTGGAAGTTGACAGGTGAACCCTCAATAGGTAGGAAAATCAATTAACTTTGTAGCTGGCCAAGAAACATTACATATCCTGCATCCCATTTACTAAAAGAATCTCATGCCTTATTTTTTTTCATATTTAAAGCTTTGACTTCAGGGTTACTTATTTCTTTTAGTGCTAGCTAATAAAATTTATCATATAAGTTGAGCCTCTTTCAATATGAAGAAAAACCTAAAAGAAATCTTGTGGACGACCAGTGAGCACCAGGTGAATTTGTTGGAAGTGGCAAAGAGAAGGAGAATTTTCCTTCCAATAGGTAAACATACGCCTGTCTTATGCCACTGTAGTTAAGATCAAGCTGACTAAACTGTCTGATTTGTATTCATCAACTAGAAGACTGCTTTATATATGTGTGTAAATTGCCTGCTTGGTGCTGCAAAACCCAGCTTTTCAAGCATTTATGCAAAGTTGCTGTGACTGAAATAGGACAAGGCTATAACTTTCACGAAGATGGGCATGAAATGGTTAAATATAAAAACCCAGAAGCCTCACTGTTGTGCCAACTAGACCATAATCCTCGAGAAACATCAGCACAGGACTGAAGAGATGTAGACATGATCGTCAGTGGCTGGGATGGGCAGGAGCGCTAAGGCCCTGGGGAGCACCTCTGAACTCCTTCCATGTGGAGCTCTGTACACCAGGAATTAACTGCACAGATTATGTAATCCAATCTTGCAACAACCTTTATTTTAAAGATAAAGAGAAAGGAGATTTGTAAAAACGACAACTTACCCAAACCCATGTTTTCTCAATTGTTCCCCTTAGCCTTGTGGAGTAAGTGAAGTTCCCCTAGGAGGGGAAACTGTAGGACAGGAAGGCCACAACTGTAAGTTTTCTGGGAAATCCTCTAACTGACACTCAAATGGCAACATTCATTCACTGAAAGTGTTTCAAACCATTTTTATTTCACTTTCGTGCTCTGTCTTGTTCCTTCCTGTTAGTAGCTGGAATAAGTCCTAAGTCCTAAGCCACGTCCTAGCAGGATGATCTTTAGGGAACAGAAATGAGATAACTAGGCTGTGAGTCCTTGCCAGGATCAAGGCAGACCAGTGAGCACCTAGTGAATTTACTGGAAGTGGCAAAGAGAAGGAGAAAGGCCCAGACTTCCTGGCTCCTGCTTGTCTCCTCATCCTCTTTCTGTTCCCTAAGAACCAACCACGTTGCTCTTCCTCCTGCCCCTTTCCAGGCCAGGCTTGTGCCCATCTGAGGGCTTTTCCACTCGCTTTTCTTCACTGGGGAATGCTTTTTGCCAGTTTTTGTCATGCCTGTCTTCTTATCATTCATGTCCCACTGAAACTTAGAGGTGAGCACCCTGTGATAGTACCCTCACTGCCAACTCTCTCTTTGCCATTTAATTTCATTTATTTTGTCAACAACTTTTTTTTTCTTTTAAAGATGGGGTCTTTCTCTTCCTCTGTCACCCAGACTGGAGTCCAGCAGTGGCAAGATCATAGCTCACTGTAACCTCAACTCCTGGGCTCGGACAATCCTGCCAAGTAGCTAGGACTTACAGGAGGATGACCCTACACCCAGCTAATTTTTCTATGTTTATTTTTCTGGGAGATGGCATCTCACTATGTTGCTCGGGCTGGTCTTGAACTCCTGGCTTCAATCAAACCTTTTGCCTTGGCCTCCTAGAGCACCAGAATTATAGGTGTGAGCCATCGCACTCAGCCTATGACTCTTATTAGTCCTTGAAACTGTCATATTGATTCTTTTTTTAAAAAACATGTGCCTTGTCTGGCTCCCACACTAAAAGGCAAGCTCTTTGGGTCTGGGATTCTGTCTCATTAACCTCTATATCTAGACAAAGACTACCTCCTTGACCACACTTTAGGCAGGTTCCTCTGAGCCCTCTTCTCAACTAGACCTTGACTTTGGGCTTCTGTGTTGTCCTGTGTTGCCCAGTTTTAGAAAAAAAATCCTGTTGAGTGGGTTTAGCCAGAATTCCCACCCTAAATACCTGATCACCCTCAAATCTGATCAAATTCCTTATTCTCCCACCATTCCCCAGGTGATATTTGATCACCTTGGCCTGCCTGCAGCAAGAATCCTCCAAGGTCAGTTTAGCAAAAATTACCCTACCTTCATAGTAATTTTCCATTCACTGACCCACCATGCTGCTTTGGTAAACTCCCTACTTTTCCTTGTTGTGTTCAGTATTGAGCAGAGTTCTATCTATTTTACCTCTCACTGCAATAGTTCCTAAATAAATTACTTTTGCTGCCCCTTTAACTGCTGTCCAGTTCTGATTTTCTTTGACGATGCCAAATAGGCTTGCCAGGAGTGAAGCAGAGGCTGTTGTAGAGATAAATAACAAGAGGGTGCTATTTATAGACTTAGCATGGTTCCTTGCAGAAGAAACTTGGAGTTTTCTTTTCATGTTTTCCAAGATTGCTGTTTCCTTAACAAGACGCTGTTTCCCACCTAGGAGAATCAGACATACTTAGCTGCTGCTACACGTTTGGTTTCCCATATTTTATCCTTTATACCCATCCTCTGGGATGTTGTAGGGTGCTTTGGGGTGGAGAATAAGAAAATGTGTCAGTAACTTTCTTGGCTATTTATTATGATGGTCATAATACTAAATCTCTTTTATTCTAAGCCTAATCAAAAAGTACTGATGGTTTGTTGGACTGTGAAATTTTTCAGAATAAAAATGGAGTCACTTGCATAAAAAATTCTAACAAATGGAGCAAGAAAAGGCCATGACAGGAGGGACTCATGCAGGAATGCCTGATAACAAGAACTGTCACAAAAGACTCTGCAAAACCACAACCTGAGGAGGCAGAGAAAGATGGCAGAACAGAAGCCTCCACCAATTGTACTTCCTGCAGGAACACCAAATTTAACAGCTATGTACATAAACAAGCACGTTTATAAGAACCAAAATTCAGGTGAGCAATCACAGTAGCTGGTTTTAACATCATATTGCTGAAAGATGCACTGAAGAGAATAGGAAAGATAGTCTTGAATTGCTGACACCACCCCTTCTCCATCACCCCAGCAATGGCTGGCTGTGTGGTACAGAGAGAATCTGTGTGCTTGGAGGAGGGAGAGTGCAGCGATTGTGAGGCTTTGCATTGGAAAGCAGTGCTGTCAACCCTGGGCAGAATTCGGTCAGTGCTCTCAGAGGGAGCATTTAGACCTGCCTTAGCCAGAGGGGAATCACCCATCCCAGCAGTCAGAACTTGAGTTTCAGCAAGGCTCACCATGGGCTAAAATGCTCTGGGGTTCTACAAAAACTTTAAAGTCTGAATGGGTCACAAGGACTGCAATTCCTAGGCAAGTCCTGGTGCTGGGTGTGTTTCAGAGCCAGTGGACTTTGGGAGCATTTGACCTAGTGATATCACTAGGCCAGCCAGCCAGGGAACCTAATGGAATGCTTATGTCACTCCTCCCCCAACCCCAGGCAGTACAACTTGTAGCTCTAAAAGAGACCCCTTCCTTCCACTTGAGGGGAGGAAAGAGTAAAGAGGACTTTGTCTTGCAACTTGGATACCACCTCAGCCACAGAAGGATAGGGCACCGGGCAGAGTTGTGAAGCCCCCATTCAAGACCCTAGCTCACGGACAACATTTCTAAACACACCCTGGCACAGAAGGGAAACTGCTGCCTTGAAAGGAAGGACCCAGTCCTGGCAAGATTTATCACTAGATGACTAAAGATCCCTTGGGTCCTGAATAATATAATCAGCAGCAGTAACCAGTTAGTACACGCTGTGGGCCTTGGGTGAGACTCTGAGATGTGCTAGGTTCAGGTGTGACTCAGTACATTTACAGTTGTGGTAGCTATGAGGAGAAACCCCCTTCTGCTTGAGAAAAGCAAAAAGAAGAGTAAAGGTGACTTTGTCTTGAGCTTAGATACCAGCTTGGCTGCAGTGGAGAAGAGCACCAAGCAGGCTCTTTACGTCCCTAAGTACAGGTCTTGGCTGTTGGATGAGATCTCTGAACCTAACAGAGGGGAGCCCACTGCCCTGAAGAGTAAGGCCCAGGCCTGGCAGCATTCACCATGAGCTTACTGAAGAGCTCTTGGGCCTTAAGTGAACATTGACAGTACCCTGGCAGTATTCTCTGGGGCCTGTGGTGGCAGACATGGGGAGAAACTCCTCTGTCTATGGAAAGAGAAGGGAAGAGTGGGAAGGATAGGGTGGTTTCCGCTCCAGCTCAGCTGCAGTAGAATAGAGCACCAGGTAGATTTCTTCAGGCCCTGGCTTCTGGATAGCATCTCTGGGCCTGGATAGGGCTCTGGGCAAGACCCAGTGCAGTCCCAGTGGTGGTAGCCACAGAGGTGATTGTGTGGTATGGTTTGGATCTGTGTCCCCCTCCCAAATCTCGTGTTGAATTATAATCCCCAGTGTTGGAGGATGGGTCTGGTGGGAGGTGAGTGGATTATGAGGGCAGATTTCCCCATTGCTGTTCTCCTGATAGTGAGTTCTCACAATATCTGGTTGTTTAGAAGTGTGTAGCACCTCCTCCTTCTCTCTCTTCCTCCTGCTCTGGCCATGTAAGTTGTGCCTCCTTCCTCTTTGCCTTCTGCCATGATTGTAAGTTTCCTGAGGCATCCCTAGCCATGCCTCCTGTGAAGTCTGTGAAACTGTGAGTCAATTAAACCTCTTTTCTTTATAAATTACCCAGTCTCAGGTAATTATAGCAATGCGAGAATGGACTAATACAGAAAATTGTTACATAGGAGTGGGGCATTGCTATAAAGATACCTGAAAATGTGGAAGTGACATTAGAACAGGGTAACAGGCAGAGGTTGGAACAGTTTGGAGGGCTCAGAAGAAGAAAGAAAGACGAGGGAAAGTTTGGGACTTCCTAAAGACTTCTTAAATTATTGTGACCAAAATGCTGATAGTACTGATAGTGATATGGACAATGAAGTCCAGGCTGAGGTGGTCTTAGATGGAGAAGAGGAACTTATTGGGAACTAGAACAAAGGTCAGTTTTGTTATGCATTAGCAAAGAGGTTAGAGGTATTGTGCCTCTGCCCTAAAGATTTAAACTTGAGAGAGATGATTTAGGGTATCTGGTGGAAGAAATTTTGAAGCTGCAAAGTGTTCAAGATGTGGCCTGGCTGCAACTAATAGCATTTGCTTATATGTGTGAGCAAATAGATGATCTGAAACTGGAAGTTATATTTAAAAGGAAGCAGAGCATAAAAGTTTGGAAAATTTGCAGCCTAACCATGTGGCAGAAAAGAAAAACCCATTTTCAGGGGAGGTGTTCAAGCTGGCTGCAGAAGTTTGCACAAGTAAAGAGGAGCAGGAATGTTAGTAGCCAAGATAATGGAGAAAAGGCCTGGAAGGTATTTCAGAGACTTCCATGGCAGCCCCTCCCATTACAGGCCTGGAGGCCTAGAAAATAAGAATGGTTTCATGGGTCAGGACCAGGGTTCTGCTGCTCTGCACAAACTCAGGATTCTGCTCCCTGTGTCCCAACTGTTCCAGCTCCAGCCTTAGCTAAAATGATCCCAGATATGTCTCAGGCCACTGCTCCAAAGGGTTCAAGCTGTAAGCCTTAGCAGCTTCCATGTGGTGTTAAGTCTACAGGTGTGCAGAAGGCAATAGTTAAGGCTTGGGAGACTCCACCTAGATTTCAGAGGAGGTGTGGAAGTGCCTGAATGTCCAGGCAGAAGTCTGCTGCAGGGGTGGAGCCCTCATGGAGAACCTCTATTACAGGAGTGCAGAAGGGAAATGTGGGATTGAAGCCCTCACACAGAGTCCCCACTGGGGCACTGCCTAGTGGACCTGTGAGGAGAGGACGACCATCCTCCAGAACCCAGAATGGTAGATCCACTGACCGCTTGCACTGTGCACCTGGAAAAGCAGCAGGCACTGCACTCAATGCCATGAAAGCAGCCATGGGAGCTGTACCGTGCAGAGCCACAGGGGCAGAGCTGCCCAAGGCCTTGGGAGCCCACCCCTTGCATCAGTGTGGCTTGAATTACAGACATGGAGTCAAAGGAGATTCTTTTGGAGCTTTAAGATTTAATGACTGCCCTGCTGGGTTTTGGTCTTGCATGGGGGCCTTTAGCCTCTTTGTTCTGGTCAATTTCTACCTTTTGTAATGGGAGTATTTAGCCAATGCCTGCACCCCCATTTTATCTTGGAAGTAAATAACCTGCTTTTTATTTCATTGGCTCATAGGTGGAAGGGATTTGCCTTGTCTCGGATGAGACTTTGGACTATGGACTTCTGAGTTAATGGTGAAATGAGTTAAGACTTGGGGGATTGTTGAGAAGGGAGGATTGTATTTTGCAATGTGAGAAGGATATGAGATTTGGGAGGCATCAAGGACAGAATGATATGGTTTGGATTTGTGTCCCTGCCCAAATCTCATGTCTAATTGTTATTCCCAGCATTGGAGGAGGGGCCTTGTGGGAGGTAATTGGGTCATGGGGGTAGATTTTCCCCTTGCTGTTCTCATGTTAGTGAGTGAGTTATGAGATTTGGTTGTTTATAAGTGTGTGGCACCTCCCCCTTCTCTCTCTTCCCACTGCTCTGGCCATGTAAGACTTTATCTCACAAGGGTCCTTGGGGAGGGCTGCCAGTGGAATTGTGGAAGAACCACAGGGTAAAGGAAACTTCCAGCTGAACTTTGTAATAATTTTGGCTGAACATGAATTTTCCAGGGTAAAATCCGGGGGTGGGGAGCAAACAGGAAGTGCAGATTTGAGCACAGAAGCCATGGCATGTGGGTAGGGGTGAAGCCTGAAAGCCCTACTTGCTTTCTCAGCAGGAAGGCTTGTAGCCTGGGGCAAGAACTCAGCCCTGCACACTGACTGCCTGGATATAAACCTGGTGATTTGTTGGGGCATGGTAAGAGTGAGACTGGCCTTGCTGGCTGCATGAGAGCTGGCTGAGGCCCATCATGGCTGGGTTTCCCCCACTTCCCTGGTGGCTTGTATGATGCAGCAGAGGCAGCCATAATCCCCCTGGGAACATAACCTCATTGGCCTGAGAACCACCAACCCCACAGTGGCTGCAGCAAGTCCTGCCCAAGGAGAGTCTGAACTCAGACATGCTTAACCCCGCCCCCAACTGATGGTCTTTCTCTACCTGCCCTGGGAGCCAAAGACAAAAGATATAATCTCTTGGAAGCTCTATGGCTCTACTCATTCAATGAGAAACCCGAATACTTATCCAGACAGGCTTGTATCCCTGCTATACTACCACAGTTGATGCTCTTTTAAAAGCACCACCTCCCTGCTGGTGGTCAAGCAACTCAAGCCTTTAGAGCAACTCATAAAAGAAAACTGCTGCTCCAAGAAAGGAGAAAACAACACCTAATTCCACTGCCTGCAACATCCTGGATAACCACACGTCCTGAGTCTGTCCATGTGACAGCTTCACTTCTAGCACAACTGCCATTTGAGAAAACCAGCACACTAAAAAAACTATGACCAAGGACCCTCACAGAGTTCACTTCACACCCCTGTTACCTCCACCAGAGCAGGTGCTGGTACCCATGGCTGAGAGACCTAAAGACAAATCACATCCCAGTATTCTTTGTGCACACTCCCCAGTACCAGCCCAGAGCCTGGTAGCTCCATTAGGTGGCTAGACCCAGAAGAGCAATAACAATCACTGCAGTCTGGCTCTTAAGAAGCCCCATCCCTAGGGGAAGAAGGAGAGCACCAAATCAAAGTATCACTCTATGGGACAAAAGAATCTGAACAGCAGCCCTTGAGCCTCAGATCTTTCCTCTGATATAGTCCTAGAAAAACAGTTCTAGTAATATGACAAAACAAGGATCTTTACCACCACCAAAAGGTCACATGAGCTCATCAGCAATGAATCCAAACCAAGAAGATATCTCCGAATTGCCAGAAAAGAAATTCAGAAGGTTGATTGTTAAGCTGCTCAAGGAGGCACCAGAGAAAGGTGAAAGCCAACTTAAAGAAATTAAAAAGGCCAAGCATGGTGGCACACATGTGCATTCCCAACACTCTGGGAGGCCGAGGTGGGTGGAGCACCTGAGATCAGGAGTTTGCAACCAGCCTAACATGGTGAAACCCTGTCTCTACTTAATACAAAAAATTTAGCTGGGCGTGGTGGCTTGTGCATGTAATTTGAGCTACTTGGGAGGCTGAGACAGGAGAATTGCTTGTACCTGGGGGACAGAAATTGCAGTGAGTCGAGATTATGCCATTGCACTCCAGCCTGGGCAAAAAGAGTGAAACTCCAAAACTCCATCTCAAAAAAAAAAAAAAAAAAAAAAGAAATTAAAAAGTTTTACAGGGTATGGATTAAAAAACTCCAGAGAACTAGATAGCATAAAAAAGAAGCACGACTTCTGGAAATGAAAAACACACTTAGAAAAATGCAAAATACACTGGAAAGTTTCAACAATAGAATCAAACAAGTAGAAGGAAGAACTTCAGAGCTTGAAGACAAGGCTTTCAAATGAACCCAATTCAATAAAGACAAAGAAAAAAGAATAAAAAAAAAAGAACAAAGCCTCCAAGAAGTTTAGGATTACGTTAAGTGACCAAACCTAAGAATAATTGGTGTTCCTGAGGAAGAAGAAAAATCTAAAAGTTTGGGAAACTTATTTGAGGGAATAATTGAAAAAACTTCTCTGGCCTTTCTAGAGATCTAGACATCTAAATACAACAAGCTCAAAGAACACCCAGGAAATTCATTGCAAAAAGATCATCACCTAGGCACCTATTCTTCAGGTTATCTAAAATCAAGATGAAAGAAAGAAACTTAAAAGCTGTGAGGCAAAAGCATCAGGTTACCTATAAAGGAAAGCCTATCAGATTAACAGCAGATTTCTCAGCAGAAACCCTACAAGCTAGAATGGATTGGGGTCCTATCTTCAGCCTCCTTAAACAAAACAATTATCAGCCAAGAGTTTCTTTTTTTTCCCTTTTCTTTTCTTTTTTTTTTTTTTTTGAGACAGAGTCTCACTCTGTTGCCCAGATTGGAATGCAGTGGTGTGATCTTGGCTCACTGCAACTGCCACCTCCTGGGTTCAAGCGATTCTCCTGCCTCAGCCTCCCGAGTAGCTGGGATTACAGGCACGCACCATCATGCTTAGCTAATTTTTGTATTTTTAGTAGAGATGGGGTTTTGCCATGTTGGCCAGGCTGGTCTCAAGCTCTTGACCTCAGGTGATCCTCCTGCCTCAGCCTCCCAAAGTGCTGGGATTACAGGGGTGAGCCACGTACCTGGCCCAGCCAAGAGTTTTATATTCCATGAAACTAAGCTTCATAAATGAAGGAAAGATAGTCTTTTCCAGACAAACAAATGCTGAGAGAACTCACCACTACCAAGCCAGCACTATAAGAACAGCTAAAAGCAGCCCTAAATCTTGAAACAAATCCTCCAAATATACCGAAATAGAACCTCCTTAAAGCATAAATCTCATAGGACCTATAAAACAATAACACAATGAAGAAAAGAGGTATTCAGTCAAAAACTAGCATGAGGAATAGAACAGTACCTCACATCTCAATACTAACGTTGAATATAAATGGACTAAATGCTTCACTTAAAAACTACGGAATGGCAGATAGATAAGAATTCACCAACCAAATATCTGCTGTCTTCAACCTAACACATAAGGACTCACCTAACACATAAGGACTCACATAAACTCAAGGTAAAGGGGTGGAAAAAGATATTCCATGCAAATGAACAGCAAAAGCAAGCAGGAGTAGCTATTCTTATATCAGACAAAACAAACTTTAAAGCAATAGCAGTTAAAAAAGACAAAGAGGGACATTATATAATGATAAAAGAACTAGTCCAACAGGAAGTTATCACAGTCTTAAATATATATGCATCTAACACTGGAGCTTCCAAATATATAAAACAATTACCACTAGACCTAAGAAATGAGATAGACAGCAATACAATAATAGTGGGGGACTTCAATACTCCACTGACAGCACTAGACAGGTCATCAAGACAGAAAGTCAACAAAGAAACAATGGACTTAAACTATACCCTAGAACAAATGGACTTTACAGATATTTACAGAACATTTTAGCCAACACTGCAGAATATACATTCTATTCATCAACACATGGAACATTCTCCAAGATAGACCCTGTGATAGGCCACAAAACAAGTCTCAATACATTTAAGAAAAATCAAAATTATATCAAGTACTTGAGTACTTGCTCAGACCACAGGGGAATAAAATTGGAAATCCGCTCCAAAAGGAACCCTCAAAACCATGCAAATGCATGAAAATTAAATAATTCTAAACAAATTAATATAGAAGGGTGGGAGGGGGTGTGGAGCCAAAGAGTACACATTGGGTACAGTGTACACTGCTCAGGTGTCAAGAGACTCAACACATAAGGACTCACGTAAACTTAAGGTAAAGTGGTCAAAAAAGATATTCAATGTAAATGAACAGCAAAAGCAAGCAGAAGTAGCTATTCTTATATTAGACAAAACAAACTTTAAAGCAACAGCAGTTGCTTTTGGGTGCACCAAAATTTCAGAAATCACTACTAAATTTCAGAAACCACCACTAAAGAATTTATTCATGTAACCAAACACCACCTGTTCCCCAAAAACTATGGAAATAAAAAAAAAAACAAACTCAAAGGGATATCAGAGAACTTCCCAGATCTAGGAAGGGTAACAATATTCATGTACAAGAAAGTTATATAAAACTTAGCAGATTTAATCCAAAAAAGAGTACCTTAAGTCATCTCATAATCAAACTCCCAAAGGTCAAGTATAAAGAAAGCAAAGCTAAAGCAGCAAGAGAAAAGAAAAGAAAACAAAACAAAACAAAAAAACATACAATGGCGCTCCAATACATCTGGCAGCAGACTTTTCACTGGAAACCTTACGGGCCAGTAGAGAGTGACATGACATATTAAAAGTGCTGAAGGAAAAAACTTTCACCCTAGAATAGTATATCCAGCAAAAATATCCTTCAAGGATGAAGGAGAAATGAAAACTTTCCCAGACAAACAAAAGCTGAGGGATTTCATCAACACCAGACCTGTCCTACAAGAAAAATTAAAGAGAGTTCTTCAATCTAAAAGAAAAAGATGTTAATGAGCAAGAAGAAATTATCTGAAGGTACAAAACTCAATGGTAATATTAAGTACACATAAAAACACAGAATATTATAACTGTAATTGTGGTGTGTAAACTATTCATATCTTAAGTAGGAAAACAAAAGATGAACTGATTAAAAATTACTACAACTTTTCAAGATAGAGTACAATAGGACATAAACAGACACAAAAAAGTTAAAAAGTGGGGAGACAAAGTTAAAGTGTATAGTTTTTATTAGTTTTATTTTTGCTTGTTTATGCAATCAGTGTTGTCATCAGTTTAAAATAATGGGTTGTTAGATAGTATTTGGAAGCCTCAGGGTAACTTCAAATCTAAAAACATACAATGGATATTCAAAAAAAAAAAAAAAAAAGCAAGAAACTAAAACATACTACCAGAGAAAATCACCTTCACTAAAAATAAGAGAGGAAGGAAGGAAAGAAGGAACAGAATTTCACAAAACAAGCAGAAAACAAATAACAAAATGGCATGAGTAAGTCTTTATTTATCACTAATAACACTGAGTGTAAATGGTCTAAACTCCTCAGTGAGAAGATGTAGATTAGCTGAATGGATTAAAAAACCAAACAACAGCAACAAAAAGGCTGGGCATGGTGGCTTACACCTGTAATCCAAGCACTTTGGGAGGCTGAGGTGGGTGGATCACTTGAGGTCAGGAGTTTGAGGCTAGCCTGGCCAACATGGTGAAACCCTGTCTCTACTACAAATACAAAAATTAGCCGGGTGTGGTGGTGCAAGCCTGTAATCCCAGCTACTTGGGAGGCTGAGGTAGGAAAATCACTTGAACCCAGGAGGTGGAGGTTGCAGTGAGCTGAGATCACACCACTGCACTCCAGCCTGGGCAACAGAGTGAGACTCTGTCTCAAAACAACAACAACAACAACAACAACAACAACAACAACAACAACAACAAAAAACAAACAAAAAACCCCCAAAAAACAAAAAACCAAGCACCAATGATCTGTTGCCTTCAGGAAACACAATTCACCTATAAAGACACACCTAGAGGGAAAATAAAGGATGGAAAAAGATATACCATGTCAATGGAAACCAAAAAAGAGCAGGAATAGCTATCCTATATCAGACAAAATAGATTTCAAGACACATACTATATCAAGAGACAAATAAGGCCAGCATACAATGACAAAGGGGTCAGTTCACCAGGGAGATAAAACAATTCCAAATATATATGCACTCAACATGGGAGTACCCTGATATGTAAAGGAAATATTAGCAGCAAAGAGAGAGTTAGACCCTAGTACAATAACAGCTGGAGACTTCAACCCACGACTTTTAGTATTGGACAGATTTCCTAGACAGAAACCCAAGAAAGAAACATTGGACTTCATCTGCAATATAGAACAAATGAACCTAATAGGTATTTACAGAATACCTATCATTCAGTGGCTGCAGAATACACATTTTTCTCCTCATCAAATGGCTCATTCTCAAGAAAAGACCATATGTTAGGTCACAAAACAAGTTGTAAACCATTAAAAGAAGTTGAAATAATATGAAGTATCTTCTCTGACCACAATGGAATAGAACTAGAAATCCATAACAAGAAGAATTTTGGAAACTATACAAACCCATGGAAATTAAACAATGTGCTCCTGAATGACTAGTGAGTCAATAAAGAGATTAAGAAGGAAATTGAAAATTTTTTTGAAACGAATGATAATGGAAACACAATATACCCAAATCTATAGGATATGGTAAAAGAAGTAATAAGGGAAAAATGTATAGCTATAAGGGCCTACATCAAAAAAGAAGTGAAACTTTAGATAAACTACCTAATGATACATCTTAAAGAACTAGAAAAGCTAGAGTAAACCCAACCCAAAATTAGTAGAAGAAATGAAATATTAAAGATCAAATTGGAAAGAAATTATATTGAAAAGAAGAAAACAACACAAAAGATTAAAAAATGAAAAGTCTTTTTTTAAGAAGATAAAATTGACCCATTTCCTATTATTATAATTAATATTTTTTGAGATGGAGTCTTGCTCTGTTGCCCAGGCTGAAGTGCAGTGGTGTGATCTTGGCTCACTGCAACCTCTGCCTCCTAGGTTCAAGCAATTGTCCTACCTCAGCCTCCTGAGTAGCTGGGATTACAGGTACATGCTACCACACCTGGCTAATTTTTGTATTTTTAGTGGAGAGGGGGTTTCACCATGTTGGCCAGGCTGGTCTCAAACTCCTGACCTCAAGTGATCTGCCAGTCTTGGCCTCCCAAAGTGCTGGGACTACAGGTGTGAGCCACCACACCTGCCAAAATTGACCCATTTTTACCCAGACTAACTAAAAAAAGAGAGAGAAGACCCAAATAAATGAAATCGGAGATAAAAAATGAGACATTACAGCTGATACCACAGAAATTCAAAGGATCATTAGAGGCTACTATGAGCAACTATATGCCAATAAGTTGGAAAACCTAGAGGCAATTGATACATTCCTAGACACATACAACCTAGCAAGATTGAACCAGGAAGAAACCCAAAACTTGAGTAGGCCAATAATAAGTAATGTGATCAAAGCTATAATAAAAAGTCTCTCAGCAACAAAAGCCCAGGACCCATCAACTTCCCTCCTGATTTTTTTTTCAAATTAATATTAATTCTTTCAAACTATTTCAAAAAATAGAGGAGGTGGGAATATGTCGAAACCTATTCTATGAGGCCAGTAATACCCTGATACCAAAATCAGACAAAGATTCATCAAAAAAAAAAAAAAAAACTACAAGCCAACAGCTTTGATGAATATTGATGGAAACATCAACAAAACATGAGCAAACTGAATTCAATAACACCTTAAAAAGATCATTCATCAAGACCAAGTGGGATTTATCCTAGGGATGTAAGGATGGTTCAACGTACACAAATCAATCAATGTGATACATCATATCAATAGAATAAAGGACAAAAACCACATAATCATTTCAATTGGTATTGAAAAACCATTTGAATAAATAAGTTCAATATCCCTTCATGATAAAAATTCTAAAAAACTGGATGTAGAAGAAATGTACTTCAACACAATAAAAGCCATATACTACAGACTCATACCTAGTATTATACTGAATGGGGAAAAACTGAAAGCCTTTTCTCTAAGATCAAGAACACAAGAAGGATGTACACTTTTACCACTGTTATTCAACATACTACTGGAACTCCTAGCTAGAGCAATTAGACAAGAGAAAAAAGTAAAGGGCAACCAAATTGGAAAGGAAAAGTCAAATTATCCTTGTTTGTGGATGATGTGGTCTTATATATGGAAAAACCTAAAGATTCCAACATAAAACACTATTAGAAGTGATAAATAAATTAAAGTTGCCAGATAAAAAATCAACATCCAAAAATCAGTAGCACTTCTATATGCCAACAGAGAAGAATCTGAAAAAGAAATCAAGAAAGTAATCCCATTTACAAGAGCTACAAATGAAATTAAATTCTTAGGAATTAATTTAACTGAAGAAGTGAAAAATCTCTTCAATGAAAACTATAAAACATTGATGAAAGAAACTGAAGAGGACACAAAAAATGGAAAGATATTCCATGTTCATAGATTGGAAGAATCAATATTGTTAAAATGTCTATACTACCCAAAGCAATCTTCAGATTCTATACAATCTCTATCAAACTACCAATGACATCCTTCACAGAAAGAGAAAAATCAATCCTAAAATTTATATGGAAACACAAAAGGCCCAGAATAACCAAAACTATCCTGAACAAAAAGAACACAACTCAAGGAATCACATTACTTGACTTCAAATTATACTACAGAGCTATAGTAACCAAAAGAGCATGGTATAGTCATAAAAACAGACACATAGACCAATGAAAAAAGAATAGAGAACCCAGAAACAAATCCATACACCTACAGTGAACTCATTTTTTACAAAGGTGCCAAGACTATACATTGGGGAAAAGACAGTCTCTTCAATAAATGGTGTTGCAAAAACTAGATATCCACACGTAGAAGACTGAAACTAGACCCTTATCTCTCACTATATACAAGAACTAAATTAAAATAGATTAAATAATTGAATCTAAGGACTCAAATTATGAAACTACTACAATAAAACATTGGGGAAACTCTCCAGGACATTGGAATGGGCAAACATTTCTTGAGTAATACCCCACAAGCACAGGCAGCCAAAACAAAAATGGACAAATGCAACCATATCAAAGTAAAAAGCTTCCTTCCAGCAAAGAACAATCAACAACAGAAGAAGAAAACCCAAAGAATGGGAGAAAATATTTGCAAACTAAGCATCTGACAAAGGATTTGTAAGCAGAACACACAAGGAGCTCAAACAATTATACAGGAAAAAATCTAATAAACTAATTAAAATATGGGCAAAAGTTCTAAATAGACATTTCTTGAAAGACGACATACAAATGGCAAACACGCATATGAAAATGTGCTCGACATTATTGATCATCAGAGAAACACCATTCAAAACTACAATGAGATATCATCTCACATCTGTTAAAATGGATTTTACCCAAAAGACAGGCAATAACAGGCTGGAGAGGATGTGGAGAAAAGGGGACCCTTGGACACTGTTTGTGGGAATGTAAATTAGTACAACTACTATGGAGAACAGTTTGGGCCTTCCTCAGAAAAACTGAAAATAGAACTATCGTATGATCCAGCAAACCCACTGTTAAGTATATACCTCCAAAATAGGAAATCAATATATTGAAGAGATATCTGCACTCCCATGTTTATTGCAGTTCCACTCACAATAGCCAAGATTTAGAAGCAATCCAAGTGTCCATCAACAAATGAATGAATAAAAAAAATGGTACGTATACATAATGGAGTACTATTCAGCCATAAAAAGAATGAGATCCTGTCATTTGCAACAACATAGATGGAACTGGAGGTCATTATGTTAAGTGAAATAAGCCAAGCACAGAAAGACAAACTTTACATGTTCTCTCTTATTTGTGAAAGCTAAAAATTAAAACAACTGAACTTACGGAGATAGAGAATAGAATGATGGTTACCAGACGCTAGGAAGGGTAGTGGGGTGGGTGTGCAGGGGTAGGGGGAATGGTTAATGAGTACAAAAAGATTTAGAAGGAATAAGATCTAATGTCTGATAGCACAATATATTATTGACTATAGTCAATAATAATTTAATTGTACATTTAAAAATAACTAAAAGAGTATAATATTTTAACACAAAAAATAAATATCTGAGATGATAGATACCTCATTTACCCTGGTGTGATTATTATACATTGTATGCCTGTATTAAAATATCCCATATATCCCATAAATAAATATATACATCTATGTACCCATAAAAATTAAAGACAAAACAAAACTAAAAACTACAGCTTTGCACAAAGGCTATTGCAACCTTAAACAAAAAATACTTCTGCCAGGACATCTGTCCACCAACTGCCTGTCTAACCTTGGACTGGTGCCACCTTTGTTACTGATCCTTGTAAGCAAAGAATTGATTCAAAACAATTGTGTAATCCTTCTTATTTTTCTTTTTAAAACTTTTTTCTTCCCTTACCTGTCTGAATACACACATAGTTTGTGATGGCACGCATATTCCCATTGCAATGCTCATTCTTGAATAAATATCACTGTCTTTTAGAGAGCTTTTCTTTATCTGTTATTTAGGTTGGTGTGACTCACATAACTGTTCCCAAACAGCTAAGTTACTTTTCTCCGACTTCTGGAATACCCAATAGCAGGTTGGGGCCTATAGAATGTTGGTACACAGAAGGGTTATGTATGTAATTATAATTTTATATTTCAAGTCTATAGTTTTTACAATGGAAATTATAGAACGTGAAAGTTAATTTGGAACATCGTGTCTGGTGGTGATATGCAGAAAGCACAGTCTGAGCTTTGTCCCAAGTGAAGTGCATATCAGGTTCTTACAGTGGAAAGGGAAGGCATAAGACTTTTATGAATATTAAAAGAAAACAAAAGTAAAGTAAATGCATTGTGAAATACTGTCAGCTGAAAGGAATGTTGCTGTATTGAGTGTCAGTTCCAGGAAGTTACTCAAAACTTAAAGGTGTAGCAATCCTGTTTATACAGTTTCTGCTCCTATAGGCACTTTACTTCATCTTGAAACCCATAGGGAGTAATTGGAAAGGACATGGGTTTCAGGCAAGTTTTTAATTCCTTTCACAAATCCCCTTTTTATTTATATTTAAAATAAAGATTGTTGTAAGATTGGATTTAGATAATACATGCATGGTGCTTAACACAGAGGAGGCATTAAGCACAGTAATTCCTGTTGTACAGAGCCCCACATGTAGGCAGTTCAGAGGTGCTTCCCAGGGCCCTGGCGCTAGTGCCTGTCCCTCCTGCTGAAGTTGCCTTTCCTGGTGTCCAGTGATTGAATTCTAAATTCAGCACATATACCAGAGGAATACGAGCCAAAGAAGTTGTTCCAGCTAGAGTTGCTGGGAATCCATGAATCAAAGACTTGCTCAGCTAGTTCTGTATGTGAAAGGAAATGGGTGTGACTCTGAGGAAGCCTTTTTAATTCTGATTCAGGAGATACATAATTAGATGCCACTTGATTTTGTTCCACAGACTTTTTGCTGAGGACTTGAGAGCTAAGGTTCTGTGATCCAGAACTAGTTCCAGACTTACTCTTCTGGAAATGAACAGGGCCCTCCTGTGCTTATTTTTCCAGGATACTGCATTGGAAATTGAGTCAGGGACCCATTGGTGAGAAGAGAACAGTGAACAGAATCACATTGATCTGGTCCTGGAGTTTGTCTGACAATTTCTACTTGACCGCAGGAGGTCTGAAGATTGGAAGGGGCCCTACTCAATTGTGCTATTTTTCTCTCTTTTTTTTTTTTTTGAGACGGAGTTGCCCAGGCTGGAGTGCAGCGGCATGGTCTCAGCTCACTGCAACCTCTGCCTCCCGGGTTCAAGCAGTTCTCTGCCTCAGCCTCCCAAGTAGCTGGGATTACAGGTGCCTGCCACCATTCCTGGCTAATTTTTGTATTTTCAGTAGAGACAGGGTTTCACCATCTTGGCCTGGCTGATCTTGAACTCCTGACCTCGTGATCCACCGGCCTCAGCCTCCCAAAGTGCTGGGATTACAGACGTGAGCCACCGTGCCCGGCCAATCCTGCTATTTCTCTACAGGACAAAGGGATATATAATCTGGTAAGTCCTAATGGGATCAGGGGATGAAAAAGAAAAGATTACTATCATCAGCGACAAAAATGTTCTGGATGGGTTTGTGAAATGAGTCGAAGAGTTTTTTTTCCTACAGAATTTGACTGAAAAGGAAGTTAAGTTCGTCTTAATAATGGAGAATTCCTGATAGCATGTAAGGCTAAGGAATATATCTTCGATACATTATTGCACAGGTCCAGTCTTAAAGAAGCATCTTATATTCTCATTATTCTCTGCTTGTCCAGTGACCTCTTACATGGCCCATATCAGAGAATTGAAATGGTCACATCAGGAATTTTACATGAACTGTTGAAAATTCTGTCTCTCTTCATTATTGAACATATTTAGAAAGTTCAAAAACTGAATTCCATGTAGTTAGGAAGTCCTATTCCTATTTGTTATAATTGTAACAATACAATTATACTCTTAATTGTAACAATACAATTATACTGTTTTAGTTATTTCTAACTGTACAATTATTGACTATAGTCACCCTGTTGTGCTATCGAATACTAGATCTTATTCAGAAATACTAGATCTTATTCAGTCTAACTATTTTTTTTGTGCTCATTTACCATCCCCACCTCCCTCCCACCCCCTAATATCTTTCCCAGCCTCTGGTAACCATCATTTTACTCTATCTCCATAACTTCAATTGTCTTAATTTTTAGCTTTCATAAATAAGTGAGAACATTGTAAAGTTTGTCTTTCTGTGCCTGGCTTATTTCACTTAATGACCTCTAGTCCCCTCTATGTTGTTGCGAATGACAGGATCTCATTTTTTTTTGACACGGAGTTTTGCTCTTGTTGCCCAGGCTGGAGTGCAACAGTGCAATCTCGACTCACTGCAACCTCCGCCTCCTGGGTTCAAGTGATTCTCCTGCCTCAGCCTCCCAAGTAGCTGGGATTACAGTCATGCGCTACCATGCCTGGCTAATTTTGTATTTTTAGTAGAGCGGGGTTTCTCCATGTTGGTCAGGCTGGTCTTGAACTCCTGACCTCAGTTGATCCACCCGCCTCAGCCTCCCAAAGTGCTGGGATTACAGGCATGAGCCACCGCACCCAGCCAATCTCATTCTTTTTTATGGCTGAGTAGTACTCTGTTATGTATATGTACCACATTTTGTTTACCTGTTCATTTGTTGATGGACACTTGCATTGCTTCCCAATCTTGGCTATTGTGAACAGTGCTGCAACAAACATGGGAGTGAAGATATCTCTTCAATATACTGGTTTTCTTTCTTTTGGGTGTACACCCAGCAGAGAGGTTGCTGGGTTGTATGGCAGCTCTATTTTTAGCTTTTTGAGGAAGGTCCAAACTGTTCTCCATAGTGGCTGTACTAATTTACATTCCCACAAACAGGGTACAAGTTTCCCTTTTCTCTACCTTCTCTCCAGCATTTTTTATTACTTGTCTTTTAGATATAAGCCATTTTAACAGGGGTGAGATGATATCTCATTGTAGTTTTGATTTACATTTTTCTGATAACTAATAATGTTGAGGACCTTTTCATATGCCTTTTTTTCATTTGTATGTATTCCTCTGAGAAATGTTTATTCAACTCTTTTGCCCATATTTTAATCTGATTATTAGATTTTTTTCCTATAGAGTTGTGTGGGCTCCTTATATTTTCTGGTTATTATTCCCTTATCAGATGGGAAGTTTGCAAATATTTTCTCCCATTCTGTGGGTTCTCTTTTTCTGTTGTTGATCTTTTCCTTTGCTGGAGGGAAGCTTTGTAACTTGATGAGATCCAATTTGTCTATTTTTGCTTTGGTTGCCTGTGCTGGTGGTGTATTACTTAAGAAATTTTTGCCTAGACCAATGTCCTGGAGAGTTTCCCCAGTGTTTTCCTGTAGTAGTTTCACAGTTTGAGGCTTTACATTGAAGTCTATAATCTATTTTGATTTTATTTTTGTACATGATGAGAGAGAGTGGTCTAGTTTCAGTCTCCTGCATATGAATATCCAGGTTTCCCAGCACCATTTATTGAAGAGACTGTCCTTTCTCTAATGTATGTTCTTGGCACCTTGGTAAAAAATGAGCTCACTGTAGGTATATGGATTTGTTTCTGGGTTCTCGATTTTTTTCCTTTGGTCTGTGTGTCTGTTTTCATGCCAGTACCATGCTGTTTTGGTTACTGTAGCTCTGTAGTATAATTTGATGTCAGATAATATGATTCCTTGAGTTTTGCTCTTTTTGCTCAGGATAGATTTTGTTATTCTGGGTCTTTTGTGTTTCCATATAAATTTTAGGATTGTTTTTTCTCTTTCTGTGAAGAATGTCATTGATATTTTGATATAATTTGCATAGAATCTGAAGATTGCTTTGGATAGTATGGACATTTTAACAATATTGATTCTTCCAATCTATGAACATGGAATATCTTTCCATTTTTTGTGTCCTCTTCAGTTTCTTTCATCAATGTTTTATAGTTTTCATTGAAGAGATTTTTTACTTCTTCAGTTAAATTAATTCCTAAGAATTTAATTTTATTTGTAGCTCTTGTAAATGGAATTACTTTCTTGATTTCTTTTTCAGATTCTTCTCTGTTGGCATATAGAAGTGCTACTGATTTTTGGATGTTGATTTTGTATCCTGCAACTTTAATAAATTTATAACTTCTAATAGTTTTTTGTTGTTGGAATCTTCAGTTTGTTCCATATATAAGACCACATCATCCACAAACAAGGACAATTTGACTTCTTCCTTTCCAATTTGGATGCCCTTTATGTTTTTCTCTTTTCCCCCATTGAGTGAGTCTGTAATATATGGCTTTTTATTATGTTGAGTTATCTTCCTTCTATACCCAGTTTTTTGAGGGGTTTTATCATCAAGGGATATTGAGTTTTATCAAGTGCTTTTTCAGCATTAATGGAAATGATCACGTGGTTTTTGTCTTTCATTTTCTTGCTATAATGTATCACATTGATTGATTTGTGCGTGTTGTACCATCCTTGCATCCCTGGGATAAATCCCACTTGGTCATGATAAATGATATTTTTAATGTATTGTTGAATTTGGTTTCCTAGTATTTTGTCGAGGATGTTTCCATCAATATTCATCAGAAATATTGGCTTGTAGTTTTTTTTTTTTAAGTTTCTTTGTCTTGTTTTTTATTAGGGTAATATTGGCCTCATAGAATGAGTTTGGAAGTATCCCCTCTTTGTCTATTTTTAAACATAGTTTGAATAGGATTGGTATTAGTTCTTCTTTAAATGTTTGGTAGAATTCAGCATTGAATTCACTGGGTCCCAGGCTTTTATTTACTGGGAGACTTTTTATTACAGCCTTGATCTCATTACTTGTTATTGATCTGTACAGGTTTTGGATTTCTTCAAGGTTCAATCTTGGTAGGTTGTATGTTTCTGGGAATTTATCCATTTCCTCTAGATTTTCCAATTTATTGGTGTATAGTTGCTCATAGTAGCTGCCAATAATCCTTTGAATTCCTGCAATATCAGTTGTAATGTTTTCTTTTTCATCTGTGATTTTATTTATTTGGGCCTTCTCTCTTTTTTCTTAGTCTGGCTAAAGATTTGTCTATTTTGTTTATCTTTTCAACAAAGCAACTTTCATTTCATTCATCTTTTGTATTGTTTTCTTAATTTTAACTTCATTTATTTCTGCTCTGATCATTATTGTTTATTATTTTCTACTAATTTTGGGTTTGGGCTGCTCTTGGTTTTCTAGTTCTTTAAAATGCATCATTAGGTTATTTATTTGAAGTTTTTCTTCTGTTTTGATGTAGACACTTATAGCTATAAATTTCCCTCTTTGTACTGCTTTTGCTGTATCCCATGGGTTTTGGTATGTTTGCATTATCATTTGTGTCAAGAAATGTTTCAATTTCCTCATCAATTTCTTCATTGACCCATTGGTCATTCAGGAGCATATTGTTTAATTTCCATGTGTTTGTATAATTTCTAAAATTGCTCTCGTTATTGATTTATAGTTTTATTCCATTTTGTTCAGAGAAGATACGTTATATTATTTCAACTTTTTGAGTGTTTTAAGACTGGTTCTGTGACCTAAAATATGGTCTACGCTTGAGAATGATCCATGTGATGAGGAGAAAAATGTGTATTCTGCATCCATTGGATAAAATGTTCTGTAAATACCTATTAGGTTCATTTGTTCTATAGTACAGACTGAGTCCAAAGTTTCCTTGTTGATTTTCTGTCTGGGAGATCTGTCCAATGCTGAAAGTGAGATGTTGAAGTCTCTAGCTATTTTTTTTTTTTTTTTGAGATGGAGTCTCGCTCTGTCACCCAGGCTGGAGTGCAGTGGCGCGATCTCCGCTCGGCCCACTGCAAGCTCCACCTCCTGGGTTCACGCCATTCTCCTGCCTCAGCCTCCTGAGTAACTGGGACTACAGGTGCCCACCACCACGCCTGGCTAATTTTTTTGTGTTTTTAATAGAGACAGGGTTTCACCGTGTTAGCCAGGACGGTCTCGATCTCCTGACCTCGTGATCTGCCCGTCTCGGCCTCCAAAAATGCTGGGATTACAGGCGTGAGCCATCGCGTCTCGCCTGAAGTCTCTAGCTATTATTGCATTGGGGTCTATCTCTTTAGCTCTAATCTGAATCTAAATCTATTTTGTCTGATACAAGTATAGCTATTCCTGCTCTTTTTTGGTTTTCATTGACACGAATATATTTTCCATTCCTGTGTTTTTATTCCATGTTTATCTTTATAGGAGAAGTGTGTTTCTTGTAGGTAACAGATCATTGGGTCTTGTTTTTTTAATTAATTCAACCACTCTATGTCTTTAGATTGGACAGTTTAGTTCATTTACATTTAATGTTATTACTAATAAGTGAGTACTTTTGGTATTTTATTTTTTGTTTTCTGGTTGTTTTGTGATCTTCTGTTTCTTCTTTTTCTTCTTCCTTTTAGTGAAGGTAATCTTCACTGATGGTATATTTCAATTTCTTGCTTTTCATTTTTTGCTTATTCATTGTATGTTTTTAGATTTGAAATTACTATGAGGCTTGCAAATGCTATCTTAAAACTCATTATTTTAAATAGATGACAACAGTGATTGCATAAACAAACAAACACAAACAGAAAACTAATAAAAACTCTACATTCTAACTTTGTCTTCTGCTTTTTATCTGTTTGTTGTTTGTCTTTATGTCCTGTGGTACTATGTCTTGAAAGTTGTAGTTGCTTTTGATTGGTTTATCGTTTGGCCTTTCTACTTAAGGTAAGAGTAGTTTACACACCACAATTACAGTGTTATAATATTCTGTGTTTTTCTGTGTGCTTCCTACTACCATTGAGTTTTGTACCTTCAGATGATTTCTTCTTGCTCATTAACATCATTTTCTTTCAGATAGAACAACTCCCTTTAGTATTTCTCGTAAGACAGGTTTGGTGTTGATGAAATCTCTCAGTTTTTGTTTGGGAAGGTCTTTATTTCTCCTTCATCCTTGAAGCATATTTTTTTTGCCAGATATATTATTCTAGGGTAAAAGTTTTTTTCCCTTCAGCACATTAAATATGTCATGCCACTGTCTCTTGGCCTGTAAGGTTTCCAGTGAAAAGTCTGCTACTAGACGTATTGGAATTTTATTGTTTGTTATTTTTTCTTTTCTTTTGCCACTTTAGGATTCTTACTTTATACTTGATATTTGGGAGTTTGATTATCAAATGCCTGAGGTAGTCTTCTTTGGCTTAAATCTGCTGGGTGTTCTATTATCTTCTTGTACCTTGTACTTGAATATTGGTATCTTACTCTAGCTTTGGGAAGTTCTCCCTTTGCATAAACTTTCTACACCTATCTGTTTCTCAATCTTCTCTTTAAGGCCAGTAACTCCTAGATTTGCCCTTTTGAGGCTATTTTCTATTGCCCTTTTGAGGCTATTTTCTACATCTTGTAGCATGCTTCATTCTTTTTTCTTTTGTCTCCTTTGACTGTATATTTTCAAATAGCCTGCTTTCAAGATCACTGATTCTTCCTTCTGTTTGATCAATTCTGTTATTAAGAGATGCTGATGCATTCTTCTGTAGGTCAATGTATTTTTCAACTCCAGAATTTCTGCTTCTTTTTAATTATTTCAATTTCCTTAAAAAATTTATCTGATAGAATTCTGAGTTCCTTTTATGTGTTATCTTGAATTCCTTTGAGTGTCCTCAAAACAGCTATTTTGAATTCTTTGTTTGAATGATTACATATTTCTGTCTCTCTGGGATTGGTCCCTGGTGCCTTACTTAGTCCATTTGGTAAGGTGATGTTTTCCTGAATCGTCTGTTTTTAAATTCAAAATTACATTTTATTACAGAATTTAAAAATAATTTTCCTTATAGGCTTCCTGGACTGGTGACTTACATTTTCTTTCTTTTTTTTAATTATATATATATTTTCTTTTTTATACTTTTATTTTAAGTTCAGGGGTACATGTGTAGGTTTGTTATGTAGGTAAACTTGTGCCATGGGAGTTTGTTGCATAAATTATTTTATCACCCAGTTATTAAGCCTAGTAACCATTCGTTATTTTTCCTGATCATCTCCCTCCTCCCACCCTCCATGCTCTACCTTCCAGTAGGCCCCAGTGTGTGTTGGTCCCCTCCATGAGTCTATGTGTTCTCATCATTTAGCTCCCACTTATAAGTGAAAACATGTGGTATTTGGTTTTCTATTTCTGTGTTAGTTTACTAAGTGTAATGGCTGCCAGCTCCATTGGGAGCTGTTCTTGATCTTGTTCTTTTTTTGGCTACATAGTATTCCATGAGGTATATGTACCGCGTTTTCTTTATCTAGTCCATAGTTGATGGGCATTTAGGTTTATTCCATGTCTTTGCTATTGTGAATAGTGCTGCAATGAACATATGCATGCATGTGTCTTTATTATAAAATGATATCTGTTCCTTTGGGTATATACCCAGTAATGAGCTTGCTGGGTCAGATGGTATTTCTGTCTTTAGGACTTTGAGGAATCACCAAACTGTTTTTCACAGTGGTTGAACTAATTTACATTCCCATCAACAGTGTATAAGCATTCCTTTTTCTCCACAACCTTGCCAGCATCTGTTATTTTTTGACTTTTTAATAATAGCTATTCAGACTTGTGTGAGATGATATCTCATTGTGGTTTTGATTTGTGTTTCTCTAATGATCAGTGGTGTTGAGCTTTTTTTTTTATACGATTGTTGGCCACATGTATGTCTTCTTTTGAAAGCTGCCTCTTCATGTCGTTTGCCCACTTCTTAATGTTTTTTTTTTTTTCTTGTAAATTGGCTCAAGTTCCTTATAGATGCTGGATATTAGACCTTTGTCAGATTCGTAGTTTGCAAAAATTTTCTCCCATTCTGTAGGTTACCTGTTCACTCTGTTCATAGCTTCTTTTGCTGTGCAGAAGCTCTTAAGTTTAATTAGATCTCATTTATCAATTTTTGCTTTTATTGCAATTGCTTTTGGCATCATCATGAAATCTTTGCCAGTTCCTATGTCCAGAATGGTATTGCCTAGATTGTCTTCTAGTGTTTTATTTTTATAGTTTCGGGTTTTACATTTCAGTCTTTTATTCGTCTTGAGTTGATTTTTGAATATGGTGTAAGGAAATGGTCCATTTTCACTCTTCTGCTTATGGCTAGCCAGGTATCCCAGCACCATTTATTGAATGAAGAAGACATATATGCATCCAACACTGCAATCTTGGGCCTTCACCAACTTGCCCTCACTTTCTTCTGACCTCATCTTCTTTCCTTTCCACCTCACATATTCCAGGCATCCATTGCTTCCAAATCTTTGCACTTGCTGATTTCTGTACCTGGAATTCTTTTCTCCACATAATGTTCATTGTTTATGCCCTGCCTCCTCTACATTATTGTTCAAATGTCACTTCTCAGTGTGGCTTTCACTGTAAAACTGCAAACACCAACATGTTCTCTACCACTACTCATATCATCTTAACATAAGCCCCGCCTTCCCTCTGGCCCTTTAGTTGATGACAGTATTGAGCCCTTCCTTCTTCCTGTTATTTACAGTATCCCTGGGTTAGAGGTGAGGAGATACCCAGGCTTTCCTACTCCAACAATAAGGGGCAATGAATTTTACAGCAGTGCCTGTCAGAAGCCCAAATTGTCTTAAGAATTCCAAAGTTGGAAGCCAGGTGTGATGGTGTGTGCCTATAATCCCAGATGCTAGGTAGGCTGAGGCGGAGAATCACTTGAGCCCAAGAGTTCAAGACCAGTCTGGGCAACATGGCAAGACCCTGTCTCAAAAACAACAAAAAAATGAACTCAAAGTTGAGAAAGTTATAATCTAGTCACTATTTTAAGTAAAGACCTGCTAATCTCATATGTAGATCTTTTCCTTTAGGGGAAATATCAATAATTGGTGAGAGTTTAACCATTTTCTTCCTCTCCCAACTGATGCTCTCCTTTCATCTCCTCCTAGCAACATGCCCTCCATGTTGGAACGCATTAGCAAAAATTTGGTCAAAGAGATTGGAAGCAAAGACCTGACACCTGTCAAATACCTATTGAGTGCCACCAAATTACGTCAGTTTGTTATATTACGAAAGAAGAAGGATTCTCGTTCATCATTTTGGGAACAATCTGACTATGTTCCAGTTGAATTCTCCCTCAATGACATCCTGGAGCCAAGTTCTTCAGTCCTAGGTATTGTCAGCCAGAGGCCAAGGAGGTGAGGGGTGAAAAACATGTGTGGTCAGAAAAAGATGGCCCACCATCCAAAGATAACTGAGCACACAGAAAGGAGCTCTCAGGATTAGCCTTGCCTATAGGCAAGGGGCAAGAAACGAAGACAAATTGAGAATCCTACCAATTATCTGGATGTAGGCATTCATTAGGTCATTTAATATTTGTATCAGGCTCATGAGGTGAGGATATTATCCCCATTTTACATAAGAGTAAATAGAAGGTTATAAAATTATCTGTTCAAAGTTATGTACCTGGGGGCTGGGCACTGTGGCTCATGCCTATAATCCCAGTGCTTTGGGAGACCGAGGCGGGCAGATCACTTGAGGCCAGGAGTTCGAGACCAGTCTGGCCAACATGCTGAAACCCTGTCTCTATTAAAAATACAAAAAAAAAAAAATTATCCAGGCATGGGTGGTGCACTCTTGTAGTCCCAGCTACTCGGGAGGCTGAGGCTCAATAATTGCTTGAGCCCAGAAGGCGGAGGTTGCAGTGAGCTGGGATTGCACCAATGCACTCCAGCCTGGATGACAGAGTGAGACTGTCTCAAAACAACAACAACAACAAAAACAACAACAACAACAACAACAGCAAAAACCAAACAAAAAAACAGTTATGTCCCTGGGAACTAGTAGAACTGGGATCCAAACCCAGGTCTGTCTGGCTCCACATCCCAAACATTTTCTGCCCCTGTGTGCTGCCCTCTGCTGCTGGGTGCTGTGCCTGCTGCAGAGGAGACAGTGTGCCTGAAAGGATGATCCCAGGGGTCTTCTGGACACTGTACATTTGACACCACTATTTCTCAGGGTGCAGATTTTATCTCTGTCACACAATGCCCATTTAAATATTTGAATATTTTCCATCTGTAGTAATTTACATTCAAACATTAATGGATTAGT
Source organism: Homo sapiens (assembly GCF_000001405.40). Classification (NCBI taxonomy): domain Eukaryota; kingdom Metazoa; phylum Chordata; class Mammalia; order Primates; family Hominidae; genus Homo; species Homo sapiens. Next base: position 129,776,429 of record NC_000008.11, on the reverse strand, counting down.
TTTCAACAGAGTTTAAGTGAGTGGGAGGATTGGGGCAAAATAGGTCTTTGTTATTTCATTTTGCACACCAGCTGTTCTTGGCTAAACCTTTGAATTCTTGAATGAATTCTTGGCTAAACCTATGGTCGTCTTTTCTTTCCCCAGAAACTGTTGTGACAGGACCGTTCCACTTCAGTGACATTATGATCCAGAAGCATAAGGCTGACATGGGTGTGAATGTTGGTATAGAAGTGAGTGTGTCAGGGGAGGCCTCTGTGGACCATGGATGCTCCCTCGAGTTTCAAATTGTTACCATCCCATCACCAAACCTGGAAGACTTTCAAAAAAGGTGAGGCCATGGGAGAGGAAGGGGATGGATCATCAGTATCCCAGGGGGTGTTTTCCTTGAACACAAAAATACATCTAGCAAGTCTTGTTGTAGGGATGAAAATCAAGATGATGACAGCCCAGATTTTGCTACTCTTCTTGAGTATTCATACCTCCCTTTACTCAAGTAATAGCTGTTAGTTACCTAACAAATACTTATTAGAGCAGTAACTACCCACTACTATGTTGTTATATGTTGGGGATACAATGAAAACAAGACAGATGTAAACACCTGTCATAAAGCAGCTTACATTTAGTGGAGACAAGGGATGGGCAGGGAGTAAGAAAATAAGCAATAAAAAATAAATTAACAAAGTGTTAATTTAAGTGAGACAAAGACTTTAAAACTGTTTATTTAAATAACATGTACATTGCTGTCTTGGGATTTATTTTTATTTTTTTCAGCTGTATTGAGATATAATTGACAAATAAAATTGTGTGAATTTAAGGTGTACAATGTGATGATTTGATGTATGTATATATTGTGAAAAGACCACAATAAAGTCAGTTAACATATCTATTACTTTACCTAGTTATCATTTTTTTTGTGGTGAGAACGTTTAATATCTACTCTCTTGGCAAATTTCAGATACACAATGTAGTATTGTTAATTATAGTCTGTGTTGCCTTTGACCAATGTGCCCCATTTCCCTGACTTCCTAACCCCTGCTAACCACCATTTTATTTTGTTTCTATAAGTTTGACTTTTTTAGGTTCCACATATATGTGAGATTATACAGTATTTGTATTTCTCTGTTTGACTTTTATTTAGCATAATGCCATCAAGGTTTATCCATGTTGTTGCAAATACAGGGTTTCTTCCTTTTTTATGGCTGAATAATATTCCGTCGTATACACATACCACAATTTCTTTTTCCATTCATCTGTTGACAGGCACTTAGGTTGTTTTGGTGTCTTGGTTTCTGTGAATAATGCTGCAATGAACATGGAAGTGCAGACATGTCTTTGAGCTACTGATTAATTTTCATTGGCTGTATACCTAGAAATGAGATTGCTGGATCATATGGTAGTTCTAGTTTTAGTTTTTTGAAGAACCAACATACTGTTTTCCATATGGCTATATCAATTACATTCCCACTAATAGCATACAAGGATTTCCTTTAATTCACATCTTTGCCAACACTGATCTTTTTGTTAAAAGCCATCCAAACAGATGCGAAATTATGTCTCATTGTGGTTTTGATTTGTACGTCCCTGATAAGTAATTTTGAGCACAATTTCATGTGCCTGTTAGCTTATTTCTATGTCTTTTTTTGGAGAAAATATCTATTTAGGTCCTTTGCCCATTTTCTAAATCAAGATTTTTGTTTTTGTTTTTGATTTTGCAATTTAGCCGTATGAGTTCCTTATATATTTTAGATATTAACCCTTTATCAGGCATATGGTTTTCAAATATTTTTGACCATTCTGTAGGTTGCATTTTCACTCTGTTGATTGTTTCCTTTGCTGTTCAGAAACTTTTTAGTTTGCTAGAGTAACACTTATTTTTTCTTTTCTTTTCTTTTTTTTTTTTTGCTGCTGTTGCTTTTGGTGTCATATCAAACAAATTGTTGCCATAACCAATCTTGAGGAACTTTCCCCCTGTATTTTCTTCTAAAAATGTTTTAAGGTTCCAGGTCTTATATTCAGGTTTCTAATCTACTTTGAGTTGATCTTTGTGTATAAAGTAAGGACCTAGTTTCAGTCTTTTGCATGTGAGTATCCAGTATTCTCAACACCATTTTTTGAAGACACTATCCTTTATCTCACTGTCTTTTCTTGTCACGCTTGTCAGATATTAGTTGATCATACACATATGAGTTTATTTCTTGGCCCTCTACTTGATTCCACTAGTTTATATGTCTGTTTTTATGCAAGTGCCATAAGTTTTAACTTCTATAGCTTTGTAATATACTTTGAAATCAGGAAGTATAGGGTGTCTAGCTTTGTTCTTTCTTGAGATTGCTTTAGCTATTCTGGGTCTTTCCATAAGAGTTTTAAGATTATTTTTTCTATTTCTGTGAAGATTGTCATTGGCATTTTGATAAGAATTGCATTGAATCTGTAAATTGCTTTGAGTAGTATGACATTTTAATAATATTAATTCTTCTTATCCATGAGCACAAATATTTTGCTGTTTATTTTTGTCTTCTTTAATTTCTTTCATGAATTTTGTAGTTTTTCAGTATATAGATCTTTCGCCTCCTTGGTGAAATGTATTCACAAGTATTTTATTATTTTTGATGCTATTATAAACGGACTTTTTTTTTTTTTTTTTGAGACAGAGTCTCACTCTGTCTCCCAGGCTGGAGTACAATGGCGTGATCTCGGCTCACTGCAACCTCTGCCTCCCAGGTTCAAGCAATTCTCCTGCCTCAGCCTCCCAAGTAGCTGGGATTACAGGCACCCACCACAATGCCCAGCTAATGTTTTCTATTTTTAGTAGAGATGGGGTTTTGCCATATTGGCCAGGCTGGTCTCGAACTCCTGACCTCAGGTGATCCACCCGCCTCAGCCTCCCAAAGAGCTGGAATTACAGGTGAGAGCCACCATGCCCGGCCTATACATTGAGTTTTAAAGATAGTTCATTGTTAATTTATAGAAATACAACTGATTTTTAATGTTGATTTTGTATCCAGCAACTTGACTGCATTTATTTATTAATTCTAACATTTTTTAAATGAAGTTTTTAGGATTTTCGATGTATAAGATAGTGTCATCTGTAAACAGGCAATTTTACTTCTTTCTTTCCTATTAGGCTCCTTTTATTAATTTATTTTTCCCTAATTTCACTGGCAAGCATTTCCAGTGCCATACTGAATAGAGTGGTGAGGGTGGACATTCTTGTTTTGTTCCTTATTTTAAAGGAAAAGCTTTCAGCTTTTCAACATTGAGCATAATGTTAGCTGTGGACTTTATTATGACCATGTATAGCCTTCATTATGTTAAGGTACATTTCTTCTATATCTAATTTGCTGAGAGTTTTATCATGAAAGGATGATGAATTTCATCAAATGCTTTTTCTGCATCTACTGAGATGAACATATGGTTTTTGTCCTCGATTATGTTAATATGGTGTATTATATTTATTGATTTGCAAATGTTGAACTATCCTTTCATTCCAGGTATAAATTCCACTTGTTTGTGGTGTATGTTCCTTTTAATGTGCTGTTAAATTTGGTTTGCTAAAATTTTGTTAAGGACTTGTGCATCTATGTTTATCAGATATATTGGCCTGTAATTTTCTTTTCTTGTAATGTCCTTATCTGGCTTTGGTATTAGAGTAATGCTGGCCTTGCACAATGAGTTTGAATTATTCTTTCCTCTTCAATTTTTTGGTTTGAGCAGGATTGATATTAACCTTCTTTAAATGTTTAGCAGAATTCACCAGTGAAAGCATTTGGTCATGGGCATGTTTTTTCGGAGCTTTTTTGATTACTGATTTAATCACCTTACTTGTGAATGATATGTTTATATTTTCTATTTCTTCATGACTCAATCTCAATAGATCATATGTTTCTGGGAATTTATCCATTTCTCTTATCTACCCCAGTTTGTCGGTATTTAATTACAGATAATAGGCTCTCATGATCTTTTTTATTTCTGTGGCATCATTTGTAATGTCTCCTTTTAACTATAATTTTATTTGTTGGAGTTCTTCTTTCTTGGTTTGTCTAGCTAAGGGTTTGTCAATTTTTAATTTTTTTCAAAAAACCCCTCAGTTTTATTACCTTTTCTTTTCTATTGTTTTTCTATTTTCCATTTAATTTATTCTGCTCTAATCTTTTTTTTTTTTTTTTTTTGAGACGGAGTCTCGCTCTGTCGCCCAGGCTGGAGTGCAGTGGCGCGATCTCCGCTCACTGCATGCTCCGCCTCCCGGGTTCATGCCATTCTCCTGCCTAAGCCTCCCGAGCAGCTGGGACTACAGGCGCCTGCCACCATGCCCGAATTTTTTGTATTTTTAGTAGAGACGGAGTTTCACCGTGTTAGCCAGGATGGTCTCGATCTCCTGACCTCATGATCTGCCCGCCTTGGCCTCCTAAAGTGCTGGGATTACAGGTGTGAGCCACTGCGCCTGGCCTGTTCTTCTTTTCTAGTTCTTTAAGGTATAAAGTTAGGTTGTTGATTTGAATTCTTTCTATTTTCTTAATGTAGGTGTTTATAAACTTTCCTCTTAGAACTGCTTTTGTTGTATCCCATAAGTTTTGGTATGTTGTGTTTTCACTTTTGTTTGTCTCAGATATTTTTTGAATTCCCTTTTGATTTCTTCTTTGACCCACTGGTTGTTCAGTTTAGTTTCCACATATTTGTGAATTTTCTGAAATTCCTTGTTATGATTTCTAGTTTTGTGCCATTGTTATTGGAAAAGATACTTGAAATAATTTCTGTCTTCTTAAATTAGAACTGCTTTTGTTGTATCCCATAAGTTTTGATATGTTGTGTTTTCATTTTTGTTTGTCTCAGATATTTTTTGAATTCCCTTTTGATTTCTTCTTTGACCCACTGGTTGTTCAATTTAATTTCCACATATTTGTGAATTTTCTGAAATTCCTTGTTATTGTTTCTAGTTTTGTGCCATTGTTATTGGAAAAGATACTTGAAATAATTTCTGTCTTCTTAAATTTGTTAAGACTTGTTTTGTGGCCTAACATATGATCTATTTTGGAGAATGTTCCATGTGCTCTGGAGAAGAATTTGTATTCCGCTGCTGTTAGATGGAATGTTCTGTATATGTCTGTTAGGTTCATTTGGTTTATAATGTTTTTCAAGTCTTATATTTCTGCATTGATTTTTTTTTTCTGGGGGACGTGGCCATTAGTAAGAGTGGGTATTAAAGTCTCTTACTAATATTGTATTGCTGTTTATTTCTCCTTTCAGTTACGTTAATATTTGATTTATATATTTATGTGCTCTGATGTTTGGTGCATATTTATAGTAGTATCATTATATAATGGCATTCTTCTATCTTGTTACAGTTTTGACTTAAGTCCATTTTATCTGACATATATGTATATATATAAATATATACATATACATATATATATAAAAAAATGTGTCTGCGTGTGTGTCTGTGTAAGTATGGCCACCCTTGTTCTTTTTTGGTCATCTTGTGCATTAGAATTTCTTTTTCCATCTCTTTCCTTTCAGCCTGTGTGTCCTTAAAGCTAACATGAATCTCTTTTAGGCAGCAGGTCATTGGATCTTGCTTTCTTATATATATTATCCACTCTGTCTTTAGTTTGGAAAATTTAATCTGTTTACATTTAATATAATTATTGATAGGTAAGTACTTGCTATTGTCATTTTAATTGTTTTATGACTTTTATAGTTTTTTTCTTTCCTTCTTTCTCACCTGCCATCTTCCTTTGTGATTTGATTACTTTTTGTGGTAGTATGATTGATTCCTTTCTCTTAATCTTTTGCATATCTAATACAGGTTTTTCCTTTGTAGTTACAATGAGGCTTACATAAAATATCTTATAGTTATAATATCCTATTTTATGCTGATAACAACTTAATTTTGGGGGGATTAATTTTTTTGAGGGTTTCAACCTATTTGGGACATTTTTGAGACAGTCTTACTCTGTTGCCTAGGCTGGAGTGCAGTGGTACAGTCTCAGCTAACTGCAACCTCTGCCTCCTAGGTTTAAGCAATTCTCATGCCTCAGCCTCCCAAGTACATGGGACTATAGGTGTGTGCCACCACAACTGGTAAATTTTTTGTATTTTTAGTAGAGACAGGGTTTTGCCATATTAGTCAGGCTGGTCTTGAACTCCTGGCCTCAAGTAGTCTGCCTGCCTTGGACTCCCAAAGTGCTGAGATTATAGGCATGAGTCTATAATATGAGGCATGAGCCTGGCCTTCAGCTTAATTTTGATTGCATAAAAAGCATTATAGCTTTACTTCTTCCCCTCATTGATATTTTAGGTTATTGATATTAAGATTCACATATTTTTATATTGTATATCTAATAAGAAATTATTATAGAGTTATTTTTAATATACGTAAAACATTTTTATACCAGAGTTGAAAATCATTTATATACCACATTTAGAATATTACAGAATTCTGACTCTGATTATATATTTTCCTTTACTGATGAATTTTACACATTCATGTGTTTTACGTTGTTAATTAACATATTTTCATTTCAACTTGAAGAACTCCCTTTTGCATTTCTTGTAAGGCAGATCTAGTGGTGAACTTCCTCAGCTTTTGTTTGGGAAAGTCTTTATCTCTCTTTTATCTCTGAAGGACAACTGAGTTTTTTATTCTTGTTTGGCAGTTTCTGTGGTTTGAATGTCCCCTCCAAAACTCCTAATGAAATTTAGTTGCCATTGTAACAGTATTAAGAGGTGGGGCTTTTAAGAGGTGATTGGGCCATAAGTGCTCTGCCCTCATGAATGGATTAATATCATTATCGTGGGAGTTGGGTAGTTTTTGTGGGAGTGGGCTCTTGACAAAAGGGTGAAGTTCAGCCCTTGTATTCTCTTTGTCTCATGTGTTTGCTTCTGCTTTTCACCATCTTCCATGAGATGACATTCACCAAATACTGGTGCCATGCTCTGAGGACTTCCCAGCCTCCAAAATCATGAGCCAAATAAACTTCAGTTATATATAATTTAGCCAGTCTGTCATATTCTCTTATAGCAACAGAAAACAGACTAAGACAGTTTTTTTCTTTCAGTATCTTGAATATATCATCCTTTCTTAGCCAGATTTCTCCTAAGCAATTTGCGATTGTCTCTTAGATACTCCCCTGTATGTAATGAGTAGCTTTTCTCTTGTTACTCTCAATATTTTCTCTTTATCTTTGACTTTTGATAATTTAATTATAACGTGTCTTGGTGTAGACCCTTTTGGGTTCGACCTATTTGGGAAATTTTTAGTGTCACAAATTTTGATGCCCACTTCTCTCTCAAAATTTGGGAGTTTCCATTTTTTCCTCTCCTCTCCTCTCCTCTCCTCTCCTCTCCTTTCCTTTGTGACAGGGTCTTGCCCTGTCACTCAGGCTGGAGTGCAGTGGCAAGATCCTGGCTCACTGCAGCCTCTACCTCCTGGGCTGAAGTGATCCTCCCACCTCAGCTTCCTGAGTAGCTAGGACTACAGGTGTGTGCCACCAACCTGCTTAAATTTTTATTTTTTGGAGAGATGTGGTCTCAATATTATTCTCAGACTGGTTTTGAACTCCTGGACACAAGTGATCCTCCAACCTTGGTCTCCCAAAGTGCTGGGATTATAGGTATGAGCCACTGGCCCTGGCTGTCATTATTTCTACAAATAAGCTTTTTATCTCTTTCTCACTCTCTTATGTTTCTGGAGAATATTTTTTTGTTTCACTTGATGGTGTCCCATAAGTGCCATATATCTCTTTTCACTCTGCATTCTGTTTTCTTTTTATCCCTTTGACTGGTTAATTTCAAATTGTCTTTGAGTCCACTAATTCTTCCTTTTGCTTGATTGAATCTGCTGTTGAAACTTTCCTAAACTTTTTTCAGTTTAGTTACTGTATTCTTTATCTGCAGGATTTTTAAAAAATGGTTTCTATTTCTTTGTGGAACTAATTTTGTGTATCGTTTTCTTAATTTTGTTTAGTTGTCTATCTGTATTTTCTTGTAGTTCATTGAACTTCTGAATTCTTTGTCAGTTTGTTTATAGATCTCCCATTTCTTTAGAGTCAGTCATTGGAGCTTTATTAGTTTCCTTTGTTGGTATAACATTTTCCTAATACCTCATAATCCTTGTATCTTGCATTTCTTTTTGTGCTTTTGAGGCAGCAGCCACCTCTTCTAGCCTTAACAGGTTCATATCAGTAGAGATAGACCTTCACCAGTCAGTCCAACCTTTGGTTCTAGATGGATTGGCTGTTAGTGTTCATGAATAAGTGTGGCTTGCTGCTCACACTCTCTAGTTGATGCGGCCACTGCCCGTACTCTGAGGTGGAACTGCTGGCTGTGCTCCATGGTCGGGCTGGATCACTGGCTGGGTTCTATGATCAGGATGAGCTGTTGGCTGGGCTCTGCATTCAGGCGGGGCTACTGGCTGGGCTCCTTCATAGGGTGGGGATTTTGACTGGCTTTGTGGTCAAGTAGGACCACTGGCTGGACCCCACAATCACCTCTTGTCAGATGTTGTTGCAGCCTGTGCTCCTTGTGGTACTGTTGTTCAGGGTATATAATTGGGCAGGGCTTTAGGCTGGGCTCTGAAATTTTCCCTGGTTGGGTAGGGGCCCATGAAGTGCTCCCTGACTGGGTGTGATGCTGGCTGAATGCCATATTCAGATGGAGCCACTGACTAGGTTTTGTAATTGGTGGTGGTCTCAGGCTGTGCTTTGTAGTTGGGCAGGCCACAGGCTGGGCTCCGTGTTTGGGTAGGGACACAGGCTGAACTGTGTGTTTGTGCTGGGTCACTGGCTGGGAACTTGATCCAGGTAGGGCTACTCAGTTTGCTCCATGGTCAGTCAGGGTCACCATGAACTCCCAGATTGGCTGGGTTTGTAGCCTGTGTCCCACAGAGCCCACATGTGTAGCTCTGTGTGGTTGCAGGCAGAGCTTCAAGGCTGTGTTGGGTTCTTGATCAGGCTCCTTCATGAGGCAGGGTAACAGGTTATGCTCCACAGTTAGGCAGAGTCACCAGCTTTACTTTCTGCTTGAGTGGGGCCTGGGACTGGGCTCTGAATTTGGAAAGGGTCACTGTTTGGACTTCCTGGTCAGGCCAGGCCAGAGGCTGTGCTCTGCAGTTAGGTGTGGTTGCTGGCTGGCCTCCCTATTTGGGCAAAGTCTTAGGCTTGGCCCTGAGGCTGGGCAGAGTTGTTGTGGAGGATCCTTGGTCAGTTGGGGCCAGAGGCTGTGCTCCACAGTTAGGCAGGGTTGCTGGCTGGCTTTCCTGTCTCACAAGGAACTTAGGTTGGGCTCTGAGGCTGACCTCCACAGGGAGGCTATACCACTGGTTAAGGATGCAAGCCAGACAGAAACTGCCTACCATACTTCCTGGCCAGACAAATTTGTTGGCTTGGGTCTGCAGGCAGGCAAGTTGCTGGCTGGTCTCTCTGATTGGGTGCCACTGCTAGTAGGAATGTAGTGTCACTGCCAAGATCCATGCAGTGATTGCTGAAGCCTTGACCACTTCTTTGCTTCTAGGTGACCGCAGGTGGTCTAGTCCTGCCGATGCCCTCAATGTTCTCTGTGACATGGGACAGAGCTGGACCTCCTAGGATGCGCTTTGGAACGCTGTTTGAAGCTGGATATCTACTTTGGCTCTCTTTTTCCCGTTGAAGAGCTCATTGGCCCAGGGGAACTCCATTCATGTTGCGGTGGCGCCTGGGGGAGGGGTGATGCTGCCAAAGTAAAACTCTTACTCTTACCCTTCTAATGAAGGGTGAAACACCGAGCTTGGTGTTTTCAGGATAAGGGGCAAGGTCAGTGAGTTGGAAGCTTAGACAACCAAGATAAAGGAGATAAAACATGATGCTTGGAAGATAAGTAGATGTCACATAACATAGCATCTAAGGACATGGTAAGAAGACAGCAATGACAAAACCTAATATTGTGTGCGCAGTAACCTTCTCTACTGAAAAGCCAATTAAGAATCCCTCAATATTCCACATGACTGTTATCTAGGACACTGACTCCATGGGTGCCTTGAGTAGAATCAAGGTTGAACTTCAGAAAGAACTGAAATAGAAATGAAATCTACCTTCAGTACTTCAAACCATTCATATATCCCTGGAAACTACATCATCAAGTCAGCCCTACCAATCCACCCACCAAGGACAGTAAATCCGTAACGGTCATGAAATCATGCAGAGTCTTCTCGCTTCATTCCACTTTATCTGTCTGCTCCCCAGCCCACCCTGATTGTGCTAATTGACACGTTCGGTGTGAATACCCAGCTTTGACAACAGGACCTCCTAAAGACTGTTCTCAATCATCTGGACCTGTCTGCTTCTAGCCCTTTTTTTTCTGAGAGACCCTAGTGCTAAAATTCTATAAGTTACCCCTTAACAGGACCAGTATAATTTAGTAAAATGCAGATGCCTTTAACAATATGGTACATATACTCTCACACCCGAACCACCATCATTGGGATCTCCTCTATCCTGTATGTCAGATAAAACATTCTGCTGCCCTACCACCCATTGGTGACTTACCTGTCAGGGTCCAAAGCCATTGCACCCCTCCCAGGTCTTGGGGAGAAGGGCACCCAGAGTAACCTGAAAAGCCATCACTTTCCCACTCTGACTCTTGTCCTCCTTCCTTAAATCCCCAGGAAACTGTTGGATCCAGAGCCATCATTTCTGAAGGAGTGCCGGAGGAGAGGGGACAACCTGTACGTGGTGACAGAGGCTGTTGAACTGATCAACAATACTGTGCTGTACGATAGCAGTAGTGTGAATATTTTAGGGAAAATTGCTCTTTGGATTACCTATGGCAAGGTATAAAGTTGTCCTGAAGTGGGATTGAAATTCAAAAAAATACAGCCAGTCCTGGCAGCCAAGCTTCATTTCCTAGGGGGCTCTGGACTCTATTTCCAGGGATTACAAGGGATGGAGTCATTATTTCCCCCTTCTTACATGTTGATGTATCCTGACTTCTGATCTGAGAGTATATTCTAATATCCTCCGTTACAGTGTTTTACTATACGGGGTCATACAGTATTGACAAAATCAGAAATATATTTAATTATTTAGTATTGTGTTTTGCTTTGGGTAAATGATAAATTCTGCAGAATTCAAATGAGTGGCCACTGTGTTATATACAGTCTAGTTTTATGGCTGGAAGAAATGAGGGACCACTAATACCAAACCCCGGTTGTTAAAGTACTTTAAACTCTAAGGTAACCTGATAAGAAATATTTCAAGGAGTGAGATCAGAGTATCTTCAAGCACATGTGACTGACATGAGTCATTCACAATAACCAAGTATAATATTTTTTAATATAAATAAATTCATTTATCAACTATTCAGATTAAGTATGGGTCAAGGGCTTATAAAGTTTATATGTGTTATAATGTGCTTTTACAATATGTCTGTGTAATTTGTCTTTACTTAAGAGCTTTAAAAACTAAAGAAGAAACCCGATATGTGTACTAAGTTTCCCAATGCCAATGAGTTACTGCTAAAAAGTGGACAAATGGTAACAGACCCTGGAAAGCAGGAATAGTGGACCCCCACCTGCAGCAGGGAAGAAAGTCTAGAAACAAGAACCCCCAAAAGGTTCAGGAATCGGAGGCACTAGCTACCTCTGAAGATAGGTGGGACTGCAAGTAAGAATATCGACTGGAAATCTTTTTAATTTTTTAAAAAATGTGTGTGGGAATATGGTAGATGTATACATTCATGGGGTACATGAGATATTTTGATACAGCCATACGATGTGTAATAATCACTTCAGAGAATTTTTATAAGGAACACTCAGAGCCCAAATCCCTTCCCACCTCTGCATAGCCAGGCACCTACCCTCACCCACTCTGGCAGAAGACCTTCTGGAAAACTTATTCCCTGTGGGTTCTAGATTTAGGAAGACTAGTTACAGTGAAGGGTGGGAGTGAGAAGCCATAATGGAAAAGGAAAATAAGTGCAAGTCCTCATTGAGAGTGGGGACATTGAGCCCCTTTCCCCATTCAGCTCCAGGCATCACATCTCTACCCTTTCTACCCCTACAACACACAGCCTAGGCGGGAGATTGAAGAATTATTTCCTAAGAAAATTAACCAGTACAAAAGAAATAACTAAAAAAACCCCAACCACTGGAGACCCCAAAGAGATAGTTTAATCCCTGCCTGGTTGCCCCAAAGTGAAACATCTACTCAACATGCCCTGCCTATGCACATTTAACAGCTTTCATGCTTCACTCGTTAACAAAACAGAAAAAAAAAATCACAGACACTTGAGGAAAGCCTAAAACCCAAAACAAAAACACTTTGAAGTTAGGAAATTAGAGGAAACAAAAACAACATAGGAAGGTAAGAAATACTTGATCCTCTTTAAGAGATAATATTTTATTTTCATGGAAGAATAATGCTTTGCAAAAAGGATATTTATAGCTCTTAGAAATTAAAAATAGAGTAGTAGAAATTTATTATTCTTTTTCTTAAATAGAAGGGTCAAAAAGCAAAATCGAAGAAATTTCCAGGAAAAAGTAAGCAAAAAGACAGGAGAATATTCATTAAAAAAATTTGGAGGCTAGGCACAGTGGCTCATGCCTGTAATCCTAGCACTTTGGGAGGCTCTTGCAGGTGGATTGCTTGAGCTCAGGAGTTCAACACCAGCCTGGGCAACATAGTGAGACCTTGTCTCTACAAAATATAAACAAAAAATTAGCCAGGTGCGGTGGTGCATACCTGTAGTTCCAGCTACTTGGGAGGCTGAGGTGGGAGAATTGCTTGAGCCTGGGAAGTTGTGGCTGTTGTGAGCCATGATTGTGCCACTGCATTCCAGCCTGGGTGACAGAATGAGACACTGTCTCAATTAAAACAACAAAACTTGAGGATCAGTCGAGGAGATTTAACTACTCCTGAATAATACGAGTTCCAGAAGGGGAGAACAAAGACATAATGCAATGTGGAAAATCTTTCAGGAGGAAATACAAGGAAGGTTCTGAGACCCAAAGAATGTGTTTCCAGAATGAAAGTGTCCACTGAAGGCATGGTTTCTTGAGTCAACATAGATCCACCCCATAAAACATAACTGTGAATTTTCAGAACACTTACCTCAAAAAGACAACCATAAATATTTCTAAAAGGGAAATAAAGTCATATTCCAGAGAATTCCAGCCAAGAATTCTATGGCCAGTCAAAATATCAATCAAGTGTGAGAGGTACAATAAAAATGTCTTTAGATGTACAAGGTCTCAAAAAAATGTGTCCCCCATCTCCTCTGGAGAGAATGAGTAAAGAGACAGACAAGGCAAAGGGACATCACATTAACTGATAAAGGAAAGATCGGGAGTGGGGAAAAGCAGTTTTCCCCAAGTATAAACAGTGAATATTAACTTGAACATGGGGATGTTAATATTTTAGGAAGATGGGAGAAGGGAAATAAGGAATGATGAAAGAGAAGGAAAACGAATTCAACATAATCAAAAAGAGAGAATAAATAGTTAAATCTGGAAAGAAATAAAAACATTGCAATATCAACATGAAATTGAAAAATGGGAAGATGAGCACAGGATGAAATAAGGAAGAAAGAGCAGTGATTGGAAATCAGAAGTCAGCAGTAGGGAGGATGAGAGCAGGGAATGCTGATGTTTTTCCTAATGAGCTTTCTAGAGCCATCTGACCTTTAAAATTACATACATTTAATACTGTATTGTCTGGTTTCTCTCCCCAGGGTCAAGGCCAAGGAGAGAGTCTCAGAGTGAAGAAGAAGGCGCTGACTCTTCAGAAAGGCATGGTGATGGCTTATAAGAGAAAGCAGCTGGTTATCAAGGAGAAAGGTGGGAGCAGCGGAGCTCAGCAAGGCAGATGGCAGTGGAGGGGGTGTCTGCTTCTCCTATGAGAGAAATGAGAGGAAAATAACCATAGTATGCAACCTTTGATGCTCTGCCTATCCAAGGAGAAGCATGCACATTTCTTACTGTCCAGGGCACACACCCATCTCACCACACAGAGGCACCTCCAAGCATGGCCTGGGTGAAATGCTGCTATTGACAGATACAGACAGTCTGGTACATGGAAAATAATCCAACTTGTTCATCTTGGAGTGTTGTTAGCTCTGGGCAAATTCCAACCCTAATCCTGACCATCCTTATTCATTTAAGTACCCTCAGCAACTCATCAGCCACAGAGGCTTACCCAAGGTTACCCATAACCCCACATTAAGGTCCTATGAGGTAACAACATCACAATCACAAACAAAACTGCAGACACGATGTCCTAAGAACATAAGTCAGAATTTTATCTACATCTTTCCCTCCTTCATCAGCCTCAAAATGCACAGTTCCTGACCACACACACTTTGGGTTTAGACTCCATGTGGGCAGAAGCATCTGTGTCAGTTGCATACCTAGGTGTGACAGTGAGTGCTGGGAACACAACTGGCTCTCAGAGTCCTTGTTTTCTCCCTTCCCAAATGCTGAGTCCCAGCTAGAGCTCATTTTAATACAGATCGAGTTCAGCTCCTCCTTCTCCCACACTCACTCTCACACTCTACTGCCTATAGTATCCTCACTGCAACATGGTCACGGGAGTGTCCTGATGTCAGTTACCTCCCATCAGTGGCCATAGACAGAATGAGGCTGAACTGTCTCCAGTCTTTCAGTTAGAGGACTCTGGCTTCTGGAAAGACTGACCATATCCAAAGCAGCTCTCTAATGAGGAGAAGGGGTGAGAATGGGATTCCCACTCTCAGGAGAGGTCAGAGAGTCCTGCTGAGGGCAACAGGAGATGGTGGCACTATCAAAGGTCATGGTGAATGATAAGATGATTTTAACATAGAAGGAAAAGAAAAGGAGCTCTAGTTTCAAAATATCATCATCATCAACAACAAACAGAAAATGATGTGGTCAGATAAAAGAAGACCCTACAGAACATGATGTGGTAGTATCCAGATAGAATCAGGTCAATATTCGTTGGTGACTGAAGCCAGGTGGATTCTTTGGAGAATAAACTACAGTGGTTGAAGTGTGAATGCAAAGAGGGGAAGTGAGGACCCAGTGTGTAGCTGATTCTTGAAGGAAGTTGGCTGTGAGGGGACAACAGGTGGGAGGAGGTGATAACTAAAGGAGGACACTTAGCTTTGGGAAGGGGGTTTATGAGATGGTGAAGACTTGAGCCCGTTGTCAAGCTAGGGGAAAGATCCTGATGAACTGGAGAGGGTGAAGATGAATTGGTGTCAGTTACATTGCTGGGCATGTATCTCCACTCCTTGCATCAGCTAGGGAGAGAAGATCTCATCTCCATTTTACAGTGAGGCGTCTGACATAGAGGAGCGCCACTCTCCCCGCTAGTAGTCAGAACATGACTTGCAGTCACTGCTGTGAGGCTAGCTTTTCCTCTAACTTCATTCAGTTCACACTTTTCAACCCTTATACAACTTTTTGTCTTCTTCATAGGCTCTTTCCCCTGTTGAACACTTGCACTCTAGTGTTAGGTGAATTTCAGACCTCAGCATATTTCTCTACACAGAATGTGAAATCATCCAAGAAGATGCCAAATTGAGAGTGGTAAGTAAGGCAGATCAGTAAGAAAAGGGCAGCAAGAGGCAATTCTACCTAGTGAAGGTCAAAGGGAGCTGAGTTCCTTTACTCTATCAAGGTAATTTCCAAAAGTTGGATGGCAAAGTGATTACCTAAATTGCTTATTTAAATGCAGGTTCCAGGGCACCTTTCAAAGTGATTCAGAAGGCACAGAGTGAGGCCAGTGGTCAGATTTAACAGGCATCCCAGTGGTTTTGATATAAGGAGTTCCCTGGTCTAGGTTCAGGCAGGAATAACCTCAACTCTCCTAATGGAAGTTCTTCTTTTCCATTCAGCCATTCTCATCTCAGATGATGATGAACAGAGAACCTTTCAAGATGGTGAGTTCCAAAGCCTGGTCTTTTTATTTTTTTATTTTTATGAGTACATGGGAGGTATGTATATTTATAAGGTACATGAGATGTTTTGATACAGGCATGCAATGTGTAATAATCACATAATGGAAAATGGAGTATTCATCTTCTCAAACATTTATCCTTCATGTTCTAAGCAATCCAGTTATACTCTTTTAGTTTTTAAAAAATGTACAATTAAATTATTTTGACTGTAGTCACCCTGTTGTGCTATCAAATGCTAGGTATTATTCATTCTTTCTAGCTTTTTAAAATGTGCCCATTAACCATCCCTACCTCTCCTCCAGACCCCCCACCACCCTTCCCAGTCTCAGGTAGCATACTTATATCTGTATGTGTTCAACTGTTTTGATTTTTACATCCCACAAGTAAGTGAAAACATAAAATGTTTGTGTTTCTATTCCTGACTTATTTCACTTAACATAATGAACTCCAGTTTCATTAATGTTTTTGCAAATAATAGGATCTCATTCATTTTTTTAACGGGTGAATAGTATACCATTTTGTATATGTTTGATATTTTCTTTATACATTCATCTGTTGATGGACATTTAGTTTGCTTCCAAATCTTGACTATTGTGAACAGTGTTGCAATGTTTGTTCTTAAATCTCTCTTTGGTATACTGATTGCCTGCCTTTTGGTGTATATACCCAGCAGTGAGATTGCTGGATCATATGGTAACTCTAGTTTTCGTTTTTTGAGGAAGGTCCAAACTGTTCTCCAGAGTGATTGTACTAATTTACATTCCCATCAACGGCATATGAGAGTCTCCTTTTCTCTGCATCCTCCCCAGCATGTGTTATTGCCTGTCTTGGATATAAGCCATTTTAACAGGGGTGAGATAATATCTCATTGTAGTTTTGATTTGCATTTCTCAGAAGATCAGTGATGTTGAGCACATTTTCATATGTCTGTTTGCTATTCGTATGTCTTCTTTTGAGAAATGTCTACTCACATCTTTTGCCCATTTTCAATCAGATTATTAGATTTATTTCTATATAGTCATTTGAGCTTCTTAAATATTCTGGTTATTAATCCCTTCTCAGATGGGTAGTTTGCAAATATTTTCTCAGATTCTGTGGGTTGTGTCTTCACTTTGTTGATTGTTTCCTTTCCTGTGAAGAAGCTTTTTAACTTGATGCGATCCCATTTGTCTATTTTTGCTTTAGTTGCCAGTGCTTGTGGAGTATTTACTGAAGAAATCTTTGCCCAGACCATTGTCCTGAAGAGTTTTCTTAATGTTTTATTTTAGTAGTTTCATAGTTTGAGGCCTTAGATTTAAGTCTTTAAATGATTTTGATTTGATTTTTGTATATGGTAAGAGATAGGGGTCTAGTTTTATTCTCCTGGATACGGATATCCAGTTTTCCCAGCACCATTTATTGAAGAGACTGTCCTTTCTCCATTGTATGTGCTTGGCAACTTTGTCAAAGATGGTTCACTGTAGGTACATAGATTTGTTTCTAGGTTCTCTATTTTGTTCCTTTGGTTATGGGTCTGTTTTTATGGCAGTATCATGTTGTTTTGGTTACTATAGCTCTGCAGTTTAATTTGGAGTCAGGTAATGTGATTCTTCTGGTTTTGTTCTTTTTGCTGAGGATAGCTTTGGTTATTCTGGGTCTTTTGTGCTTCCATATGAATTTTAGAATTTTTTTTTCTTACTGTGAAGAATGTCATTGGTGTTTTGATAGGGATTGCATTGAATCTGTAGATTGCTTTGGGGAGTATAGACATTTTAACAATTTTAATTATTCCCATCCATGAACATGGAATATCTTTTCACTTTTTTGGTGTCTTCTTCAATTTCTTTCATCAATGTTTTATAGTTTTTATTGTAGAGAACTTTCACTTCTTTGGTTAAGTTAATTCCTAGATGTTTTATTTTATCCCTATTGTCAATGCGATTAATTTTTAAATTTCTATTTTAGAGTGTTCACTGTTGGCATATAGAAATGCCACTGATTTTTGTATGTTGAATTTATATTCCTCAACTTTACTGAATTTGTTTATCAGTTCTAATAGTTTTTTTAGTGGAGCCTATAGGTTTTTCCAAATATAAGATCATATCATCTGCGAAAAAGGATGATTTGACTTCTTCCTTTCCAATCTGGATGCCCTTTAGTTCTTTCTCTTGTCTGATTGCTCTAGCTAAGACTTCCAGCACTATGCTAAACAGCAATAATGAATGTGGACCTCTTTGTCATGTTCCAGATCTAAGATGAAAGGCTTTCAATTTTTCCCCACTCAGTATGAAACTAGCTGTGGCTCTGTCATATATGGCTTTTATCATGTTGAGGTATCTTTCTTCTATACCTGGTTTTTAAAGGGTTTTTATCATGAAGGAATATTTAACTTTATGAAATACCTTTTTAGCATCAATTGAAATGATCATACGGTTTTTGTCCTTCATTCTGTTGATATAATGTATCACATTGATTGATTTGTGTATGTTGAACTATCTTTGCATCCCTGGGATAAATCTTACTTGCTCATAATGAATTCTTTTCTTTTCTTTTTTTGAGACAGGGTTTTACTTTGTTGCTCAGGCTGTAGTGGTAGTGGCATGAACATGGCTCACTGCAACCTCTGCCTCACATACTCAAATGATCCTCCCACCTCAGCCCCCAAGTAGCTAGGACTACAGGCATGTGTCACCATGCCTGGCTAATTTTTGTATCTTTTTGTAGAGACATGGTCTCACCATGTTGCCCAGGCTGGTCTCAAACTCCTGAGCTCAAGTAATCTAGCCACCTTGGCCTCCCAAAGTGCTGGGATTGCAGGTGTGATCATGACACCTGGCTGTAAATGACCTTGTTAATGTTTCATTGAATTCGGTTTGCTAGTATTTTGTTGAAAATTTTTGCATCAATATTCATCAGAGATATTGCCTATAGGGTTTCTTTTTTCTTTTTTTTTGATGTATCTTAATTTAGTTTTGGTATCTGGGTAATACTGGCCTCATAGAATGAGTTTTGAAGTATTATCTCTTCTATTTTTTGGAGTAGTTTGAGTAGGACTAGTATTCATATTTTACTTTAAATATTTGGTAGAATTCAGCAGTGAATCCATCAGGTCCTGGGCTTTTCTTTACTGGGAGACTTTTTATTACAGCTTCTATCTCATTACTCATTACTGATCTGTTCAGGTTTTAAATTTCTTCATGGTTTAATCTTGGTAGGTTCTCTGGGTCTAGGAATGTATCATTTTTCTCTAGATTTTCCAATTTATTGGCATATGGTTGTTCATAGTAGCCACTAATGATCCTTTAAATTTCTGCTGTATCAGTTGTAATGTCTCCTTTTTCATCTCTGATTTTATTTGCGTCCTCTCCATTTTTTTTTTTATTGTTCTGGCTAAAGTTTTGTCAATTTTGTATATCTTTTCAAAAAGCCAACTTTTTGTTTCATTGATCTTTTGTATTGTTTTCTTCACTTTAATTTCATTTATTTCTACTCTGATCTTTATTATTTCTTTTTTTCTAATTGTGGGTTTGGTTTGATCTTGCTTTTCTAGTTCTTTAAGATGCATCATAAGGTAGTTTTTTATGAAGTTTTTCTTCTTTTTTGATGTAGGCACTTATAGCTATAAATATGCCTCTTTGTACTGCTTTGCTTTGTCCCACAGCTTTTGGTATGTTGTGTTTCCATTCTCATTTGTTTCAAGAAATGTTTCAATTTCCTTATTAATGTTTTCCTTGACCCACTGGTCATTCAGGAGCATATTGTTTAATTTCCATGTATTTGTATGGTTTCCAAAATTCCTCTTATTGTTGATTTCTAGTTTTATTCCATTGTGGTCAGAGAAGATGGCTGATATTATTTCAATATTTTGGAATGTTTTAATGCTTGTTTTATAACCTAACATATGATGTATCATTGAGAATGATCCATGTGCTGAGGAGAAAAAAATGTGTATTCTGCAGCCTTTAGATGAAATGTTCTCTAAGTATCTATTAGCTCTATTTGCTCTATAGTGCAGAATAAGTCTCAGGCTTCTTTCTTGAGTTTCTTTCTGTGAGATCTGTTCAGTGCTGAAAGTAGGGTGTTGAGGTCTCCACCTATTACTGTCTCTTTAGCTCTAATAATCTCTCTTTAGCTCTCTCTCTCTTTAGCTCTAATAATATCTCTCTCTTTAGCTCTAATAATATTTGCTTTATATATCTGGGTACTGCAGTGTTGAGTGCATATATATTTACCATCATTATATCATGTTGTTAGATCGACCCCCTTATCTTTATATAATGACCTTTTTTTGTCTCTCCTTACAGTTTTTGTCTTGAAATCTATTTTGTCTGATGTAAGTATAGCTATTTCTGCTTTTTTTTTTGGTTTCCATTAGCATGGAATATCTTTTTCCATCCCTTTATTTTCAGTCTATGTGTATCTTTATAGATGAAGTGTGTTTTTTGTAGGTAACAGATCATGGAATCTTGTTTTTTTTTTTAATCCTTTCAGCCACTCTTCATCTTTTGATTGATGAGTTTAGCCCATTTACAATTAATGTTATTGTTGATAAATAGGGATTTAATCCTGCCATTTTGTTATTGTTTTCTGGCCTTCTTTTCTTCCTTTTTGCCTTCCTTTTAGTGAAGGTGATTTTCTCTGATGGTGTTTTTTTTTTTGCTTTTTGTTTTCTGTGTCCATTGTAAGTCTTTTGATTTGAGGTTACTGTAAGACTTACAAATACTGTCTCATAACCCATTATTTTAAACTGATGAGAACTTAACATTGATTGCATAAACAAATGAACTAATAGGCAAAAAGAAACCTAATAAAGTAAAAACTCTACACTTTACCTTCCCGCTTTCTAACTTCTTGTTGTTTGTCTTTATGTCTTATTGTACTATGTCTTGAAAAGTTGTAGTTATTTTTGATTGATTCATCATTTAGTCTTTCTGCTTAAGAATAGTTTACATGCCATAATTATAGTGTTATAATGTTTATGTTTTTCCATGTGCTTCCTATTAGCAGTGAGTTTTGTATCTTTAGATGATTTCTTCTTGCTCATTAATGTCCTTTTCTTTCAGACTGAAGAACTCCCTTTAACATTTCTTATAAGACAGGTCTGGTGTTGATGAAATTACTCAGCTTTTGTTTGTCTGGAGATGTCTTTATTTCTCCTTCATCCTTGGAGGATATTTTTGCCAGTTATACTCTTCTAGGATAAAAGGTTTTTTTTTCTTCAGCAATTTAAATATGTCATGCCATTCTCTCCTGGCCTGTAAGGTTTCCAGTGAAAAGTCTGCTGCCAGACATATTGCAACTCCATTGTATGCTATTTGTTTCTTTTTCCTTGCTGCTTTAAGATCCTTTCTTTATCCTTGATCTTTGAGAGTTTGATTATGAGACACCTTGAGGTAGTCTGCTTTGGGTTAAATCTGCGTGGTGTTCTATAACTTACTTGTACTTGAATGTTGGTATCTTTCTATAGGTTTGGGAAATTCTTTAATATTATTCCTTTGGATAAACTTTCTTACCCTATCTCTTTCTCTGTGTCCTCTTTAAGGTCAACTTTTAGATTTGTCTTTCTGAGGCTATTTTCTAGATCATATGTGTGTGCTTCATTGTTTTTTATTCTTTTTTCTTTTGGTTCCTCTGACGGTATATTTTCAAATAGGCTGTCTTCAAGCTCACTAATACTTCCTTATGCTTGATTGAGTCTATTATTAAGTGACTCTCAGGCATTCTTCAGTATGTCAACTGCATTTTTCAACTCCAGAATTTTGGCTTAATTCTTTTTAATTATTTCAATTTCTTTTTTAAATGTGCCTGATAGAATTCTGAATTTCTTCTCAAGTTATCTTGAATTCCTTTGAGTTTCTTCAAAATACTATTCTGAATTCTTCATCTGAAAGATCACATGTCTCTTTTTCTTCCAGGATTTGTCCCTGGTGCCTTGTTTCGTTCATTGGTGAGGTCATGTTTTCCTGGATGATCCTGATTCTTGTAGATGTTTTTTGGTATGTAGGCATTGATGAATTAGGTATTTATTTTAGTCTTCTCAGGCTTGTTTGTGCCTGTCCTTGAGAAGGCTTTCCAGGTATTCAAAGGGACTTGGTTTTCCTGTTTGATATCTCTGTGGTTGTTGCAGACTCATAGAGGTTCTGCTTTGGTGGTCTTGCATAAGATCCAGAAAAATTACCTGGATTTCCAGGCAGAGACTCTTGTTTTTTCCCCTTACTTTCTCCCAAACAAATGGGGTCTCTCTCTCTGTACTGAGCCACCTGAAATTGGGAGTGTGGTGATGCAAGCACCCCTGTGGCCACCACCACTGGCTCTGCACTGGGTTAGACCTGAAGCCAGCACAGCACTGGGTCTCACCCAAGGCCTGCTGTAACCACTACTTGGCTACTACCTGTGTTCACTGAAGGCCCTAGGGCTCTACAATCAGCAGGTGACAAAGCCAGTGAGATTTTTTCACTTCCCGTCAGAGCAGTGAGTTTTCCCAGGCCTTGGGTGGGTACAGAGATGCTGTTTGGGAGCTAGGGATTGAAGTAAAATATCTTATAAATTTACCTTATGTTCTGCTCTACTGCTGCTAAGCTGTCACTCAAATCACAAGACAAAGTTTTCCCCACTCTTCCCTCCCCTTTTCACAGGTAGAGGAGCTCTCTCTGTGGCCACCATTACCACCGGCCCATGAGGGGTTCTGCCAGGCCACTGCATATGTTTGCTGACAGCCCAAGGGCTCATGAGTCAGCTTGTGGTAAATGGTGTCTGGCCTGGGTCTCACCCTTTAGGGAAGTGGGCTCTCCTGTGGCCCAGGGCAGGTCCAGAAATGCTGTTGAAGACCCTAGGCCTGGTCTTGAGGGCCCCAAGAGCCTGCTTGGTGCACTACACCACTGTGGCTGAACTGGTACCTAAGATGCAAGGCAAAGCCTCCTCTTTACTTTTCCCTCTGCTTTTCTCAAACAGAAGGAGTCTTTCACCATAGCCACCGCAGCTGGGAATATGCTGAGTCACACCTTTAGTTAGCACATCTCAGAGCCCAAGGCCCACTACATACCACCTGGGTACTGCTGCTGGTTATTTAGGGCCCAATGGTTCTGTATTCAGCAGATGATGAATTCTGCCAGGACTGTGTTCTTCCCTTCAAGGCAGTAGGTTCCCTTTTCACCCAGGGGTGTCTAGAGATGTTGTCCAGGAGCTAGGGCTTGGAATGGGGGCCTCACAACTCTACCCAGTCTCCTGTCCTACTGTGGCTGAGGTGATATCCACGATGCGGGACAGAATCCTCTGTACTCTTCACTCTCTTCACTTAAACAAAGGGAATGAGACACTTTCATTTCTGTGAGCTGCACTGCCTGAGATTGGGGGTGGGGTAGCGCAAGCACCTTTTTTTAGTCACCCCAGCTGGTGTCTCTTTAGGTCACATGTCACTCTAGTCCTCTGGCTCTGAGCCTAGCTCAGCATTAGAAATTGCCTAAACATTGCAGTCCTTCTGTCCTAGACTGACCTTTAAGTTTACCTAGGACTCCAGAGCTCTTTGGCTGGCATTTGCAAGGCTTGCCAAGAAACTTGAGTTCTGAAAGAAGGAATGGGCAATTCCTCTTTGAGTGGGTCTTGTTCAAATGCTCCCTTCGTGCACTGGCACTGATTGAGCCCAGCCTGGCTCTGCTCTCTGCTATGACAAGGCAGTACTGAGTTCAATGTAAAGTTACCCAGTCATTCTGCTCTCCCTCTCTCCCAAGAGTACGAAATTTCCGAAATGGTAGGCTACTGTGCTGCGAGGAGTGAGGGGTTGCTACCATCATTTCATACCATCTCTCCAACCCTCTTCAATGCCTCATCCAATGATATGAAGTTAAAACCAGGTACTGTGATTGCTCACTTTATTTTTACTTCTATGTTGATGCTTTTCTTTGTGCAGATAGTTGTTAAAATTTGGTGTTTATGTGGGGTGTATGAACCATGTAGGCTTCTATTGCACCATCTTGCTCATCCTCCTCTGGCAGTGTTTTTTTGCTTAGAACTTAGGCACTGCTGATCCCTGACCCCCTTTGGATTCCCACAAGAGCCCTGCTTGGGCTCAGCCCACACAAACCCACAGAGAACATTCCCCCAGTCATGCTCCTCCATTTCCTGCAACTGTCCCCTTCCTCTGACCCAGCCACTGTCCCCTGGGGCCACAGGGAAACCAGGCTTTCTCCTTTGAACATTGGGATAGGTGTGAGTCTGTTGGGGAAAGAGGCTGCCTGGGGATCCATCTCTCTGGGGAAGTTTTTTAACTGAACTGATGGAACATGTGAGAAATAAGGGGAGGATAGAGGAGTTAGAGGTGAGACCAAGAGGGAAAGAAGTAGAGGAGGAAAAGTAGGGGTAGACTAATGTTTGGTGAGTAAACACTTTTCTTTCTCTTTCCAGAGCTATTTCTGACACAGCAATTTTTGAGCGGGCATTTGCCAAGTGAGTGGAATCTGGCCCTCCCCTTCCAGGACAATCTGCACAACAAAAAACCACCTGATTGCCTTTGGTGCTATTACCCAAAGTCTTGGGGTCTGGCCTCTGGGGAAAAGGGCAGGAACAGATAGAGAAGAGTGGTTCAGGGAAAGAAGGGCAGAAGGTTGGAGAAATCTAGTCTTTGAGCCTCTTTGGTGAGGAATTTCATTTCTTTTTTTAGAATACGAACAAGTTCACATCCTCCCAGTAGGTGAGTGTGAGTTTGCTGGAGGTGGGGGTGGGGATCCCATCCTGCACACATGGGGTAAGTAGGGCAGATTGCCCCTGCCTCGCCTTTGCCACCACCGCCCTAGGGCCTGGCGTTTGGTCATGTGGAATGGGAAGGGTCCAGAAAGCTGAGAACATGGAGGATGAATGGGAATGGGGGCAGGAAGAAGTTGAGTAAGAGGGAGGAGGTGGTAGGAGAGCAGAACCCTCCAAAACATCTGAAAAGCAAATTTGGGGGGATGAGGAAGTGAGATGATGACTTGATTCTCCTTCTAGGAAGAATAGAGGAACCCTTCTGGCAAAGTAAGTATTTATTAAGGGGGAACCTGGGGCTTCTGGGTGGGAGCTGCAAGTCTGAGCACCCAAGTTGGTGGTTTCTATGCAAGTCAGAAACTGAGGTCCACTTCCAAATTTGCACTTTGCTCATGAAACAAACAAACATTTATTGAGGACTTATTGGACAACAAGAATTATTTTGAACCTGAAAGTTATGGCTGTGAACCAAGCAGACAAATTCTTGCCTCTTTGGAGCTTCCAATCCAGTGATCTCTCATCCCAAGCAGTACACCCTGAGGGAGCCAGATGTCTCCTGGGAGAGACAGAGGGCCCCCAGCATCCACCCCTTGGTTAATTCTTCATAAACATTGAGGATACTGGCAAAATTGCATGATAATAAGGGTAGCTTATATGTGCCAAGTGCCTTACATACATAAACTCTCTCTCTCTCTCTTGTTTTTTTGAGATGGGGTCTCACTATGTTGACCAGGCTGGTCTTAAATTCCTGGCCTCAAGCAATCCCCCCATGTCAGCCTCCCGAAGTGCTGGGATTACAGGTGTGAGCAATCATGCTTGGCCTACATAAACTCTTTTAATCCTCATAACATCCCATTTAACCAATATGGAAACTGATTCCAGAGCATCTAAGTTTTTTGCCTCTAAGGCCCAATGCTAGATTTTACAGTATTCCTGACATGTCCCAGAAATGACCACTTTGCCATTCTCTTCCATTTGTGATGATGTCTTTTCAGAATCTCAATCTCTGCTCCCAGTACCCTATTTCCCCTTTTCAGAACACTGGATTGTCCATCTTTTTCCTTCTTATGCCAGCTCTATCCACAAAGCTCAAGCATGCCATTAGCAGAGACAATTTTGGTTAGCAGCTGAAAGGGATAGAGGAGTTTGGTTCATATTCGTGCAAACAGGCTGTCATTCCAAGGATGTTCTAATCAAAGACTTGTCCCCACTTTCTGGTCGGCGTTGATGCCTGAGAGCAGATTTCAAGCATCTACAAGAGGAGGTTTTCCAGAAAATAAAGACACTGGCTCAGCTCTCAAAGGATGTTCAGGATGTCATGTTCTACAGTATCCTGGCCATGCTCAGAGACAGAGGGGCTCTACAGGACCTGATGAACATGGTGAGGGGCTCCACAGTTGCATAGGTCTGGTAAAAGCTGTAAATGGGATTGGTTAGGAGATATGACTCCCAAGTTACATGGAGGAGGAAGAATAAGCAAGATGCCAGGGGAATGAGAAAGACTGGGGACTCTGGTGCCGGGCACAATGGGCCAGGGAAGTGTCGCCCCCACTACTGAGGCTGCTTGGAATCCCCTGGGGGAGGTAGAGAACCCTCATGCCTACCCCTTGGTTATCACCAGTAGACACAGGCAAATTATATAACATTACTGTTATTAGTATTATTATTAACAATAATACCTGTCTTCTATAGCTGGAATTGGACAGCTCAGGTCATTTGGATGGCCCTGGTGGTGCCATCCTAAAGAAACTTCAACAGGATTCAAACCATGCATGGTTTAACCCAAAGGACCCCATTCTTTATCTCCTTGAAGCCATAATGGGTAAGAGTAATTAAAGGGAAGAATGGGAGAATCACAAGATTGGTCCCCAGGACCCGCAAAAAGCTGTGTTAGATGCTGTGTCTCCAAAGCCCTTTGAATGCCATGATCTTTCGTCCTTACATCACAGCTCTCTCTAAGGTCAGAGGGCTCACTGTGATAACTTGCCGTATGACACAGAATTGAGTTTAAGGCCTAGGGAGTTACCAGTTTATGTTCATCCACAAATCATTGGAGGTGGGTGATTCCAGCTTTCAGCCCCTGAATCCCGTCCTCTGGTCCCTCTTATTTAGCATCCTGGAGACCATTCTGAAGGGCTTCCCAGGGCAGGGAGCTTGACCTTCAAGTCTAATGGGTTTTATTCCTCTGCCTTGGAGTTATTCTCTCAGGGGGTCTCCTGCTTTATGGTGGGAGGAAAAATCTGGATTCTTCACTACTGTCTTTCCCCACATGTCCCCCACCCTCAGTGCTGAGTGACTTCCAACACGATTTGCTGGCCTGTTCCATGGAGAAGAGGATCCTGCTTCAGCAACAGGAGCTGGTGAGAACTTCCCAGGGGCCAGAAGTTCAGGGAAGAGGGTGAGGGAACCAGAGGTAAGAAGAATGATTCTGAGGAAAGAGAGATGATACAGGTTTTTGCTGGGAGGGGAGTCCAGATCACAGGGTGGCCACTGGGGAATCCTTGGCTGCAGTGTCCTTCTGGAGACCTGGTCCAGTGGGTATAAGCCTCCCTCAGGAGGGTCTTAGTTTCCATGGCAATCCCTGCAGCATTCCCCAACAGGCCTAAAATAGCCATATAGGAGCACAGGACTTTGAGGTCTAAGGGGATATAATATTCCTGCTCTAGTCACACTGTTACCATTTGCTAATTACTTCTGCTCTAGTTACACTGTTATGATTTGCTAATTTCTCTGTTTTTCTCTCTCCAAGTATATGTGTATATAAATACATACCTTTATATGCATATACTATATACATACATATATGCATATACATTTAGAAATAAAAACACCACTATTCTACAAGGGGAGTTTTATTTTCACCATTTCATAGATGTGGAACCAATGCTCCCTGATTTCCAATAACTTGATCTTTGGATCGTAGGGTATGACCAGCATGTTACTCCTGGTCCGCTGGATCCCAAAGCTCTTGCTCCTTTTATTATCCTGCATGGCCCCTGGATACTGGGGCAGAAGCCTTCTCTTCCTCATCTTAAAGGCTGGTCTGTAGAACCTGATCATCTTTCTTCTAGGTAAGGAGCATCCTGGAGCCAAACTTCAGATACCCCTGGAGCATTCCCTTCACCCTCAAACCTGAGCTCCTCGCCCCACTCCAGAGTGAGGGTTTGGCCATCACCTATGGCCTGCTGGAGGAGTGTGGCCTTAGGATGGAGCTGGATAACCCCAGGTCAACCTGGGATGTAGAAGCAAAGATGCCCCTGTCTGCCCTCTATGGGACTCTCTCGTTGCTGCAGCAGCTGGCTGAGGCCTAAGCCCTCCCTGATGGGCAGTCAGTCCAGAGATGCTGGCCCTCGCCCAGTCTATGCTGTGAGTGTCCTTATGGGTGCAAGAGATAGGGCTGTGCCTCTCTGCGTTTCCAGGTGGAGTAGAGACAGTAATGGGTAGAGACTTTAGGAAATGTTTTGGGGTGGTGGAATACTCTATATATTGACAAGAGTTTATATATTGACAAGAGTTTATATATTTGTCAAAACTCCTCAAATAGTATGTTAAAGACGTAAGCGTTTCACTATGTATAAATTTTACTTCAAAATAATAAAAACAAATACTGACTCTAGTTAATGGTGTGCATTTTGAATTGTTTTGGGTGAAGTGTACCGATAACGGTAACTTACATTGAAATGCAACAAAAAGTAAGTTGACTTGATGATAGACAGATAAGTGACCAAGTAAATGTGATAAAGTATTAGTAATTGGGGAATATGGGTGAAGGATATAGAAGAGATTTTTTTTTTCCTGGAAACATTTTGTGAGTCCGAAATTGTTTCACATTAAATGTTAGCCCCCACGTGTGTGTGTGTGTGTATGTGCATATTCCTCAATTATTAATATTTTGTCACATTTTCTTGGTCATGTATCTGTCTCATTCTGTGCTCTCTGTGTCATTTGCTAATGCCACCTCGCCTCCTAAGCTGAAACCTGGGAGTCCACCTTGACTCCTCTCCTTAATCCCCAATCAACACAGTCCAGCCGACTCACCATAGCCCTCCTCTTCTCACCTGGACAGCTGGTCTCGTGCTCCCAGCTGGTTGTCCTGCCACCATCTTGTTCTCTTCAAATTTTCCTTGAATCCTGGAGGCTCATATCACAGCAGGCATGGGGAATAATTTAAAAATGCAACCTTTGTATGTCACTCCTCTGCCTAAAATCCTTTAGATGCTCCCTGTCATCTAGAATTATCAACCAAGATTTTAAATATGACGTCTCATCAGAATCACCTTGGCTGACATTTTCACATGACAATAATGAAGTGACTAATCACCACTTCACTCTAGTGTATTCCAGTAATCCCTATTGCTCACATCATGTCTTCACTTTTAAACAGTGTTTACTTTTTTTCTGCTAAAAAAGGCAAGAAAATGAGTTCTTCTCCCATCTTGCTCTTCTATCATCTCCTATCTCCAATTATTTTATTATTTGTAAATTGCCAAGGAGTGTAACCGTATCCCTCATGGCTGTTTAGTGTTAATTCTTTATCAAATTTTTTTTTTTTTTTGAGACAGAGTCTTGCTCTGTCACTCAGGCTGGAATGCAGTGGCACGATCTCGGCTCACTGCAACCTCCACCTCCCAGGTTCAAGTGATTCTTGTGCCTCATCTTCCTGAATAGCTGGGATTGCAGGCATGTACCACCACACTCGGCTAATTTTTGTATTTTTTTTTTTTTGTACAGACAGGGTTTCACCATGTTGGCCGGGATGGTCTTGAACTCCTGGCCTCAAGTGATCTGCCTGCTTCGGCCTCCCAAAGTGCTGGGATTACAAGTGTGAGCCACCGTTCCCAGTCTGTTTAAATTTATTCATTGGTAAGTATCAGTCATTTTGTTTTATTCCTTGAATGGCTGTGATCAAATAATTTTTTCAGTAGTGCTTCACTCCCCAAGTCCCTTCATATTTGAGAAACTTTGCCTCTTGCCTTTGTTCTTGAAGAATTCCTTGGAGAGAGATTATATTTTTAGGTAGCAGGTAACACCTTCTTGCCCTCAGTCTTTTGTAGCCATGCAAAGGTCTCCCGTTGACTTATTGATGCTTTGAAGAAGAACAAGGCTAGTCAAATTTTCCCAAACTCTTTGCATATACATCTAAATGTATGCCTGAAGAATTCTTTCTTCATCCTTGAAGTTAAGCACTTTAACCAGGCAATACCTGTGTCTCAGTCACTCTATGTCACTTTTCCTGGGAGCTACAGATTCATTTTTTCCTTTCAGGAAAATTTCCTCTTATAATAATTAAATATCTTTTATATTCTATTTGTTAGGTTCCCTACCTCACAGATACCAATTGTCCTTTAGGATTCTCCATACATTATCTTGTCTAATTCTTGCATCTTTGATTTTTTTTCGTCTGCATTCTCTGAGATCACGGCAGCTCTTTCCTCTATGTCTATAACTCAACTCTCAACTATAATTACTTTCCAATTCATCAGTTCAGATATTGTGTTGTGACCTTCAGTTCTTTTCCTTAGCTTTACAGTCTCTCTTTTCACATATTTCTGTTGTTGTATCTTTGCAGCTTTGAGGTTTTTACCTTATTAAAGTATTTCTCTTAGATTCTTCCATGGCATAAAACTGTTCTTTTTCTTGAGCTATGTTTTCTACCTGAATTGATTCCTCCACTCTCTTCTTTTCCTGTAGTGTGCTTGTATGGAATCTCTGTCACTTCCCACCTTCTCCCCTACCCCGCACCATGCTCATCCTCAGCATGGGCAGCTCTGTCCAAATTATATTTGCACAAAGACAATAGGGTAAATGAGTTTTTCTCAACTCTTTTATCAATTAAATGAGATGGTTTCTGTTCCTCTGCAAACTATGGATTGAAACCTGTGTTTTCCAGTGCTTAAGGTCATGGCATGTAGAACGGCAGGAGGGCTCACCTGGGGGTCTGGGCAGTCTTGGATGATTGCCCCGGCCTCTCTTTCACCTTCTACGATTTTAAACATTCTCTGTGGTGAATTATACACTATGAACTACTCACTCCTTCTTCAAATTTCCTCCTTTTGTGGCTGCAGAGAAGTAGTGCTCTTGTTTTCCCTATCACCTATTTCTTTTTATTCACTAAACATTATTTACTGAAGGCCTAGTATGTTCCAGTCATTATTCTATGCACCTGGAGTTCCACTTCCCATTGATTTTATATTTCAGTGGAAAAAAAGAGAAAATAAATAAATGTATTATATAGTATATTAGAAAGTAACAAGTGTCATTATTTATCCAAGTAGAGATATTAAGGTTGTAGCATATAATTCGGGAAGATGCCTGAGTTGAAGACAATCATTTGAGCACAGACACTATAGATGTATTAAAGTCATGAGGCTGGATAAGACCACTTAGGAAGCAGTGAAAAATCACTATGAGAGAGTAAGAAGTTCCAGAGACGAATCCCTAGGGAACCCTACTGTTTAGAGGTTGAGTGAAGAGGAGAGAACATCAAAGAAGATGAGGAAGACTGAATGTAAAGTAAGGAGAAAACTAGGAGAGAATGTGACACTTGGAAGCCATATGAAAAAGGTTTCAAAAACTTCATTAAGTGTGATATAAACAGTGCTAATAGATCAAATGGTGCTAATAGATTGAGAGGAGAACTGAGGACTGACTATTGAATTTTGCTACATTGAGGTCATTGATAACTTTGACAAAAGCAATTTTCATGGGCTTGTAGTAAGAAAACTTGATTGGAATTGATTTAAGAGGGAGTGGGAAGAAATCCGTGAGAGACAGTCAGGGTAGGCAACCCATTATCCCTTATAGGCTATGTTTATACTTATTCATCCTTAAACAGTGGACCTCTCTAGGTCTCATCTATTCTCTTTATACATTTGTGGCAGAGAAACGAGTGTCTACACAAAATATTGACTTCCAATATCCATTTTCCACTGCTACCAGTATGATAGCATTGTTAAATGAGCACATGGTCATTCAGAAGAAATAGTATGTTTTCTAGTTTCCTATACAGCTAGGTTGGCCATATGACAAGGGGGATGTAAGCAGCAGTTTTCTGAGTTAATATCCAGAAACCATTCTTAAAGACGGTTAGTGTGTGCCTTCCTTGTCTCTTACTAGTCCCTTTATTCATTTGTCTGCTGGAATACAGATGGGAGGGCAGAGCATTGAGTTGGAGGAAGACTAAGTTCCTGAGGACTTTGTGAAACACAGCTGCGCTGTCAGCCCTACACTGCCTACTTTTTACTTCTGCATGAATGAAAATCAATTTCTTGTTGAAATTACCATTATGTTGGATCTGCATTACTTCTCTCTCAACCCAATTCTAACTGTTATACATTTCCTGGGCAATATTGTTCACAGTTACTATTTCATTTGCTGTCTATTTTTCAAATAATTACCTAACCTCCATCTCTAGAGCAGACATCAACCTTCAGATATATTTCTTAAAATATTGAGTAGGCTTTCACTTTTAGCTTGATTAAATAGCTTTTAGTGAATCTGCTCTCTTTCTGCAAATAAATAAAAACCTCACCAAAATATACTAAACAACTGTTTTCAGATATTGTGTAATAGGAAGCACAGGCAAACAAACAGGAGTCCTAAGATTGCCCCAGGTTTCTGCCTGGAGCACATTCTGAACCACAGTTCAGAAAGAGAAACCTGTATAAGGTGGAGTGGTCTCTCTGAGTTAACAACACAGAGATAGGAGGTTGAGGAGGCCAAAGGAACTAACATTTTTAGGGCAGAGTTCTAGGAAAGAGGGAGTATTATCCAGTAACTTACATAGGGTACCTTGAGCCTTGGTCTAAATACTTAACTTGTGCATGTATAGCATAAGGCTTCAAAATAGTAGATTTAAAAGCTATCAGCTAGCTGTAGCCTGCAAAATTTCTAGAGCTTGACTGGTTCTGGCAGATATTTGGGTTTCAACCAGCTACCATGGACAGAACTCATTGAACACTCAGGACATTCATTAGAAGTCCCAGAAGGATCATGTCTTAGTAGAAGGGATAAGATGTAGAGTGGAGGCTGTATAAACCCCATTTTAACAGAGTATAAAAACAAGCCTCAAAAGAATCAAGTGGATCTGCATATAACTAGTTGCCAGCTAAAGCAAAATTTAACACTTCTTAAAGGAATACAACAAAATCCAGACACATTCAATAATGCAACATTCACAATTCCAGTATTACTACACATGGGAAGAGGCAGGTAAATGTGATCTATAACATATCAATTAGTTAATAAACAGAATACAGAAATGACAGATGGGATGACGATGGTGGGTTAGCTGATAAGGACTTTAAAACAGCTTATTATAAATATGCTCAAGTGTTTAAAAGAAAACAGAAGCCTATTGAGGAAAGAAAAGAATAAATTGAAAATAACGAAATGGAATGTCTAGAGCTAAAAAATATCATGTGTGAAATAAAAATACACTGTACAGGCTTGTTAGTAGAATAGGTAATGCAGATGGAATGATAAATGAAATTTAAGATATAGTAATAGAAGCTAAACTGAAGCACAAAAAACAAAAAGTGCAAAGACCTTCAAGGACCTGTGATACGATATAACACATGTAATTGGAGCCCCATAACTAAAGTGAGCAAAAACAATACTTAAAAGAAATACGTGCTGAAAATTTAATGAAAATGTAATAAAAACCAAACTCCACAGACCCAAATGGCTTGGTGAACTCTGAACAGGATAAGCACACAAGAACACTATCCCAAGATGTACAATAATCACATTCCTGAAAACCAATGATAAAGGGATAACTTTAAAAGCAGGCACAGAAAGACCCAATGCATTCAGAGAAAGAAAGGTTACAATTATTGATGATTATAATGCAAATCCATGATAAAAAGCAAAGCAAAATAAAGGAAAACTATCAATCTAGAATTGACAATAATTTTCAGCAAAATAACTTTCAAAAATGAAAGTAAACTTTTGATTCTGGCCAACATGGAGTAGCAGAGACTGGATTTTTCCTTCTGCTGGAAACAACTAAAAAACCCACAAAATATATGAAATAATGGTTTTCAAGTAATTGGACAGCAGTTAAAAAGGACAGTGAGCCTTGAGAAATGGAAGAAAACCAAGGTGAGCCCTCTGATTGCCCCAGATTACTGTCTTGAGAGAGTTTCCAGCATGGCACAGGAAGGAGGAACCCAAGAACAGCCTAAGAACCTCCTCGAGTTGAATGGATGAAGGTGAGAGTCTGGGGAAGCCAAGGCAGCTAGAGTTTTCAGGACAGAGTACAGAGAAGAAAGAGTTGTACAGAGAGAAAACCCTAGAGACCTGTAGAATGACCCTGGTTGGATGGCTTGCAATTGTGTGTTGACTAAGTGAGATATCATTAGATTATTGAACAGATTTTTTGTTTCTAAAATGAATATTACTTTAAGTTGATAAATCATAATTGTATATTTTTATGGGGCAAAATGTGATATTTTGATATATGTATACAATAGGGGATGATTCCATCAAGCACATTAATATATCTATCACTTCACTTTCTCATCATTTTTTGTGATGGGGCATTTGCAATTTACTCTCAGCGATTAACTATGGTCACCCTGTTGTACAATAGATCTCAAAAACTTATTCCTTCTGTTTAATTGAAACTTTGTACTCTTTGACCAACATCTCTTCAATAACCCCCATCTTAGTCCCGCCCTAGTATCTGGTAACCTCCGTCCTACTCTCTATTTCTATGAGTTTAACTTAAAAATTTTTCATATAAGTGAGATTATGCAGTATTTTTCCTTTTGTGCCTGGCTTATTTCACTTAGCATTATGTCCTCCACATTCATCTGTGTTGTCACAAATGAAAGCATATCCTTCTTTTTTAAGGCTGAATATTATTTCATGTATATATATATATATATATATATTACATTTTCTTTATTCACTCATCTGTTTATGAACACTTAGATTGGTTTCATCTATTGTAAATAATACATCAATGAATATGGGAGTGCAGATATTTCTCTAACTTATTGATTTCACTTCTTGTGGATATATAACTAGAAGTGGGATTGTTGAATCATATGGTAGTTCTGTTGCTTTTAGTTTTTTGAGGGACCTCCATACTGTCTTCTAACATGGCTGTATTAATTTACATTCCCAGCAACAGCCTACAAGACTTTCCTTTTTTTCACATCCTCACCAACACTTATCTTTCATTTATCTGCTAATAGCCATTCTAACAGGTGTGAGGGGATAGCTCATTGTAATTTTAATTTGCATTTTCCTGATGATTAGAATATTTCCCTGATGATTGAGCATTGATGACAACAATTAAAGAAGACACAAATAAATTAGAAAAATCCCATGTTCATGGACTGGAAGAACTGATGCTGTTAAAATATCCCTACTACCCAAAGTGATCTACAGATTCAATGCAATTCTTATCAAAATTCTAATATCATTTTCACAGAAATAGAAAAAAACCCCCAAATTCATATACAACCAGAAAAGACTGTGAATAGCCAAACAATTTTGAGTTAAAATAACAAAACTGGAGGCATCACAGTTTCTGATTTTAAAAATATATTATAAAGATATTATAATCAAAACAACATGGTACTGGCATTACAACAGACAAATTGGCCAATGGAACAGGATAAAAAGCCCAGAAATAAACCGAAGTATTTAGGGTCAATTGATTTTCAACAAAAGTGCCAAGAATGCGTAATGGGGAAAGAACAATCTCTTCAATAAATGGTATTGGGAAAACTGGATATCCACATTCAGAAGAATAAAATTGGACCTTTATACTCACACCATAAAAAAAAATCAATTCAAAACGGATAAAAGACTTAAACGTAAGACTTGAAACGGCAAGGCTACCAGAAGAAAACATAGGGAAAAGCTCCATGACACTGGTCTGGGCAATGATTTATTGGGTAGAACTCCGAAAGCACGGGCAACAATAGCAAAATTAGACAAATGGATTCCATTAAGTTAAAAAGCTTCTGTGCAGTAAAGGAAGAAATTAACAGAGTGAAGAGACAACCTATGGATTAGGAGAAAATATTTGCAATCCATACATCTGCTAGGGAGCTAATATCCAAAATATATAGTCGTGTATAAATCAGTTGCTTAATGATGGAGCTACATTCTAATAAATGCATCATTAGGTGGTTTCAGTTGTGGGAACACCATAAAGTGTACTTACACAAACGTAGACAATATAGTCTACTGCACACCTAAGCTATATGGTATGGCCTATTGCTCAAAGGCTATAAACCTGTACAGCATGTTAATGTACTGAATACTATAGACAGCTGTAACATAATTATAAGAATTTGTGTAACTAAACAAATCTGAAGTAGTAAAGGTACAGTAAAAATAAAGTATAAAAATTAAAAATGGTACACCTGTATAAAGCCCTTACCATGAACGGAACTTGCAGAAATAGCTTACTATGAACTGAAAGTTGCTCTGAGTGAGTCAGTGAGTGAGCGGTGAGTGAATGAGAGGGCCTAGGATTGCTATACACTACAGTAGACTTTATAAATACTATACACTTAGGCTACACTAAACTTACAAAAAATATTTTTCTTTCTTCAACAATGAACTTAGCTTACTGTGACTTTTTACTTTATAAACTTTTTATTTTTTTGCAAACCTTTTGACTCTTTTATAATATTTAGCTTAAAACCCAAACATTCTAAAGCTGTACATAACATTTTCTTATATCCTTATTCTATAAGCTTTTTTCTATGTAAAATTTCTTTTTCTTTATTTTTTAGTTTGTAAACTTTTTGTTAAAAATGAAGACACAAACACACACACATTAGCCCAGTCCTACGTAGGGTTAGGATAAGCAATATCACTTTCTTCCACCTCCACACCTGGTCCCACTGGAAGGTCTTCAGGGACAATAACATGCATGGAGGTGTCATCTCCTAGGATAACAAGGCTTTCTTCTGGAATGCATCCTGAAGGACATGCCTGAGTCTGTTTTATATTAAATTAAAAAAATATGACAAATGAATACATTCTAAAATAACAATCTATAGTAAACACATAAGCCAGTAATGCAGTCATTTATGATTATTAGCAAGTATTCTGTATTATAGATAACTGTGTGTGCTATACTTTTATATGGCTGGCTGTGAAGTAGGTTTGTTGACAGCAGCATCACCACATACATGTGAAGAATGAGTTCTGCCAGGATATTAGGACAGCTACAACGTCAGCAGGCGATAGGATTTTTCAGCTCCATTATAATCTTATGGGACCACCGTCATACGTGTGGCCTGTCATTGTCAGAAATGTCTTTATATGATGCATGACCATATAAGGAACTCAAACAACTCAATAGCAAGAAAACAAATAATCTGATTTAAAAATGGGCAAGGGATCCAAACAGACATTTCTCAAAAGGAGAGATACAAATGAACTTTTCTGCATTTTTTTCTACTCAAAATGCTCTAATAATTTCCCCTCTAGTTCAAAGTAAAAAGCAGAATCCTAATAGTGCACAGGATTTGCCCTTGCTTGCTTCTGTCCCCATCGCTTCATAATTTTTCCTTAGCTGCTCCCTCCAGCCACATGGCATACTTGCTGTCCCTTAAGCCCTCAGGCACAGTCCCATCTCAGGGCATTCTCACCTGTTGTTCCTTCTGCCTGGAATGACCTGCCTTGAACGTGCACATGGCTTGCCACCCACTTCCTTCAGGTCTTCAGCAAACCGACATCAAACATGTATACCTATGTAACAAACCCCAGAACTTAAAGTATAATAAAAAAAAATAAAAACTCTTTTTTCTTTACTTTTATCTGACTGGATTAGTTCAAAAACTGGTCTTCAAGCTCTAGCTCAGACTTTTTCTTCTTCTTGGTCCAGTCTATTGATAAAGGTTTCAGTTTTATTTTGAAATGCCTTAAGTGAGTTTTTCAAATCTAGAAACTCTGACTGATTTCTTTTTAAGATGTTTATCTCTTCCTTCATTTCCTAGATTGCTTTAGAAGTATTTTTTTTCTTTTTTTTAAAAACTATACTTTAAGTTCTAGGGTACAAGTGCACAACGTGCAGGTTTGTTACATAGGTATACATAAGCCATGTTGGTGTGCTGCACCCGTTAACTCGTCATTTACATTAGGTACTTCTCCTAATGCTATCCCTCCCCCTGCTCCCCACCCCACGAGAGGCCCCAGTGTGTGATGTTCCCCACCCTGTGTCCAAGTGTTCTCATTGTTCAATTCCCACCTATGAGTGAGAACATGCGGTGTTTGGTTTTCTGTCCTTGTGATAGTTTGCTGAGAATGATGGTTTCCAGCTTCATCCATGTCCTTGCAAAGGACATGAACTCAACCTTTTTTATGGCTGCATAGTATTCCATGTTGTATATGTACCACATTTTCTTAATCCAGTCTATCATTGATGAACATTTGGGTTGGCTCCAAGTCTTTGCTATTGTGAATAGTGCCACAATAAACATATGTGTGCATGTGTCTTTATAGCATGATTTATAATCCTTTGGGTATATACCCAGTAATGGGATCAATGGGTCAAATGGGTCTAGATCCTTGAGGAATCGCCACACTGTCTTCCACAATGGTTGAACTAGTTTACAGTCCCACCAACAATGTAAAAGTGTTCCTATTTCTCCACATCCTCTCCAGCATCTATTGTTTCCTGACTTTTTAATGATCACCATTCTAACTGGTGTGAGATGGTATCTCATTGTGGTTTTGATTTGCATTTCTCTTATGGCCAGTGATGATGAGCATTTTTTCACATGTCTGTCTGTTGGCTGCATAAATGTCTTCTTTTGAGAAGTTTCTGTTCATATCCTTTGCCCACTTTTTGATGGGGTTGTTTGTTTTTTTCTTGTAAATTTGTTTAAGTTGTTTGTAGATTCTGGATATTAGCCCTTTGTCAGACGAGTAGATTGCAAAAACTTTCTCCCATTCTGTAGGTTGCCTGTTCACTCTGATGGTAGCTTCTTTTGCTGTGCAGAAGCTCTTTGGTTTAATTAGATCCTATTTGTCTATTTTGGCTTTTGTTGCCATTGCTTTTGGTGTTTTAGTCATGAAGTTCTTGCCCATGCCTATGTCCTGAATGGTGTTGCCTAGGTTTTCTTCTAGAGTTTTTATGGTTTTAGGTCTTACATTTAAGTCTTTAATCCATCTTGAATTAATGTTTGTATAAGGTGGAAGGAAGGGATCCAGTTTCAGTTTTTACATATGACTAGCCAGTTTTCCACATATGACTAGCCAGTTTTCCCAGCACCATTTATTAAATAGAGAATTCTTTCCCCATTTCTTGTTTTTGTCAGGTTTGTCAAAGATCAGAAGGTTGTAGATGTGTGGTATTGTTTCTGAGGGCTCTTTTCTGTTCCATTGGTCTACATCTCTGTTTTGGTAACAGTACCATGCTGTTTTGGTTACTGTAGCCTTGTAGTATAGTTTGAAGTCAGGTAGCGTGATGCTTCCAGCTTTGTTCTTTTGGCTTAGGATTGTCTTGGCAATGCAGGCTCTTTTTTGGTTCCATATGAACTTTAAAGTAGTTTTTTCCAATTCTGTGAAGAAAGTCATTGGTAGCTTGATGGGGATGGCATTGAATCTATAAATTACCTTGGGCAGTATGGCCATTTTCACGCTATTGATTCTTCCTACCCATGAGCATGGAATGTTCTTCCATTTGTTTGTGTCCTCTTTTATTTCATTGAGCAGTGGTTTGTAGTTCTCCTTGAAGAGGTCCTTCACATCCCTTGTAAGTTGGATTCCTAGGTATTTTACTCTCTTTGTAGCAATTGTGAATGGGAGTTCATTCATGATTTGGCTCTTTGTTTGTCTGTTATTGGTGTATAAGAATGCTTGTGATTTTTGCACATTGATTTGATATCCTGAGACTTTGCTGAAGTTGCTTATCAGCTTAAGGAGATTTTGGGCTAAGATGATGGGGTTTTCTAAATATACAATCATGTGATCTGCAAACAGGGACAATTTGACTTCCTCTTTTCTTAATTGAATACCCTTCATTTCTTTCTCTTGCCTGATTGCCCTGGCCAGAACTTCCAACACTATGTTGAATAGGAGTGGTGAGAGAGGGCATCCCTGTCTTGTGCCAGTTTTCAAAAGGAATGCTTCCAGTTTTTGCCCATTCAGTATGATATTGGCTGTGGGTTTGTCATAAATAGCTCTTATTATTTTGAGATAACGTCCCATCAATACCTAATTTATTGAGAGTTTTTAGCATGATGGGCTGTTGAATTTTGTCGAAGGCCTTTTCTGCATCTATTGAGATAATCATGTGTTGTTTGTCGATGGTTCCGTTTATGTGATGGATTACGTTTATTGATTTGCATATGTTGAACCAGCCTTGCATCCCAAGGATGAAGCTGAGTTGATCGTGGTGGATAGCTTTTTGATGTGCTGCTGGATTTGGTTTGCCAGTATTTTATTGAGGATTTTCACGTCGATGTTCATCAGGGATATTGGTCTAAAATTCTCTTTTTTTGTTGCATCTGTGCCAGGCTTTGGTATCAGAACGATGCTGGCCTCATAAAATGAGTTAGGATTCCCTGTTTTTCTATTGATTGGAATAGTTTCAGAAGGAATGGTACCAGCTCCTCTCTGTACCTCTGGTAGAATTCGGCTGTGAATCCATCTGGTCCTGGACTTTTTTTGGTTGGTAGGCTATTAATTATTGCCTCAATTTCAGAGCCTGTTATTGATCTATTCAAAAATTCAATTTCTTCCGGAGCATGTGTGTGTCCAGGAATTTATCCATTTCTTCTAGATTTTCTAGTTTATTTGAGTAGAGGTGTTTATAGTATTCTCTGATGGTAGTTTGTATTCCTGTGGGATTGTTGGTGATATCCCCTTTATCATTTTTTATTGTGTCTATTTGATTCTTCTCTCTTTTCTACTTTATTAGTCTTGCTAGCGGTCTATCAGTTTTGTTGACCTTTTCAAAAAACAAGTTCCTGGATTCATTGATTTTTTGAGGGTTTTTTGTGTCTCTATCTCCTTTAGTTCTGCTCTGATCTTAGTTATTTCTTACCTTCTGCTAGCTTTTGAATTTGTTTGGCCTTGCTTCTCTAGTTCTTTTAATTGTGATGTTAGGGTGTCAATTTTAGATCTTGCCTGCTTTCTCTTGTGGGCATTTAGTGCTATAAATTTCCCTGTACACACTGCTTTAAATGTGTCCCAGAGATTCTGGTACATTGTGTTTTTTTTCTCATTGGTTTCAAAGAACATCTTTATTTCTGCCTTCATTTTGTTGTTTACCCAGTAGTCATTCAGGAGCAGGTTGTTCAGTTTCCATGTAGTTGTGTGGTTTTAAGTGAGTTTCTTAATCCTGAGTTCTAATTTGATTGCACTGTGGTCTGAAAGACAGTTTGTTGTGATTTCTGTTCTTTTACATTTGCTGAGGAGTGCTTTACTTCCAACTATGTGGTCAATTTTGGAATAAGTGCGATGTGGTGCTGAGAAGAATGTCTATTCTGTTGATTTGGGGTGGAGAGTTCTGTAGATGTCTATTAGGTCCACTTGGTGCAGAGCTGAGTTCAAGTCCTGGATATCCTTGTTAATCTTATGTCTCGTTGATCTGTCTAATATTAACAGTGGGGTGTTAAAGTCTCCCATTATTATTGTGTGGGAATCTAAGTCTCTTTGTAGGTCACTCAGGACTTGCTTTATGAATCTGGGTGCTCCTGTATTGGGTGCATATATATTTAGGATAGTTAGCTCTTCTTGTTGAATTGATCCCTTTACTGTTATGTAATGGCCTTCTTTGTCTCTTCTGATCTTTGTTGGTTTAAAGTCTGTTTTATCAGAGACTAGGATTGCAACCCCTGCTTTTTTTTGCTTTCCATTTGCTTGGTAGATCTTCCTCCATCCCTCTATTTGAGCCTGTCTCTGCATGTGAGATGGGTGTCCTGAATACAGCACACTGATGGGTCTTGACTCTTTATCCAATTTGCCAGTCTGTGTCTTTTAATTGGAACATTTAGCCCATTTACATTTAAGGTTAATATTTTTATGTGTGAATTTGATCCTGTCATTATGATGTTAGCTGGTTATTTTGCTTGTTAGTTGATGCAGTTTCTTCCTAGCATCAATGGTCTTTACAATTTGGCTGTTTTTGCAGTGTCTGGTACCAGTTGTTCCTTTCCATGTTTAGTGCTCTTTTAGGGCAGGCCTGGTGATGACAAAATCTCTCAGCATTTGCTTGTCTGTAAAGGGTTTTATTTCTTCTTCACTTATGAAGCTTAGTTTGGCTGGATATGAAATTCTGGGTTGAAAATTCTTTTCTTTAGGAATGTTGGATATTGGCCCCCACTCTCATCTGGCTTGTGGAGTTTCTGCTGAGAGATCTGCTGTTAGTCTGTTGGACTTCCTTTTGTGGGTAACCTGACCTTTCTCTCTGGCTGCCCTTAACATTTTTTTCCTTCATTTCAATCTTGGTGAATCTGACAATTATGTGTCTTGGGGTTGCTCTTCTCGAGGAGTATCTTTGTGGTGTTCTCTGTATTTCCCGAATTTCAGTGTTGGCCTGCCTTGCTAGATTGGGGAAGTTCTCCTGGATAATATCCTGAAGAGTGTTTTCCAACTTGGTTCCATTCTCCCCATCACTTTCAGGTACACCAATCAAATGTAGATTTGGTCTTTTCACATAGTCCCATATTTCTTGGAGGCTTTGTTCATTTCTTTTTACTTTTTTTCTCTAAACTTCTCTTCTCACTTTATCTCATTAATTTGATCTTCAATCACTGATACACTTTCTTCCTCTTGATTGAATCGGCTGTTGAAGATTGTGCATGCATCACGTAGTTCTCATGCCATGGTTTTCAGCTCCATCAGGTCATTTAAGGTGTTCTCTACACTGTTTATTCTAGTTAGCCATTCATCTAATCTTTTTTCAAGGTTTTTAGCTTCCTTGTGATGGGTTTGAACATCCTCCTTTAGCTCAGAGAAGTTTGTTATTACTGACCTTGTGAAGTCTACTTCTGTCAGGTCATCAAAGTCATTCTCCATCCAGCTTTGTTTCATTGCTGGTCCTCACCAGCTGTCGTCCTTTGGAGGAGAAGAGGCGCTCTGGTTTTTAGAATTTTCAACTTTTCTGCTCTGGTTTCTCTCCATCTTTGTGGTTTTATCTACCTTTGGTTTTTGATGTTGGCAGCCTACAGATGGGGTTTTGGTGTGGATGTGCTTTTTGTTGATGTTGATGCTATTCTTTTCTGTTTGTTAGTTTTCCTTCTAATAGTCAGGTCCCTCAGCTGCAGGTCTGTTGGAGTTTGCTGGAGGTCCACTCC
Organism: Homo sapiens; assembly: GCF_000001405.40. Taxonomy (NCBI): domain Eukaryota; kingdom Metazoa; phylum Chordata; class Mammalia; order Primates; family Hominidae; genus Homo; species Homo sapiens. Next base: position 129,733,533 of record NC_000008.11, on the reverse strand, counting down.
AGACCCTATTTGCCTGGGTATCACCAGCAGAGGCTGCAGAACAGCAAATATTGCTGCCTGATCCTTCCTCTGGAAGTTTCATCCCAGAGGGGCATCCGCCTGTATGAGGTGTTAGTTGGCCCCTACTGGGAAGTGTCTCCCAGTTAGGCTACATGGGGGTCAGGGACCCACTCGAGGAGGCAGTCTTTCCATTCTCAGAGCTCATGCACCATGCCGGGAGAACCACTGCTCTGTTAAGAGCTGTCAGACAGGGATGTTTAAGTCTGCAGAAGTTTCTGCTGCCTTTTGTTCAGCTATGCCCTGCCCCCAGAGGTGGAATCTACAGAGGCAACAGACCTTGCTGAACTGTGGTGGGCTCTGCCCACTTTGAGCTTCCCCAGCTGCTTTGTTTACCTACTCAAGCCTCAGCAATGGCGGACACCTCCCTCTCCTGCCAGGTTGCTGCCTCGCAGGTTGACCTCAGATTGCTGCGCTAGCAGTGAGCAAGGCTCCGTGGGTGTGGGACCTGCTGAGCCACATGCGGGATATAATCTCCTGGTGTGCTGTTTGCTAAGACCATTGGAAAAGCACAGTATTTGGGAGAGAGTGTCCTGATTTTCCAGGTACAGTCTGTCACGGCTTCCCTTGGCTAGGAAAGGGAAATCCCGTGACCCCTTGCACTTCCTGGATGAGGCAATGACCCACCCTGCTTCAGCTTGCCCTCTGTGGGCTGCACCCACTGTCCAACCAGTCCTATTGAGATGAACCAGGTACCTCAGTTGGAAATGCAGAAATCACCCGTCTTCTGCATCAATCACACTGGGAACTGCAGACCGGTGCTGTTCCTATTCGGCCATCTTGGAAGAGAATCCTTTAGAAGTTTCTTTGTGTTGATTTTCAACCTTGTCCTGGAGCTCATTGAGCTTCCTTGCAATCCATACTCTGAATTCTTTATCTGTCATTTCCGAGTTTCCATTTTGATTACAGACCATTGCTGTAGATCCAGTGTGATCATTTGGTGGTGTCACTACATTCAGATTTTTTGTGCTGGTTCCTTCTCATCTGGAGACCTTGGCACTTCTAATATTTGTAATTATTTTAGTGTGGGTAGGAGTTTTTCTTTTTATTTCCCTATAATAGTATTATTTTTTCTTTCCCTTTTCCCCCCTCCCTAGGGGGTGTAACTGTAGAGAATGCTGGGTAGGGTCTTTTGGCTTTCCTTCTATAGCCCTCTGCACTTCTTTCAGCAAGTTTTTTTTTTTTTTAATTTATAAAGAACAGAAATATATTTCTCACAGTTCTGGAGGATGGGAAATCTAAGATCAATGATCTGGCACTTGTTCGACTAGGGCTTTCTTGCTGTGTTCTCACATACAGAAAGCAAGCTAGCAGGATGCTCCCTGAAGGCTCTTTTATAAGGGCCTTAATCCCAGTCCTGAGAGAGAACCCCTTGTGGCCCAGTGACCTCTTAAAGGCCCCACCTCTTGATGCTATTGTATTGGCAACACTTGAATTTGAGGGGACACATTCAAGTCATGGCAAACTGAACATTTCCCTTTTGCCAGACAGCACCACGTTCTTTGTCAGTAGGTGGTGGTAGAGGGACACTGCAGAATAAAGGGGCTTCTCTTGCTTCTCCTCTTGCTTCTAAGAGGATGCTGTGACAGTTAATTTTAGGTGTCAATGTGGCTGGGCCACAGGGTGCCCAACTATTTGGTCATATATTTTTTTAAAATTTTAGATATTTAACTTTTGCTCTGACTTTCCAGTTATAAGGTCAAACTTTATTCTGGGTGTTTCTGTGAGGGTGTTTTTACATGAGATTGACATTTAAATCAGTGAACTTTGAATAACGCAGACTGCCCTCCTCGATGTTAGTGGGCTTGATCCAGTCAGTTGAAGGGCTGAAGAGAAAAAAGACTGTCCTCTTCCAAGAAAAAGAGAATCCTCCAACAGATACCTTTGGACTGGACCCGCACCATCAGCTTTCCTGGGTTGCCAGCCTCTTGCCTCACACTCCAGGTTTTGGACTTGTTAGACTTAATAATAATCACAGAAGCCAATCCCTTTAAGGTAGTTTCTCTGGAGAACCTTGACAAACACAAACATCTACTGAGAGTTCCTGTCCAAGTTTTGCTCACACCCTAGCAGGAGGCTCCTGGCTTACCAGTCCTGAGGGTGTGAGGTTGTTTGCTTGCAAGACCTGATCCACTAGCTGCACAGCAGCTCTGGCCCAGGGCAAGGCAGGGAACTACCCTATCACTGAGTAGTGAGTAGTCACACTCTTTCCATTAGGTCTGACTTCACCATGGGGAAGAGGAGCCCCTTCCAAGGATATTCTTTCCTTGGGTACTCAGTCCTAGGACATTGTAGCTCTTTTTTATCCTTCTTAATAGCTAATACCATTATCAGTTAAAAGTTTTTTTATATTAAAATTATCCCTGTTCAAGTTAATGGTATGGTTTCTGTCTCCTGGCTGGGTATTAGGATATAATATTTACTGTCATATTTCTACCACTTTATGTTTAAAGTTTTTCATAATGAAGATTTAAACTGAATTTTTGATAATTCATTAAATATTTACATAGAACAGGACAAAGGATGATTTTCCTTTGTCTACTTACTGTAAAGAAGCGTCCAAGATTTACCACCACATCATGATTACAGATGGTCACCAGCTTATGATGGTTTTAGGATTTTTTGACTTTATGATGGGTTTATCGGCCTGTAGCCCCATTTCAAGCTGAGGAGCTCCTTAGGACTTATGAATCATACCTCTTTCACACCACGGTAAAGTTGGAAAATTGTTAAGTCAAGCTGTCATTAAGTAGGAGACTGCTGTGTTGCTAATGTTATATGTATTTTTGACTTATGATGGGTTTATTGGGAATTAACCACAATGTAAATTGAGGACCATCTGTATATTGTGTGATTTTTACTAATGCATTGAAAGAGATCTGTGTAAATTATCTATGACTTCAGAATACGCATATTTCTTCCAACTGTGTTAACTCATGTTTTTTAAGAGAATAATGGTATTTTTACACTATGTGGATGTGCTGTAGTAGAATTTTTCTAAGCTACAAAAGTGTATGAATAAAAAATCAACTTAAACTTTTTGGGAAATAATTTCTACTAAAGATTCATAATCAGCATATTTCTTCAATGACTGTACAAGTTCATCCAGTAGATAATCTCCTTGCATAACAGTTTCAAGATCATGCAGTGACTTGCTTATTCTGTGATCTGTGACCTGGTTCTGTGGAAAATTATATGTTCTTATTTTCTCTGATCTTCCTTTACTTCCAATCTGAATTTTTCTAGCATCGTGTCTTTTATTCATTTCTTCTTCTAGATACATGTTGTACAGTTTTACACATAACTTTTTCATAGCCAGCTCTTTATTTTTTCGGGTGAGATCTCTCTTGTTGGCATTCAGAAACACCTGAATAGTGTTACAAGAATTAAAAAGTTTTAATAGAAAAATCTTCTTTACTTATTTTCAAGGAATACTCCTTTTCCTTCTCATCCTTTTTCTTCTTCCGTTGGAAGATGAACTATCCGGACAGCACTGTCCATGGTATTTACATGCTGCCCCCGCAGCTCCACTGGCTCGCTTAGTGTTGATTCTCAAATCTTTTGGATTAGTCACCAGATTAATCTCAGTAGGTTGGGGCAATACTGCTTACAGTCATGGTGCTAGCATGGATGCAGCCTTGCTTTTCTGTCTTTGGCACTCTTTGTACTCTGTGCACACCTCCTTCAAATTTCATGTGCCTCACATATGTTTATTGCGACACTTTTTACAATAGCAAAGACTCGGAACCAACCCAAATGTCCATCAATGATAGACTGGATAAAGAAAATGTGGCACATATACACCATGGAATACTATGCAGCCATAAAAAAGGATGAGTTCATGTCCTTTGTAGGGACATGGATGAAGCTGGAAACCATCATTCTCAGCAAACTATCGCAAGAACAAAAAACCAAACACCACATGTTCTCACTTACAGGTGGGAATTGAACAATGAGAACACCTGGACACAGGAAGGGGAACATCACACACTGGGGCCTGTTGTGGGGTGGGAGAAGGGGGGAGGGAAAGCATTAGGAGATATACCTAATGTAAATGATGAGTTAATGGGTGCAGCACACCAACATGGCACATGTCTGCATATGTAATAAGCCTGCACCTTGTGCACATGTACCCTAGAACTTAAAGTATAATAATAATTAAAAAAAACAAATTTCATGTGCCTATAGGCTTCTGAACCCCCAATACTGGCAGATACATGTCTAAGTCCACCTATTTCACTTGGAAAATATTCCAGGGTCTCAAAATGCCATCTTTTAAATGCAGCTTATTGCTGACACATATCAAATATCTCTGAAGTAAACAACATTGCCTCCTGTCTTCCAACTCCTGCAGTTACTTGCAGGATCAGATCATTTTCATCTGTTTCTTCTGATGCTTCAACTGAGTTATTTCTTTTTGACACAAAGTTATTTCATTCTCTGCACATTTCCTTAAATTTTCATCCTCATCGTGCAGCAAGCTCTTGGTCTCCCGCAGCTCCTGCTCCTTCTCGTTCAGCAGCTTGACCACCGCCACCACCTCGGGCCTCCTGACCTTCAAATGGGCTTCAGACCCTGCCTGGTGCTTGAGGAAGGTCCACAAGAGCCCGCCCCAGGCGAACAGCCTCTCCAGCAGCGGGCTACCTCAGCTCAGGGTCCGTCCGCCTGGGCCAACGGCCCCTGTGGGACCAGAGCCACCAGGCAGAGCCCTCGGCAAGTTTTATATCGCACTGTGCAGTTTGATCTACAAGCCAGTAGATGGTGCTTATAGGTAAGAGCTGGTGCAGCCAGTGTGGCTGGGTATATACTTGATCCTTGTTTACTAGCAGAAGCTCTGTGTTGCCCTAGACAATGAACTGATTCGTGGAATGCATAGTGGTCTGAGCTCCCTGCTTAGCCCCTGGGGGGAGGTGGTGCTCATTGGGGGTACACCTGCAGGTCCCATGATGGCAGGCACAAGCACCTGTGCTGAGGGAGAATCCAGTGGGTGGCCACCAAGCACCCAGAGATGTGGCTAGGTGTGGAGCTGGAAAACTTCCTCAGTCCCCTATTCTCTGTATGGTGATGCGGGGACAACCTGAACTCTAATCCAGGAAAGTGGATGCTCCAGATGCCCGGAGATCCGCCTGGGTGTGTAGCAGAGGACTCCTCTGCACCAGGGTCACTGCACAGAAACAGTGGGGCAGGTCAGGCTTCTTATCAAGTTGAGTGGGTGTTCCAAATGCCTGGAGATCTACCTGAGTGTGGAGGAGAGAGGGCCCCCTGCACCAAGATCTCTGCACAAGAGGGGTGAGGAGACTCAGGCTGCTGATCTGGGCAAGCCGGTGCTCTGAATGCCTGGAGATCTGCCTGGGTGTAGAGCAGTGAAGACCTTGCTGCACCACAGTCTATGTCCAGGATGGATGGGGCAGCTTAGGCTGCTGGTCCCGGCCAAGTGTGCTCTGAATGCCTGGATTTCTGTCTGGGGTGGAGTGGAGAGGGCCCTGCTACACCATGATCTCAGAGGAGCAGTCTGGGCACCCAGCAATGGCATATGCAGGGGGGTTCCAGGTTGCCAAGATGGCCCTGGCTGAAGTCTTGCTGCCCACATAAAACTGCAGCTGTAGCAGCTTTTCTTCTGCCCCAGACCTGTGATGGGGGAGAATACAATTCTAGCACCTACTGCTGAGGCACTTTGCACAGTTCTGACTGTGGAGGCTCCTACCCTACTCCAGAGCAGGTGCTCCAATCTCTTACCCAAGACTAAAATGCCTGCGCAGTCATGCTACCGGGTCAGCAAAGAATGGGTGACTTTGTATGTGCCTAGATTAAAAATGGCATCCTGATCTCAGTCCTGAGTCTGGGAATATGTCTGTAGCTTTTCCCATTCCTATTCCTTCACAGTGGCTTCAAACCTCTCCCCAACTTAGTTCCACAGCTTGAGAGAAACAAAGTGCTCTCCCTCGGCCTGTCTTTCTCGGATCCCCACGGAAATGTGACTTACAGAGGGAGGTTCTCTTTCTCTCTCACGTACTGGGGCTTCACTTACTTTTATCAGCCATACACTGTCATGGGGGCTGTTTGCCGGCGTTCTCCTCCCTGGGATTTGGAATGTCCTTCACAATTCTGGTGGATTCCCATTTTCCTTCTTGAATTAAGCTCACAGAGTTGATCTTTATGCACTGTCTTGCTATTTCCAAGTGGCTGAGCACACACTAAAAGGCTTTAATCCACCATCTTGAAAAAAAATTGTCTTTTCTTATAAGGACATAAGTTATATGTCCTTATATGTCCATCGTAAGTCATGGATTTAGGGCTCACTCTAATCCAGCATGACTTCTTTTTAGCTAAATACATCTGCAAGGGCTCTATTTCCAAATAAGGGCACATTCTGAGGTTCTGGATGAATGTAAATTTCCAAGTAAACTTTGTTGACTTCAGGGGCCATGTGCGTAAATGAGTATGTGAATAGGTGTGTGTGTGTGTGTGTGTGTGTGTATGTGTATTGGGTGTGGTTGGGAAGTTGCTGGAAGACTGAGACATGGGGGTATCCCACTGTAGTCATTTAAAACACTATTCTGGTCATTTATATAAAAGCTGAGCTGCTGTAACTGGGCTTGCAGGCTACCAGTTTGGGATCCTTCCTGGGCCAGAGAAACACATTTGAATTTGTTCCAAGTGAAATTAAGTCATGGAGACTCTGACTGCTAGAGGCAGGGGGTGGGTGGGGGGAGGGACTGGATTGGAAGGGAGCCTGCATGGAGGTAAGTATGACATCCAGGAAGTTTCTCTAATCGTCCACGCACAGTATGGAATACTTTAAAAGACAGGAGCTTGAAAAGTAAGTGTATTGAATTCTAGTTTCAATAGATACCAGGAATACCTTGGAGGTAATTAAAACAAACTTTATTCGTATATCCGATCACATCTTTCTGGGTTATCTATAAAATGACAGTGACTAGTAATATTTTTCTAGTAAATTTCCAATATATGCCAGAAGGTGGCAGCATTGTCAAACAGCAGGATGCTTGGTGCTGCCTGCCACTCTCCTTTATATGCTTCCGGACCTACTGAATTCAAGGCCATCTCCTCTCTCTCACACCCTGCCCTCCTGCCTCCCCTCTTCCATGTCTTTCTCCTTGCTGGGTTAACATGGAGTGGGCTGGGAGAAGTGGGGCATCAACTGAGGGCCTAACACTGGTCTCCTTTTATATTAATATCAGAATAGAACCTCCTTCTTGAAACACTACATTGATTGTATTAAATGTCTCCCTTAAAAATCTCTGGGAGGTAAGACCAGAATGATGAGGAACTTAGAACAATTGTCAATATTTCAGAAAAGCCATGCCTTGGTAAAATGTCAACTGCTTATGCTAGGATCATTATGGATTCTGTGATAAATCTGATTGTCTCATGTTGAGCAAAGACCTGGGTTGGGAGTTTCAAATATTTTTCCATAAGCAGAGGAATATTCTCTTTAAATAAATTCAGCCAGGCAATTAAAGTCTTTCAAAACATTGGAATCTTGGTTAACACATAAGAAAGCAGGGGTGGTGAGAATCTTGGGATTCATTATCTTGGTGGATACAAAGTTCTTCTTCATTTAAAAGACTGTATTGATTAGGGCAGCAGGGCTAACCAGAAAAACCTGGGTTTGGAGTTGGGCCGATCCCTAACTTTGCAACCTCCGGTAAATAATTCAAAATCTTTGAGCTTCATTTTCCCCAGCGCATTGGATTGCTATTGACATAAATTAAATAGTGTATATAAAGAACCTAGTATAGTGCTAGCACATAGTTGATGCCCAACAAGCTTTTCTTGAATCAATGGAACTAACAGCAATAGTAATATTGAGTTTTAGAGGCCTGCTGTGTACCTGATATTGTGGTCGTGGCGAGACTCAAAAGCAACAAATGGAAAGAAGAGAAGAATATGATTTTCTGATCTGGGACATTTAAATTACTATTTTTAATTTTTAGATCTTGGGCAATCGAACACATTTGAAACTGCTCCCTGGCTCTGGAGGGGGGTGATAAGTAACTGAGATGCCAGGCCACATGCCACTTTTCTTACATACCTCACAGCATGTGGCAGAGTACACAATATCAACTCTGGAAATTGAGCTGTTAGAAAGAAAAGAACGCATGAGTGTGTCTTTGATTTGAATACAGGTAGTCAGTTCATTACCTGAGGTTCCAGGGAGGATAAATCTTGCCTTTAATCTATACCAGCTTTATTGTCAGGGAACAGGACAGGGACGTGCTGCCATTATTCACCATCACTTATTTGAGGACACTTATTTAGCCTGTACTCCAACAGATAGTCTAATAAGATACTTGATGGAGAGAGGGCATGTGTGAATGTGAATGTGGAAAATGGTGGCCCCATGGTCTTCCTCTTGAGCTTTCTCAGGCTAGCAGAGGACAGGAGCAATCACAACAGCTCAAGTTAGAAAGGGGCTGAAGGGTTAACTTGTTCAACTGGCCTTGTATTCTCAAATTCCTTTTATGATATTGCTTCAGGAGCACTTCAAGAAAACCTCCAAGTAGAGCTTGAGATCTTAGTCCCTCTGTGCCACCTTGCAATGCCTTTTTCTTCTCATGAGAAGCTGGGCTCCTCAAACTATGCCCTTTGTTAATTGTTATTTCTTTGAATACTTCAAGGCCCTGTATTCCTTCTATAGGTAGCTCCCTCCCACCCCAGTAAGGGAGGAGGATTATGTGAATTCTAATAACATTTTTTTCCATAATTTCCAATAGTTCCTTTTTGGATAATTATGCTATCTAACGCTTTTTCGCTAAAAAGTATCATTTTTTTGAAGAATTCTACTTCTGTTTCTGTGTGTGAACATATATAGTTTTCTATACAAAATTAGGAACCAGCTTGTCATTAAGTGAGTTGTTACTCATTGTTTATTGGATGCATACAAGATACCAGGAATACAGGAGGGAATAAGACAGAAAACCTGCCTTCCAGGAGTTTGTATTTTAATAAGCTGTCATCTCAGACAAGGTGAAAGAAGATTGTATTATCTATTGCAAACAAATTGTTATTGTATTATCTATTGTGTTATCAATATAATCTATTGATAAACAAATAGATTGTATTATCTATTGCATAACAAATCACCCCCAAAACGTAATGGCTTAAAATAATAAACATTTAACTTATATTTTCCTCTTTCTGCTGGTTAAGAATTTGGGAATGGCCTACCTGGCTGGTTCTGGCTTAGGGTCTTACATGTGACTGCAGTTGGATGTTGGCAAGGGCTATAGTCACCTGAAAGCTTAATTGAGGCTGGAGGATCTGTTTTGAAGATGGCTGTCTTGCATGGCTGTAGGCAGGAGGCCTTAGTTCCTAACCATGTGGTCTCTCCATAGATGGCTTGAGTGCCCTCTCAACATGGAGGCTGGATTTCTCCAGAGTGAGTGATTGCCTCAGGATACAGCAAGCCTGGCTTTCCCCAGAGGCCATGATTGCTTTAGGATGCAAAAGCAAGCTTTTGTGCCCACATATTAATTAATTAGTTAATTCAACAAGTATTTATTGAACACTTACTATTTGCTAGAAGTTCCAGCATTAAAACATACCTCATTCTTTCCTCACTGAGAGTCTGGAAAAAGTAAAAATACTTTCAGCTTAGTTAAAAATTGGAAGGGCTAGAGTAGTAGTATTTTCTAGAGTAATTCATAGAGAAATAAACCATTTAACCAAGGTAGGGGTGCAATCCAATCACTTGCAAATAAACAGTGCAACTGCCCTTGATTCAAGTGTGCTCTGGGTCTCTTTTTATTTTGGAAATCCTTGTGCTTTTGTAATGGCTGCCTAGGAACCAGGGCTTTGCTCAGTTCATGCCAGGAGTGTTTGAGCAGAGTTGATCAATGGCATTAAAATTCACTAGGTTTCCCAAGCAGTAAAAAACTGCTAGATGCGGCCAGGCGCGGTGGCTCATGCCTGTAATCCCAGCACTTTTGGAGGCCGAGGCGGGTGGATCATGAGGTCAGGAGTTCGAGACCAATCTGACCAGGATGTTGAAACCCTGTCTCTACTAAAAATACAAAAAAAAAAAAAAAAAAAAGGAGAAGAAAAAATAGCCAGGCGTGGTGGCACATGCCTGTAATCCCAGCTACTCAGGAGGCTGAGGCATGAGAATAGCTTGAACCCGGGAGGCAGAGGTTGCAGTGAGCCGAGATCATGCCACTGCACTCCAGCTTGGGCGACAGAGAGAGACTCCATCTCAAAAAACAAAAACAGAAACAAAAAAACTGCTAGATGCTGAGCCCGGATGGCCACCTAGCAGTGCAGAGGGTGAGTGTCAAGGTCAGAAGACCCTGGGACGGGTAGAATTTTTCTAGGTTGGGAGGAAGGATGTGCATGCACGATGGTAGTTTTACTCATGGTTGGCTAACAGTGGCATGATTCACATCTAAGAATAGATAACATTTGTTTGAAAATGTTTTTGGTGTTTGCTTTCAGTGGTGCTTACACTGAAATGGGAATGGCACAGAAAAATAGAATGTGGTGAGTACCTCCCTCTTGTTTGTGAACATTCTACAGTTTTATGATTAGAATCTATCAATTTTAGAACTCTGGTGCGTAGATAATTCAAATCAGCTTAATTCTCAAAATTTTCGCTGGCCCCAAACAAAAACATATGACTAGAATCCTTTTTAAATATGTGTTTTGAAAAAAGTTAAATCCATCTGTATGCAAGACTATGCTATATGTAAGACTCTGGGTTAACATATGTTGAAGTGAGAAAGACATTGTTTGGCATTTACCATTCATTCATTCATTTATTCAATAAATATTAAAGGTACAATTTTCCAGGTGCTCTGTTAGGCATTGGGATATAGACATCAATAAAATAGACACATTCCTTGTCCTCATAGTATTGCATTCTAGTGGGGCTCATGACATATGAGAAAGAGAGAAAAACTCATGTAGCTCTCCTGGGGCAGTAGAAGGGCCAAAGGACTCCAGTAGGTGAAATAAGGATTTTGACAGCTACACAGGAAACTCAGAGCTGCCAAATTCTGCCTTTCTGGATGCTTTTCTATGAATCCCATCCATGACAGGTGAATTCTTATGTAACAGACTTGTTTATAAGCTACACTAACCCAAGGTGTCCAGTTGGGCTACCAGAAATAAAACTGTAACTCCTTCACTCACCCACATTGATTATTCATTAAAGCTTCACCTCTTTCAAAATCTCTCCCTCTCATTCAAGGAGGGCTCTGAAATTTTTCACACTTGCTTGCAAATTGCTATTCCCCGAGCACCGTAGGGCTTCTAGTGAGGAGTCATTGAACACTCATCAACAGTGGGAAGAAATAATCAAATGTATCTTTAAGATTAATTTGCAAACAGGGAATAGAGTGACTTAAACTGGAATGAAATTGGAATTAAGAAATACCATAAAGGAACATACTGGAGGGATATTTTATATGTTTTTAATTTTTTTGGCCAACTAGCTGTCCTTTCTCAGTTTAGGGTAGTAGCTCTTCAATTCTGCTTTTGGGGACCGTCTTTTCCACTCTAAGTCATTGTGATTTGGGTGGGGCTAATCTAACCCCCACTCTGAGGGTGGGGTTAGTGAACTAGGTCTGGCCAAGGAGAAAACATACAGCGCATTGTTCTGAAACCACAACGATCATTCATAGAGTGTTTGCTGGAACCATGAGTGAGGTATCCTCTTACCAATGGGGTTGCCAGTTGGTAGGATGTAAACCCAAAGTTCTGTTTGCTATTACATAAGAAAAAGTGACTGAGAGTGCTGTCAAGTCAGAGAGAACTAGAGCAGTAATATGGAGAGTGATATTTGGTAGTAATGAGGACCTGGATCCAGCCCTGTCTGAAGTCTAATTTTCAGTTACATTTTCCCACAAATTATTATCTTTATGAGAGGTAATTTGAGTTGGAATTTCTACCATTTCCACAAGAAGATCATGGGCTAATACACTAGAATATTGAGCAGTATCAAGTCTTTAACACTAAAAGTTGTAAAATAATTAAAATTGAGGATGCTTTTGAGAAGAATTACAAGAAGATGTGGTAGATGAAGGAGAGAAGAGTAAGGCAGTAGGATTTGCCAGCTTCAGCCAGATGATTAAGAAGATGGTGCTGTCTGTTCTTAACAGAAACAAAGAAGTCAGGAAAATGATTTGGAGTAAGGCAAAGGGGTGGGAGTGAAACCTACTGTAGACATGTTGGGTTGCTATTGATAGCTGGGCATCTAACCTAGTAGTTGAAAATTTGGGACTGAGTCAATGCAGAGAGACCATTTCTAAAGTGGGAGGCAATAATTAAAAATGATGTAGCCAGTAAAATCATGAAGGGAGAACATGGTGAATAGGTAAGAAAAATGGGCCATTGGAAGACCCAGGTTTAGGATTCAGGAAGAAAAAGTGAAACCAACAAAAATGGTTTCTTGTCCCAGTGCCTTTGCATGTGGGGCCTTGATCCCCTGGGATCCATTACTCTTATGTCAGTCACTTCTGTAAGACAGTTCAGATAGAACTTCTTCCAGCCCATCTTCTCTGCCTGTCCATCTTGTGCACCTGAGGTTGGGCTTCCCAGTATCTATTTCAGTTTCCCACTGCACTTATCCCATTTTATTTTCACTACGTCTCTGAATCTGCTTCTGCAACAGACCTGGCTAGAATTTGAAACCAAATCTTCCTGATTCTAGAAGGCATGCTTTTCCCACTAAGATTTGTTGTGATGATTTTTAGCCTACCTACAGTGTAGGACAATTGGAAACATCAAATGAGATGATGTATATGAAATTGCTTTGGAAACTATAAATTAACATGTAAGTATAAGCTGACATTACTATTGCAAATCTGTTATTGACTATATATATTGACATTATTGCAAATGTAGATACTATTTGTACACAGGTGCATGAACATGTAATATGTAATAAAACGTGTATATATACAGATAGAATAACATTAATATTTTATGTATGTGGAATTATTCTTATATGTATATTCATACACAATATATTTATGTGGATGTGAACGTGTATATGTTTATTACAGTACTCAGGAGACAATCAAGTTATTGGCTTTTAAAACATACTCTATTAAATGAGAATTTAGACAAAAAAAGAAACTTTTTGATACATCCTGATATCAGGACATTGTACATACTCAAATTCATAACCTCAAATGTTGATAATAATAGTAATTATTTGCTACATGTGAATTTGTGGTCTTTAGCCTACAAAGGATGATCACAAGCACTATTCTATTTCTTCTCACCAAAACACTGTGAGGGTATCTGATTTGTATATTGGGAAGTATTGACTTTGATGTTTGGCAGACTAGGGCTTCTACTCTGGATCCTGTCTACTTTCTAGCTTGGCTACCTTGAGCACATTATAATAGTTACATGATTGAGTGTCTTTTCTGTTCATATTCTTTTACATATTGTTTCGAATTGTTCATAGGGACTCCTAAAGGGTAGATATTGTTCCCATTTATGGATGAGAACACTTGTTATTGGAGTAGTTATGTGACTTGGATATTTACTTATTTATTTATTTAGAGATGGAGTCTTGCTCTGTTGCCCAGGCTGGAGTGCAGTGAAGTGATACTGGCTCACTGCAACCTCTGCCTCCTGATTTCAAGAGATTCTTGTGCCTCAGCCTCCTGAGTAGATGGAATTACAGGTGCACACCACCACACCTGGCTAATCTTTGTATTTTTAGTAGAGACGGGGTTTCACCATGTTGGCCAGGCTTGTCTCAAATTCCCGGCCTCAAGTGATCTGCCTGCCTCAGCCTCCCAAAGTTTTGGAATTACAGGTGTGAGCCACTGTACCTGGCCACTTGAATCGTTTTTAAATGTATTGAGTTATTTTGTGACCCAAAATGTGATCTACCTCCGTAAGTATTCCATGTACTCTTGGAAAAAAATGTGTATTATGCTTATATAGAGTGGTGGATTCTATAAATGTTAATTTGGTCAAGTTAGTTGATAGTATTGATCAAGTCTTCAGTTTCCTTACCAATCTTCTGTCAATTTGTTTGATTAATTACTGAGTTAGTGATATTGAAATCTTACACCATAATTGTAAATTTTTCTACGTCTCTTTTTGGTTTTATCAGTTTTTACTTCAGGTATTTTGAAATTCTATTATTAGGTACATAAACATTCAGAATTGTTATGTTTGCTTGATGAATTGATCTCTTATTATTATGAAATGAACATTATAATCTGTGGTAATATTGTGTCTTCTGAAGTCCATTTCGTCTGAATTTAATATAGCCAAATGCATCTTTCTTTTTCAAGATTTTTTTTGTTATTATTTTACTTTAAGCTCTGGGATACATGTGCAGAACATGCAGGTTTGTTACATGGGTATACATATGCCATGGTGGTTTGCTGCACCCATCAACTCGTCATCTACATTAGGTATTTCTACTAATGCTGTCCCTCCCCTAGCCCCCCACCTCCTGACAGGCCCCGGTGTGTGATACTCCCCTCCCTGTGTCCGTGTGTTCTCATTGTTCAGCTCCCACTTATGAGTGAGAACATGTGGTGTTTTGTTTTCTGTTCCTGTGTTAGTTTGCTGAGAATGATGGTTTCCAGCTTCACCCATGTCCCTGCAAAGGACATGAACTCATCCTTTTTTATGGCTGCATAGTATTTCCATGGTGTATAAGTGCCACATTTTCTTTATCCAGTCTATCGTTGATGGGCATTTGGGTTGATTCCAAGTCTTTGCTATTGTGAATAGTGCTGCAGTAAACATATGTGTGCATGTGTCTTTATCACAGAATGATTTATAATCCTTTGGTTATATACCCAGTAATGGGACTGCTGGGTCAAATGGTATTTCTGGTTCTAGATCCTTGAGGAAACTCCACACTGCCTTCCACAATGGTTGAACTAATTTATACTCCCACCAACAGTGTAAAAGCGTTACAATTTCTCCACATCCTCTCCAGCATCTGTTGTTTCCTGACTTTTTAATAATCACCGTTCTACCTGGTGTGAGATGGTAGTATCTCATTGTGGTTTTGATTTGCATTTCTCTAATGACTAGTGATGAGATGATGAGCTTTTTTCCATATGTTTGTTGGCCGCATAAATGTCTTCTTTTGAGAAGTGTCTGTTCATATACTTTGCCCAATTTTGATGGGGTTGTTTGTTTTTTTCTTGTAAATTTGTTTAAATTCCTTGTAGATTCTGTATATTAGCCCTTTGTCAGATGGATAGATTGCAAAAATTTTCTCCCATTTGGTAGGTTGCCTGTTTACTTTGTTGATAGTTTCTTTTGCTGTGCAAAAGCTCTTTAGTTTAATTAGATCCTATTTGTCAATTTTGGCTTTTTTTTGCCATCGCTTTTTGTGTTTTAGTCATGAAGTCTTTGCCCATGCCTATGTCTTGAATAGTATTGACTATGTTTTCTTCTAGGATTTTTATGGTTTTAGGTCTTACATTTAAGTTTTGAATCTATCTTGAGTGAATTTTTGTATAAGGTGTAAGGGAGGAGTCCAGTTTCAGTTTTCTGCATATGGCTAGCCAGTTTCCCCAACACCATTTATTAAATAGAGGATTCTTTCCCTATTGCTTGTTTTTGTCAGGTTTGTCAATGATCAGATTGTTGCAGATGTGTGCCGTTATTTCTGAGGCCTCTGTTCTGTTCCACTGGTATATATATGTATATTTTGGTACCAGTACTATACTGTTTTGGTTACTGTAGCCTTGTAGTGTAGTTTGAAGTCAGGTAGCATGATGCCTCCAGCTTTGTTCTTTTTGCTTAGGATTGTTTTTTCTATATGGTCTCTTTTTTGGTTCCATATGAAATTTAAAGTAGTTTTTTTCTAATTCTGTGAGGAAAGTCAATGGTAGCTTGAGGGGCATAGCATCAAATCTATAAATCACTTTGGGCAGTGTGGCCATTTTCACGATATTAATTCTTCCTATCATGAGCATGGAATGTTTTTCCATTTGTTTGTGTTGTGTCTTATTTCCTTGAGTAGTGGTTCGTAGTTCTCCTTGAAGAGTTCCTTCACATCCCTTGTAAGCTGGTATTACCACTGATCCCACAGAAATACAAACCTCTACACAAATAAACTAGAAAATCTAGAAGAAATGAATAAATTTCTAGACACATACACCCTCCCAAGACTAAACCAGGAAGAAGTCCAATCCCTGAATAGACCAATAACAAGTTCTGAAATTGAGGCAGTAATTAATAGCCTACCAATAAAAAAAAAAAAAAAAAAAAAAGCCCAGGACCAGATGGAGTCACAGCCAAATTCTACCAGAGGTAAAAGAGAAGCTGGTACCATTCCTTCTGAAACTATTCCAAACAATAGAAAAAGAGGGGCTCCTCCTTAACTCATTTTATGAGGCCAGCATCATTCTGATGCCAAAACCTGGCAGAGACACAACAACAACAAAAAATTTCAGGCCAATATCCCTGAAGAACATCAATGCAAAAATCCTTAATAAAATACTGGCAAACCGAATCCAGCAGCACATCAAAAAGCTTATCCACCATGATCAAGTCAGCTTCATCCCTGGGATGCAAGCCTGCTTCAACATATGCAAATCAATAAATGTAATCCATCATATGAACAGAACCAATGGCAAAAACTACATGATTATGTCAATAGATGCAGAAAAGGCCTTCAATAAAATTCAACACACCTTTATGCTAAAAACTCTCAATAAACTTGGTGTTGATGGAATGTATCTCAGAATAATAAGAGCTATTTATGGCCAACCCACAGCCGATGTCATAATGAATAGGCAAAACCTGGAAGCACTCCCTTGAAAACTGGCACAAGACAAGGATGCCCTCTCTCACCACTCCTATTCAACATAGTATTGGAAGTTGTGACCAGGGCAATCAGGCAAGAGAAAGAAATAAAGGGTATTTAAATAGGAAGAGAGGAAGTCAAGTTGTCTCTGTTTGCAGATGACATGATTGTATATTTAGAAAACCCCATTGTCTCAGCCCCAAATCTCCTTAAGCTGATAAGCCACTTCAGCAAAGTATCAGGATACAAAATCAGTGTGCAAAAATCACAAGCATTCCTATACACCACTAATAGACAAACAGAGAGCCAAATCATGAGTGAACTCCCATTCACAATTGCTACAAAGAGAATAAAATACCAAATGCATCTTTCTTTTGATTGGTATTAATACATTATATCTTTTCTTACCTTTTTATTTTTAATCTCTTTGTGTCTTCATATTTAAAGTACATTTCTTGTAGAAAGCATATGATTGTGTCTTGCTTTTTCCCACATTCTGAAAATCTCTGCCTTTTAATTTGGATATTTAGACCACTTACATTTAATGGGATTCTTGATATGGCATGTTTAAGTCTATCATCTTGCCACTTTTTAAAAAAATTGCCCATATGTTGTTTCCTTTTTCTTGCCTTCTTTCGGAATGAGTAATTTTTTAAACAAATAATTCCTTTTTATCTTCTTTGTTGGCTTATTTGCTATAACTTTGTATTGTTATTTTAGAAGTTGCTTTAGGTTCAAGTAATATTATACTACTTCATGTACAGTATAAAAAACTTACAATGGCATTATCTATTTTTCTCCTTACAACCTTATGATATTTTTGACATATATTCTACTTGTACATGTATTATAAAACCTGTACTACATTGTTATTATTTTTGCTTAAACAGATTAGTTTGTTTAAAGATATTTAAATAATAAAAAATCTTATATGTTTACTCATGCAGTTACCACTTCCAGGGGTATTTTTTCAACTGCGTAGATCCACATTTCCGTCTGATATCATATTCCTTCTGCCTAAATGATGATGTCTTTTTGTATTTCTTGTAATGCAGCTTTGCTGGTGAATAAATTTGTTTAGTTTTCATATATCTGTAAAAGTTTTTCTTTTGACTTTATTTTAGTTTGATTTTGAAACTCATTTAAGGTAGGCATAGAATTCTAGGTTGATAGTTTTTCTTTCACTACTTGTACTCAGGGTTTTGAGATTCTTGTTCTGTGGGTTTACTGATTTCATCAAATTTGGACATTTTAGAGAAATATTTCTCCAAATATTTTTTTTTCTGTCTCCTATCACTCTCATTTAGGGACTCTAATTACCCTGTTTGATGCTGGATATTTTTGTGTTCCTATATTACAGAGTCTTGTTCTGGGACACTGTTAAGTTACTTGGAAACAGATTTTTTGGAGTGTTGCTTTTATGTCTTTTTTATAGGCTGGGCCAGAACAGTGTTTAGTCTAGGACTGATTATTTTCCACTACTGAGTTAAGAAGACCCTCTGAGTATTCTGTCTACTGCCCAGAAAATCATAAGGCTTTCACATCTAGGTTGGGGAAGAGACACTGTTTATGACCCTGTGTCTTAATATTTATATTATTTTAGTGGTTTTTCTGAGCTTTACAATATACACACCTAAATGTTCACATTCTATTTAGAGTTAATATGTTATCACTTCAGGTAAAGCATAGACGCCTTACCATCATTCAGGTCATTTTAACCTTACCCTTGGTATTATAATTGACATGTATATTATGTCTATTACATTGGAGACCTCCCAGACAATGTTAGAATTTTTGCTTTCAATCGTTGTACATATTTTTAAGAATTTAAGAGAAGAAAAATCATCTCTATATTTATCAAGTTATTTACATTTATGCCACTCTTCTTTTAATTCCAAAGTTTTATTCCTTTTGATATAATTCCTCTTCAGCCTGAAGAACTTCCTTTGGCAATTTTTTTCAAGCAGGTCTGCTGGTGACAAATCCTCTTAGCCATCTTTCATCTGAGAATGTCTTCATTTTAGAGGATTTTGGCCATGTAATTATAAAATCTGTGTGTTTATTTACTGAAGTTTTTAAATTTAAATCGACTTCTTATTTTGGAGGAAGAAATTTGGACAAAATGAAACTTGAAATCACTACCATAAATGGAAAATCAGTATCACTTGCTATAGATAGATGACAACAATAAGATACACAGTGAAAATAAAACATTATTAAAGTCTCTTTTGCCTCCCAGGCACTGGTCATGAAAGAAGCTCTCTCTTTGTAACAAGTTCCCTTTGAGAAACACTGGTTGGATGAATGGATGGACGGAGGAATGAATGAATGAGTGAATTAATAAAAACAGACTATTTCTGTCTTTTTACTCATTGAATAAAGATTTATTAAGCCCACATTCTGTGATGGGCACTGAACTATCTCTGGAGCGGCAATAATCATGGGACAGATGAGGTTTAGGCCCTCCCAGCACTGGCAGCTCAGTGTGAAGGAGTGGATCCAACCTTTACCTGAGAGTGGGCTTTGATGGGTGAAAGCTCGGGTAAGAGGCACACTTGAAAAGATGTAAAATGGAAGGGTTGTGAGAGATGAAGCTCTGTTGCCAATTGCTTTAGGCTGTCACTCCCTGTCTGCAGCATCCCGGGTTTTTCTCCCCTGCAGCTTGACCTCAGCTGAGATGAGTAGTGTTTGCTGCTTCATGTGATGTTTGGAATCATCTCTCAGTATTATAACTGTCTGCTCCAAACATCTTTACTTAGCATTTAGTGAGAGCCCGACCTTTTTCCACCCGAGGCCATTAGTTATATCAGTGGGCTCTGTGTGTGCTCTTAGTCAGAATAAATCCCCCCTGAGTCAGGGGCAATAGATCATGGGCTCCATCATTTATGGCCTATAAATTAAAGGGTGGTTGGGAACTCTGGCTTCTGTGCCTGGCCGCTCACTCCTTAGTTACACAGTGTCACTCTTTTATTGGGGGATGGTGGGGGCAGGCTGTTTGGTCTCCTTCTGAACCCCCTGAAAGACAGTATTTACTGGCTATGGAAATACCTTCACCGCATGTTTATTTCTTTGAGACACTCTGCCTCAAGCTCATTGGATCCTTGTTCTTGTCTCTGTCCGGAGCTGTCTGGGTATTTAATGGCCTTGGGTGGTATGCTCTCCACATTTCCAAGGCTCCTCAGTGACAGCAGAATAGGCTTTTAAAAGTCTCACCACACCCAGAGTGTTTGGGGTTTCATAATGGCAAAGCGTGGCTGTCTTCTGCACTCTGGAGGTTGCATTCCTGAGACAGGGCGTTCCTCCCTTTCACTGAGGCCACAAGGCTCCATTGATGGCTGGGACTGTCCCTTCCTTGCTCCTTGAGAGCCTCAGCACCATTCTTGGGGCTCCTGCCTCCCCACGGCCAGTCACATCACCTTTGAAAACAGACACACAGCTGTGAAGTTGTAGGTTTCAGGATGGCTTTGCTGTTGTAGGGAGATTGTTCTCAGAGACATCTCTGTCAGGTTCAGCTCTTGGAGCATTGTGCTGTCTCCACATTTGGAACAAAAGTGCTATCATGTAAAGCAGTTCTAGCAAGTCTCTGTTTAGTCCATAGTGAGCTCATGAGGATCCAGGGAGGAGTGAGGAGCAAAAGTGCGTGAGTCTGTTGCATTCGAGGGATTGCAGAGTTAAAGGCATAGCAAAGATCACTGATCCAACCGTTTACCAGAGGCCAGCCTCCTCACCCCGACATCCCTGACAGTTGCTCATCCAGCTTCAGTCTGAATGTGTTGGACCCTGCCTGGATCCCAGCCTTGGTGAGCTCTTCACTGCCAGCTGGAACCTCTCAGCCTCGTCTATGTCTCACCTCATGCCAAGCTCTGAGCCTCCCTGCTGCCCCAAGGCAGGAGAGTTTTAAGAAACTCTAGATGGGTAAAATGAAACTTAATTTCAGGTCTCACTTGGGTTGCCTGTCTAATATTTATCATCTGTCCAGTTATCTGGTAACTGGGATAAACTTTATCTTGATCCCAGCCACCTATCTCTCCCTTAGTCTCTATGCCCAAGCCCTTGTTTTCATAACATATCTACTTCCCAGACCTGCCTTGCCCTCATGGGATCTTCCTTTCCAGGATTTATAGCCTTGTCCTGGAGCTGCAGCCCAATGATTCGGGTCTTGGTGGCTGATGATGGACCTCCTAGATATAGACTTGTGTAGAGTACAACTTGCCCCTGTTTTCTTGCTGCTTTATATTCCTGTGACTGCTGGTAACCCTGAACTAGAACCCATCATAGGAAATAGGCCTAGCACCAGAACTGGCCTGCTGAGTTAGATGCTTTTCTGGGAATTGTAGCTTGGCCCATGCACGAAATGTTTAATTTCAAGTCTTAGACTATCCTGGACCATCCATCGGTCTGTATCATCTAACTGCTGCTAATCATGATATTCCTGTATACCTATTGAAAAATAAAACTTCTAAGGTAGAAATGTATTCAATGATAAAATATGCCACGTATTGAATAAGTACTACATGTTAGACACTTTGCTATGCATTTTGCATGCATTCTATCCCCCAAAGCCTATGAACTAGGTATTATTATTGTTATTATTATTCTTAATTAATTAAGATGTTTATTTTTTGAGATAGGATCTTGCTATGGTGCCCAGGCAGGCCTCAAACTCCTGGGCTCAGGTGATCCTTGTGCCTCAGGCTCCCAAGTAGCTGGTACTGTGGATGTGTGCCATCATGCCAGGCCCTTTTATTATTATTTCTAGTAGCATGCTGTGACTCTTCAGAGAACAGGCACTATAACTGGACTACCTGGATCGAAATCCCAATTGTGCCTCGTTTTAGTTGGGTATCTTGGATAAGCTGCTTGGTCTCTTTGTTCTTCAGTTATCTCATTCATAAAATGAGGTTAACTAATGATCACTTCAAATGGTAGTATGAGGACTAAATCAGTTGATGCGTTTAAAACATTTAGAACAGTGCCTAGTGGCCTAGAGATGTCAAGTAACTTGCCCAGCGCACACAGTAAGTGGCAGAACTGGGCTTGCAGGAAGGACCCTTTGGTCTCTCCTTTTGTATCTCATTGTGCCCCCTCATCAGCCTTGAAACCCCTGGGTTTGGGTTGGGTCACCTCTTAGATGGCAATTCTTTGCAACGGTCAGCCTTGCTTTCCTTAGTCTTGAACTCATCACACTTCATGTGTAAAGACCATGTTATTAATCTGCTTATCAAGAAAAAATGGTCTCTGTTTTGTCCTAGCTAAGATAATGGAACTGACTTTTGGAATACTGGGATCTGGTAGGAGGCTCTGCTCCTTCCCAAATGTGTGATTTTTGGTAAATCAACAAATCTCTTCCACCTTCAGTTTTCCCATCTGTAAAAGAAAGAGAATAAATTCTACCTTGCAAGGCTGCCATCAATTCAACTAGATGACATGGATAAGAGAGTGGATGTGAAGTAATTTTGTTAACTTCAGTTTTCTCATTTGTAAGGTGGCATGATTGTACACGCATGTAAAGATCAAGTGAAAAAATTCATGTAAAGAGCTTAGCATACCACCTGTCACAGAGTAACTACTCAATAAATGCTACTATAATCATCATCACCAACACCAGCAGCATGTCCTAATCAAATGTAAACAAATATTTGGTTGTTTTCCTTTGATAAGGGGTTTCAGCAAAGGCATCCGTCCTAGACCTTCCCCTCCTGGACAAGATGGTCCAGGAGGAATGCATGAATCTGCAAGACGGCTGCCCAGCATTAGGGCATGTGATATGGTTGTGAAGCAGATTTTCCCTCTGCCTGCAGATAACTAGTCTCTAGGGGGCCTCAAACTTGTGACCCTGTCTTCATTAGCCATGTGAATTTGCTGGCCTCGTCTGCCCTTGGTAATAATTCCTGCCAGGTCACAAAGAATATCTTTCCCCCATGAGCCTT
The DNA here is from genome assembly GCF_000001405.40 of Homo sapiens. NCBI lineage: Eukaryota > Metazoa > Chordata > Mammalia > Primates > Hominidae > Homo > Homo sapiens. The sequence continues at coordinate 129,710,784 of NC_000008.11, read as the reverse complement.
GGGTTAATAGCAACCTTTGACCCTATTCACTTAAAAGGTAATAAGCAACAGAAGCATTCATTCATCCAGCAAACATTTATCAAGGGACATTCTTGAGTTTCTTAGTTCATCATGACTCAGTATGCCTGCTGCTGACTCTTTCAGGCTGTCACATTCTTCTCAAGATAAGAACAAAGTCAGGTATTTGAATTTTCCTTGTATTTGGGCCATTCGTCACCTTTTCTCTTCTCTCCACACCCAATCGAATCAGGAACTCACATTAAAAGGGCTTTGAGCTGATGACTCTGAAAAAGCCCAGGACCCTGATTCCCCTTCTTTTATGATCCCATTAGCAGGCTGATGGTGACGACCATGTGAACACACCAAACACAAGAAAGCATCACTGACAAATGCAGAACACATGTTGGCCGGTGCAAGGATGTGGCACTTCCTTTATGCCGGCAGGTCTACTTAATTCAGTTCAGTCCAGCAAGTTTTGGGTACGTGCCCATTTGCTCATTCATTCAATAATTCATTCATTCATCAAAATTTCTTTGAGTGTTGTATACAAGCACTGTACTGTGCTGCATGCTAGACTGGAAACAAAAGAAATCTATAATGCTCACCCTGCTGGCATTCTAGTGGAAGATACTGTTTGCATTTGCAAAGCACCCAGAAAAAAAATACGTGCATGAAGAGAAGAAAAAAATAGTATTTACTTCATTTATCATTTATGCTTGCATTCATTCATTCAACTTGTTAATTACCAACTGTGTGTCATGCACAATGCTAAATGCTGGTACCCAGAGATGAACAACAAAGACATAGTTTCTACCATCACAGAAACTTGAAAGACCACCTTAGATGAGATGATCAAAGAACACCACAATAAAGCTGAGACCTCTATGGTGAGAAAGAACTAGCGCTGCCGCCAGTGGGGAAAGGTCATTTCAGACAGAGGGAAGAGCATACGTGAAGCCTTATTGTAGGAAAGAGATTGACATTTTTGAGGAGACATTTTGAAAACAGGCTAATGGGGTTGGAAAGTAATGATGGAGGGGAAGGATGACAAGAGATGAGGACAGAGAATTGGGAAGGGGTCAGATAATGCAGAGAGCCTTGGCAGGCCATGATGGAAGTGTGGAGATACATAGCTATCTATCTCCATATCTATCTATCTATCTATCTATCTATCTATCTATCTATCTATCTATCATCTATCTATCTATCATCTATCATCTACCATCTATCTATCTATTATCTATCTATATCAACTATCTGCCTATCATCTATCATCTGTCTATCTATCATCTATCTATTATCTGTCTATCTATCTATCATCTATCATCTATTTATATCTAGCCATCTATCATCTACCTTTTGAGGCCAAAAGGAAACTTTTTAAAAGAGTTTGAAGCTGAACACTGTCGTAATTCAATCTACTGTGTGCCTCTGATGTGTCAGGATTTGTGCTGAAGACTCTGATGATAAAGTAAACAAACACTACTGAGACTTACTGAGTTTAGAAATTCCTCCAGTGCCATTCATCCCTTTTTCACAGTAGCATTCAGCCAGCTGAATGTAACCAATTGCTCCAATGTGTGGGATAGATAAACATTAAAAAAAAAAAAAGAAGGGGGAATTCAGTGACAGCTGGAAATAGAAGTGCCATGGATGGGGTAATATTTGTTCAGGACTTTCTTGGACACAGACAGCAGGAATACTTCTGAACAGGGAGATAGAATATACAAAATGAAGGGGGACGTGTAAGGAAAAACAAAGAGAATACTCCCTTCTTCATGTGTTACCTCGTTTAACCTCCACATCTCTTTGAGGAAGGCATTATTTCCCCTATATTCAGATGAGGAAACTGAGGCCCATAAAGGTACCTAGCCAAGGACACTCAGCCAGTAGGTGGCATGGGCCATTGTCCAGAGTTGGAAAGGTTTTCAACATCTGGCTGGTGAACCAGAGAGAAAACCAATGGTTCACCTACAGCTGAAGAAGACTTGGTGCTAGAAGAGGCATTTCAGCTGTTTTGTTTGCTGTTAGTTAAGGACGGCATTCCCAATTTCTATCTGGCAAGGCTTGAATAAAGTCCAGGAGTGGGCCCTGTCCTAGGAGAAAACCCACTTGGCTGCGTGGCCAGTGCCGAATCCATTGCCCCTGACTTCCGTTCCCATGACAACTATCACCAATGTGAAAGATGGCCCTTCTATGGCTAGCAGTGAAATTGCTCAGGCCTCAGAGTCCTGGTGAATATAAGAATGTTGTCTTGGCTATTTTTCCCTTTCTGGGTTCTAGGAGGTTCCTTAAGGCTGAGTGTAGGAGGACTGTAACTGCTTTCTTTTGCTTCTCATCCCAAACTACTCTCTGAGTCCTGCAGGGAGACAGAGCCGCATTTGCCATTTTCTCTGCAGAGCCTGGGATGCTTTTCTCCTTGCTAAGGCAGCTCCCATAAGCAACCAATCTGCCCTCTTTACCTGGCCTAACTAGCCTGGGTCTTTAGGGCTCTGGACTCAGCATCTCAGTCAGCCTTCAGGAACTGTTCCCTTGGCTGTGAACTCTGGGGCCCCTCTAAGCAGAGCCGGCTTTATGAGCTTGTCCATGACTCATTCTTGGCTTAATGCCCTGCTGCCACAGTCTTAAATTCTTAGTCTTTTTATCTTTGAACTTACGTTTTGTAAGTGGAGTCCAACGGGACAGTGAAGCACACACTTGAACAGAGGAGAGATGCACAGTATGGGTGTCCACAGTACCTCACCATGCCATTCACACTGGGACATTCATGATGCCCAGGAGCACAGAACTCTGGTGGACTCACGATGCCTGGGAGATCAGCATGACTTAAAGTGCATACAAGACAGGCCATTTGGACTAGAGCTTACTCTGAGTGCGAAAAGAAAGCAATGGCATTCAAAGAAGCATGAACCACCAAAGAATTCTATCCTCTTATCTCTGTTTTTATTTGTGCTATTTCCTTGTATTAGTCAACCACTTATGCCAAGAATGATGGTTGATGAAAAGCGAAGATAAGATGAGCCATAGCTTCCTTTCCTTGAAGTCTTTCCTTACTCATCAGTAAACCAAAGGTAGAAAGCATTGGTAGAATATATGTGTATCAAGAAATGTAATAAAAACATTTGTGCTGTTTCCATTGTTCTGGTAAGAATAGCTTTGAGCTGTTTCCATTGTTCTGGTAAGAAGGAAATACAGACTACCAATTTTGAATTATATAATTTTGGTGATTCTGCATTTGAGTTAAATGCTCTTATATTTGCATTTAAAACTGGCATGGCACAATATAAAGAAGAACAGTAAAATTAATGGTACTTACATTTTTTCCTTAGAATGATATTGAGTAACAAATACAAAACCCTCACCATGCCTAACTGAAAAAGAAACCATGAAAGGAAGAAAAAAATCTTCATATTTTAGTTCCTGTGAGGGCATGTTTTCCCTGCATTTTGAACAAGAGGCTCTATATTTTCATTTCCTATTGGGCCCTGCAGATTGTGCAGCCATCCTTGCATTCAGGGCTTATCCAATCAAATATTTTTTAGATGCCTGATCAGCACCAGCCACATTACTTATCTGGGCTTTTTTTTTTTTTTTCTATCCAGGCTGAGAATATGGCAGAGCTTGTTTTGGTTCTTTCCATCTGATCACTTCATCCTTCCAGGCACTGGGCATCCAGAGTTAAATAGATGCAACCCCTGCTGTGGAGAAGCTTACAGTGCCGTGAGAGGAAGTGACAGGTAATGATGGCTGGGGAGCACAGAATGGGGGTACCACCATGTCTGGAGGAGAGAGAACACTTTATTATTAAATATTCTCTATTTTCCAGAACCTAGCACAGTGCCTGGTACACAGTGAATGCTCCATAAACGTTTAATAAATGAACAAATGGTGTAATGCACACAAGTGCCCTATTGACAGCTGAATACTATGGAAATAGTAGGATGTTCATTAATGGTGGGGGAAATACAGGAGGTAGAGAGAATATGGCTTTCCAAAGGTCAGCTGGAGCAGAGCAATGTAGCCTCTCTTCTGTCCTCATGAGTTTTAACTGATATTTTTCCTCCATGAACTTTTTGGGGAGTTGCTTCTGTGCTTGTAGCATGGGGTTTCCATCTTGAGGATGAGGAATGTTGCCTAAAATCAAATGCCTGCAAGTGATTCCATCATTCCTTCCACAGATATACACTGAATGCCTGCTAAGTGCCTGGCTCCATTTTTGGACTGGAAATGGCAAGTATCTGGGCCAGGAAAGGACTTTAAAGTCATTGAATTCAGTAGTTCTCAAATACAGACCCTCAAACTGGTGCTGCTCGGCGATATTTTCACTGCTTTACAGAAAAGTGAGGAAAAGAGAGTGATGTTTGGAAAGCCAAGGTTATGACTTTAAAGCATTTCCTTTCTTCTGAGATCATGTTTTTCCTTTTCTTCCCTTCTGTTAAAATGTGCTTTTTTTGATTTTTGTTTTTGCAGAATGACTGCAATAGTGGATGATAATTGAATTAGTGGTAATATCCATTGTTGGCAAAAAGTTGGCAACCCTCTGTAATTCCTCTGACTTTTTTTGGTGGAGAAAATTTGTATTGGTCTGAGAAATAGAAAATCTGGAATGCATCCACATCAACCAGTTTCAATTCCTCTACACCTGAGCCCCTCCTCCAGCAGCATCACCTTCCTAAACAGACACTAAGAGTCATCATTCCAAGGGCAAGGGAATTCCCTTCCTATCTTTAAATTTATTTTTAAAATTTCTTCATGTTAATTACTATTATTTCCCTATAATTTCCAATATCAGGTCACTGTTCATCCATATGAATATATTGATTGATTGATTACCTGATTGACTTTTCAACCAAGTAGAACCAATAAAATTTATTAAGCATGACCTTAGTGCCAAGCATCCTACCAGGACCTGGGGACACAAAGATGAAGATGGCAAAATAGCCCTTCCTATATTTGAAGACAAATTCTATGCCCCCTCTCTTCTACTCCTCCCCTTCACTCCACATTTCTCTGCATCCAATTAACCATCTCTGATCTTCAGCCCTTGATATGGTTTGGTTGTGTCCCCACCCAAATCTCATCTTGAATTATAGTTCCCATAATCCCCATGTGTCATGGGAGGTACCCAGTCGGAGGGAATTTAATCCTGGGGGTGGTTACCTTCATGCTGTTCTCGTGATAGTGAGTGAATTCTCATGAGATCTGATGCTTGGCACTTCTCCTGCTGCTGCCATGTGAAGAAGGAAGAAGGACGTGTTTGCTTCCCCTTCTGGCATGATTGTAAGTTTCCTGAGGCCTCCCCAGCCATGCTGAATTGTGAGTCAATTAAACCTCTTTCCTTTATAAATTACCCAGTCTCAGGTATGTCTTTATTAGCAGCATGAGAATGAACTAATACAGCCCCCTTTCATATAAGAAGGTGTTACTCTTCTACACCATTTGGGTCCATCTCCTTTGAATACTCTTCAGTTTATGTAAATTTCTCTTAAAATAGTTCCTCTGAAATTGAGATATACTGTGTGTGGTCTCATTAGTGGCGATTATACAAGGACTATCACCTCCACTATTATACTTATTATATTTCCATTAATGCAGCCTAAAGAATGATTACTTTTGTTTTGGCAGCTGCAACACATCATTCATTATAATAGTAATTGATTATATGGTATTTTCTATATGATAGCCAATGTTCTAAATAAGTTACATTTACTAAGTTATTTAATCGTTTTAACAATCTTATGAGTAGGTAGTTATTTTTATAGAAGAGGAAACTGAAGCACAGAGAGGTAAATGGTTTAGGCCTGAGTCCTTAGAAGAAGCCATGTCTCACAAATGGACAAAATGTCTATGAGAAGCAATGAAAGTGCTTGACTTAGACCCTAAAGCCAGCATGAGATTCCCTCAGGTTGGGGGAATCAAGCGGAATCTGTAGGTTCCACAGCAGTGAAGATTCAGGGAACTGAATACTAGGGAGCTGGCAAGAGCCACAGGAAAGGGTGCTGGGTGGTCGTCAATTCAGATGGGATCTGAGGCAGCCTGACAAAGGATTCCTGTGACCAAAGCTTGGCCCCGAAGCAGCAGAAACCTCCAGGTTGGAGGGCCTGGGGACCAGGTCATGGGCATCTTTGCAGTCCCCTGTGTGGCAGGAGATAATGGCCAAGCTTGCCTCCAAGTGCTTCCACACTGCATAAGACTCCAACCTTGAAGTGAGCATATTAGGGGGCTGTTCCAAATGATCAAGGTTGTGGCATCGGGGTTTAACATAGAAATTGTTTGTTTATAGTGTCATATTTGTGTGACACAGGAAAAAAGGAGGGAAGAAGGGAGGGGCAGAAGGAAAAAGGGACAGAGGGAAGGGAGGAGAGAAGGAGGTAGGAAGGAGGGAAGGAAGGAAGGAACAGGAGGTGAGGGAGAGGGGAAAAGAATATAAATCTAGCTTCCTCCTTTTGATGCCCCCTTTCTCTTGGTTCCCTCAAGGCAAGCAGTGGCCTCAGCTGTCTTACTGCATGAGTGAGTGAGAACAGGCTGTCCACAGACAGTCACAAGGAGCAAGGAGATCATTAGCTGCAGTGATTTATTGCAGGTCAAAGTGCTGCACTTTTGTGCCAAACACAGAAGCCCTTGAAGCCTCGTGATGAATTAGAAGCCAGATACTGTTAAGGGAGATGCTCAGGGCTGGGGAGCATCAGGGCTCACTGGGCAGCTGTTCTCATCTTTGCTGTAGATGACCAGCCCGGCCAATGTTTTTGGGTAGGTTCCTTCTTTTTGGGCCTCAGTTTTCCAATCTGTAAAATGTGGGGCTGAGCAAGATGATTTTCTTTTTGGGGGGGTATCATTTTTTTCTGCACTAACATTATTCTGTGCTAATTATTGTTAGTGAATAACACAACACTCTGATCTTCTACTGCATCTGTGCTCCCTTAACAGGACCAGCGATGGCAGATTGTGCTGTCCATATCACCTGGCTTCCTGTCATGTCCTTTTCTTCGAAGCCCAAGTTCATCACTGAGCCCTTGAAACACTGGCTCATTTCATGCACTGGGCTCTCGCCCCTCCATTCTCTACAACCAAATTCACCTCGCCTTCTTCTTCCTAGGCATCTCTGAGAAATGGATTAGAGGTTTTTTATTCTGTCTCGGAGTATGAAAACCTAACCTCTAGAATTAAGCATATCATAGAGAAAGGCACAGGTTTTCTTCATTTTTCCACTTTAGCCATAACCTATTTAAGACATTCATTTCACATTCAAGCTAACACAGCTCTAGCATGGAGTAGGATGCATGATCCATAGAAAACTTTAAGCTAAGACTGGAAACTTAAAGGAGCATCCTTTTTCCAGAAGGCTAATTTTGGCTTCCATGTCAGATTTCCATCATCATTGAATTTTCTCCTGCCATTTGGCCTACTTCCTTTGTAAACTCTGAAAAGCACTTACTTGCTCAATTTCTCCTTCCTGCCAGACCGCATTTGTGTATGACACCTGAGAACTTCTGGAGACCTTAAGACTCTCTCCCTTGCCACGTAGTCTTAGGGGACAAGGAGTCAGCTCAGATGATGGAGTTCTTTGGGGCCAAGGGTGGAGTAGGAGGGCGTGGGGTGGGCTAGGGGAAAAGCACTGAGGGTTGAGAGGAGAGCTGGGATCCAGAAGGCCAAGAAGAGAAATTCACAGGGGCAAGACAAATTTATAAAGGGTCCTCCTGCAGGCATACCTGTCAGTGTGTATGGCTTGGCTGATGGAATATAGTCAGGTGACCTGGGAGGTACAAAACCCACATTTCTGTGCATGGAGGCTGTACCAAGGGGCTATTGAAATGAAGATGCTGGAAGCTGGCCTGGATATCAGGGCAGAAGCAGGGAGTTCTGAGGGCAGAGGGCAGTAGGGCCACATGCTAGTGTTGGTCCCAAAAAAGTGGCTTTAAGACAATGGCCTAGAAAAGAAGAAATGCTTTCAAAGTGTGCTCTGGGGACAACCCACTTAAACACATCACCTGGGGATACTTGTTAAACATGCAGATCATCAGCCCCCTGCCTAGACCTAGGAAGGTGGGATTCCTATGTGTACTAAAGATTCCTATGTGTACTAAAGATTCCTATGTGTACTAAAGATTTGTACTAAAGATTCCTATGTGTACTAAAGATCATCAGCCCCCTGCCTAGACCTAGGAAGGTGGGATTCCTATGTGTACTAAAGATTTGAAAGGCGGTATTCCTATGTGTACTAAAGATTCCTATGTGTACTAAAGATTCCTATGTGTACTAAAGATTTGTACTAAAGATTCCTATGTGTACTAAAGATCATCAGCCCCCTGCCTAGACCTAGGAAGGTGGGATTCCTATGTGTACTAAAGATTTGTACTAAAGATTCCTATGTGTACTAAAGATCATCAGCCCCCTGCCTAGACCTAGGAAAGCGGGATTCCTATGTGTACTAAAGATCATAAATATGAACCTAGGAGGTTCAGGACAAAATAGCCTCTTCTGGGTGGTGTGGTCCAGCTCAGTTTAAAGAAAAAGTACAGGACAGAACTGAACTTTGGCTCAAGAACAGGCTGTCGTGGAGGGTGCTTCAGTCTTGGTGGAGGCTGGGAAAGAAGGGGCTTTTGACCCTGAAGAGCTCTGGGACTATCTCAGACAGCATCTGTGAAAGCACATGGCTTAGCGCCTACAACACATTGTAGGTGCTCCAGGAACAGCCATTTCTTTCCTTGCCTTCTATCTCCATGTGTGTGCAGGGATGACCCTGGATGTTTGCAAATTGGCCTTGTTTCCAGCTGTCCACAGAGCTCCAGGGGCATTTCTGCAGTCCTTGCTGTTAAACATAGCTTCCCCTGAGCAGCTGCCCAGGATCCTTGAGTCCCCCCTTCCCCACACTTGTGCAGACCAGCGGCACCCTTTCTCAGCAGACACCCCTGGCCTACTTCCAAGACACTGTGATGGATACGCCTCTTCCTGAAGCATGGTGCAGCATGGAGAGGTGATTTTGATCTTACTCCTCAGCTGGGCCCAGCTGTTTCCAGTTTGTGAAGGACCTTTTACTTCCAGCTCTTCATTTGTTCCAGGATAAAACTCAATGTTCACTTCAAGGTTTCTAGACCACCCAGGGTTTCTCGGGCCTTGTTGGAAGAGGCCCTGGAAATGCTTTCAGCTCTGGAGGCCATGTTATTGGGTGGGGGCGGGGTGGTATGGGAAGGGCTGCAAGGTTCAGCAGCAGTGGTGGGGCCAGGCCTGGAAAGAGCATGAGCTTTGGAGCTGGGCTGAGCTGGTGTGGATCCTGGCTCTGACTAGCTGGTTATCTTGGACACAGTGGTCCTTGGATATCAATCCTCAACTACGTTATGAGAATGACATAACCCTCTCCACAGGTTCTTGTGAGGATTAAATGAAATGATGTGCATGCTGGCAGTGTCTTTGCTTTGCCGGTAACCTTTGCAAAGATGGAAAAGTGCACTTCATTACCAGGATGAAAACCATACTATTTCATGACCATGCACGGAGACAGAGTTTAGAGGAAGGGTGAGAGGGAGCTCTCCTTCTCACGCAGGTATGGACATCCCTGAGGCCCTCTGCCATGAGCTATCTCTTTTATTCTTTCTCCCCCAGCAGCCCCATGACGCACCTCTCTGCCTCTGCCCACTCCCCACTAAGAGTTCATCCTCTGGGTCCACTGGTTCCATCTCGTTCTTCCTTGACATTTAGGCTAGGATGAGAGCCTTAGCTCATGTAAGGCCATTTTGCAGCTAGAGTCGGGGGCAAAGAGGGAGAAGGGGTAGGGGCATTGTAGGAGAAGACTTTCCCTTGACTAAGAGTGGAACATCTACACAAGAAATTTTATGTTTTTTTTTTTCTAATATTGATTACCTCCTGTTACTCAATTCTAGCATGTTATTATATTAAGCCTGGAAACACCCTCCCAGGAAAAGAATGGGAGGGATAAAAAGACTCCATCCTCTTACACAGGCTCTAGTGCAGTGCCCAGTAGCCATCACACTGGTCATCATCATAATATCTCCAAGGGCAGGTTAAGATTCTGAAGTTGGCCGGGCATGGTGGCTCATGCCTATAATCTTAGCACTTTGAGAGGCTGAGGCAGGTGGATCGCTTGAGCCCAGGAGTTTGAGACCAGCCCTGGCAATGTAGTGAGATGCTGTCCCTACAAAAAATTAAAAAATTAGCTGGGCTTGGTGGCAGACACCTGTGGTCCCAGTTACTCAGGAGGCTGAGACGGGAGGATCACTTAAGCTGGGGAGTTTGAGGCTGCAGTGACCTGTGGCCATGCCACTGCACTCCAGCCTGGGAAACAGAGCAAGACCCTGTCGCCAACGAAAGAAAGATTCTGAACATATTTCTCTAATTTACCAGTGAGGAGATGGTGAACTGGTGTGCTGATGACAAGGTGGCTTAAAACAGAGAACAGGTGGTCATCCAGGGGGTCTTTGATTCTCATGAGTAGGGGGTGGGAAGCGAGGTTGGGTAGAGCTAAGGTATCAGCAGGACATAGTAACAAATTAAAATATTATCTCTGGCAAATGATAATATAGATCTAAACTTTCAGTCCCAAACTCAAATAACAATGAGAAGTCAAATCCTTATAAATGGACAGTGGCCTGTGACCACCATTAAACAAAGCTCAGAAAAGCTGGATTCTTAAATAGTCAGCTCTTTGGGGGAAGGAGTGGAGAGAGCCAAATATTTTTAATGGTAAGAGTGATACGACTATTGAGGGCCTACTTTTGCAGCCATCACTTGAAATGAGTATGTTTATCTTCCTTTTCAAGATGGAGCAATGAGGCTCAGAGAGGTTAAGTAACTTATCTAAAGACACAAAGTAATTTGTAGAAACAGATTTCAAACACCAGGCCCCGTGCTCTTTCAACTCTATCATGCTGCCTTTCGAAAGAGATATAGTAAAAGGAAATAAGATTACTTTCTTATTCACCTTTGCATTTGTATTTGCTGCCGCAAACTTTGTGGCTTATAACAACATGAATGTCTTCTCTTATAGTTCTGGAGATCAGAAGTTTGAAATGAATCTTGAGGGGCTAAAATCAAGGTATCTATAGGGCTGAATTCCATCTGTAGGCTTCCTTGCCTTTTCCAGCTTCTAGAGGCCACCCACATCCCTTGGCTCATAGCCCCACATCACATGACCTTTTCTCCCTCTGCTTCCACTGTCACATCCCTTCTTCTATTTCTGACTCTGATCTGTTTGCCTCTTATAACGGCCCTTGTGGTTATATTAGATCCACCTGGCTAACTCAGGACAGTCTCCTCATGATCCTTAACCATATCTGCAAAGTTTTTTTGTCTATATATAAAGTGACATTCACAGATTCCAAGGATTAAGACATGACCATCTTTTGGAGGGGCATTGTTCAGCCTACCCCAACATGCAAGGAGAATTTTGAGTCAGTGCACTCTCCAGGGTAATCTCCTCCCCTTTTAAACTGGATATTCTGCACTGTTCAGTACAGTTATTAATTTGGAACGACCCTCAGAGCTTGCTACCTGATGATAATCATTTACACTTATTAAATGCTCACCATGTATCTGGCACAGTTTTAGGCTCTTTACCACAACCACAGTTAATACATACCATACTGCATGAGCTCAGTACTGTTATTATGTGCATTTTCCACTTAAGAAAAATATGGCATAGAGAGATTAAGCATCATGCCCTAGATCACCCACTTAGGAAGTAGCAGATGGGAACCCTGGCTGTCTGGTCCCAGAGCCTGTGGCCTTCACCATGAAGCCACCTTCCATGGCTCTGAGCTCCAGAAGGACAGAGCTGGAATGTTTTACTGACCATTGTACTTGCTGTGTATGTCTATATAGTGTCCAAGCACTTCTAGGAACTAAATAAACACACTATATTAATGAAAGCATAGAACATCAAAAATCAACAACTTGTTAGTTTATCTGAGTGTAGTAATTTATTGAGAGAAAAGGAATTAGGTATGTTAGAAAGATGATCGATCCCAAGAATTAAACGAACTGGCATTTTGCTTACCTCTCTAGTAAGCAGGAAATTAAACTTTTTCTCTTTTACTAAAAATTTCTATGGAGTATTTTGGTGAATAGAGCGTCTAGTGTGAAGTTCTCCCTTCATGTAGGTATAAGATATAAGATAAAAATATTCATTTCAAGTGTTGGCAGCAAGAGTACACAGTAGGCACTCAACAGTTGTATACTCTATCCATTAAAAATACATGGCAACCTCCATTCCTTACCCCAAAGAGCTGATTATTTAAAGGATCCAGCTTTTCTGGGCTTTCATCAATGGTGGTTCAGGTGCTACTGTCCATTTCTAAGGATAGTGTGAGATTATGATCATGACTCATGATGGGTGCTTAGGGTTTGGGACCTGGCCCTTTAAATCAGTGGGTAGCAAGGGTCCCTTGTCTCTCTTCTGTCTCTCATCCTTGCCTTTGACAACTGCTTATCCCTTCTCCCCTTGCCTCCTCCATTCCTGGAGGCTGTTAAGCCCACATCTGTTTACTTTGCTGCAGTTTGGGCCCAAGAACCATGTTAGTGTCGTGCTTACATGGGACCAACCCCAGGAGTTTGGGGCTCTAAGCTCATTTTTCTCTTTGAGAATCTCACAGCCTCATCTGTTCCTGGGGCTGTCAGTGGGTGATTCATATGATGAGAGAGAATGTCAGTGGGTGATTCATGTGATGAGAGAGCCGCAGTCAAAGACCCAAAAGTGGAAATGCTATGGGGCTTCATCTCTGTGTAAGCAGGTTTGTGGTCACATATGTGGGGTCACAGGAGGGGGTAAGGGAAAATGGGGTCACTCCAAGCAGCTTCTTCCAGTGAGGTCTGAGAGGTCCCCTCCTCTTCCCTAATGAGCTTTGCCTGGCCATGCCTTCTTTATTGAGCAGACACTCTCTGGAAAGATGCAAACTTTGAAGATGCTAATTAATCACACCTCTTTTATTACTTTGTTATTGACAAACTGGGAGATGAGACAGGGAGTTGGATGTGAAAAACAAATCAACATAATTACTATGAAGGCTACGTGGGGGAGCACTGCCATGCTGTAAACCCCACATCGTCATCTAAATGCTGGCAAAGCCCACGATCTCATTAGGAGGATCTCTGGGCCTCACCATTCTAGCGGCAGGGCTGGGCCTGGAACTTGGGAGTCCTTCATTTTCTACCAACGCTTGTTATATACCAACTTGCCCTTTTGCCATAAGATGGCTTAAATCACATCCAGTCCCCCTTGCTTTCAATGGGGTTCAGAACACAATATTCCCTGGTAGTATGTTTAATATTTAAGTCTTTATAGCTACAGGGATAGTGGAGTATTTAACAGGGGAGGGGACAGGGTGAAGGTACTGCTGGGTTATGTTGCTACATGGTTCTGGACTGAGAGGCTCCTCAAACCTCCATGTTTATTGGGGTTGTACGTTTGCCAAGTTGAACAACCTCCTTAAGTTGTACGGTGATATCGTTCATGTCCTGCAGATGGAGATGTTACTACATGTAAGAGAGTTTTAGACAGTGACTTGAAGTGCCACACCTCCCTTTCCAAAAAAAAAAGTAAGTTTTTTCTTGTTCCTTCTTTGAAAAATGGGGCAAGAGCTTTCTAAATGGATGTATATGTCCAAGCTTTAGGTAAGATTTAAAATGAATTTGAAAGAAACCATATCCTCTTCTCATACCTTTCCCTTCTGCTGGGTTCAGCAATATCTATGATCCTTTTCTCCTTCCTTCCCTCCCTCCCTCCCTCCCTCCTTCCCTCCCTTCCTCCTTCCTTCCCTCCCTCCCTCTCTCCCACCTCCCTCCAATCCTTCTTTCCTTCCTTCCTTCCTTCGTTCCTTCCTTCCTTCCTTCCTTTCCCGTATTTGTACCACTTTATTTATTTAACACATGGAATTTTAGAACAATTTAATATAAATTGAGAAAGGTGACATTTGTACTTGTTAATAGCACATATAATTTCATTTCAAAAAGTGTATAATAGAAAAGACTAGAAGGAAATCTGCCAAAGTATTGACAGTGGTTTCCTCCACTGGTAAGTAGGTTCATAAAGAACTTCTTTTGGTATTTTATTAATTTTATTTTTTAAAACTATTGTACAAAAATTTGACTTATTTTGGTGTACAGTTCTATGAATTTCAACATATGAATTTGCATAACTGCCATATGGCTGCTTTCTCTCCTCCTTTTACCCTCACCCGGCCCTCTCAGTCTTTCCTACTTCTTCTCCCCTCTCTCTGTCCATTCCTTCCTGCTTTCCTTGGCTGGCTTGTCTTTCTCTAAATGCCAGTGTTTCAGCTTTTTTACTTTTATTTTTTAAAGTAGGGACTCTATCCTAATGGTGTTCTTATTCACTCATATATTATCTTATTACCTTCATGCCAAATGGCCCCCAAACTATATCTCCAATCCAGATGTCTCGGTTCCACTCCAGATCCACTTGCTGCACACCTTTTGGACATCACCGGGATGTCCCATAAATAACTCAAACACTACATGTCACCAACTAAATTCATTGTTTCTTCCTGTTGTGGGTGTGTCTCTGGCATTCCAAATCTCTCTTAACAGGGACACTGGAAACCTCACCTCCCGAGCTGGAAACCTCAGGAGCATTTTTATGCTCTTTCTATTGCCTCCTGCATAAATCAATTGCCAAGTCCCGTGTGTGGTGTTGGTGTTTTAGGTGTGACTCTTGATCCATTGCCATATGTCTATCCTCATTGTCTTTTGCCTTAGTCTGGGCTCTCTGCCTTGCCATGGTTGTGAGCGTTCACTTTAAAAACCTCCTAATTGGTGTCTTTGTCTCTAGCTTCTCTTGTCTCCTATCCATCCTTCCCATGGCCAGCATGGGATTCATCTTCATCAAACACAGATGTGATATTACACTCTTGTGCTTAAACTCCTTCCATAGCCATGGGAGGGCGTTCCAGGTGCTAGCTAGAGCTTCCATGATGGCCCTGTGAAACTTTGTGAGTCTCATCTTCCTCTGCCCAGCTCCATGGCCCAACTCCTCTCTCAAGATCCACTACGTAAATGGGGCACCCCAACACTATGCTCAGAGAGCCCTTGCATGTTCCTCAAACCAGAAACCTTCCACTCTATTGTCAAGAATGAGTTAAAAATTCCCTGTTCTCAACTCTTCCAGGAAATTCTAATTGTGCTTTATTTTGGACTCTCCTGCATGCTGACCACAGGGAGGTGGGAAGTTACTCTCCAGAGGAGATGATCTGAACCTAAAGGACCTTCACAATATGAGAAATGTCCAAAAAATAACAGAATGAGATAAGGACCAAGAGAAAGATGGAGTAAGAAATAGAGAAGGAAAATGAAGGTTAAAAAACCAGAGGATGATGGTGAGAGCTATCACATGATACAAGGTGGTATATGATTCATCAAATTCAATCTTCACAAGTATCATAAGAATTTATTTTTCAGATTAGGAAGGTAAGGTTCAAAGAATTTGAGTAACTTGCCCCAAATAACATGGTTTTGTGAGTTCAAAGGTTTGTGCTTTGCAGTATAGAAAACTTGTTCATAGGTGCTCATCAAGTTGGCTCTTGGGGGAGCAGTTTCTAAGTCAGAACATTTTTTTTTTTTTTCTGAGACAGGATCTTACTCTATCACCCAGGCTGGAGTGCAGTAGTGTGATCTCTGTTCACTGCAACCTCTGCCTCCCTGGCTCAAGTGATCCTCCCATCTCAGCCTCCCCAGTAGCTGGGACTACAGGCATGTACCACTGTGCCCAGCTAATTTTTGTGTGTGTGTGTTTTGTAGAGACAGGGTTTTGTCATGTTGCCCAGGCTGGTCTTGAACACCCACACCCACCTCAGCCTCCCAAAGTGCTGGAATTATAAGCGTGAGCCACTGCATCCATCCAGAACTTATCTTCTCTTTGGAGTGTTGACATAACCAAGTAGAGTAGACCTGGAGTCATTGGCTAATGGCCAACATTCTCCCCTCAGATGGTTGCTGACATTCAAAGGAAACCTCTTCAGCACAAGCCCTCTAAAATCCCTTGACCCAGGAAAGATGTGAAAACCAGCTCAGTGGGGGTGAGAATGGGCATTCACAGCTGTCGCCCAAGCTTCCCTCTCAGAATGAGTTAGTACCTAGCTTGGAACAGGGAGAAGGGTGTCAGACTCCTGAAGCAAGACCACCTCCTGGTCCTGCCAGAGTCACTCCTGGTGAATAGTGTGTTTTCCCAGAATTCTGGACCTGTCTGCTTTCAAATGCAAGAATTGAAAAGCAGGCCAAGTCCAGAAGGCAGGAGGACAGCTGGTGGAACACCTTTTGTCCCAGGATTCAGGAGACCTGGCTTCTAGGTCTGGCACTCACTAGCTCTGTGGTTTGAGCAAAAAACTTAATGTTTCTGAGCATCTTAATGTTTCCTTGTCAAATGCAAATCATAATGCTTACCCCACAGGTGAGGATGTATGAGAACACAGCATTTGGAATTGACAAATTACATGTCCGGCCCCCCTAGTAGCCTGTGAACTCCTTGGGGACCAAGTATCTTCTTCATCTTCATTTATATATATTTTTTACATAAAAATAAAGAAACAGTTAAGATACCATGTATTAAGGGCTTCATAACTCTTAATAAATGTAAAATATCTCTTCTAGGATTCTGAAGATAATACTCTTCTATATTAAATCATTCATTCATTCATTCATTCATTCATGTATCTATTCATTTTTTAAAAAAAACAACTATTTGTTGATCATTTGCAGTGTACTAGGCCGGTGTGCGGGTTCTTGGTGATGAAAAAACAAACATAGCTTCTACCATCAGGAGATTGAAGTACTAGTTGCAGACATAATCACTGCACAGACACACACATGCACAAGTACAAGCTGTAGTGAGTTCTAGGAAGGAAAAAAAACCAGGCAAAATGGATGAATGTGTTAAGAGGAGGGGCATAATTTGGTTTGTGAAAGGTGGGCAGGGGAGGCATTTCTGAGTGGGGACATCAAAACTGGGACCTGAATGATGAGCAGGAGCTTGCCAGACAAAGAGTGGGGTTGGGGGAATGGGGGTGGGTGGGGAGGTGTGGGGAGGCGGGAGCAGGCATTCCGCACAAAATCAATTCTAAGATAGATGTTGTTTTTGTTCCACTCAAGGGAGATCAGTTCTGGAACTACCTTTTAATAAGAGAGTTTCACAGCATGTGCTCCAAAAGGAATTGCAGAGCGAGGCTCCAGGCCGTAGGCAAGCCGCAAGCAGCAGTTTTACCACGATGACATGAGGAGAGCTGCATAAATACCACCGATGTCAAGGTCCCCAAGATCTGGGGGGAGAGGGAGGTCTCCGTCAAGGGTCTAGGGGGCCATGTGCAGGAGCTGCCAATAACAAAGAGGCTTCTGTTCTCACTGGCCTGTCCTCCACCCTGGCCCAGAGGCACAGTCATTCATTTGACCTTCCTTCTGCTGTGTCTGTGTGAAGACCCCCACTCCAAACTACTTCAATGGCAAGAGGCGACTGGGAACAGCTGGGAACTGTTGTTAGCTTCTGGCAACATCCTGGAATTTCTTCCTTGTGGATCCTGTGCCCCTGAGCTGCTGGGGGCCCCTGACTTGACCTGGAGTTGAACTTAGCTGAAGGGTCCAGGGCTAGGGGTTGCCTCCTTGTCAGCCCTGATAGTAGCATGAAATTACACAGTCTTTCCAAGAAAGCCGAGGCTGCCTTTCTAGCCATTCCTGGGGTGGAAAGACTATCAGAGGCTATGTTTTCGGCAAATCCATTCATGTTTTCCAAGGGCAGGATAGTGCAGGAGAGAGTGACCAGATAAGACACTCGCTTTTGTTCACAAACACCCTGAGGAGGTCCCTTAAGAGATAGCAAAGCTTCTGGTGGGGATGAGGCAGAGAAGGTTTGCTTCAGATAAGATGCTAGTCGAGGGACAATTGTTGTTTTCAAGGGAGGAGATACAAAACATCCGTTAATGGGGTTTGTCCAAGGATGAACTTTTCATTCACAGAATTAGAGAATGGGGAGTTGCAGCAATTCTACTCTAACTCTTTCTTTTAAAACACAAGCAAAAAGAGGCCAAGAGAGGGGAGGTGACTTTATCTAGATCCCACAGCAAGTCAGGAGTAAAGCTCTGTGTAGGGTTGGATGCTCTGACATAAAGTCCACTGCTTTTAACTACTAAGTCCCAATATTTCACCTCTCCATCTTGTCATTTCTCTATGTCTTTATTTATTAACGAGTCCATCCACCCATTCATGCATTCCTTTATGTGTTTGCTCATCAATGTTTATTCAGAGTACAGAGATGACTGACAGTTCCTCAAGGAATGGATGATGTCATGGAGGAGCCGCCCATGAATGTATAGCAGAGGGACTAGTCAAGCAGCGTGGGAGAGGCAGAGACAGGGCATTATCACGGTGAGATTGAAGAAGGCTTCATAGGGAGGATGGCTCTGGAGCTGAGTCTTAAGGTGGAAAAGGATTGCATTTGTTGAATAAGAGGAGAAACGCTTTAGCACCGTACTTTTAGAAGTGGCATGAAGAATGAATTGAAGAAGTGAGACGTTGGCACCAAAGAGATGAGTTATAGCAGTTGGTTCATTCCACAAATCAGCGATACATGCTTCATGTCTTCAGAGGCCATCCATGGTGTTGGCCACTGTGGGGATGTCAAGTTGTAAAGACCTGGACCCTTTCCTTAAGGAGCTGAACTTGCCAAAACACAAATGTGCTCAAATAACATAATGAAACGCAAAATGAACACAGGACTAGAAACTGTGAGCTCTGGATTTTAGTCTCGCTCTGGTATTGATCTCCATGGTGTTTTGGGGCCTTGAATATTTCCTTACCTGTGAGATGGTGAGGTTAGGTCTGCCTTCCTGTCCCAGGGAAAAGGCAAAGGCAGTGTCCATCTCTAGCCTATTCCTTCTTGGTTGTATGATCATGAGAAGTCATTTCATCACACTGGAGCTCAAGTCCTCATTTTTAATGTGGGGGGAGTAAAAGCTTGTCCCACGGAGTGTGAGGATGATCTAAAACAGCTGCAGGAGAGTACAGAGCATGCTACCTGGAAGAGAGTCAGCCTCTAACAAATGCTCATTCTTTGTCCCACACTCCCATGGCTCTGTTTTTTCTTGGAAGGGGTGAATGGAATCAAGGATGGTAATACATATGAAATCTCGTTAAAATAGGAAGTGCCCTCCATAAATGCCAGGGGAATCCCATGTAGATTTCTACATAGGAGAGTCTGGGGGGGCTCTTAAGGCTGATCTCTGGGAGGATCTGTGCCTCTCCTAGTGTCCTGTCTTTCTTCTGGTTCTAAGTCTCTGGACAGGCCTTCCCCAGGAGGGCTCCTTGGTCAAAGGAACTCCTTTCCCAGAAGCATGCAGAAGGTGACAGGCACAAACACAAAGACAGACTGTCCTTGGCTTTCTGGAGCAGAGATAGCTTCAGACATTCTGCCTCACTCTTATGGGGACCTGTCAGCCCAGTTCTTGGGTCAGAAAATGGGTTCATGGTAGGTTAACCTAAGCCACAACCAGTAACGACTACTTTTCTCTAATGGTTCATCAAAGCCTTTTGACCCTTCCTTCTCCATTGCTCTACCATCCACCTCCACTGTTCCAGCCTTCCTGCAGCTCCCACGTACTGCATGCCTTCGTCACTTCCTGCTTTGCCTCTGGCGCTAGCGTCCGACTGTTCTTCCCTTCTTCCAGTCCACCTTTCTCACCACAACTAAAAGAACGTTTCTGCTTTGATCACATGATTGCCGTGGAAGTGAAACATGCAGAGAACCCCAAGGGGTGAGGAGGCTGCAGCCCTTTATTTGGCTGGACTTTGTCTTGAGAGCTTCTCTGCCCTTGCTTTGCTTTGTTTATATAGAAACAGGTATTTCGTTATAATTCCTTTTTTTTTCTGCAGAAAGATTAAGTGCAAACACTTGGCATTCAAGGCAACCCCTCAGGGAATCCAGCTTTTCCAGCTTTCTATGACAAACTCCTTCAAGTACATTGTAGTGATTAAGGGCATGGACTTTCAATCCTGACTATGTTCAAGTCTTACCTCTGCTGCCTATCAGCTATGTGATCTTGGGCAAGTTACTTAACCTCTCTATGCTTTGACTTCCTTATCCATACTTTGGGAATAATAATACTCCATACCTCACAGGGTTATTGTGAGGGTTAAATGAGATTATCTATATAAAGTTCTTAGAACTTTGCTTAGCACAGTAAGTACTCAATAAGTTCTATCCATTCCAGAAACCTCCACCCTAGCTAAATTCATCTCTGTTAACAGCCGCACATGTGCTTTTGACTTTCCTGCCTCTGTGATTTCAGCTGCTCCTTTCACCTGCCTGCAATGATCCCTCTCTTTCCTTTTGGCTTTATCCAAGCTCTCCTTGTCCTCTATTGCTAAGGAAACTCAAGCAATTTCTCAGGACCTCTATGGCTAAGGAAACTCAGGTAATTGTTCAGGAGAACGAGACAGAACTCACCCTGGTTCCTACAGCTGAGTTACTGTGGGAGGTCACCTGGCTTCTCCACATTTCAGCCTTCCCCTTGGTGAAGTGCAGATACTTAACACAGACCTTGTGAAGTCATTGAAAGAAAAATTCTCAAATTCTGGCAGATAGTAGGTATTTAATGAATGATAGATATTATTAAGCCAAGCTAGTCCTTCCTACCTGAACTTTTCCCTCTGAACTCTTCTAGTAATTATTGATTCCATCATTTATCTGGTCATTCATTGACCATGTAGTACTTTGTATCACCTCATCTTTTCTTTCTTTTTGTCCTGCTTGGAATGATTACTGTAATCTTATGACTGCTTAGTTTTTTAAACATGCATAGTATCCTCCTCACTGCATTGGGGTTTCCTGGCGGGAAGACCCTGCACAGACATTTGTAACGTGACCAGAGTTTTAATGTGCAATCCCTCCATGCTAGCAGCTTGGTGAGGTGCTTACATTTTGTAGGACTTCATAGGCTTTTTGCTGTGGTATGTCGGCCTGGTACAGCCCAGGGCTTTGAGGCTGCAGCTCTCTCTTAAGTGTTTATTTTTTGCACCTTTGCCTTTGGGCGATGGACTCCCCCACCTAAAGCTTTGGACTTTTCCTGGCTGCCTCATTGACCAGTTGTGAGGCTGACACCAGCCTGTGAGTCCAGAGCTGGGTCAGAGCAGATAAGGGCTTGTTCTCAGAACCAGCATGGTGATCACTGTGTGTCTTCTCCTTATTTTCTTCTCTGTGAAAACATGTGCCTCGTAATTTGTGTTCTGAGAAATATCTCAACGGTCCTGTGCCCTAAACATTTCCTCATCTGAGATAAGGCCTGGATGTTGGCTCTAAGGAGGGAAAAAGGTACAGTGGAGAGGAAGTTCTGATCAGCAGGAAGATTTCCCAAGCAACGACACCGCCTCTGGCAGCAATGGCCTAGAAACTGGGCTGCCTTGGTGCAGACCGAGACCAAGGCCATTCCCAAAGGAGAGGCTGACAGCATTGCCCAGGCATCCTCTTCCCTGCCAGGCATGGACCTTCTGAGGGATGTGGGGGCTACTGCACCTAGAGAGAGGCACTGGAGCCTGAGAAATCAGTGCTTTGAGGCCTCAGTGGTGGGGCTGGTGGCTGAGGCTGCTACTGGTGGAGTTGACGGGCCCTGGATAAGACCCAGAGTTCAAGATTCTGGTCTTGGCCATCAGTTCCTCACTGTGTGATCCTGGGCATGTCACTTAATCTCTTTGGAACCCAGTTTCTTGCCTAGAAAATAAGTATGTCTTATCAGTGGTTTTAAATTTTTAATTATTTAAAAAATCATCAGAATGCTTTAGAACTTTTTTTTCCAAAAAGAATTGTATGCATATTCCCAGTTGATACAACAGATAAAAAGAACAGTCCTGTATGGAGGAGTTTGGGCCACCAGGGGCCTGTGCCCAGGTCCTTCCTGTCATTCCATGCTGCCATGCCTGTTCTGTTCCCCGGGACATGTTCATGCAAACCTGGCTTCCCCAACACATTTTAAGCCCTCTGGACTAGCTTTGTCCCCAGCTTTGTGTTCTGGGCCTACCAGTCAGCTTGGCTGATTTTCCCCAGGTCAGTGGTGATGGGAGAGCAGTGCTGGTGTGCGGAGAGAGGGCAAATATTTCACCAAAGGACCAAGTCCCAGACAAATCAGAGAGGATGCTGGTCAGTGTGCATTGGTTGAATATCAGTACCAGTTTTGTGTCAGAATGAGCTGTGAAATTTTTAACAAATACACCCTTCAGGGTCTATCCAGCTTCACTTGAATCAAAATTTGGGGCTATTATTTTGAAAAATAGGAAATAGGTATGTGCAGCCCCTCCTCCTAACAAATAGGCAACCCCAAATCAAAATACTAAAACCTTGATTCTGGAGCTTTGGATGGGTGGGTGGTCTCCAGGAGGTATCGTCAGAATAAAAGGGGTCTTAAGTTAACTTGGAGCATGGCAAGGGCAAGAATAACACCAATAATATGATGAAGTACTTACTCTGGAATAGGTTCCATGCTTAACATACCATGAAATAGGTGGATACTAGTTTCCTAGGGCTGTTTTAACAAATGACCACAAAGCTTCATGGCTTAAAAAATCCCCCAGAAATTTTTTTGCTTAGAGTCCTGGAGGCCAGAGTACAAACTCAAGGTGCTGGCAGGGCCACACTCACTCTGATGGCTCTAGAGGGGACTTTGTCTTAGCCTCTTTCAGCTTAGGGAGGTTCCAGGCATTCTGTGGCTTGTGGCTGGATAACTCCTACCTCTACCTTCATCTTTCTTTGCGTGGACTTTTCTTCTTCTCCTGGTGTCTGTCTTTCTGCGGTCATAAGGACATTTGTCACTGGATTTAGAGACAACCTAGATAATATAGGATGATCTCATCTCAAGAACCTTTACATAATTACATCTGCCAAGACCTTTTTATCAAATATGGTCACGTTCAGAGGTCCTAAGGATTAAGATGTGGACACAGGTATTGAGTGAGGGACAGCATTTAACCCCAACTTGTTATTAACACCAACTTAAAGATGAGAAAGCCCAGGTCTAGTCCATGGAGGTAACCTGCCCATGGCCACACCGCTGGTGAGTGGCAGAGCTGGGCTGGGACTCACCCTCAGGTCTGCTTTATGCTTGTCTTCTACAGAGCCTGTCACACAGACGTCCAGGGAGTATGTGGACCAGGCAGATGCAGGACAATCATTGGTGCCAGCTTGCAAGACTCTGCCTTGCCTACAGAGGGTGCTCAATGCCTGTCTGTTAGAGAGGTAGTTCTTGATTCTGAGACCTTGACCAGGACTTCTAGGGCATAGTGAATTAATCTACCTGCCTCTATATCTTTAGGATAGTGCAGGAAATGTCGGATAAATGAAACTGAATGCCTGGAAGAAGATAATGTTCTCATATGTCCGTGGACCTTTATAGGGTCGATAGCTTATAGTTAGTGCATAGATGCTATGGAAAAAGGCTGTATGGGAAGACAGGGATTCCTCTGAGAGACCCAGGTCCATGCTTCCCTTCTTGCTCTAGCCACAATCTGCTTGAGGGACTTCAGATCCATCACCCTGCCTCGATTTCCTAGTATATAAAGTGAGGCTACTAATGGATTTCACAGGGTGTTTTCATGTTTTGTTGACATACAGGGATCGGTCTGAAGGCAAGGGGAAGTAAAAGATAGAATTTCCAAGCTCCTCCTAGCCCTAGGGTTTTAGAAAAAAAAAGTTAATCATATTTTGCACCAGCAGATGTAAGCACATATTGTAACTGTGAGAATAACATGAAATAGAGGACAATCATGCTCTTTTACTTGGATTAGGTCAAGAAACATTTTGCTTAAACTTCAATTAGAGAGATGGAAGTTAGACAAGAATCCCTTTGTGATGTCAGCAGATGTATTTCATGGGAATGGGGGATGAGACAGACTTCTCAGAGGAGAGTTTGGGAAGGAAGAGGACTGTGGGGTGCAGAGGGCGGGAACGAAGCCTGTTGAAACATTTTGACATAAGGAAGACTTTTCAAACCATTAAAGCTGTGAAACCCAGCAATAGGTGACTTGGAAATATGACAGGGCCTTGCAATCAACAAAACAGAGGCCAGATTCTGAAACCATTGTGTATTATTTGAAAGTCATTCTGCCTCATATATACCTATTTTTTTACTGAGATGGAGTTTCGCTTTTGTCGCCCAGGCTGGAGTGCAATGGTGCGATCTTGGCTCACTGCAACCTCCGCCTCCCGGGTTCAAGCAATTCTCCTGTCTCAGTCTCCCAAGTAGCTGGGATTACAGGCATGCACCACCACGTTCAGCTAGTTTTTGTATTTTTAGTAGAGACGGGGTTTCACCATGTTGGCCAAGCTAGTCTTGAACTCCTGACCTCAGGTTAGCCACTCGCCTCGGCCTTCCAAGGTGCTGGGATTACAGGCGTGAGCTACTACATGTGGCCTCTGCCTCATATTTATCCAGCCAGTGTAGACCTGGGATTTGGAGTCAGACAGATCTGTGTTAAGTTCGTGCATTGTCATTTGCCAATTTTTGACCTTGTACAAGTTACTTAACCATCCTGAGCCCCAGGTTCCTTGGCTGTGGTAGTGATATAGAGCACCTCTCTCCTGAGGTTGTCTGTAAGGATTAGATGAGCCAAGGCATGGTATATAATGGTACTTGGCATATAAGAAGCATTTAGAAGTTCTGATATATGTGTAGGAAACCCCATCATCCTTGTTTATGCCATGTGAGCAGTTTGACAAAGCTCTGAGTTGAGGCAGGAGAGTCATCATGCTATTTAATGACAAATGCTTTCAGTGTTTCAAAATGGAGGTAAATGGAAACTTGATGTTTTTCTCAAACACCATTAAGTTGAGGCAAGGCTTGGAGGAGCCTCAGGAAGTTCTCCTTTCCTGTGACTGCGGGTCTCGGGAACGGTGTTGGAATGCCCCTGCCCGCTGGCTTCCTTCTGCTGCTTTGGGGCCTGTCTGCAGACAGGCCAGATCCCAGTCATCTGAAACACCACTCAGAAGGCAGGAATGTGCAATCCGTTCCAAGCTGGAAGTGACTTTCATGTGACAGGCCGCACCACTCTGTGACTCTGTAACTAATTTTCCCTGCCCTGGAAGCTCTCCAGATTCCTGGGATGTGATCAATTGAGGAAACCACTTCAGGTCACATTCAGGAGAGTGCTGTATCTGGAATTGGGTGTGAGAGCTCCCAGCATGTGGAAAATTCAGACTCCAAGTTTCTTTATGTTTTTTTCTACTCTTTTCAGGCTGGTCTTGTTAGGTAAGGAACATGCAAAGAAACCCTCAAAGTTGAAAGAAGTTAAGACAAAAACAAGAGCTGGAATTCCTTGACTGAAGAGGTCATTGTACATGGCAAACAAATGCTCAGCTTATCTTTACTTAACTGAAATAAACGGAACTAAACTGAATTGCTGTCAACGTGTTTATGTGAACGCGTCTGGGACATTTATCACCGTAAAGGTGGTCTTATAAAAGGAATATTCCTGTGTGAATCCAGACACTGGCTTCTAGTGTTAGCTGGGTTCCTAACTCACTCTGAATCTTTGGGCAAGCTGCCTACCTTCTCAGGAAGTCAGTCTCTCTGTCTCTAAAATTAGTTGGGCTCAGAGTTTCCTTCTCTGTTTACAATTCTTTGATGTGTTTTAGAGGGCTGGAAAATTCACCGCTGATGGATCTGTAGTAGGATTCATAAAGGTCTCTTATGTTTGTATATTGCTTCATTATTTCCTTTGCTATTTAGAATCTATTCAGCTTGACAGGGAAGGTTGTGTTATCCCAATATATAGATTAGAAAACTGAGGCCCAGATAAATTGAATGATGTGGCCATGACTTTTTGGCTGGTGACTGGAGGAGGTGAGAATACAACCCGGATCTCCTGACATCTAGTCTGGAATTCTTTCCTCTTGACATGTAAGGTTGTGAGAAACCATATCTGACCATGTCTGGGCTCCATCAGAGGCACAATCTTGTTAACTTGTTTCTTCTGAATCATGATCTGACCTCAGGTAGCTTTTTGTAGGTTCTCAATTGGAATTCAGTTTATAATAAAATGTATTACATGTTGATAATGCAGATTTCCAAGGTGAGTCTTATGACAAGGCATGCGGAGGAAACACGGGTAAGGGAGAAGGAGTTTAGGCCTGAAACCACGCAGACCTGGTGGGCATCTCTGTTCTACAGTTAACTGGCTGCTCACTTACCTTCATTTTCACATCTTTAAAATGGGCATTATAATATCTAACTTTTAGGGTCCTCAATACATTAATTCGTTCACTCTCTTCATCTTAGTCATTTGAAAACAATATTCTACATTCCTTATAAATGATTTCATTTAGGAACATTGAATGATAGAAAGATGATAGTAATATATTGCTATGTTAGACAAATGATACAAGTAGTATGTTTTGTATGAACTTAATTTGTATAAAAATGCACAAAGTACACAATAAAGAGACAAGAATGATTGCATATGGTTAACAGTGGTCTTCTATAGGTGGTGGGACTACAAGTGCTTTCAATTTTTTTCTTATTGCTTTTCTTCTTTTACTTAAATATCTAAATTGACCATATATTAATGTGGTAATCAGTTTTAAAAAGTTCTTTCTCTTAAAGGAGTAAAGGTGATGATTCTAAGTGGGAAAAAATGGAATAACCAGCTTTCTTTCAAATGGTTGTTCAAAAGATGTATTACCATATAATTTAAAAACAGGCACAAATGATGTTTTCAGGAGTAATTGTTAACTAACTTTTTTTTTTTGTCAATGAAGACAGCCCCAGTCAGCCACCAGTGGGTCCGTGGCATTGAAAAGGACACTGCCCAGAGCAGTTGGGGCCCGGACTCCACATCTACTGCGTGCCCTTGCCAAACAGCTGTGTTCTGAGCAAACAGCGTGATGACACTCACCTGTAGGAAGCGGAAATGGGGTCATGGAGTTGGGCTGCAGTCACAGGTGGGGTCACAAAGAGCTGGTGGTGCCACGGTTCCACCCCAACACGCGGGCCAGCCTATCAAGAGAGGGCCAGGACAATGCCGAAAGAACGTCTGTTGCTCTTGGTAATGAGTGACAGTTCTCCGCTGTCGGGTAAGTCCTGGGCAGGATGCTGTCACAATTACAATTTGGCCAGAACCCGCAGTCCTGGGCTTAGGTCTTACAACACAGGGAAAGCTGATGGGAGTTCCTCCCGAGCTTAGTAGCGAGGCTAGAGAGAGACAGAATGACAGAGAGAGAAAATGGTGCGTACACATGGAGAAGCGCGGAGTGAGCACAGATACTCTCTGTCCCAAAATGTGTTTTTGCCACATTTCTTTCAGTCTAATCAGGAGCAGAGAGGGTATCTTTCTTTGTAATGGCTCCCCCAAATTAGAAAGTGAGATAACTTTATTTCATACATGGATGTACATTTTCATTTTAACTTTTGGGTTTTAGTGTGTGTCTTTAAAGGCTGATTTTTGTTTTGTGACAAGAGATTGTTTTTCCATTCCCGAGAGTAACAGTGTTCTTTTAAAAATACATTGCTTTAAGTAAAAAAATGGGGTCACTTCACATATTAATATAGTTAGTGTGTGGAAGTGGCAAAAATCTTCAAAGGGTGATGCAAACAGCTAAAATATGGACATCACTTTTCTTCAGTGGCCTGGAAGTTGAAAGACTTGGGTCCCTGCCATTTTACCTACTAATTAGGAGAACGTAAGTCAGTGGTTCCCAAGCCTACCTAAATGTTGGAATCACCTGGGTGTGGGAGAGCTTCAAAAACTACTGATGCCTGTTTTCTAACCCAGAGATTCTGATTCAATAGGTCTGGGTGTGGCCTGAGCGTTGGAGGTTGTAAAAGATACCCAGGTGATCCTAATGTCAGGCACATTAGAAGCCAATTCTTTGATGTCCCTGAGCCTTAGTTTGCTTTCTGTAGTATGGGGGTGTGGAGTGTCTACTAAACAGGATTTGTGCTATTCTTCATGTTCTTTAAAAAAAAAAAAAAAGAAAGCAAATGCTTTCAAGTGAACGGCTCAATGTTTTCTCCCTGAAAGGGACTGCTGGACAGTATGAGACACTGGGTTCTAGATGGATAAGACAACAGGTCCAGTCTGGGGCTTCTTGTGCAAAGCAGAGAAGGTGGAACCAAAAAATGGCGAGGAAAAGGATAGCTGGCAGAAGCTCTTTCCTCTGGCTGGGTGTGGTGGCTTACGCCTGTCACCCCAACACTTTGGGAGGCTGATGCTGGAGGATCACTTGAGGCCAGGAGTTCAAGACCAGCCTCGTCAACATAGTGAGACCCTGTCTCAATAATAACAACCACACAAACCTCTTTGCTCTAAGCCAGCTTTATTGATAGTTTATATATTCAGACAGAAACAGTGTGTTGTGGGGCAGAGCTAATATGTGTATCCAAGAGATGATGGGCTGCCGTGGGCTAGCAGAGTGACTTCAGACAAGCCTCTTTACCTCTTTGGGTCTCATTTTCCCCAGCTGGAGAATGAAGGGTGGACTAATTGATCCAGACAATTCAGTCTATTGCTAAGGCTTCTCTCTACCCCACCTCCATTGCAGTCTTTTCTTGGCTTTTTGCCAATGAGTTCTTCAGAGAGGCAGTAGATGGCAGTAGAGGCTTTTGAATGAGGACTTTCAGGTTGCTTGGCTCACCTAATTTCATCCTCCCATCCTGACACTGCTGGGAATGCTGCTCTGGAAAGATTCTCTGCTGCCTGCAGAGCTGACAGCTGCTGCCTGAATCTACTCATCTGTGAGCCACAAAGGGGCAAAGTTTAAAGGAACAGCACTTCTTAGCTGTTCACAGTTCTACGAGGGCAGGGCAGAACAGGACCAGCTGGTGCCTACAGTCCAGTTACTTCTTTGCTCTGTCCCTGGGGTCGGATCTCACCTGTTTTTGATCTTTGGCACATTTTCCTGCAATGATGAACGAGTGAGGCGGGCTGGGAGTGAATAAGGAGACTTTTAGGGTAAGAGGGCAACCCGGGCCATCTTTAGGACAAGACCAATTTCTCGGAGGAATTTATATTTGCACATGATGGTTTTAAAAGAGCTTTCATACACATTGATTCATTTCATCTTTGAAACTACCCTTTCAGTTCGGTAGAAGCAAAATTGTCAGTTTCGGCAGATGAGGATGCAGAGTCTCAGGGTAAATGGGAAAGTGGTTTTTTCAAGTCAGCCTGCTCTAATGTGGTGATCAGAACTCAAACCCAAGTCATGTATGTATGTATGTATGTATGTATGTATGTATTGATGGAGCCTTGCTCTGCCACCCAGGTTGGAGTGCAGTGGTATGATCTTGTAACCTCCGTCTCCCGGGTTCAAGTAATTCTCCTGCCTCAGCCTCCTGAGTAGCTGGGATTACAGGCACCATGCCTGGCTAATTTCTGTATTTTTAGTAGAGACGGAGTTTTACTATGTTGGCCAGGCTGATCTCGAACTCCTGACCTCAAGTGATCTGCCTGCCTTGGCCTCCTAAAATGCTGGGATTACAGGTGTGAGCCACTGTACCCAGCCTCAAACCCAAGTCATTTGGCAACTTAGTTCAGTCCTCTTTCTATTGAGTAAGGCATAGCAACTAACGTGCCCCATATTTGAGTTCCTGTAGGTACTTATAAGCTGGGTTATACATTTTAAAAATCTTTATCATTTACTCAGTATGTGTCAGGCACTAAACCATGTTCTGAGAATAGAGGTGAAAAATAAATAACTATCCTTGCATACTGCTCTATATGTTCCAGAAACTGTTGTTAATGGCTTTAAAAATAATTGCCAATTTAATTCCTCTTAGTTAGTGTCCCTTTGAGGTAGGTATTGCTTTAACCCAGTTTACAGATGAAGAAACTGAGGCACAGAGAAATTATGTAACTTGCTACAGTAAGTAGTGAAGCCAGAATTTAAAGGGAGGCAGTAGCATCCTTTTTCTTTTTCAAAACAGCTTTACTGAGTGATAAGTCATGTACTCCATAATTTGCCTATTTATAGTGTATAATTCAATGGTTTTTAGTATATTTGACAGAGATGAGCAAACATCACAGTCAATTTTAGAACATGTCTCATAACATGCCTCATCCCCCCAAAATAAACCTGTACCCATTAACAGTTGGGACGTGGTATTCTTAATAGCTATACTATATTGTTTCCATGGATGACACATGGTTTTTGTCTTTCAAGAGTTCTGTTGAGTTCAGGACACATAGACAGATTATGACACTACAGTGTAATAAGTACAGTGACAGTTGATGCTCAAAGAGCATATAGCTTACAGTATAATGCAGAGTCTTAAAGTAAGGACTTTAACAGAAAGAGAGAGAGAGACAGAGAGCAAGAGAGAGCATGAGCCTGAATTTTCTGCTTATAATAGAGCTATGATTAATGCATCAAGTACTCCTGGAAATTAAAATGATGTTCATAGAGGGGATACTTAGATTTTGTATGCTGGGGTCAGTTGTGATGTTACCAGATTAGTCAATGACTCCTTTCAGCCCCCTTGGGGAATGTGATGGGGATGGCTGGGTGGGCAATGGGCGTGGGCATAGTCTGGGATAAACAGGGAAGGTTAAGAGCACCTAGTGCTTGGTGTCTGGGAGGTCATGAGGAAAGGCTTCACTGTTACTCTCAGGGTCAACCTGGTGTGATGCACACACCAATTCAGCAGCCAAGTTTATCTAGGATATGTCAATCTCACAAGTTATAGAAACTTCCAAGAAGTAGCAACAGGACCCAGGAGCTCACAGCTGGGTTTTCACTTAATCCTTGTACAGTGTTGCCTCAGCTTCTCAAAGTTTCTGGTGTTTATGAAGATCCATAACAGCTGGCTGCAAACCCAACTCCTGAGAATCATTTCTGGGAGAATGCCGAAGACTGCATTTCAACTTCAAGAATGGTGAGAAAAGTACAGTTGAAAATCTCATTTTAATAACCTCGTAGTAATAATAATGTCTGCCATGTATTGAATGCCTTCCAAGTGCCAGATGGTTATGTTAGAGTTTTTTTTCACTTAAATCTCATGATCAACCTGCCAGGGTCACATTGTTACCCCTACTTTAGTGGTGATTAGGATCAGAAGTGGGGAGGTAGTTTGCCCAAGGTTTACATAGCTAGGAAGTGACAGGGCTGGAATTCTAACTAGGGTGATCAACTCATCCTGGCTTGGCTGGGGCTTTGCTGGTTTTAAGATGGAAAGTTCCTTATCGCAGCAACCACTTCAGTCTTGGGTAAGCCGAGAAGTTTGGCCAGCCTAGTATCCAGGTCTGTTGGGTTCTTTCTGCTGTGCCCTGCAAACTGAGAAGCTCCCTTGACCCCTCTCTTGGCAGCAGTACATGGTTTGGGCTCCCTGCCGCACCCCCTTAGGGACTTGCTATGCTCCTCCCTATCTGTCCCCAAGTGCCTGCTCTCTGGAACTGCTCTGAGCCTTGTCTCCTTCCAGCTGTTTCCTGGCCCCCTCAATTGCCTGCTTTCTCTAATGATAGTTGCTCTTATTTTCGTGTCAGGCCTTTTACCGTTTATCCGTTTGGAGCTTCCCCCAAGCACCCAACCCACTGCTGGCTATAAAGATTTGGAGACCTGGGCTTGAGTTCCAGCTGAGCTGCCTTCTGGCTATTCCCTGGGGAAGCCACCTCACCTCCCTAGAGCCTCTGCTTCCTCATCCAAGACTGGGGGTATAGCTGTGCTCACCCACTAACACTGCTGTATTGT
This sequence comes from Homo sapiens, assembly GCF_000001405.40. Classification (NCBI taxonomy): domain Eukaryota; kingdom Metazoa; phylum Chordata; class Mammalia; order Primates; family Hominidae; genus Homo; species Homo sapiens. The sequence continues at coordinate 129,679,115 of NC_000008.11, read as the reverse complement.
TTAACGTAAAGGCAAGATGAGAACATGGAGTTTCAACCTGAAAGGCATTGAGCACGTTGGTTGTCATTACTGTTGGGTGACTTCCTACTTTCCCTGCGTACCTCTGAAAGGAGAAGTGAGTTAGTGGCCATGTGGACCCTGATTTAGCATGGGAGGTTTTGGCGTCTGCTAGCCTGGCTACCTATCCATTGTGTGTCTGCTTTTTTCAGATTTAAAAATAGGGTTCGTGAGTGCCCGACAAATTAGTTGTGAAATACTTAGTCTTTTATCCTGGGTTGGCTTCAAGCTTGAAAAGCGGGTTGGAGCCATGTGTCTTCAAGCTGGCCCAGGACACCCTGCCAGGAACACTGGCTTACTGTGCTGTGAATAAGTATTGGTGGCACAAATGAATGAATGAATGAATGTGGCACAGAAAGTGCCGAATGGGCGATAGGGAGTACATTTGAATGGAAGGTAAAATTGCTTTGGAAAGTTGAAAATATCTGATGCAAACAAGCCAATTTCTCACAAACCACTTCAACTATTTCCTGGAACAAGGCAGCTTGTAAAGAAACACATTACATATATAAATAAATAGTACAATCATTTATATGATTCCCTTATCTTTAATTATTATTATTATTATTATTATTATTTTTGAGACAGGGTCTTACTCTGTCACCCAGGCTGGATAGAGTGCAGTGGCAATCATAGCTCGCTGCAGCCTCTAACTCCTGGGCTCAAGTGATACTCCAGCATCAGCTGCCCAAGTAGCTGGCACTACAGGCACACACCAGCAGATCTGGCTAATATTTTGTATTTTTTTATAGAGACAGGATCTTGCTATGTTGCCCAAGCTGGCCTCAAACTCCTGGCCTCAAGCAATCCTTCTACCTCAGCCTCTTAAAGCACTGGAATTACAGGCATGAGCCACTGCACCCTGCCCCCCTTATCTTTTTATCTTAAATTCTTTCCACTCTTTACCATCTCTTTGTTATGGTCATTTCCACATTAACCCCATTCTGGCTGCTCAGTCATTAACTGAGCATAGATAGGAGCCATTTTTATGATATTTATTTCAGAAGCTTGTAAGTAGGTTGTTTTTTACTTCTTTCCAAATCAGCCCAGAACTCTTGGCCATTTTCAATTATTTGTGTTATTTTATCTTATCTCACTGGTACCTTCTGCTCTGTCTCCTTTGCTGGTTTCTTTTTTCCTCTCAGACCTCTTACATGGGAAGACCCAGGGCTCTACACCGCATTCTCTTTTCTTTATCTAAATTCCTTCCCTTGGTGATCTCATTCAGTCTTTGAGTGTCAATTATTATTTACATCTTATGACTCTCAAATTTATATCTGTCCCAAACTTCTTGCCTGAATGCCCATATTCAAGTACCTATAGGGCTTCTTCACTCATATATATATATATATAATATTATATATAACACATATATAATATCATATATATTATATATTATAAAAATATATTATATCTATTATATATAATATATATTATATCTATTTTATTATATATATTATATATAATATATATTATATATTATATATCTATTTTATTATATATATTATATAATAATATATATAATATTTATATTTTATGTATATACTATATACTATATATAGTATATATTATATACATTATATATATATTTTATTATATATATATTATATATATATATATATTTTTTGAGATGGAGTCTCACTCTGTCGCCCAGGCTGGAGGGCAGTGGTACGATCTCGGCTCACTGCAAGCTCCGCCTCCTGGTTCACACCATTCTCCTGCCTCAGTCTCCTGAGTAGCTGGGACTACAGGCACTCGCCACCACACCCAGCTAATGTTTTGTGTTTTTAGTAGAGATGGGGTTTCACCGTGTTAGCCAGGATGGTCTCGATCTCCTGACCTCGTGATCCTCCTGCCTCGGCCTTCCAAAGCGTTGAGATTACAGGCGTGAGCCACCGTGCCCGGCCTGTTCGCTTATATTTTTAATAGACATGGAAACTTAACATGTCTTAAACTGTACTCTGGCCTAAGCCTCACCCACTCTTTCTGATTGGTTCCTCCCAGCACTTCCCCATCCCAGCTGAGGGCAGCTCCATCCTTGGTTGCTCAGATGTCAAACTCTGTAGGCGTCCTTGAGTCATCCTATCTCTCACCCTCACTTCTGTTCTGCCAGCAAACCCTTTAGTTCAACTTTGAAATACCATAGTTCCTCAATACCAAGATAGAGATTATGTCACCTTTTATAATAATATATCCAAATTAGGGATGTGGCCCACAGGCAGAGGCATGTTGGCTTCAGTGAACTATGACACATCCAGTATTTGGCCATTTCTCAGCCCTCCACATTAACACCTGTTCAAAGTCACCCTGATTGCTCACCTGGAAGACTGCCATGGTCTCCCTGCCTCTCCCTTACAATCTGTCATGTATTCTCAAATGACAGCCAGGGTGGATCTTTTATAGCACAAACTAGATCAAAACCTTCCAATGACTTCCTATGTTATACAGAAAAAAAGTTGGTGACATGATAATGATATACAAGGTCCTCTGTGATCCAGCCCCTCTTTTCCTCTATGACCTCACCCACCCTTTTACATTCCTCAGGCTTGCTTCTCCTGCCACACTTGCTTTGTTGCTATTCTTCAAGCAATTTGGACTTGTTTCCACCTTCAGGCTTTTGCAATGGTCATTTCCCATCTTTTGAGTTCTCTTCTTTCAGATAGCTGCTCGGCTAATCCTTTTACCTCTTTCAAGCTTTGCTCAAACGTCACCTGATCAATGAGGCTTCCTTTGACTGCTCTGATTAAAATTGCAACAAATCCCTTACCCTGGTACTTCCCCGATTCTCTGCTCTGTGTTCTCCATCACACTTGACACCCTGTCGCATACTTTACAATTTACTTAGAAACACCTGTCTTCTATTACAAGAATGTAAGGTTCACCAGGGCATGGATTTTTGTCTGTTTTACTTACTGCTGTATCCCCAAGCACTGAGAGTAGGAAATCCTAAATATTTGTTGAATGAGTGAATGAATTTCAAATTCAACAAAAGCCGCAGAAATGAGAGAATAGAAAGTCACCCATGCAGGCTTGTCAGACACACTGGCATGGTTTGGGTGATGACTTTTTCCCTCCCTTCCATCAAAATAAGACTCCTAAAGCTGATGTTATTATTGAAAGCAGCAGTGGGGAACGGGGTGGGAAAGGTGGCTCATGAAGAATAACGAAGTCAGCACTTCCAGTGAGCTTGGGTAAGTTAGAAGCTGGGCGGTCATGTGTGACTTCCATTAATCATCCTCTTCACACCATATCAATACAAGTGACAACTTTTGTCTGTACCTGCTGCCTTCAGTGCCATGATATATGACCTGTGGAGAGTCCAAGTACTAATAGTTGAAGAACCCAAAAAGATGAATGCTCACATCTTGACCCTTGAGAGAAGAGTTCGTCATAATGAAGGGTGAATGGACCATGCAAATATGTACTGGCTTTGGTCTCTCCATCCTGGCCTGGTGCCCATTATCCTGGAAGAAGAGATGGTCCTTGTGCATGGTAGCTTTGTGTCCATTTGGTTGCATGGCATGATTCTTTGAGAAGTTAACTGGAGAGTGGGGCAGATGGGGGCAAAGTTATGAGATAAGGCAAAACAGTGAGATTCAGAGCCTCTCTGCTGTGTACCATCTTTTCTCCTTTTCATTCCCTTCTACCCCCACAGGGGCTGTAGGTGAGACAGCAGTATGATAGAGATGAAGACTTGGTTCAAGAATCTCATTTTGCCATTTTCCATACCCTTGGGCAAATTATTGATTTGTTTAGCTTTACCCATGATTTATAGAGTGATAATCCTTTGTAGCTATATAAAATTTTAGTTATCACAAATGGCTTTAGCACTTGTTAGCTAATAAGATCCTCTCAATTCTGTAAGGTTAGGGAAGATATAATTATCTCTATTTTACAGTGAAACAAACCCCTAGGATTCTGAGAATTCAAGCTATTTGTCTGAGGTCACAAGGCTTGTAAACAGAGGAGATGAAATAAAAGTTAGGTTCTTCTGTTTTCTGTCCCCTATAAAATTTCAAGAGTCTTTCAGGCATTCAAACCTAATTCATTGACATTGAATTATAGTAGCTCATGATAATCATTCCAGGAAAGATTTTCTTAAAAATCAGAAGATAGAAGAAGGGCTTGAAGACAATAGTAACCAGAAGATCTGCGCTCCGAGTTACTAACTCATCCAGGCTGCTTAGACCAAGTAAACGAAACAAGGAGGCAGCTTAAGTTTTACGAAAGCATGCTTCTTTCCAGAATTTAAACATTAATTAAACATCTATGTATGTTGGCACTGTGCTGGTTCTGGGAATGCAATGATGACCAAGATCCAATTCTTATCCTTCAAAGGGGCTCAGAGACTAGTGGGAGAGTCAGAGTATTGAATACATAAATTTAAGAAGGCATCCTAGTGGTTTGGGTTTACAGATGACAGGGAGGGCAAATGAGAGGAAGAATTAATTGCAAATGGAAGAATTGCAGATTGCATTCAGGAAAGATTCAGAGTGAAGCTGAAACTGAGATTGGAGAGTCTAACACACAGTGAATGCTGAAAAAAATTGATTTCCGGCTGGGTGCGGTGGCTCACGCCTGTAATCCCAGCACTTTGGGAGGCTGAGGCGGGCGGATTACGAGGTCAGGAGATCGAGACCGTCCTGGCTAACACGGTGAAACCCTGTCTCTACTAAAAATACAAAAAATTAGCCAGGCGTGGTGGTGGGCGCCTGTAGTCCCAGCTACTCCGGAGGCTGAGGCAGGAGAATGGCATGAACCCGGGAGGCGGAGCTTGCAGTGAGCCGAGATTGCACCACTGCACTCCAGCCTGGGCGACAGAGTGAGACTCCGTCTCAAAAATAAATAAATAAATAAATAAATAAATTAAAAAACAATAAAAAATTGATCTCCTCCCTCCCTTCATCATTACTAGTCCCAAACACATTCCCCTTATAATTTTTCCTGAAGGGTCAATTATGCTTTTTCCAGGGAGGATACTTTTATATTCTTCAGCATATACACACCCTGGCCTGTGGGGGGATGCAGACCAATGGATGTCCTTTTTGAGTTGTCCATGAGAGAAAACCCTGGAAACTTACAGAAGCTGAGATGACCCTGATTAAGAATGGCTCCTTTTTGCAGGATGACAAGATTGTGCCTACCTCAACATATTTCTGTCCTGAAATAATTCAGTTTTGCTAAGAAGGCAGAAAAGGAGAGAGTAACCTTCTGCAAAGTGCCCCTGAGGTGTGAGACCAGATGTGAACATTAGTCTGAACAGTTTAATGAGCCAGCGCTGAAGATCACTCCCAGCAATGTACTGGGATGTTGATAAGACGTTCCTTATTCAAAGGCCACTTGTCAGCTTTGTGACAAACATGGAGAACCAGGAAATGGGCAAAAAAAAAGACTTAACGATGACGGTGTCAATGTCAAAAAGTCAGTGGAGGGCCAGGTGTGTGGTGGCTTGAGCCTGTAATCCCAGCTACTCAGGAGGGTGAGGTGGGAGGATCGCTTGGACCCGGGAGTTCAAGACCAGCCTGAACAACACAGGGAGACTCTTTCTCTAAGGAAAAAAAAATCCCATGGAATACAGCAACGTGTTTCTGGCTTTGGAATAGAACTTATTTATTCTTAGAAACAGTCCTCACTTGGCAATCTGGTTTCCTAAGACATAGCAGATTAGATACAGAAAATTTTAAAAGTGTGAAGAGGAAGGGGCTGCAAGGTTTTGCTCAGGCAAGCTGCATAAAATCCAGAGAGCCTGGCAGACAACAACTAGCAAGAAGTAGAGAAGACTCAGTAGGTGCCAAGCTTCTGGCATTCTGTGCAAGGACAATAGTGTATGATAGCTCAGTAGTTCCCATGGCTTTTGCAGTGTAATTAATAATGACCCTTGGTCACTGAACAAGACTAAAATTATGTCTTAATATCTCAGTTTACAAAGATAAGAGAGGTGAGACACTTTTCCTTCCAAAATAGCCAAGATATTTAATTATACTTAAAAGTTTTTATTTTAGTTTGAAAGAAATCATTCATCAGAAATATCTTTTTCTTGATAAAATTAGACTAATGAAGTATTACTTATACTTCTGTCTGAAAAGATAGCTGCTGTCAAGAGGCAAAGCAGAAGCGTTCTATGGGTCAGGAGTCTTTGGAGCCTGAGAAAGCAGAGAGAACAAGGGATTGAAGACAAGAAAGGGGCTGTGAGATATAAGCAATCTGGAGAGTGAGTTATGGCTTCAGCTAGGCTTCCAGGGAGCATGGTAGATAAATCTGGAGATGATAGCAGAGGTCACATCATGGAGGGCCTGAAATGGTAAGGGAACTTTGAAGGACGTTAGGGGAGTGAAGGAGTCAGATCTACAATTTAGAATAAGCATTTTGGCCATCACAGCGCAGAGGGTGGAATGAGTATATTTAGATATTTGACAGTTCTGTCCATTTTCCAGAATGTCTCCTTTGTTCCCAAGCAGACCAGCAAAGTGACTAGAGGGACACTCAGTTCTTCACTTGTGGTCTGCTCAGTCAGTAGATAAGATTGGATAGCCGTGCGGGCATCAGGACAGCTGTTGGCACTGTTACCTTGGGCAAAACATTTCTCCTCGTGAGAGTTCCTTTCTTGATCTGTAATAATCCCTGCTCTTCCTTTCTCATGAGGCTTTTGTGAGAATCCAATAAACGTGGGATCAAAAAGCATTTTTATATAACAAAGTATTATCCTTTTATTCCATTAAAAATATCTCCTGCAGAGCCAAGTACTAAGATGGGCATAAAACAAGAATATGATAAACATGTGCTTGATTCACTGAATTCTGAAGCACAACTTGGATCTTGTGTTGGATAATCATAGTTTGCCCTCCAGATCCATTTTCTACCCTTCTCCACCTCCTCTGCCCAATGAAACTGACCTCTAGCACCTGTATTGCATGGGCTTTTTTGTTCTCTGGTTTCTAGTTGGGTTTGGCCAATGGAAGGAACATGTGAATCAGAGGATGAGAGAAGGAGAGAGAAGTCAGGGTACCTGGTCCACTTGCCTATTCCTTGCTGGGCCAGGTTGGCCAGAGCTCTTTTCACCACCTAAGTCTATAGCTCCTGTTGGAGGTTCTCCCCCAGGATTTTACTTTCACTAGATTTGGTAACTGTCCCTGCTCAGGCCTCAATATGGCAATGGCTCCCCACTGCTGCTTGTCCTTGGGTTCTACACCATCCTTTTCTGGTTCTCCTAACTTTGGCTACAGCTTTACAAACACTTCCTCCATGAAACTCTCTTCCATTTGTCTTTTGAGTGTGCCATCCAATAGACTGGTTTACACAGACATCATATAACTTCTCAGTATTACATCTCAGTTTAAATTCATCGAACTGTTTAGAGAACCTCTTTTGTAGCTGAACTTTCAACCAGTTTTGGGCTTCTGTGCTGATCTTACAGTTCTCCCTAACTCTTAAGGGATTGGAAATTTGTAGACCCTGTGCTCAGTGCTTAACCAAACCTAGCTTTCTTTCCCTTCTTTTTATTTTAAATTGACTTTATTGAGGGAAAGTTTTAAAGCAAGAAAATGCTTCTATTTTAAAAGGTACAGTTCAATGAGTTTTGAAAAATATATATGCCCATAAAACCATTTTGACAACTGAGATATAGAACATTTCCATACTGTAAAATATTTCCTTATTCCCCTTCCTACTCAATTCCAGCCCTAGGCAATGGCTGATCTGTTTTCTGTCACCTTAGATTAGATCTATCTTTGTTGGCAATTCATATTAATAAAATCATACAGTACAAATTCTTTCATGTTTGGCTTCTCTTGCTTAGAATACTGTTTTGGAGATTATTCCATTTTGTTGCAATAGTTTATTCCTTGTTATTGCTATGTGTTGATTCATTCATGTATTGATGGACATTTGGGTTCTTTTCAGTTTTTGCCTATTATAAATAGAGGTGATATTAACTCCAAGGCAGAAGTCTTTGTGTGGACATGTTTTCATTTTTCTTAGGTAAATATCTAAGAATAAAACTGCTAGATTATATGATGAAACTGCCAGATTATATGATAAGTGTATGTTTAGCTTTACAAGAAAGTGCCAAGCAGTTCTCCAAACTGTTTGTATCATTTTACATTCTCACCAACAATGTGCAAGAATATCAGTTACTTCCTTGCCAGCACTCATATTGTCAGCCTTGTTAATTTTAGATAAATTTTTTTTTTAAAGAGATGGATTCTTGCTCTGTCACCCAGGCTGGAGTATAGTGAAGTAATCATATCTCACTGCAGCCTTGAACTCCTACTACAGCCTCCCAAGAAGCTGGGACTACAGGCATGCACCACCATGCCTAGCCCAATTTTAGACGTTCTAATGGATGTTGTATTAGTCCATTTTCATGCTGCTGATAAATACATACCCAAGACTGGGTAATTTATAAAGTAAAAGGGGTTTAATGGACTCATAGTTCCATGTGGCTGGGAAGGCCTCATAATCTTGGTGGAAGGCAAAAGGCACATCTTACGTGGCAGCAGGCAAGAAAGAATGAGAGCCAAGTGAAAAGGGAAATCCCTTATAAAACCGTCAGATCTCATGAGACTTATTCACTACCACGAGAACAGTAGGGAGGAACTGTCCCCATGATTCAATTATCTCCCAACTGGTCCCTCCCACAACATGTGGGAATTATGGGAGCTACAATTCAAGATGAGATTTGGGTGGGGACACAGAGCCAAACCATGTCATTCTGCCCCAGCCCCTCCTAAATCTCATGTCTTCACATTTCAAAACCAATCATGCCTTTCCATCAGTCCCCCAAAGTCCTAACTCATTTCAGCATTAACTCAGAAGTCCACGGTCCAAAGTCTCATCTGAGACAAGACAAGTCCCTTCCACCTATAAGCCTGTAAAATGAAGAGCAAGTTAGTTACTTCCCAAGTACAATGGAGGGTACAGGCATTGGATAAATACATCCATTCCAAATGGGAGAAATGGGCCAAAATGAAAGGGCTAAAGCCTTCGTGCAAGTCTGAAATCCAGTGGGGCAGTCAAATCTTAAAGTTCCAAAATGATCTCCTTTGACTCCATGTCTCATATCCAGGGCACACTGATGCAAGAGGTAGGTGTTTACATCCTTGGGCAGCTCCATGCTCCATGCCTGTGGCTTTGCAAGATACAGCCTGCCTCCCAGCTTCCTTCACGGGCTGGTGTTGAGTGTCTGCAGCACATGCTGCAGTGGATCTACCATTCTGGGGTCTGGAGGATTGTGGCCCTCTTCTCAGAGCTCCACTGGGCACTCTGTGTGGGGGCTTCAACCCCACATTTCCCTTCCACATTGCCCTAGCAGAGGTTCTCCATGAGGGCTCTGACCCTGGGGCAAACTTCTGCTTGGACATCCAGGCAATTCCATACATCCTCTGAAATCTAGGCGGAGGTTCCCAAACCCCAGTTCTTGACTTCTGTGCACCTGCAGGCTCAACACCACATGGAAACTGCCAAGGCTTGGGCCTTGCACCATCTGAAGCCATGGCCTGAGTTGTATCATGGCTCCTTTTAGCCATGGCTAGAGTGGCTGGGATGCAGGGCATCAAGTCCCTGGGCTGCACACAGCAGGGGGACCCTGGGCCTGACCCATGAAACCATTTTTTCCTCCTAGGCCTCCAGCCCTGTAATGGGAGGGATTTCCACATAGGTCTCTGACATGCTGTTGAGATATTTTCCCCATTGTCTTGGTGATTAACATTTGGCTCCTTGTTACGTATGCAAATTTCTGCAGCTGGCTTGAATTTCTCCTCAGAAAATAGCTTTTTCTTTTCTATCACATCATCGGGCTGCAAATTTTCCAAACCTTTCTGCTGTGTTTCCCTTCTAAAACTGGTTGCCTTTAACAGCACCCAAGTCACCTCTTGAATGCTTTGCTGCTTAGAAATTTCTTCTGCCAGATACTCTAAATCATCTCCCTCAAGTTCAAAGTTTCACAAATCTCTAGGGCAGGGATAAAAGTCCACTAGTCTCTCTGCTAAAACATAGCAAGAGTCACCTTTATTCCAGTTCCCAACAAGTTCCTCATCTCCATGTGAGACCACCTCAGCCTGGATTTAATTGTCCATATCATTATCAGCATTTTGGTCAAAACCATACAAGTCTCTAGGAAGTTCCAAACTTTCCCACATCTTCCTGTCTTCTGAGCCCTTGAGACTGTTCCAACCCCTCTGCCTGTTACCCAGTTCCAAAGTCGCTTCCACATTTTTAGGTATCTTTACAACAGTGCCCCACTACCTGGTACCAATTTACTGTATTAGTCTGTTCTCATGCTGCTGATAAAGACATACCCGAAACTGGGCAATTTATAAAGAAAAAGAGGTTTAATGGACTCACAGTTCCATGTGGCTGGGAAGGCCTCACAGTTATGGTGGAAAGCAAAAGGCACGTCTTACATGGCAGCAGACAAGAGAGAGAATGAGAGCCAAGTGAAAGGGGAAATCCCTTATAAAACCATCAGATCTCATGAGACTTACTCACTCTCATGAGAACAGTATGGGGGGGCCACCCCCATGATTGAATGATCTCCCATCAGGTCCTTCCTTCAACATGTGGGAATTATGGGAGCTACAATTCAAGATAAGATTTGGGTGGGGACACAGCCAAACCATATCAGATGTGTAGTAGTATCTTATTGTGATCATAATTTGCTTTTCCATGATAACTAATACTTTTGGGCATTAAAAAATACTTATTGGCCATTTGTAGACTTTGTGAAATGCTTATTCAAATGTTTTGTTCTTTTTTTGGTTTAGCTATTTTGCTTATTACTGAGTTGCAATTTCCTTCTATATTCTGAATACAAATTCATCATCAGATATATGTGTTGTGAAGTTTTCTTCGAGGATTTTCCAGGTATTTTCTCAATGATGTCTTTGAAATATGGAAGTTTTTAAATATTAATGGAATCTAACGTATTAGGTTTTTCTTTATGCTTCATTTTCTTGCGCATAAGCTATCTTTGCCTAACCCAATCAATGCCACAGATTCTCTCTCCTATGTTCTTTATAATTTTAGTGGTTATATTTAGGTATATAATTCATTTCAAGTTAATTTTTGTGAATAGTGTTAGGTAGATGTTAAGGGATTTTTATTTTTCCACATTAAACACTTAGTCTTATTATGTATGATGTTAGAGTAGGTTTTTCGTAGATGTTCTTTATCTGCTTGATGAATTTCCTTTTATTTCCAGTTTGTTGACTTCTTTTTTTATCATGAGGAGGTTTTGACATTTGTCAAATGCTTTTTCTGTATCAGTAGAGTTGGTTGTGTTTTTTCTCTTTATTCTGTTGATATGGTAAGTTGTATTAATTAATTTTGAACTTCAAAGGTGCTTTGAATTCCTGAGAGTCACAGTTTGTATATACTGTATTAAATTTCTCCTGAGCTGAGCTGGGGTCCTGACTTCCTTTTTTTTTTTTTTTTTTTTTTTTGAGACAGAGTCTTTGTCTGTCACCCAGGCTGGAGTATAGTGGCATGATCTTGGCTCACTGCAACCTCTCCCTTCTGGGTTCAAGCAATTCTTCTGCCTCAGCCTCCTCAGTAGCTGGGATAACAAGTGTGTGCCACCACACCCAGATAATTTTTGTATTTTTAGTAGAGACGAGGTTTTACCATATTAGCCAGGCTGGTCTCTAACTCCTGACCTCAACTGATCCACCTGCCTCAGCCTCCCAAAGTGCTGGGATTATAGATGTGAGTCACCATGCCTGGCCCTGAATTCTTTTTGATTCAGCTATAAGGTTGCTTATTTCTTGGACCCTACAACTGCACACCAGACATGAGATGCTGCCATGTGATATAAGAGTGACCTGGTTGAGTTGGGTACTGCTTATCATTTTTTCCATGGCACCCTCTTCTTACTTTTAGCAATGTACCCTTTACACCAAATGACAACTGTTGCTTTCCTTTTTTTATCTTAGCATCTGCCTGACTGATTTGAGCTTTCTAAGAGCCGAGACTTTGTCTTTGTCATTTTGGGAAGCCTGGTGCCAAATGCATGAAAATATTAAGAAGAACAATAATAGCTATAGAGAGGCACTTTGCTTCCATTATCTCGAATGCTCCCCCAAACCCCATTAGGTTGGCCTTCTTAGACTGTTAGAGACGCAGTTCAGAAAGGTTGAGTCTTTTTTCCCAGGTCACCTCATCGATAGGTCCAAATCCATTGTTTAATGCATATTATCTTTCCACCTTGTTGCAGAATCTTTTACATGGTAGGCTATTAAATAGTTGTCAACTGATTGGTTGCATGAATAAGTGAGTCAGTATATTAAAGTAGACTTTCTCTCTTTTTTCATGAATGGAAGAGGTCTACCTAATGAGAAAAAAAGTCAACTTGGGAACTGGCATCTTGGGAAGGCACGAGGGAAGGGGAACCAAGAGGGGTGGTGGTGGGGTACTTGCTAAAAAAAAGAAAAGGAAGTATAAACTATAAATTTCCTTGACAGGGTTGCATCTCTGTGGCTTAGACGTTGGCCACTTCATCTTGGCATGACTATTATATAACAGGAGGATGGAGAAATGGCCGGAAAGTATTGCTTCCTATTACATAACTCTTACTATGTGCCTGACAGCATTTCTGATAATGAGGAGAACAGAAAGTATGCCTGTCTTTGAGAGAAAGGCTTTAAGCTTCTTGCAGGAGAATGAGCCTGGCCTTCAGCCGTTTAGAGCGTTAGAGTACCTGACTGATTTCCTCAGAAAGCCTCAGACTGTCTCCCCGGTCATGGTTCTTTGCACCCCCTCCCCCAGGGAATGGTTGATATTCACATTCCTCAGAAACACTTTTAACATCTAAATATGTGGTCCTTCAGAGCCCAAAGAGGAATGTCTGGTGGAGAAGGCACTAGAATATTTGAGGTTTTGTCCTTTCATCAGATCGGTCCCTGCTGAGCTGGGCCATGTATTTTTGCTTCCCCAGTTTGGTGTTTTGGTGATAAGAAATTGGAATACTTTTAAAATAGTTCTTCCTTGTCTGGTTACCATGTTGCAGAAACCTATATGATACAATAGGCATTACTTGGTAGGCTCTGCAGTGATCTCTTATCAGATTGTGCTGAGTAAAGCCACCTTGTAGGTCAGTTAGGGTCAACCTTCAGAGCACCCAACCCAATAGTGTTTTTCACCTGCACCACTTCCCTTTGACCTAAGTCTCTCCAATGCCCAGCAATTGTTCTGTGTCAATATGTGAAACCAAATGAACCCACGCTGGAATCCTCCATTGTCTTTACTCTGCATGCAGTCCCCAGAAAGTTTTGGTGGTGCCAGCACCTCCAGAACCTCTCTGGAATCCAACCACTTCTTACTCTCTGCTCTGCTACCTTTCTATGCAAGTCCCCTTCTGGTTTTTCTTCTTTTACTCTTTTGTCTCTAGTGCCCATTCACCATACAGGAGCTGGAATTAACATTTTCAAACTTATAAATTAAAGCATGCCACAGTGCTGCTAAAAACCTTTAAATGCTTTCTCCCATCTCCTCCCTGTGCCTTTAAGGCCTGTTGTGATCTGGTCCTGTCAACTCTTTGACTTGATCTCCTATCACTCCTATTCCTGACATCCTGGACTTCCTTCTGTTCCTCACACACACTTCGCCTTAGGCTCTTTGTTCTAGGTCTTCTTGCTACTTGGAAAACTCTTTCTCAGGATCTTGGCCTGGCTGGTTCATCAGTTTTCTGATCTCATCTCAAATATCATCTCCTGCCTTGCTACCCTATCTAAAGTTGCCTCTCATTCTGTCTCTATCCTGTTACACTGCTTTATTTATTTTTTTCATAGAACTTACCTATATCTCTATGCTTTTGTCTATTTCCATTTATTTCCCTGTTTATTTTCTATTTCAGGGGTTTGCAGACTACTGTGGGTCAAATCAAGCCTGCCTGGTTCCATAAATAAAGTTATATTGGAAAATGGCCTGGCCTGTTTGTTTATGCATTGTCAATGGCTGCTTTGGCTCTATAAGGGCATTACTGAATAGTGGTGACAGAGACGATCTGGACTGCAAAGCCTAAAATATTTAGTATCTGGCCCTTTACAGAAAAATTTACTGACACCTGCTCTATCTCCCTCCACTACTTAACTGTCTTGTTCACTGCTAATTCCCCAGCACCTAGTACAGTTCTGGGCACATGGTGGTTCTCAATAAATACTTGTCAACTGAACTTAGTCAATGAAGGAACACAGGACATTGTGACTGGTTTTGACTCTAGTTGTGGATGTCTTTTGACCCTTATTTCTTGCAGACAAAAGGGAATTGGGTACTATATGTATGTTCACATGCATATGTCCATTTGTGTGTTCTGGAATGAGAAAATAGTGAGGCAAAATGGACAATATGAGGTTCTACATCCATACAGATTATTGTTCCAAACCCGTATCTGTAACTTAGTGTCTGTATGGGCTAGGGAAACACAGTCAACCTCTTTTGCCTCTGTCTTTTCATCTTGAAAAAGGAGAAACTGGGAACCACCTTTCATGGTTCCAGTGAACATCGCAGGGATAACATTGACTGACTTTGGATGACTAGTCAAGATATGGAATGTGAGGAAGACTACACTTAGTTTTCATGAAGGAGCTTGAAGGAACAGCGTGCAATGAAGTCCAAAGTATAGATACCACCATTTTGACAATTCAGTTCAATTCAATCAACTAGCCCAACAGACACTGATTTGGCACCTCTTGTGTTGCAGGCACTGTGCTATGTTACAGGAATGTAGAAACTATCCAAGAAGTGCTTAACAGCCCTCAAATTCTTGACTAGCTAGTATGCCCAAGGCCAAGTGCTTCATGCCTGAGAATGCAGAGACAAACAAGACACAGTCCCACCCATGCAGGCTTCTGATCTTACAGAAGTGTTCTGAGGAATTCACCTCCTACACCTAACAGTTGAAGGTTAGAAGAACGTAAAAGATATGCAAACATCAAAGAAGATCTAAAGAAGGGGATATGACCATGTTAGGTTTATTTTTAGGTTTGAATGGAGAGGCCTACAGTATTGTCATCCTTTTTTCTTTATATAAACTCCAGTCCTCTATGATTTTATTTTTAAATGCGCTTTGTTTATATATCACCTATTCTGATAACTCAAACCTTAATTAATTATTTTTTCCAAAGTAAGTGACCAATATATAGTAAATTTCAAAGACTAATAACACAAAGGTCTAATTTTATTGTAACTTGAGGGAAAGATAAGCAAATTTCTGATTATTAGGAACACACTAATTAAAAAAATTTATATGTGTATATATATGTGTATATATATGTGTGTGTGTGTGTGTGTGTGTGTGTGTGTGTGTGTATGTTTTAGCAACAGGGTCTTGCTCTGTCACCCAGGCTGGAGTGTAGTGGTGGGATCTCAGCCCATTGCAGCCTGGGCTCAAGCGATCCTCCCACCTTTGCCTCCCAAGTAGCTAGTACTACAGGCAAGTCCCACCATACTTAGTTAAAAAGTATATTTTTTTTATGTAGAGTTGGGATCTTGCTATGTTGACCAGGCTCATCTTGAACTCGTGGCCTTACGTGATCCTCCCTTCTCAGCCTCCCAAAGTGTTGGAATTACAGGTGTGAACCACCATGCCTGGCCTCGATTTTTTTTTTTCTTATATAGAAAGAAATTTGAGGGATGGCTTTGAGTGTTAGTGTGGTTAGTCACTCATGGCTCAATTAGACAGGCTCATTTCCATCTGTCTTTCACTCCAGATTTTATGTATTAACTGAAGTGCTCTTATGATCATGGACATGAAGGCTACTCAAAAAACTTCTTCATTCAGTCTCTTTTTTTTGAGAACACATCAAAAAACTTGAAGATACAGTGCCAGAACTTGAAGATACAGAGATGAACAATCTGTATTTTAAAATTCTGCATTCTAAGCTCATTCAATTCTGTATTGGTTTCTTATGAATAAAAAAATCAAGAAAAATCTGTAAATTAAGAAGCTCACATTCTTAATCATTCATTGAGCACAAACTCTGCATGAGACACTAGGTGCTGGATAATCAATTGAGCACAGTCTCTGCTCTTTAAGAGCTTATAGTTTTGTGAAGGACATTGATAGGTAAACAGTTACTGAAGGGGGTTTTAAGTTTTATGATTAAGAGGCAATATATTGTAGTTCCTGGGTTCAAATCTCGGGTGTACTCCTGGCAATCTGTTTGATCATAGACAAGTCATTTAGCTTCTTAGTACCTCAGTTTCTTCATCTGTAACACAAAGATAATAATAGTCTCTCACTTAACAATGTTATTGAAGGGTTTCCTTGAGAAAACAGTACTTGACACATAGTAGGTAATCAATAAATGCTACTGAAGGAATCATATGGACCTAACGGAATATAACGTAGAAGGCAGGGTGCTCAAACATAGGGTTTCCCACTTTTCAGAAAGAATCTTGCCTAAAATTTTCTATTGTGATGTAAGAATGATGTTTCCCTCTTGTGTATTAAATTGATCCTCTGTGACATCTAGTCACTCACACTCCTTTTTTTTTTCTTTCTCTCCCTCACTGGATTTCTCAGTGAGTCCAATGAGTCTAACATATTTCTGATTTTGCCTAATAGCGGGCATCCATAGCACTGAAAGAGAAGCTATTTAGAAAATTAAATAGCCATTGTGCTATTCAATTTCCATTAACAGAGTCATTTGAGGCCTTAATATTCCTTCAGTTAAGGAGGAAGTTGCAGGTAATGTACTACATTCACTTTGCATATGCAGCTGATAGGGAGTATCAGTAAAGTTATGCAGTCAGCAGTTAGGTATCATGTTAGCTTCAATCATAATTTACTAAGCCATGGGAGGACATGGTGATGTTCACATCCCATATAACTGGGTACAATATATTTCTAGCAACCTATGGATAGAGAAGAGAACATATATTCATTTATTTTCTCATCATTGGGTTGCAAGTATGTGCTAGGCCCTATAGTAGACACTAAGGATAATGTAGTAATTGGGACATTTCTCATCTCATCTCCTACCCTCATAGTAATACAAAGAGACGTCTAGTCTTTACTTTTGGGGTGACAAAATAAATTAAATGATATTAATTTAATACCTTCTATGTTTACCTTACTTGTAATTTTTCAATTCAATTAAATCTGATTCATTTTATTTCAGTTCAATTCTGCGTATCTTTTTTTTTTTTTTTTTTTTTTTACTATTAACTACAGAGTTTATTTGGATTTTACCATTTTTCCCAACAATGTCATTTTTCTGCTTTGGGATACAATCTAGGATGCCATGCTGGACTTACAGCTGTTGCTTTCTTTTTTTCCTAACTTTATATTTTGAAATAATTACAGATTCACAGGAAGTTGTAAAGACAGTGGCCCCCTGCACCCTTCATCCAGTTTCTCTCAGGGGTTACATCTTACATGATTATAATACAGTATTCCAACCAAGACTTTGACACTGGTGCAATGTGGGTGGATAGTCCAACATCATTTGTCACATGTATATTTGTGTAACTACCACTGCAATCAAGATAAAGAACTGTCCCATCCCCACAAGGATCTCCCTCCCCACTACCCCCAACCCCTGGCAACCACTAATCATTCATCTCTTACTTTGTCATTTCAAGAATTCAACTTATCATTTATCACTCACCTAATCTGATCCACTTGAAAATGACTAGCTAAAAACCAGGTAAATGTGCCACTGACTTCCAGCAGGCTTGAATCAGGTCAGGGAGTTTCTCTCTGTAAAAGCCAAGGCCAGACTCTTTGGGTTGCAAGTGACAGAAACCCAACTCCAGCAATTTTAGGCCAAGCTAAAGGTAAGAGAAACATCGCCAAGGTTTGCTTTTCCTACCATGTTCTCTCTCCTGTCTGTGTACCAGCCTTATCACCTCCTACCTTAGTCTGAATTTTCCACCTGGTAAAGGAACATAGTGCTAGAGTCCCACTTTCCATAGAGTCCTACTTTCCATCACTGGGGAGCAACTGAGACTTTGTCTGTTAGGTCCCTAGTTGTAAAAAACCAGGGAAGTGCTCTGACTGGCCCATCTTGGGTCATCTGCAGTTAATGTCCAATTGGTGAAATGACTGCACTGACTTGCTTTTATAATTATCTGATAAACTCCTCCTGGCATTCACATAGCTTTGAAATGTGGAAGAGAAGTTCCTAAGTAACTTCTGATTATGTAATAAATTTCTTATCTGATTAAAAATTAATGCATATCCACTCTAGGGAATTTAGAGAATAAAATGTATTCTCTAAAAAGTATAAAGAAGTACAGTCATGTGCTGCATAATGATGCTTTGGTCAATGACAGACCACATATACAACGGTGGTCCCATAAGATTATAGTGGAGCTGAAAAATTCTTATCACCTGGTAACATCATAGCCAGTGTAGTGTCATAGCACAATGCATTACTCGTGTTCATTGTGATGCTGCTTTAAACAAACCTGCTGTGCTGACACTCCTATAAAAGTATAATACATACAATTATGTACAGTATATAATACTTGATAATAAATGACTATGTTACAGGCTTATGTATTTACTAAAGTATATTTTTAATCATTATTTTAGAGTGCATTCCTTCTACTTATGCATAAAAAAGTTAATAGTAAAACATCCTTAAGTAGGTCCTTCAGGAGGTATCCAGAAAAAGACATTGTCATCCTAGGAGATGACAGCTCTATGTGTGTTATTGCCTCTGAGGACCTTCCAGTGGAATAGGATGTGGAGGTGGAATAGTGATATTGATGATCCTGATCCTGATCCTCTGTAGGTCTAGGTTAATGTGTGCATTTGTGTCTTAGTTTTTGACAAAAAAGTTTAAAGGATAAAAAACATTTTTTCAAATAGAAAAAATAGAATAAGGACATAAAGAATTTTTTTTACAGTTGTACAATGTATTTGTGTTTTAAGCTAAGTATTATTACAAAACAATAAAAAAGTCTACATAGTGTATAGTAGTCCTAGGCCTTCATGTTCACTCAGCACTCACTCACTGACTCACCCAGAGCAACTTCCAGTCCTGCAAGTTCCATTCCTGGTAAGTGCCCTATACTGGTGTGCTCTTTCAAAATATTTCATACTGTATTTTTTTCTATATTTTTTCTATTTTTAGGTGCATAAATACTTACAATTGTGTTACAATTGCTTGCACTATTTAGTCCAGTAACATGCTTGTAGCATAAGAGCAATAGGCTATACCATATAGCCTAGGTGTGTAATGGGCTATAGCATGTAGGTTTTTGTAAGTACACTCTATGATGTTTGCACAAAAATGAGAACACCTAACAACACATTTCTCAGAATATGACCCCATCATTAAGCAATACATGACTGTATTTGCAAAGGTAGTTTTTAGTATAAATTTTTCTCAACCAAAAAAATTACTATATTTGCTTTTCTGTAATCTGCTTTTTTTCTCTTCCTAATATAGCATGAATGGATTTCCACATCAAATATTTTCTGACAGTATGACTTTTTAATATGTTCAGTATTTGGTTGTCTGGATATATCAGAATTTAGCCCATTTGTTGCTTTGGATATTGAAGTTGTTTTCCAGTTATTTTTTCCTAGCTATTATGGAAATCACTTATTAGCATCCCTCTATTAATAATTACATCTTTGTTCAGGTAATTTATTAGAGTAAAATCCAATTAAAATAGATGTATCAAAGCATAACGCATATTAATATACATTTAAATGTATTTATGTATATATTGCCAAATTGCCTCCTAGGTAAGTTCTATCAGTATTACCTGATACCTTCTGCTGGTTTCTCATGAGCATTCCTGGCAGGAGCAAACATTAGCTGGGGGGTCACGATTAAGGGCAGCTTAAAAGGGAGAAGTTGCAGCTGAGGACTGAGCCCTTTTTCTTTTTCAACAAACTGGAGATCACTTATTAGTGCAAAGAACAACACCTCATTGTTGGTGAGAAGGACAGCCAAACAATTTATCCATTTAAAAAATGTCTTATTAAGAATATACTGCAAAATAAAACACACGTGAAAAAGTGCATGATATGGTTTGGCTCTGTGTTCCCACCCAAATCTCATGTGGAATTATAATCCCCAAGTTTTGAAGGTGGGGCCTGGGGTAGGAGGTGATTGGATGATGGGGTCAGATTTCCCCATGCTGTTCTCATGATAATGAGTTCTCACGAGATCTGATGGTTTAAAAGTGTGTGGCACTTCCTTCTTTGTGTGCACACTTGCTCTCTCTCTCCTCTCTCCTGCCATCATGTGAAGAAGGTCCCTTCTTTCCCTTTGCCTTCTGCCATGATTATAAGCTTCCTGAGGCCTCCTATCATGCTCCCTGTTAAGCCTATAAAACTGAGTCAATTAAACCTCTTTTCTTCATAAATTACCCAGTCTCACATAGTTGTTTATAGCAGTTTGAAAACGAACTAATACAGAAAATTCGTACCAGGAAAGAGGAGCATTGCTATAAAGATACCTGAAAATGTGGATGCAACTTTGGAACTGGGTAATGGGCAGAGGTTGGAACAGTTTGAAGGACTCAGAAGAAAACAGGAACATGAGGGAAAGTTTGGAACTTTGTAGACAGTTGTTGAATGATTGTGACCAGAATTCTGATAGTGATATGGACAGTGGTAGTCCAGGCTGAGGGGGTCTTAGATGGAGATGAGGAACTTATTGGGAATTGGAGCAAATGTCACTCTTGCTATGCTTTTGCAAAGAGATTAGGGGCATTCTGCCCCTGCTCTAGGGATCTGTGAAACTTTGAACTTGAGAGAGATGATTTAGGGTATCTGGCGGAAGAAATTTCTAAACAGCAAAGCATTCAAGATGTGCCTGACTTCTTCTAACAGCCTACAGTCATATGCGTTCACAAAGAGATGGTCTGAAATAGGAACTTACATTTAAAGGGGAAGCAGAGCACACAAGTTTGGAAAATTTGCAGCATGACCATGTGATAGAAGAGAAAAACCCATTTTCTGGGGAGAAGTTCAAGCTGGCTTCAGAAATTTGCATAAGTAAAGAGGAGTTGAATGTTAATAGCCAAGACAATGGAGAAAATGTCTTCACGGCATGTCAGAAACCTTTGAGGCAGCCCCTTCCATCACAGACCTGGAGGCCTAGGAGGAAAAGATGATTTCATGGGCCAGTCCCAGGGCTCTGCTACTCTGTGCAGCCTTGGGTCATGGCACCCTGTATCCCAGCTGCTCCTGTTCCAGCTGTGGCTAAAGTGGTCAAGGTACATCCAAGGCAGTGGCTTCAGAGGGTGCAAGTCCCAAGCCTTGATGGCTTACATGTGATGTTGGGCCTGTGGGTGTGCAGGAGACAAGAGTTGAGGTTTGGGAACCTCCACCTAGATTTCAGAGGATGTATGGAAACATCTGGATGTCCAGACAGAAGTCTGCTGCAGGGGAGGAACCCTCATGGAGAACCTCTACTAGGTCAGTGCAGAGGGGAAATGTGGGGCTGGAACCTTCACACAGAGTCCCCACTGGGGCACTGCCTAGTGGAGCTGTGAGAAGTGGGGCACCATCTTTCAGACTCCAGAATGCTAGATCCAACAACAGCTTGCACCATGCACCTGGAAAAGCCACAGGCACTCAACACCATCCTATGAAAGCAGCTGCAGGGGCTGTCCCTGCAGAGCAACAGGGGTGGAGCTGTCCAAGGCCTTGGGAGCCCACTCCTTACATCAACCTGCCCTGAATGTAAGACATGGAGTCAAAGGAGATTATTTTAGAGCTTTAGGATTAATGACTGCCCTGCTGGGTTTTGGACTTCTGTGGGGCCTCTACCTCCCTTGTTTTGGCCAATTTCTTCCTTTTGGAAAGGGAACATTTACCCAATGCCTGTACGCCCATTGTATCTTGAAAGTAACTAACTTGTTTTTGATTTTACAGGCTCATAGGTGGAAGGGACTTGCTTTATCTCAGATAGACTTTGAACTTGAACTTTTGAGTTAATGCTGGAATGAGTTAAGACTTTGGGAGACTGTTGAGAAGGTATGTTTATGTTTTGAAATGTGAGAAGAACATGAGATTTGGGAGGGCCCAGGGGCAGAATGATATGGTTTGGCTCTGTGTCCCCACCCAAATCTCATGTGGAATTGTAATCCCCACGTGTTAAAGGTGGGGCCTGGTGGGAGGTGATTTGATCCTGGGGGAGGATTTCCCACATGCTGTTCTCATGGTAGTGAGTAAGTTCTTATGAGCTCTCATGGTTTAAAAGTGTGTGGCACTTCCCGCTTCACTCTCTTTCTCTCCTGCTTTGCAATGGGAAGATGTGCCTTGCTTCCCCTTTGCCTTCCACCATGATTGTAAGTTTCCTGAGACCTCTCCTGCCATGCCAAACTGTGAGTCAATTAAACCTCTTTTCTTTACAAATTATCCAGTCTCAGTTATATCTTTATGGCAGTGTGAGAATGGACTAATACAGTGTATAAGACAACTTTTATAAATAATTTTAAAGTGTACATGCATGTAGCTCTATCCACACCTATGGCTGTCATGAATGAGAAAATAAATTTCTTTTGCTGAGTATCTGTGCCCAAGTATTTCATTCCCAGCATCCCAGAAGTCTATCCTGAGTCCCTTCCAGATCATCCACCTTTCTCTGGAAGTAACTGTTATCATGTTTTCAATGACAATCACTTCCTTGTTGTTCTTTATTTAAAAAATTATAAATAAGACACATGTTCATGGCAACATAGACAATACAGAAGTTTATAAAGTAAAAGTTAAAAAAATTCTCCCAGCACCCAACCTCTTCTCAGAGGTAGCCATTATCATCAGGGTGGTCTATTTCCTCTGGACCAGTGCTATTCAATAGAACTTTCTGCATTGATGAAGTGTTCTGTTTCAGCTCTGTTTAATACAGGAGGAGCTAGCCACATGTAGTTATTGAGCATTTGAAATGTGGGTAGTTTAACTGAGGAACTGACTTTTAAATTTTACTCAATTTAATTTTTTATTCATTTATTTTTTGAGACAAGGTCTCACTCTGTCACCTATGCTGGAATTCAGTGGCGTGATCTCAACTCACTGCAACCTATGCCTCCCAGGCTTAGGGGATCCTCCCACCTCAGCCTCCAAAGTAGCTGGGACTGTAAGCATGCCACCATGCCCAGCTAATTTTTGTATTAGCTGGCTTTTGCAAAAACAGGCTTTTGCCATGTTGCCCAGGCTGGTCGCGAACTCCTGGGCTCAAGCAACCCAGTGCCTTGGCCTCCCAAAGTGCTGGGATTACAGACATCAGCCACCATGCCTGGTCTTAATTTTAATTAATTTAAATTTTAATAGGCACACATGACTAGTGGTTAGATTGGACAGCACTTTTCCATAATTTTGAAACACTTTTTGTATTCTGGCACACTGGTTCCTTACAGTATCTTACACATTAGGAAATGTACATCTCAATGAGACGAGGGACAAGCCCAGGTCTCCAAGACAGCATTTGCAGAAGTCCTTTCTTGATGCCATGACCAGTGCTCTTTCCGCATTACCCTTCTAGACATAATCAACAACACTACAAAGGTCATCTGTGCATGTGACTTTTTAAAAACAAGTATTTGTCTCAGCCTACAGTCTCAGCTGGAATTTGAGTAGCCCACTCAGGGTTCTGTGTGGTTTGGTTTCAAAAAGGGTGGGGTAAGAGCTGATGCTTCCCTTCCCCAGTGACCGTTTTTTCTCTGGGTCTACATCTATTTTTGAAAGCTGAATTATTTTGTAGCTCTGTAGACTTGCGTTATCACCAAAGTGATCTCACCTTAAAAGTTATTATTTATTTCTTTTTTTGAGACAGAAAAATAAAAAAGGAGAATAGTTTCTGTTTGAGCATGAATTAAGTGGCATATTTAAAAATCATGGTTCATGACCTTCTAATTCTTTGCCATCAGGTTCATGTTTGAAAGAGCTTCAGGCAGGGGCCACCAGACCTGAGTCCTGGTCCCAAATCTGCCCTAGTAGCATGCGGGGTAATATAAACTGATAAATAGCTTGGTGAATTGTCGACCCAGGGACTGATAGAAGAGCTCCAGAAGCACCACCTAAACTCCAAGGGTCTAGGTATTTAGTATTTATGGATTAAATTCTGTGCATAATTTCCATTGCTTTTACCACACAATTGAAACTGTCTCCTCCTTAAACAAGAAGGTGGGGTGGTGTGATACTTATCTTGGTAATCTTAGCTCTTAGCAAAATAACTCACCCAGAGCAGATATTGAAAAGTGTAGTCCTTGAATGAGACAAGAAAGGAAGGTAGGTAGAAAGGAAGGGAGAAAATGTAGGAATGAAAAAACTTGGGAGGGAAGGAAAGAGAAAATGAGCACTCTTGTTACCAATTAATTACTTTCCATACCTTATCTCATTCTTTAACCACTCCGACAACTGGGTAAGTGATATATCTATGGAGAACCTGAGGGTCAGAGAGGTCAAGTAACTTGCTTAAGGCCACACAGCTGCCAAGTAGTGGTGTTTCTTCTCTAGTGGCAACTCACCAAGCTAGAATCCAGATTCTCAGATTATTGCTTCCATTTCTAACGCTGGTAAGAATGGGGAAATTAGTGTTTTTGCTGAGTACCTGTGCCCCAGGCAAAGCCCCACAGTTGACCTGAGAAAGACGAAGGTCTCAGATCAGTTCTTTTCTGCAGTTATTTCTCTTCTTGACATCAAGCAAATCTTAAACCAGGTTCCTGGGTTGACATTCTCAAGCATATGGATGTGAAGAGAGGGCAGCTTTCTCAGCTAGGGAAGTATGTTAATTTCACAGAGGCCTTCTCAGCAAGTTGGAGAGGCCATTCTCTGAACCATTTAATCTCATCTTTTGTCTGAATTTAGAATGGATATCTTTTCCCCCTTTAAATATCACCCTTCTTACAGTCCCTCTTCATCAAACTCTTTGTTGTAGATGATTAGGCCAGGAAGGGAGAAGGTGGCTGCCCAACAAGCTTGGGAAAGGCCAGAGAGGAGGGGTGACCAGTCTCAGGAACCCCTGAACTCCGAGGTTGCATCCCCTATAACGCCGTGTCCGAGGAAGCCTTTATGAAGTTGTTGAAAGGAAGCGGGCCTGGGGATGGGCGGTGCCCTTCTCACCCTCAGTGCTCAGAGGGTCTTGGGTTGCTTCTAATGACTAGGTGGGGAGAGGACACACTTAGCTGGAAGACAACTGCCTGGGACAAAAATGGGGTGATGAGAGAGGGTGCAGGATTCCAGCAGTCTTAGGTTTAGCCCCCAGTCCCTGCCTCTTTGGGACATCCCTACCGCTCTGCCCCATCCTTTGTAGGGAGCTATACGAACTGACACATAGATAACAAAACCAGTTACGTGGTCTTGAGGTCATAATCCAGATCTATAAAGGGTGAGAAATAAGTGACTTATTGAAAAAATTCAAAAAGTGGTAAAATAGGAAAGAGCAGATGTTTCAAGACAGTATAGTAAATTATTTAAGGGCTGTATTGTTACACAGACTGGGGTTTGAACCCAGACTTAACCTTGCTGAGACTCAGTTCTCTGCAGTGAGTATTAGAGATAAAAATCTCTCAGACAGCGCCAGTTCTTACTAAGTGGTAGATACTCGAATGAATCCATGAAATCAACGAGTCCAATTCCTCATTTGGATGAAGAAAGTGAGGCCCAGAGATGGGAAGTGACTTGGTGAAGGTAGCACCGTAAGCTAATAGCAAAGCTAATATGGAAACATTTTGCTCTTGCTACTAAAATCAAGTGCCATCAGAGTTTTGTAACCAAAGTCCCTCTTTATTTCAAAAGCTGGATCTGGGGTGCGTACAAATTGGGACATGGTATCATGTACATCTGAGAGATTTGAAAAATGACTATGCTTTCCTTTGGAATATTATGATTATATTTCTGGATGGTGTTTTCTCTGGAACAAAAATGAAAAACTATAACTTTTAACCAGAGAGCTGACATGCTGAATAGTTACTGCTGCTTGCACATAGAATGATGTAGAGACTAGTTCTGTTTTTTGGAAAGAAATACAAAAATGGAAAGAAACCTTAAAATTGAAAGATAGAAAGGAGCTGTTTATTCTTACAGTTGGGCCACCAAAGTCTAGGATCTCCATTTTGATTAGAAATATGTTGATATGATTCCTTTCATTGAATTCCTGGCTAGTTTGGTTGTGGGGTAAAAGATATCTTCTATTTTGTATCATGAGTCAGGCACATTGCACAAGCTGAGATTGTTAGAGGTTTATAAATGACTATTAATATAGTCACGTTTTTATCTGGTGCCCAGCCCTTGCATGATCTCCTGTAATTCTTGTGAGGCTTTGAAAAGAGTGGTCTTTTTCACATACACAAGTATGTTTATTGTGGCACTATTCACAATAGCGAAGACTTGGAACCAACCTAAATGTCCAACAATGATAGACTGGATTAAGAAAATGTGGCACATATACACCATGGAATACTATGCAACCATAAAAAATGATGAGTTCATGTCCTTTGTAGGGACATGGATGAAGCTGGAAACCATCATTCTCAGGAAACTATCGCAAGGACAAAAAACCAAACACCGTATGTTCTCACTCATAGGTGGGAATTGAACAATGAGAACACATGGACACAGGAAGGGGAACATCACACACCGGGGCCTGTTGTGGGGTGGGGGGACGGGGGAGGGGTAGCATTAGGAGATATACCTAATGTTAAATGACAAGTTAATGGGTGCAGCACACCAACATGGCACATGTATACATATGTAACAAACCTGCACGTTGTGTACATGTACCCTAAAACTTAAAATATAATAAAAAAAAGAAAAGAATGGTCTTTTTATCACTTATATTTTTCAGATGAAGAAATCAAGGCTCAGAAGTGTCATTAGTGCAGGAATTGGCTAAGATGGGCACTGAGATATGAGTCTTTTGACATTATGTGAAATTCTTTGTACTCACTTCAAGAATAGAGACAATCACCCTGGGCTGGCTGCTTTCGGGGTTAGGAGTATAGAGCAGGGTTTGCCCTGTGCTTCTGGGCAATAGCTCAGGGTAGCAGCTGACTGATTTTCCTATCCATGCACTTAGCTTAGTGCCCTTTCCGCCTCTTCTTCCTTCATTCAAGACAGGGCAGGTGTGTGTGCATACTGTGCTCATTCTACCCCCCTCGTAATTCCCTTTTAGTAATCATGTCCCTTTAATTTAGCCATGATAATGGGGATTCTTCTTTGCTCCTGATTCCTTGGGTCCTAGTTTCTGCCTTGTGGCCCTGGTCCTATCACTGGGCTTCAGCTTTGTGCCACTCTTTTGCAGACACTGTTGCCTGCCTTTTCTTGCTTGCTCACGGAAGTCTGATTTTGCTTAGGTGTCCATTCTCGGTGACTATCAAGAAAGGCTGGGCTCTGCAATTGCCACAGGCTCAGGGAGTGACTTCTGACGGGTCTAAGCCAATAATCATGGAACCAGTCACTTCACAGTGATTGGTTTAGGCATTGGCATGTGAACTTAGTTTGTCCAATGAGATATGAATGGAGATCTGCTCAGGGGTTTCCTGGAAAGGTTTTCCTCATTTTCGGGAAGGAGTGTTGGGTGCTCTGTTGCTGCTCCTGAATACTGACGTGCCTGCATATAATGACTGCAACTGCGATTCTTCTTTAGGTGACCATAAAGGGTGCAAACCTTAGGAGAACATACTGAGCATGGCAGCATGGAAGGCTAGAAGTAAACCTGGGTCCATCATGAAGTCATTGAGCCTCTGAAATAGCCATCCCTGTTAACACTCCTTCTTCAGTCCTTCTCTTAGTGTTTGAGCCGTTGGATTTTTTCCCCCTATTACTTGCAGCCAAAAGCATCTTCATGATAAAGCACAACATCTCAATAATCAGTCTGCTTCCCTACTCCTTTCTTAGGATTTGCTTTTGGATCCTTCACATTCTCCCTTTCTTGAGACCCCTGCTCGGGAGTGTGACCCATTCAATATCTCAGGAGAGGAGCTGGGAGCTGGGAGTGGGACTGGGGTGCCACTGGGAGGGGAGTGAGTTTACAAAATAGTTCTTCCCTTCTAGTACCTTCTCTTGTGTCTCATGGCCTGACTACCAACACTATGTGACTCAATGCTTTTCAACAAAAAAATTAGCTTCCGAAACAAAGTTGAAAAGTACTACTTTTGGAGAATGGACCTAGGGCAGAAATCATTACAGTTCCTGCTATTTCCTGCCTACTGCTTTTTCAAAGAAAACCCTCTGACATAATCTGTTTGGGCTGCTATGACAAAATGTCTTACACTGGGTAATTTATAAACAACAGAAGTTTTTTTTTTTATAGTTCTGGAGTCTGTGATCAAGACACCAACTGATTGGGTGGCTGGTGAGTGCTTGCTCTTTCCTTCAAAGATGGTGCCTTCTAGCTGTGTCCTAACATGGTTGAAGGGGCAGATAAGGCCCCTCAGGCCCCTTTTATAAGGATGCTAATCCAGTTCATGAGAGTGTAGGTGCTATGTGGGCCTCTGCTTTTGTGGAAAGTGAAATTCAAAACCTCTGGTGGTGCAGTGAGGGTCCTGAAAGCAGATGCCAGGTTAATGCACAGCATCATCCATGCCAACACCAGCTCTGCTTGTTCACAGATGGGAACATACTGTGGGGCAGCTCTGCTGTGGGTTTCTTAGCTTCAAAGTTCTTGAAAACTCAAAGCTTTTGGTATCTTTCATTTGGTGTAATTAGAATTAATTCCTATGAGTAAATACTAATGCAGAGTAAATTCTACCAAATCAGAAATTACCAAGAGAATCAATATTTGCCAAGTACATTCTTTCAAGTACATTCTTTGTGACAGGCACCGTGTTAAGTCCTTTACATACATTGCCTCACTGAATCTTCACCAATGACTCAATTATTATCCCTATTTTATAGTTGAGGAAATTGAGGCACACAAGGGTTAATTTGCCCAAGCCACACAGCTAGAAAGTGGTGAAGCCAGAATTTGAATGCGGGCAGTCTGACTTCAGATGGCAGGCACTTAACCACTGTGGTCTTCTCATTGTAACTAATAACTACCTTCAGTTTACAGATGTGGAAAATGAGACTCAGAGTGGTGAAATTATTTGACCAAGCCACACAGCTAGTAAATGATAGAGCCAAAGTCTGATCTGAGGCTCCATAGTGTTTGTACTTTTCATCGTGGAACAACTTCTCCCTGCTGCATGGTGGTATAGGCAGCACTACATATGTAACGTGAAGTATCTGGTTGCAGCCTTGAAACGATATCACACACTATGGCTTATTAGTCCTCCATTTACAGATGAGCCAAACAGAGTTAAAGTAACTTGCCAAGAGCACAGAGCTCTGTGTGTGGGAGCCTGGGTTCCCATCCTTCCCCCATGGGTTGGCCTCTAGCCTGAAAAGCTCTTCCCTCCACTCTTGCCCTTGCCAAATCCTATGCATCACTTATATCCTAACTAAAATGCCACTTCCATAGGGGGACCTTCTCTGTTCCTCTAAACTAGTTCAGTATCACTTTCATGGAGATTTGTAGTGCATCCTTTAGTTTTCTTTCTTACTTTTTAATTAACTGTTTGTGTGATTATTTTATAAATACTGTTTCCCCTAGACTGTCTGCTCCCTGAGGGCAGAGCCCACATTAATATTGTTTAGCAATATTGCCAATGCTTAACCCAGTGTTCAGCATATAGCTGACACTCTGAAAGTGAGTTATTATTATATATAACATACATATATAAATATATATGCATGTGTATGTTTATATATAAATGATAATTATATATGAGTGTCATGAATATGTGTGTATATATGTGTGTCTTTGTGTGTGTGTGTGCATGTATGATAGTCATTAGGTCCACCAAGTTCCTTTTCATTCATGCATCAATCACAGAGATGCCAATTAGCAGCATGATAGTTTCAGCTCCCTGATTACTTGCTCTTGACAGACATTGACAATCAATCTGTATACTCTCTTCTGCTGAGACCCAAGGGAGCCTCTAAATCCTTCTCAAGGCAGTGTTCCAGACAGCCACTATCAAGTAATTGGACTTGGCCCAACAAATGAAACGTGGACATCCTGAGTGAGGAAACTGTTCTCAGATATTATGTTCAACTGTAGTTTTCTGCAACTGAAGTCACCCGGGAAACTAAAAAATACTGATGCTAGGTGTCCTCGTCCAAAGATTCTGTTTAATTGATGATTGATTCTAATGGGCCAGGAAACACTGGCTAACCAAATGCTGTCTAATCTGGATGGTTCTTGTCTAAAGTATTTTTTTCTTTGTGCCATGCAAGTTCTCTTTATTTTCTTTTATAGGGAGTGTGTAGTTACTCTACTGTGTCAGACTTGGCATTGAAGGTACAGAATAATGAAAAGATTGGTCTCAATTCCTTAGTAACTCTTATACTAGTGAAGCAGACAGACAGGCATAAGGAACTCTTGGGGGAGGCAGATTGTTAGTAGTTAATTTATGGATGTATGAAAGTATGGGGCAAGTGTGTCAGGGAATAAATAAATTCTACCTGAGAGGATCTGTGAAAACTTTTTGGAAGAGGTTGGAGTTGAGCTAACTATAAAGGGACAAATGACTGGAAAACCATGATGAGTTCAAATCATAGAAGACTTTGAATACTAGACAAAGCTATGTGGAGTTGGTGGAGTAAAGGAAACAATATGGTTTTCAGAGCTGACCTTCAGGAAATAAACTTTGGTAGCAGGATAGAGGGTGCATTGGAAATGGACAGTTGAGGCAACAGTGTTGGTACAAAGTCTTGAGTCTGATTCATGGCTGTAGACATTGGGTCTAGAAGGGGAAATCATACATTTATGAATTGGAGGTGAAATGGGATTTTGGAAATATAGGAGAAATATTGAATATGACTTATAAGGTAAACTTATGAAAATTAATTGTGCTTTTGAGAAGTGCCTGTTCATATCCTTTGCCACTGTTTGATGGGGTTGTTTGTTTTTTTCTTGTAAATTTGTTTAAGTTCTTTGTAGATTCTGAATATTAGCCCTTTGTCAGATGGGTAGATTGCAAAAATTTTCTCCCATTCTGTAGGTTGCCTGTTCACTCTGCTGAGTTTCTTTTGCTGTGCAGAAGCTCTTTAGTTTAATTAGATCCCATTTGTCTATTTTGGCTTTTGTTGCCATTGCTTTTGTGTTACGGGAAGTCAGGGACCCTGAACAGAGGGACCAGCTGGAGCCATGGCAGAGGAACATAAATTGTGAAGATTTCATTTAATATGGACATTTGTCAGTTCCCAAATAATACTTTTATAATTTCCTATGCCCATCTTTACTTTAATCTCTTAATCCTGTTATCTTCGTAAGCTGAGGATGTATGTAAGCTCAGGACCACTGTCATAATTGTGTTAACTGTACAAATTGATTGTAAAACATGTGTGTTTGAACAACATGAAATCAGTGCACCTTGAAAAAGAACTGAATAACAGCAATTTTTATGGAACAAGGGAAGACAACCATAAGGTCTGACTGCCTACGGGGTTGGGCAAAAAGAGCCATATTTTTCTTCTTGCAGAGAGCCTATAAATGGATGTGCAAGTAGGAAAGATATTGCAAAATTCTTTTCCTAGCAAGGAATATTAATATTAATACCCTGGGAAAGGAATGCATTCCTGGAGGGAGGTCTATAAACAGCCACTCTGGGAATGTCTGTCTTGTGCAGTTGAGATAAGGACTGAGATAAGCCCTGATCTCCTGCAGGCTTACTAGGGTTGGGAAAGCTCCGCCATGGTAAATTTGTGGTCAGACTGGTTCTCTGCTCTTGAACTCTGTTTTCTGTTGTTTAAGACGTTTATCAAGACAATACATGCACTGCTGAACATAGACCCTTATCAGTGGTTCTGCTTTTGCCCTTTGCCCTGTGATCTTTGTTGGACCCTTATCAGTGGTTCTGCTTTTGCCCTTTGTCCTGTTCCCTCAGAAGCATGTGATCTTTGTTAGGCCCTTATTAGTGGTTCTGCTTTTTGCTCCTTGAAGCATGTGATCTTTGTACCTACTCTCTGTTCTTATACCCCCTCCCTTTTTGAAAACCTTAATAAAAAACTTGCTGGTCTGAGACTCAGGGACATCACGGTCCTACTGATATGTGATGTCACCCCTGGTGGCCCAGCTGTAAAATTCCTCTCTTTATACTGTCTCTCTTTATTTCTCAGCCAGCCAACACTTATGGAAAATAGAAAGAACCTACGTTGAAATACCGGGGGCGGGTTCCCCCAATACTTTTGGTGTTTAACTCATGAAGTCTTTGCCCTTGCCTATGTCCTGAATGGTATTGCCTAGGTTTTCTTCTAGGATTTTTATGGTGTTAGGTCTTAAATTTAAGGCTTTAATCCATCTTGAGTTAATTTTTGTATATGGTGTAAGGAAGGGATCCAGTTTCAGCTTTCTACGTATGGATAGCCAGTTTTCCCAGCACCATTTATTAAATAGGGAATCCTTTCCCCAGTGCTTGTTTTTGTCAGGTTTGTCAAAGATCAGGTGGTTGTAGATGTGTGGTGTTATTTCTGAGGCCTCTGTTCTGTTCTACTTGTCTATATATCTGTTGTGTACCAGTACCACACTGTTTTGGTTACTGTAGCCTTGTAGTATAGTTCAAAGTCAGGTAGCTTGATGCCTCCAGCTTTGTTCTTTTTGCTTAGGATTGTCTTGGCTATGTGGGCTCTTTTTTGGTTCCATATGAACTTTAAATTAGTTTTTTCCAATTCCGTGAAGAAGACATTTATGCAGCCAACAGACATATGAAAAAATGCTCATCATCACTGGTCATCAGAGAAATGCAAATCAAAACCACAATGAGATAGCATCTCATTCCAGTTAGAATGGCGATCATTAAAAAGTCAGGAAACAACAGATGCTTGAGAGGAAGTGAAGAAATAGGAACGCTTTTACACTGTTGGTGGGAGTGTAAATTAGTTCAACCATTGTGGAAGACAGTGTGGCAATTCCTCAAGGACCTAGAACTAGAAATACCATTTGACTCCGCTATCCCATTACTGGGTATATACCCAAAGGATTATAAATCATTCTACTATAAAGACACATGCACATGTATGTTTATTGTGGCACTATCCACAATAGCAAAGACCTGGAACCAACTCAAATGTCCATCAGTGATAGACTGGATAAACAAAATGTGGCACATATACACCATGGAATACTATGCAGCCATAAAAAAGGATGAGTTTATGTCCTTTGCAAGGACATGGATGAAGTTGGAAACCATCATTCTCAGCAAACTATCACAGGGATAGAAAATCAAACACTGCATGTTCTCACTCATAGGTGGGAGTTGAACAACAAGAACACATGGACACAGGGTGGGCAACATCATACACCAGGGCCTTTTGCGGGGGGCTGGGGGAGGGATAGCATTAGGAGAAATACCTAATGTAAATGACAAGTTGATGGGTGCAGCAAACTAACATGGCACATGTATACCTATGTAACAAACCTGCATGTTGTGCACATGTACCCTAGAACTTAAAGTATAATAAAATAATAAAGAAAATTAACTGTGTACTTTCTGTTATTGTTTTGCATTACACTGTGAGCTCATTGGAAATAGCAGCTACCATTTATTGCATTCTTAAACTGGCCCTGGTATGGTGTCAAAAGACAGAAAGATTGGTCTCTATTGCCTAGTAGCCCTCATGCTAATCTTCCCATTAATCCTCATAACAATTCTACTTGGCTTTCTGTCATGTTATTTCCATTTTATGTATGAGGATACTGAAATTAGAAATATATTAAATGACTTTCCCTGGGTTACAAAGCCAATATGTGGCAGAGTCAGGAAGCAAACACAGATCGTTTAATCCCAGAGTAAACACATTAAACTGTTATAATTGTCTTAACTACTTCTCTACTCCAGTGGTTCTCAGTGATGATTTTGTGTCCCCCACTTATGGGGGACATTTAGTAATTTCTGTAGATAGTTTTGTTTGTCTCAACTTGTGGGGGAGTGTTGCTATTTAGTGTGTTGAGGCCAGGGATTCTGCTAAAAATCCTATAATGCATAGGACAGTGATCACTCCCACCCTGCCCCCAAGAAAGAATTATCTGATTCAAAATGTCAATAGTGCTGAGGCTGAAAAACCTTGTTCTATTCCCAGGGCTTACCTCAATGCCTTCCACTTAGTAGGCTCAATCTACATGTTTGTTGAATTAAATAGAACTAGCGAACATGAATTCATATGCATATATTTATATAAATTTAAATATTATGGTAATGAAGATCCTTACAAGTATACATACTTTAATCCTGACGGATTCTCCTGATCATAGAAACTCCACTGTGTGTGTCATCTTCATTTCCTGTGAAATCTGTAGCTTTGTGATGATGCTTCTCATTTATTCTATTCCGAGTCTTATCTCCTGTAATTATGCTGTCTCCTGGTTTGGCCATGGTCCCATGGATAGGAATTTCATGTTAAATCCTCCAGTTGCTGTACTGACTTAGAAAAGATTTGGGGTTTGCGTGTTTTTCTTTCTTGTTCCTCCCCTATCCTGTTGGAATTCATTGCATCATCCCTGTACTTTCCTAGCATGATTACATGGTATGGGCTAGCTGGGAGTTGGGGGAGGCGGGGGTCAATGTCTACTTTGGAGGATGGCCTGCCTGCTCTGGCCCACCAAAGAAACCCCCTAAATAATCAGATCTATATCAAAGCTCACTGAATGAAGTGATTGTGGCTGGAAGCCTCGGTTCCCATCCAGAAGATGACATATTCCTGAACTTAGTGATGTGGGCTTGAAAAGTTCTATTTCCTGTTGCAAACTAAATGGACTTTGCAAATCCAACCTGATTACATTACCCTATATCAGATTTCCAGATGACAGCTGTTGCTCAATCTTCTCCTACCCCCACCCCTGTTATGCTCTGGGATTTTTTAAATTAAAAATTTTAAAAAATGACAGCCACTTAAGAGTTTTGCTCATTTCCACAATTCCTAAATTTCTCATTTTTAGTTCATTCTGTCAAAATTGCCTTTGTTGCAGCTGCAATTAGGGAGAAAGATACTTAACTTGAGCTGCAATTAGGGAGAAAGATACCTAACTTGCATGGCCTGCTTTAGCAATAGAGTGATTTTTGGGAAAGAGCTGGGGAGTAGGGGAGTCATCTGGATCTGCAACATGATGAGAGATTGATTAGCTTCTCCAGTGAACCCTAAAGTTTGGTTGTAGGGGTAAACTGTGTTTGATCTAGCCAGGTTCTCCAAGGATGCACAAGGACAAGCTAGTGAGCATGGAAATTCACTCAGACCTACATCTTCACTTTCATCTGACCTTCTTGATCTTCTAAGCTATTGGATACTATTGTACATCACACATCCACTGGCCTAGAAGGGCAAGTGTAAACACCAGCTGGAGGTGAGGAAATTACTCAGGACCACTCTCCCATCTGTTGCTCCATGTATGATTTTATTTGATTAGTGGTTTTAGTGTCAGTAAGGGTGCATTGTATTAAAAATAACAAGGAAAGCAAACAAACTGAACAGTTCAG
The DNA here is from genome assembly GCF_000001405.40 of Homo sapiens. Taxonomy (NCBI): domain Eukaryota; kingdom Metazoa; phylum Chordata; class Mammalia; order Primates; family Hominidae; genus Homo; species Homo sapiens. The sequence goes on along the minus strand of NC_000008.11, from coordinate 129,643,640 downwards.
AGATAAAACTTTAGTCTCAGATAGTGCTGTTGCCAAAGACATGATCTCTTTCCATTTTCTGCCTGGTTTCATACTAAGTCTCCTTCTGTCTTTGTACCCAAGACGCATATCAACTGCTCCTGGAGTAACATCTCCTTGGTCTCATCCAGCAGATGTGAAAAACTTCTTTCCTGAGATTTCTTGGCATAAGTATTGAGATTCATTCTGAATAGACTAAAGTCACAGAATTGTCCTAAAGCATGGCCTAAGTTATGAGCTCTGTTCCTGGGGAGCAGACAGAAGTCAGACCATTGGGAAGGAGGGGAGTAGGCAGCAAGGAGGCAGCCAACCAATGTCCACTGTGAAGTTTGTGCTTAGTCTTCTTGGCCTTCAATTCTCAGCAATCTATTAAAACACTAGCTTGACCTACTGCCTTCCTTTGTATTTGAGGAGCCTCACTACCATATTTCAGATTCTATGAAACCCATTTGCTACCACTGTCCACATTGTCGCTGGCCAAAAGTCTAGACCTACTGCTTTTTAACAGGGCAGAAAGGGTGATAAAATTTTGACAATCTTAACTGTGAAGCATTTATTTTTCAGAGAAATATTCCTAATGAAAATGTATTAATAAATTCACTCATATTCATTCATTCCTTTATTCTAATACTTCTTTATTCTTCATTCTTTTGTCCCATCAAAAAACATATATTATCTACCACATGCCAATCACTGTGCAAGATTTTTAGACACTAGGATGAACAACACACCAAGCCCAAGGAGTTCAAAATGAAATAAGAGGCATATAAATAATTAACAGTCTTGAAATATGTCTGGTAAAATAACAAAGAAGTCTTTAAGCACAGCCACTTCCCTAAACTCCAAAACATTGTGCTTTTTGTGTGTGTGTTGCTAGTCAGTTTCTATTTCCTATTTCCTTTGTCTAAATGTCCCCAGCTTGTCACTACTTTACCCTACTTATGATTACTGTTTTTCTTTGACTTAGCAAAATTGTCTTGCATTCTACCCTATGACTTCACAAAATTAGTAATGAGATCATTGAGTTGCATGTGCATCTGGAGGCACCTTAATAAATATATGGTTGATGACCAGAAGAACGTCAATCTTTTCAAAATGGTTTCTCAATTTCACTGTGGCAAAGACTTTTCCTTATGCAGGGAATCTTTTATTCTACCATTGTTAGAAAAGGGAAACCTATGTTTTTATTTAATTGAATTTAGATTTTTTTAAAGTAAGCTATTTTCTTTTTTTTTTTCAGGAAGATATGTTAAGAGTCACATAAAATACCAGTGCAATGGAAAGAGAATGAGACTTACAGTCAGATAGAACTAAATTTGAACCTCTGCTTTGCCATTTGGTAGCTCTGCTACCTTGATTTCTAACCTCCTTGAACTGTATTGTTTTTTCCATAACAATACCTCCTGCACAGGACAGTGGGGAGGATCACATTAGATACATGTGAGAGCACTTAGTGCAGCACTTGGGGTGCGGAGAGCTTGGTAGCGTTTAATCTCCTCTCTCTGTTTCTCCTTTTCTATTTATTCCTTACTTTTGTCTAAAATAGTTTACAGTCTCTATAAGAACAGGTAATCCCAGCACTTTGGGAGGCCGAGGAGGGTGGATCACCTGAGGTCAGGAGTTCGTGACCAGCCTGACCAACATGGTGAAACCACGTCTCTACTAAAAATACAAAAATTAACCAGGCGTAGCGGCACATGCCTATAGTCCCAGCTACTTGGGAGGCTGAGGCAGGAGAATCACTTGAACCCAGGAGGTGGAGATTGGCAGTGAGCCGAGATCATGCCATTGCACTCCAGCCTGGGCAACAGAGTGAGACTCCATGTCAAAAAAAAAAAAAAACAACAAAGAATAGATCATGGGGGTTATGATGAGGGAGCAATCTTTGAGTAGTGACTTTTAGCATGTTTTTGATGATGACTTTGATGACTTTTATCTTGCGGCATAAATGAGTATACAGTTTTTAAAAGTTTGAAAACAAGTATGCAACTCATGTAATTTTTGTCATGAATCAAGTATGTGGTCATGAAAATGAATGTAGCAAATGAGGAGCTATTATCTTTCTCAAGCAAAGTGACGTACATTGAACACTTTTAGCTAATGCAGCTCTCCATGTTCTATGTTGTACCTTAGTGGTTTGTGATGTTAGCAGATCCACAAAGAAGTAACTATTGCCCTCAAACGTAATGCAAGAGAACAATATTTTTTTCAGCAGCTTCTATGAACTAGGGACTGTGCTATGCGCTTTCTGCTTTCACATATATTTTTTTAATCCTCCCTAATAAAACATCCCAGATTCTTGGACCTCGATGTCAAGAGAAGAATATGATATTGCTGTTGCTTTTGCAAGCTTTTCTGTTTCATCACTGGCATCTCTAGCAGTTGTTGTGGGAAATCTCTCCAAAAAGCCAGGCAGAACAATTGGTAATGCTTCACGCATAATAGACCCATTTGCAGATGAGGTTACAATCTGCTTCTCGCATCCGTTCTAAGAAATGCAAATCTTTACATTGCCTGTTTATTTATCTGGACTTCCACTTTCAGGTCCATGATACAAAATCAGAATTTGTAACAATATTTAAAAATCGACTGTATTCACAAAATACTATACATTTATAAGCTACCATTTCAACATTATTTTCTACCATTTTCCTATAAGTAAACAAAATTCCATGAATTTAGCTGACACTAGAGTTCTGTAGTTCTTGCTGCCTAAAGAGAATCTCCTAAGATTGCAGTGAGCTGAGATCGTGCCACTGCACTCCAGCCTGGTAACAGAATGAGACTCTGTCTCAAAAAAAAAAAAAAAAAAAAAATCTCCTAAATTCATCTGCTTCTCTCCGTTTTATAGGCCACAGTTCTAATCCCTTCTATTTTTCACTGCATGGTTGCAATAATGGGAGATGTTCTGAGTGTTTACTATGTACCAGACACTGTTTTGAGTGCTTTACACATATGATCACACTTAATCCTAATACCATCTTTAGAGATAGGAAGTATTTGCACACCCATCTTTGGATATAGAAACTGAGGCACCAAGAAGTTAATTTTTTTGCCCACAACCTGTGACAGAAGTGGCAACCAAATTCAGGCAGACTGACTCCAGAGCCCATGCTTTGGGCTGTGAGCTTTTATCACAACATTTATGCAAGTTTCCTAACTGGTTTCCCTGCATTCACTCTTGACCTTCTAGGAAACGTCTCCACCCTGTAGCTTGTTTAAAGCTTGTTCTGTCTACAACACAATACTATTATTAGCTATAGTTCTCATGCTGTACATTACACCTCTGGATTTCTTCATCCTATGTAACTGAAAGTCTGTATGTACACTTTGGCCTACTTTTCCTTATTTCCTCCCGCTTCCTGCACTAAGACAGTAGATTTTAGGTGCTCTTACAGTAACAACAAAAGGTAACTATGTTAGGTGGTGGATAGAATGATTTGCTTAACTGCAGTAATCATTTCACTATGTATATGCATATCAAAACAACTTATATCCTTGAATATACATGATAAATTCATTCTGATCATATCACCCTCTTGCTTGAAACTTCCAATGGCTCTCCTCTGTTTTAAGTATAGATTCCAGACGCTTTTTCATGGGTCTCAGGGCTCTGCATCGTCTGGCCTTCCCCACCTGCCAGCCTCATCTTGCTATGGTCACTTTTTTTTTTTTTTTTTTGAGACGGAGTCTCGCTCTGTCGCCCAGGCCGGACTGCGGACTGCAGTGGCGCAATCTCGGCTCACTGCAAGCTCCGCTTCCCGGGTTCACGCCATTCTCCTGCCTCAGCCTCCCCAGTAGCTGGGACTACAGGCGCCCGCCACCGCGCCCGGCTAATTTTTTTTGCATTTTTAGTAGAGACGGGGTTTCACCTTGTTAGCCAGGATGGTCTTGATCTCCTGACCTCATGATCCACCCGCCTCGGCCTCCCAAAGTGCTGGGATTACAGGCGTGAGCCACCGCGCCCGGCCGCTATGGTCACTTTTACCCTGTGTGCTTTAGGTCCATGAGCCATCTGATTATGTAGAAGAATATATGGTGCTCTCTCCTTCTTCAAGGGCCCTTGCAAGAGCAGTTCTTCCACCTGGATTGTTGAGATTGCTTTCCTTGTATTCTGTTTCAGATCTTACTGCCAATAGCTCTCTCTTATTCTTAGACATCCATGACCCTTCTTTGCTTGTTTTTTTCCATACCTCCCTGATTCTCCCTCTTCATCCCCTTTGTGTGCTTCTTTCCCCTTTTACCTCGGGGATCCATGCGAGTTCCTGCCTACCCTCAAGTCTTCCACTCCTTCTCAGCTCATAAACTCTTCTGGGGTTAAGCAAACCTATGGCTTAAACTAATGCTACTGTGAATTCTTGCCAAATTTCATTTTAAGACTTCATGCTGGCCTTCAGCTTCTTATATACAGCTGACTTCTAGTTGTCTCTTCTGGAAATGTGCCCAAGGACTTCAGATTCAATATGTTCAAAACTGTGTCCATTATCTTGTAAACTGCCAATTACTCATGTTATTTCCGCGGTCAATGGCTTTTCCATTCAGTGAATCGTCTGTACCAGAAACCTCAAGATCATTCTTAACCTTCCTCTTTTATTTACTAGGTCTTTGAGTCCCATCAAACTAATCTGTATTTAACGTGCTTTGCCTTCTCCATTCCTGTTATCTTTAACCTGGTTCTGACATACATCATCGCTCTTCTGAAATAGTGCAAAACCCATCCAGGTGGTTCATACTCCATATTACCTCTAACAGGAGGAATCAAATCAAAGGGCTCAATTTAATCAATATATCTGACAAGCAGGAACACCCCATTAAAATAGAAATTTTATTGATATATGATCAGTGACTCGGTGATACAAATTCCCTTGACCTAGTCTTAGCTATTTCACAGAATTCTACCAGTTCTATGTTGAGAATGAAACAACAGTAGAAAAAGCCACAGTGGCGGTAGCTACCACCACAACCTTCCTATAACAACCTCCAGGATTTATGGCACTTGGATTGTAAATTGGGCCCAGTTCAAACGTTTCATATGTCTTATTTAATCTATGTATTCATTTGAAAGTGATCTTGATGCAGTAGTGGATTTTAAAAAATCTATACCTTTCTAACAGGACCAGATTCTCTTTGGGAACCCATTTCCGTTGTGTGTAGTATTGGTGAGATTATAACTCACGTGCCCTGCGTAAACTGGCAAGGGGGTGGTGGGCTCAAGCAAGGGCAAGTGAATGGTCCACAGGGACTTTAAATGTTAAAGAGAGACATAAGAATGGAACAAAATATTAGAGGCTCATTTACTTCCACAGCAGTGCTTGAATGAGATGGGTTAGTAGTCTTTTTAGTCAGACCATCAATACCATGCTGATTCCTGTCCTAATGCATGTTCTGTTTCCAAGCCTGGCTCTCCAGCCTCTAGCTATTTGTCTATTCTTGAGCCGCCTAAATAGTTTACCAATACATTCCTTTTCTTCTTCCTTTTCCTTTTTCTTTTTCTTCCTTTTTGTCTTCTTCCTCCTCCTCTTTTTCTGTGGTTTAGATTAATGAAAGTGGATTTCTGTTTACTGAAGCCATAGAACCCCAGCTGATATGGAGATTATCTTATGAGAACCGTTTGTGTTACAGATGGGAAAACTGTGGTCTCTCTGTAACTTGCCCCAGGTTATACAGTGAGTTAATGGCAGGATCTAGACTGAAAGCATCTTTCATCATTCCTAGTCCAGTATTCTTAATGGCATAGTGGTTCAAGAATGGTCCCTAGGCCCACAATCTCCTGGTCTGAACACTTGGTTTTACCACATACTTTTCTGTTTGATTTTGACTATGTCACTTAATCTCTTTCTGCCTCAGTTTTCTCTCTTGTAAAATGGGGATAACAATAGCAGCTATCCTATAGGGCTGTTGTTTAGATTATATTGCTTAATATTGCATATGTAAAGCATGCATTCACCATGCATTCGCCATACCTGGTACACAGTAAGAGAGAAATAAGTGTTAGTAATTAATATTGTTATTATTTTCACTGCACCAACTGGTCATTTAGGAATATTGTCATTTAAAATACTTGATAATTTCTAACACAAGTAAAGAATACTTTAATTGAATTATGCAAGTTTTTCTTAGTCAAGGAAGCCTAATTAAGGATATCCAAAGAGCTTCTTCAGCATGGTGTTTGTAGCTTGGTAGTTGATAGCTTCTTCTCTCTCTCTTTTTACTCTGAAAAAAATCACTAAAAAGACTTTTATTTTCTTCTTTTTTCTAACCGATGAAAAGCACATCAAAGTACAGAGTGTTTGACAAGAGGACCAGTTGGTTCCATTCAGGGGCACATTATGAATTGTTCACTTTTGACAGGGGGAACAATTCATTACGTTTTGTTTATGTAGCACCTCCCAAGGGCCCATTTCTAAGTGGTTCACAAAAGGCTTGGTCTCATTGGAACACACTTATCCTTTGGGGTTCCCAGGGACTGAAGATCATGTGTGCAAATAAAATAAACTCACCCTGAAGGCCAGTAATTTAGATTAATAAAGAGCTATGTTTATACAACTCCATTAACAAAATTCTACATGGCAAGTCGAACCCAATTTTCTCAGGCTGCACAACTGTTTCTAAACAAGACTTGATGAAGAATGGTTAGTTTGTGGGTATACACAATAAGGAGAAAGTCTTTTCATAGTCTTCAGATCCCTGAGTCTCTATTTCTATACCCCTCCCCTTTTTCAGGAGGCCACTCAGAGGTTGAAGCAGCTTGAATATGGAAGATTCTGTGTCTGCAGGAGTTAACTCAGGCCCACTATGCACCCACTTAACCCTCCATCCTTCCATCATTCATTGATTCATGTACTTATTTAAGAAAAATCTCTTTCAGGTACACGACAGCACTAGTGTCCCAGCTCTTTGCGCATATCTTGCTCCTCCAATTTGGTAGGAGAACCAGGCAAGGAAAAAGCGTATCAGGATTGAGCGATCCCTACGTTACATAATACCCAGTGACTTCTATCTTGATCTTCATGATGTCCATGTGAAAGACATAGGGCTCAGTTTTATCCTCTCTCTCTGCTAAGAGAATGAATGCCCAGAGACGTTCTAACTTTGGGCAGTTATGAGACTTGTCCAAAAGAAAAGAAACTCCTATTTATTTGGCACGTATTTTGTATCAGGCATGACATGAGAGGTTTTCATGTTCATAATCCTATTGCATTGTCCAGGAGACACTGTGAAATGTGTGTGTGTGTGTGATGTGTGTGTATGTGTATCCACTTGATAGATGAATGAGGAAGCACAGAACAGTTATGGAAATGCTGAGGTCACCAGGAAGTGGGAGGCTAAAAAGTTGATTGTTTTCTAATGGCTTCATTCTGCCTCCCCAGAGACCACATGGGATCAAAGCCCTCACCCACTGCCAACCCTAGTCCTTCTGTGACATCCTGGCTTTCTTCCCCTTTTCTCCCAAGGTTTCAATGAGAAGGGTCAGAAAGGAAAACCACAGTGCCAACACAAATAGCTGAGGAAGGACCAGGGTGGAGAAGGGCCCTTGGGAGTGTGTGGTTGTACAAAGATAACATTTTCCACGAGGGCTAAGGAGCCCAGGGACCATGTGCCTTTCCCATTGGCATTTCCTGACCAGTGGCTGATCAGCCTTTCCCTCCTTATTTATACCCTGACTCAACAATGATGGAGGTTTGTGCTCTGAGAAGTCTTTGTAAACTCTTCCTAGAAATTCTGTTCTTTTGGCTCCTGTACTGGCTCTCATTATTTTCTTTTCTTCCTAGATGCTTAGCTCACTTGAATTCAACGATTCTCTCTGTTAGGTGATCCCATATCTGTATTTCCAGCCTAGGCCTGTCTCTTGAGCACCATGCATCCCATTCATGAGGGTGCCCATGTATCTGTATCTGAATCTGTCTACCAAGGTACTCTATTCTTGCATTCTCTATTTTAAGTAACAGTAACACTCTGTACCTTGCATCTTCTAATCAAAATTAATTTATTGATTGAAGGTCATTACCAATGGACTTATCTCACAGTCTTTTTTTTTCCCCTTAATTTGAGTACTTATCAGACAATGTGCTAAATGCTAATGCACAAAACATAGAAAACGAAGTCCTAATCTTCATTAAGCTTCCAGCCCATGATTGCATGCATATTGTGTGTCTGTATGTGTGTGTATTTGGAAGGTGCAGAACAGTAAAGACAATGCTCTAATGCAGTGTGATTGGTGCTATAATAAAGGTAAAATTAGACTACACAAAAGAGTTGCTGAACTCTGAACTCAGATAGGAGGAGGGGTAGTTAGTGGTGCTGGAGAAGCTTCCTAGGGGAGACAAATGGATCATTTGTCCTTTCTCCCACAAAATTTTACCTCTTTGAACCCTTTCTTTTGCTAGGAGAGCTCTTCCCATCTTTCTCCCTCTACTTCAATACTCCTTATCTCTCAGTTCCACAAGTCTTAACTCCAATATTTCTTCCTTGAAGGTCTTCCCAATGTCTACAGGTAGCACCAGTCAGATTTCTCTCTGCATGATGTTTACTCTTCCATTATAACTCTGCATTCTTCTGCCTGTCATATGGTGATTTTTCCACATATGTTACCCTCCTAGGGTTAACCCTTTTCTATGCATTTCTGTGGCCCTCCCTGCTCTAGCACCAGCCTCCAGGCTCAGACTGTGGTAGACATGTTTATTGTTGTGTGAGTTTGTCAAGGGTGGTAGGGAGTGCACACAGATTCATCAACACTCTTACATACTCAGTCACTCTGAGACCAATGGGCAATTAGTAATAAAGTAGACAGACTGATGCTACCTGGACTAGAGAGAGGCTCTATCATGGGGCCCAAAGCAACTGAGCTATTGGCTACCATGTGGCCATTTAGTGGCTGGTATAGAGCAGTTGCTCAATAAAGATTGCTTGAATAAATGAATGTATTTAGAGGTGAAGGTATGGAAGAGTAGAAGTCCTTTCCTCCCAACTGCTACTATTGCTATAGTAGAGCAATCTATCCCTCACTAACTACTACTACTAAAGGTGTTGCTCTAATCTTAGGTGTAATTTAAACATGCTGTGTATTTGAAACAATTTCTTTGGAAGACAGGAAGAATTGGAAACATAGGTAACACATTTTAAGGATTTACCCTTATGCTAGGTACTCTCTAAACTTTTTTTCTTTTTTTGAGATGGAGTCTTGCTCTGTTGCCCAGGCTGGAGTGCAGTGGCGTGATCTTGGCTCACTGCAACCTCTGCCTCCTGGGTTCAAGCAATTTTCCTGCCTCAGCCTCCCAAGTGGCTGGGATTACAGGCATGTGCCACCACACTTGTCTAACTTTTGTATTTTTAGTGGAGATGAGGTTTCACCATGCTGGTCAAGCTGGTCTTAAACTCCTGACCTCAAGCAATCCACCTGCCTCAGCCTCCCCAAGTGTTGGGATTACAGGGGTGAGCCACCGCACCCGGCCACATTCTTATATAACCAAATTTTATCTTCCTATAGATTGTAGGAGGTAATATTACTATCCTTGCTTTAGAGATAAGGATATGAAAGCTTACAGAAGTTATAAAAGTCATATAGATAACATGTGGCAGGGCTGGAGTTCGAAGTATGGCTTGCCTTAATCCAATGCTCATTTGTTTTCAGGGCCCAACCTATAATATTTTCAGTTCATTAAAAGCTGAAATATGTGTCTGGCTAAAGATTCAGTCATCATTTCATTCCAGGTCCTCCAAAACCCTTTAATTGTCTGGGTGAAGGAAATGTAAACCCTGTTAGAGGTGAATTTCTTATTTCTATATTTTATTTGTCTTAAGAAGCACATTTTCAAGGGAATGAGGCAGACTTTTCAGCTCTCTCTGACTGGATTGTGTGCTGGTCAGGATGATGCTGATATGTTAGTATCCATGGGATGTCAGTTCTCCTCACAAGCTCTATCTGTCTGCGGCCACCATCAATAAAGCCCTTTAAACAGATCTGTACATTTGGGGGCCGGCTGGTGAGGCACGTGCCATGAAGCACCCCTCCCTAATAATCAAACTCTTGTAAGCTGTGTTGAATGAGATTCTTTCTCCCAGGGGCTGTATATGTTTGTTTGCTGGCATGGTCCTAATGATTTAAAGAAAAATGCCGGAAACCAGTCCCGCGCTCTTCCCTGAAAGGAACATTGGCCCTTTGTTCAAGAAATGCATTTGCAGAACGGCTTCTGAGCAAGTCCTTGGAATTCCTCATGGTTTATATGTCTTTGTAAGCTCCTGGCATTGAAGAAGCAAGGTTTTTATTTGGCTTTTTTCTCCCTAATGAATCCAACATTGTATTGAACACACTCTCACTCAATTTTGATAAAACCAGCAACCCACAAAGCCAACTTGAGTGGAAAGAGCAGGAACATGAGTAAAATTTGACATGCTTATAGGCTGCTTGGCATTAAAAGGTTAGGAATGTGGGTATCGAGGCTGGAGCCCCATTTTTCACTGCATTTTCTTGCATTCTCTTTGTTCAGGGATAGCATCACATTTGTTTTAGTGACTGCAATACTGCTCACATATACAGCATTTAAAAATATTTTCCATGCACCTTCTCACAGTCTACTTTTTGACTTTCTTAGTAGGCCCACTGGCTGACTTTGAGGGAAGAACAAGGGGTAGCTTGGGAGATTAGGGATTTGTGGTAAACGGATCCATGTTACAAACCTTGCTTCCTCGACTCCTATCTATGTGATATAGGGAAGGTTCAGCTCTGTGAACCTCACTGTCCTCTATATAAAAAATGGAGATAATAAGGCTATTTGCTTACATGATTGTGATGGGGATTAAATAAGATAAGGTGAGTTGCCTAATACAATCACACCTCAGGTGCTTGACAAACAGCTGCCTCCCTCCTCCTCTTCTGCTCTGTCTTCCTTGAAAGGCAAGCACACTGAGTGGCAAGTAAGTTAATAGACAAGTTGTATTAGTTTGCTTGGGCTGCCCAAGCAAAGGTACTGCAGAATGAGTGGCTTAAATAACAGCGTTTTTTGTTTTCTCATAGTTCTGTAGGCTTGAAAGCTAAGATTGAAGCGTTGGCAGGATTGGTTTCTTCTAAGTCTTCTCTCCTTGGCTTGTAGATGGCTGTCTTTTCCTGTGTCTTCACGTGGCCTTTCCCCTGTGTGTGTCTGTGTTCTAATCTCCTCTTCTTTTTTTTTGAGAAGAGATTTCATTCTGTCACCCAGACTGGAGTGCAGTGGCATGATCACAGCTCACTGCAGCCTCAACCTCCCAGGCCCAAGTGATCCTCCTGCCTCAGTCTCTCAAATAGCTGGGACCACAGGCATGTACCACCATGCCTGGCTAATTTTTAAATTGTTTGTTGAGATGAGGTCTTGGTATGTTGCCAGCCTGGGCAATATAGCAAGACCTCATCTTGCCAGGTTCTCAAACTCCTGGGCTCAAGTGATCCTACTGCGTCAGCTTCCCAAAATGCTGGGATTACAGGTATAAGCCACTGCACCCGGCCTTTTCTTCTTATAATGACACTAATAATACTGGATTAAGGGCCACCCTGATGACCTCATTTTAACATAATTACCTCTTTAGTGAATCTATCTCCAAATAAAGTCACATTCTGAGGTATTGAGGATAGGGAGGGCTTCAACATTTGAATTTTGGAGAGACACAATTCAGCCCATAACACAGGTGGAGCCTGGTTGGCACCAGTGAAAATTCTGAATATAGAAGAACATGTAATTCTGTGTCTTCCCTTCTCCAAATTCTCTGAGTGAGCCACAGGCAAGTGGTACTTGGCTGTCCCCTGCATCCCAGATTTTATCTGGCTTAAGTCCCATCTTAAGTCTCACTTCCCCAATTAGATTTAATGTCTTTTGAGGCCAGCATGTTTTGGCCACATTTGTAGCTCTGAGCTCATGTTTCACCATGATGGGAACAAGAAAACACTTCAGAGGCTGTTCAGTGTATCCTGGGATGTATCCTGGATTATACAGCATCACATGCCTAGAATATAGCTAGATTCTTAGGAAACGTTCATGCATTCTTTCAGCAAACATATATTGAGCATGAATAATAGTCTTTGCCCTTGAGAAGCTCACAACCTACTGGGGAAGACAGACTAATAGACATAACCTCTGATTAATAAACATAGTTTCATTGGAGCATGACAGGCGTAGTAAAGAGGGCTACAGGAGCACAGATAGGAGGGGTTAAAGTTTGGGAGAAGTGGCAGGTAGTCTGGGAAGGCTAGAATTCTTGGGTTTTGTTCCTGAGAGTATGGACCACAGACTAGCATTACTGGAATCACCGGGAACTTGTTATCAATGCAGAATCTCAGGCTCGACCTCAGAGCTATAGAATCAGAACCTGCTCTGTTGCTGGGCTTGCAGTACAGACACTGAAAATCAAGGTACATGCAAGGGATAGAATATAAATGAGTACAATAGGTGAGTGTACGAAAAATCATATAGCTCTTAGTCTGTAATTTATTTTCCCCAGCTTTTTATAGAGCTATAATTTTTGAGAGATAGATAGCAACAAAAAATAAGTGTTCTCCCTTTCATACACTACAGTTACTGTCAAAGGTGGATATCTGTTTGGAATTTATATTTCTCTGTCCACCTTGCATCTGGCATAGACATATGACTAGCTCCTACCAATGAAGTGTGAAAGGAAATGATGTATGTCCCTGATATGATTTGGCTCCATGTCTCCACCCAAATCTCATCTTGTAGCTCCCATAATTCCCACATGTTGTGGGAGGGACCCAGTGGGAGGTGATGGAATCATGGGGGTGGGTCTTTCCCATGCTGTTCTCATGACAGTGAATGGGTCTCACAAGATCTGATCTGATGGCTTTAAAAATGGGAGTTTCTCTGCACAAGCCCTCTCTTTGCCTGCTGCCATCCACGTAAGATGTAACTTATTCCTCCTGGCCTTCTACCATGATTGTGAGGCCTCCTCAGCCATATGGAACTGTAAATCCAATAAAACTCTGTCTTTTGTAAATTGCTCAGTCTCGGGTATGTCTTTATCAGCAGTGTGAAAATAGACTAATACAGTCCCCTCTGGCCCAGGGCTCTTAAGAAACAGATGGGGATTTTCTACTCTCCCTTTCCCGATTCTTTGGGTGAAGGCAAAATATTGAAGCCCAAGGAAATCACACAACTACAAGATGGAAGGAGCCTGGGTCCCTGAGTCTTCATGTGGAGGAAAACCACCACCATCAACTGCTGCAAGACTATAACATAAACCTGTATTGCATTAAGTTTTGGAGATATGTGAGGATCTGCTTTTACAGCAGCTAGTGTTCCCCTAACTAATACCCATGGACAAACTATTTACCATAAGGACAACAACAACATAATCACAGTAACGAATGGAACTGACACTGACCTGCAGTGTTGATGAAGCAATGGGGAGTGGTGGGGCCTGTGGTGAACTGGAGCACGCCTGCCGTGTAAAAGGACACCTCTATTCACCTCTAGCTGATCACTGCCTTGTAGAAATATAGGCTCAGTATTGTCAGACTTCCAATTTAAAAATCCTGGCTCCCTTAAAACAAAACAAAACAAAACTCTGTGCCAAATGAAACACATCTATTGGATCAGTCTATTGTTGGTAGCCAGATTGCATATTCTTCGCTAGCTGGTAGCCATCAATGAGGCCACCTTTTGCCACTCTGCTGTCACCACCAAAAATTGTGCATATGAGGGAGCTGTGAGGGCTTTTGGAATAAGGCATTGTTCCTAGTAAACACACCTGAAATGATTGTTGTATGATTAATAGAACAGAGGATGACTTCCAGCCCCCAGGGCTGTTGGTAAGATTGCTGCTACTACCGTGGCTCCTGCTTCTGCTACTAGCATTTATGCACTGTGGCTTTTGCTGCTATGCTGTAACCATTATGTGCTGTTTTGTCCCCTGACAGCTATTTTTTTCTTTCATTTAATCCTTCCAACAACACCCTGAGCAGTATTGTCAGCATTCTATTTTGCTAGAGAAAAGCTGAGGCACAGAGGAGTGGCTTACTGTGGCCACGTGGCTCACAGTACCAGAGCATTCTCACCTTGAACCTTGCTACTTGAGCCTGGGGAGTTTCCTAGGCCCCCTGACATGGTCCAGTGGAGGCCACCTTGAACACTTTGGAGATGCTTAGGTTCAGAATGGTGTAGTATAGAGGACCAGAGTTGGGTCACCTTGACCTGTCAGTCTTATGACAAACTCCACTTCTATTTGGAGGGGTTTTTCAATGTTGAGTGTGGGAAGGAAGGACTTGAAGGGAGAGAAAGCAGAGTTGGTTATTTCCCCCCTTTTCCCTAGATGAGGGGGTGTGGCACTCGGCATCTAGGTCTGTGGAAGTTATATTCCTTCTCTGTGCCTTAAAAGGGAATACCATGTCTTTCAGGGGATTCTGAACATCTCTGAAGCTATCGGTGCCCCTCAATGGATCTCTGTAACTTTTTAGCTGTGTGGCCATGTGCAAATCACTTGACCATTTTGAGACTCAGTTTCCTCCACTGTAAAATGAAGAGACTAGAACAGCACCCGTGGTGGAGAGTAATCTTAGGGCTCGAGGAGATAATAAACAGTAAAGGCTGTGCTGGGCACAGAGTAGGTCCGCTGTAAATGTTAATTGAATCATCAGCAGCCTGAAAGCATTTTGTGGATGGACCTGAATGAGCTGCACACACGAGTGATCATCATTCTTCACGGGCCGGGGCATCTGCCAGCTTGCCGATGAATCTGTCCCCAAACTACCAAGCCTGGGCTGTGGACGCATTTCTGGATGCCCAGAGGCCGGCTTTGCAAAGAGAAGCAAACAACAGCATCTATTCACAGGGTCTTAGGCTTGGCCTGCCAGAGCCCACGAGGGGTTTGGACTCAGAGAGCTATTGAAGGGAAGCCACAAAGACACGTTTTCTCCCCTGCGGCCTGGAGTGAAGACAGAGCGGCCCAGGCACAAGAAGGGGGTTGTTTTGCGTCAGCCGGCAGCCGGCAAATTCTGTCAAAGCAGCTGAAGGAGAGAAGTGGTCAAAACACCCAGGAAAAGCAAGAGCTGTGGCACGGGCAGGAGATAGGAGATAAGGAGGCTGCTGCGAGCACACTGGCCCCTTCATGGGCGCTGGCAGCCACGCTCCCGCCATTGTCTGGCACCGCAGGCTGTGATGATGGGGCCTTTCTTCTTTTTCTTCTTAAAGAAAGAATTTATGTCAGAGGAAAGAGAGTGTGCGTTGTATGAACAGTGACTGCCAAATGAAAATCTTTGGTGTTAAAATAGTGAGGCCCCAAATCAAAATGGCCCTTTGTCCTGTGGTGGAGAAGGTGGGAGGGGCGCCTTCCGTTGCAGGCTGGCTGCCTTCTCCTGGCTGCTGCACCAGCGAGGTTCTTGCCGTTACAAATGGATGTCAGGGTGGCTGTCCCTGCTTCATGTCCAGACCCTGCTCCCAGCCATTTCCCTGGGGTCCTCTCACCCTCATGGCTCTGGTTCATGCTGTCCCCTTTGCCCCCTGCCTGGAAGAATTATCCTTTTCCTACTCTTCTTCCTTGTCCTGTCCAACAGGCACCTCAAATTCAACATGTACAAAATGGATCCTGGTGTCTTTATTCCCTGCATCAGAAGTAGCTCCTGAGTTTTCATCATGGAAAGGATTCAAGGAAGGCATCAACCTTTGTGAAAAGAGGATGAAGGAACCAGGGGATTTATCACAAATCTGTTCACACCACCCTATGCTTGTCCATAGCAAAGAATTGGGGTGGGGGCTGATGAGGATTGCAGAGGGAGAAACTAATGGCTCCTTCCAAGGAGTTTCATGGAAATGATGATCCTGTTCCCGTCATTGCTCCTCCTGTGCTTCTGTGCTGGCTGATGATGTTGGTTTGGATAGAATCCATGCAGAGGTGGTAATTTTCAAACCAGCTCAGTCCCATTATCTTACAACAAGCATTTACTGAAGGCATGCTATGTGCCTATCACTGTCAACCAGACAAGGACCTGCATACCTGTAAGTAAGACCATAGCCCTAGAGACTGAGGTCAGCTGAACTCATGAGTCCTGCTTTCCATCCATGGAGAGCCAAGGCTCTCAGAGTGTCCTTTGGGAACAGAGATGACTGAGCAGGGGTTCACCTAGGCTGGTTTGGAATTCACAGTGTTTTTTTTTTTTAATTACAAACTAGAAATCCAATTTTTTATAAAAAAGGATAAACTCGAAGTTGTAATCTCTAGGGAGACATTTATAGCATCTTCTTTGACTTCAGCATGTGAAAGAGTAAGGAAGGATAGTCCAGGCCAAGGAATCAACTTTTGCAGGGAAGGGAATTTTGTAGGGTAGTCAGAGGCCAGTGTGTCATTCTCTGCGGTTACAGTGTACTGTAGGTGGTGCGAGGTGACATAAGCAAAAGTGCCTGGAGCTTAGTGGGTGATGACTAAATCAGTATTCTTTTCCTTTCTTTCCCTTTCCCTAAGCCTCGGCTGATGCTTCTCTGTCAAATCAGGTTCATTGTCAGCCTGCTGGGTTTTTTTTTTTTTTAGTATATCGACTATAGTTAAGACTTCAATTTTTCCAATTAGTATTTTAAATTATATAATAATTAAATTCATCCTGTTAAAAAATTAACCCTTGTAAAAATGATTATTCTTCTCTCCAGAATGAAGTGCTGTTACATTTTTCTTACATATCCTTCAGAAAGACTTCTGTATATATAAATGTCCATATGTTTTCTTCTTTTCAAAATAAATCATATTATAAATTATCCTCTGTCCCTTATGCTTCATTTAATAAAGTAACAAAGAGCTCTTTATTATCAGCCTGTAAAAATCTGACTCTCTCTTCTAAACAGCTGCATAGCTTTCTGTGATGTATTTCACCAAGCTTCTTTTGTTTTCAGTAATTGTCTATTAAAATTTGCATCAGTGAATATTATTATGTGTATTTATTTGCAAACATATCTGTATAGTATATTTCAGGAAGCAGTATTTCTTGGTTAAATGGTATGTACATTATTATTTTTGAGAGATATTGCCAAATTGTCTTCTGACAGTAAATAGCCTCTACAGCAAATAGCTGTTTCCTCACATGCTCATCAATACTGGGTGCTATCAGACTTTTTAATATTTGCTGATATTATAAGGGAAAACTGGCATCTTAATGTTTTAAAGTGCATTTCTTTAAGTGTGAGTGAGGTTAGGTATTGTTTCATGTGTATTAACCATTCCAGTTTATTCTTCTCTAAAGCACCTGCATCTTTCTTGTCTTATTTTTTGTTAAATTTTATATCTGGTTTTTGTTGATTTGTAATTATATATTTCTGGTAGACAGCCTTGAGGAAGTGCCCAGTAATCTTCACCTCTTAATATTCATCATCCTGTATAATCTCCTCCTCTTGAGTGTAGGATGGACTTATCGACTCACTTGCAATGAATTCAGCACTGCAAAAGTGATGGGATCTCACCTCCAATATTGGGTTATAAAAAGACTGTGGCCTCTGTCTTGGGTGCTCTTTCTCACATGTTGATAGGTTGTCTAGCTCTTACTCTATTGGAATACAGCTGCCATGTAAAGAAGTCCAGGTTGTTCTGAAGGAGAGGCCAAATGCAGCAGAAGGCCCAGGAGGATAAGAGCTGACATGGGGGAAAACTCAGCCAACCTGGCTGACAACAAGCACCAACTGCTTTCCATGTGAGTGAACCTTGGAAGAGGATCTTCCAGACCGAGTTGAGCCGTCAGATGACTGCAGCTCCTGCTTGCAGCTTGACTGCCAGGATTAGACAGATTAGAAAAAGACAGACTGGGCTGGGTGCAGTGGCTCACACCTGTAATCCCAGCACTTTGGGAGGCCGAGGTGGGTGGATCACCTCAGGTCAGGAGTTCAAGACCAGCCAGGCCAACACGGTGAAACCCCATCTCTATTAAAAATACAAAAATCAGCTGGGTATGGTGGTGTGTGCCTGTAATCGCAGCTACTAGGGAGGCTGAGGCAGGAGAATCGCTTGAACCTGGGAGGTGGAAGTTGCAGTGAGCTGAGATCGTGCCACAGCACTGCAGCCTGGACAACAGAGTGAGACTCTGTCTCAAAAAAAAAAAAAATAAAAGAAAAAGAAAGACTGTGTTCTTTTGCTTATATTTGCAAATACAATCTGTTTGATATATAATACAATACTGGGGAATCCAGAAAAGTATAGAAGTATAGGGAAGTGAAACAGATATGCATTCAATTTCTAATTCTGTCTCTTATTGGCTGTGGTCTTAGGCAGGTTAATTAACCACTCTAAACCTCAGATTCTTCATAATATTGTTGCTATATGTGGGTCACATATACCCATATAAAGAACAGATTAAATGCATTTTGCAAGGGCAAAGACTTGCCTACTTAAAATTACCAATACTCCTCAGTACTCCTTAAGTTATCAATATGGGTAAGATTTTGGATGCAGGATGAAATTAAAATCCTAATCAAGGAATGTGGAAGTCCCAGCCAGAGCAATCAGGCAAGAAAAAGAAATAAAAGGCATCCAAATAGGAAAAGAAGAAGTTGAGCTCTCTCTACTGATGATACAATGCAATACCAGAAAAAACCCTACAGACTCTGCCAAGAAGCTCCTGGAACTGATAAACAACTTCAGTAAAGTTTTGGGGTACAAAATTAACGTACAAAAGTCAGTAGCATTTCTATACATCAATTACTTTCAAGCTGAGTGCCAAATCAAGAATGCAATCCCATTTAAAATAGCTGCAAAAATATTAGAAATACATCCAGCCAAGAAAGTGAAAGTTCTCTACAAGAACTACATAACACTGATGAAAGAAATTGTAGATGACAGAAACAAATGGAAAAACATTGTTAGACTCCCTATCATTAAATGGCTATACTGCCCAAAGCAATCTACAGATTCAACACTGTTTCTATCAAACTACCAAATGTCATTTTTCACAGAATTAGAAGAAACTATTGTAACATTCATATGAACCAAAAAAGAGCAAAGCAATCCTAAGCAAAAAGAATAAAGTTGAGGGCATCACATTATCCCACTTCAAACTATGGTAAAGGCAACAGTAACCAAAGCAGCACAGTACTGGTATAAAAACAGATGGATAGACCAATGGAACAGAATAGACAAGCCAGAAATAAATCTGTACACCTACAGCCATCTGACCTTCAGCAAAATTGGCAAAAATAAGCAGTGGGGAAAGGACTCCCCCTTTCACCATATACAAAATTTAACAAAAGACGAATTAAAGATTTAAATGTAAGACCTCGAACTGCAAGAATCCTGAAGGAAAGCTTAGAAAACACCATGCTGGACATCAGCCTTGGGAAAGAATTTATGACTAAGTCCTCAAAAGCCATTGCAACAAAAACAAAAATTGACAAGTGAGGCCTAATTAAACTAAAGAGCTTCTTTATAGCAAAAAAACCCCCAAAGAACAAAAAACAAAAAACTATCAACAGAGTAAACAGGCAACCTACATAATAGGAGAAAATATTCACAAACTTGACATCTGACAAAGGTCTAATATTTGGAACTTAAACAATTGAACAAGTAAAAAGCAACCCCATTGAAAAATGGGCAAAGGACATGAACACATACTTCTCAAAAGAAGACATACAAATGGCCAAGAACACAAAAAAATGCTCAACATCACTAGTCATTGGAGAAATGCAAATTAAAACCATGAGAGACCATCTCACACAAGTCAGAATGGCTATAATTAGAAAGACCAAAAAACAAAAACCAAAAGAAAACAAACAAACCCAGATGCTTGGGAGACTGCAGAGAAAAGGGAACACTTGTACACCACTGGTGGGAATGTAAATTGATTTAGCCACTGTGAAAAGCAGTTTGGAGATGTCTCAAATAACTTAAAACAGAAGTACCATTTGACCCAGAAGTCCCATTACTGGATATATAGCCAAAAGAAAATAAGTTGTTATACCAAATAGACACATGCATTCATATATTCATTGCAGCACTATTCACAATAGCAAAGACATGGAATAAACCTAGGTGCTCATCAATGGTAGATTGGATAAAGAAGACGTGATACATATATATCATGGAATACTATGCAGCCATAGTCCTTTGCAGCAACATGGATGTAGTTGAAGGCCATAATCCTAAGCAAATTAATGCAGAAACAAAAAACCAACTACCGTATGTCCTCTCTTACAAGTAGGAACTAAGCATTGTGTACTCATGGTTATAAAGATGGCAACCACAGACACTGGGAACTACTAGAGAGGGGAGGGAAGAAGCGAGGAATGGGTTGAAAAACTATTGGGCACTATGCTCAATACCTAGGTGACGGGATCAATTATACTCCAAATCTCAGCATCATGTAATATACCCAGGTAACAAACCTGCACATGTACCCTCAAATCTAAAATAAAAATTAAAATTACGGAAAAAAAATCAAGGAATGCTGACTTTCCAAGAAACAGGACCTATTTTGAGACTGGCCTCATAATATATAATTTATATTCAATATTTTATATAATCCTGTCCTCACTGTAGCCTTTCCAAACAGGTATTATTATCTTAATTTAACAGATGAGAAAACTGAGTCTCAAAGAGACTAAATAACCTGCCTAGGAACACGAGAACACTAAATGGGTTAGTCAGGATTTGGACCCAGTTCTGTTCAATCCCCAGTCTCATGTTCTTTCTCCTTCTCTACATTGCTTCATCCAATTAAGAAAAATCCATTAATGCGACATACTTATTATTTGTAAAGCTATATTCTAAATTCATTGTTTATACCTCAGTCCTTTCATTTTCAGTCCTACACAGGTTTCCCCTTCAACAGGGAATCTTGCTTTGCTCATCAAGCTGAGGTCGAGGAAGTCAGGCAGAAGATTTAACGTTGACATTCACAAGGCTCTAGAACAGCTAGTGATAAATTTCTTCCCATCCCTTCCCCTGAACACTCTTTCAAAAATAAAGGATTGCGACCTGATCCTGCCTCTTGCTCTTTGATTGTTATTACATTCTTTTTGGATTAAGCGTGTTCAATTTCCTTGGGAGGAATAAAGTATGGCCATTTAAGCGAGGCGAGTGTAAGCCCCTTCAGTAAACTCTTTAACGGGGGTTTTTATGAGATGTATTTTCATCTCATTGAGCTTTTTATTTCACTAAGTTTCTTTCATCCATAGAAGCAGGTGAAGAAAGGGAAAATGATAGCAGAGAAGAGAAGAGCTTTAGGAACTTGAAAAGAAAGAGAAAACCGAAAGAAGCTGTCCCCACACTTGTTTACTTATAAGCTCCAACAAGCTCTGTGAATGCCAAATAGCAGAAGTCTTCATCCTTGGTTAGCACTGTGGGATATAAAATAGGTCACTTGTTAAGAGAACTGACCAATTTATTTAGACATTCATTTCATCATTCATTTATGCATAACCATTCATTCATTTATTCACTCACTTGATTGTTAGAGCATCCATCCGTATTAGAAGTCCTGTATTTATCAAGAACAGGATCTGTATTTGATAAGTTAATCAAAAAGAGTTTTTTTTGAAAAGGAAATAAGCATTTAATAAAAGTACACATGTACACCTACATTTTTTTAACTTAAAACTTATGTCTGCATATTTACTCACCCATATTCTGATACAAAGCCAAGTTTGTTTATTGGTTTTAGTCTTCTTTTCCAAAAACAAACAGGCAAACAACAAAAAACAAACAAACAAAAACACCCATAATACATCATCCATGTTTCTAGTTCTAGTTTCCTTTAAGTGGATCAGGAGCTTAAAGATACTTTTGAAGTTATTTGACTTTAGACTTCTATTCATAATTTTTTTCCTCTAATATTTTATGGTTGTTTTTACCAACAATTAATTTAGCAAAAATTTTAAAAAATCAACTTGCCCATTAGAGTACACACATAGAGACCATTCTTGGGTTTGAGGCTCTTTTGAATGTTAGTTTACAGAAAAACCTTTTATTATTGAGACTTCTGACTTATGTTCAGGAAATGACTTTTATGTACAATTTTTTTTTCTTTTTTATTATTATTATACTTTAAGTTTTAGGGTACATGTGCACAATGTGCAGGTTAGTTACATGTGTATACATGTGCCATGCTGGTGTGCTGCACCCATTAACTCGTCATTTAGCATTAGGTATATCTCCTAATGCTATCCCTCCCCCCTCCCCCCACCCCACAACAGTCCCCAGAGCGTGATGTTCCCCTTCCTGTGTCCATGCGTTCTCATTGTTCAATTCCCATCTATGAGTGAGAACATGCGGTGTTTGGTTTTTTTGTCCTTGCGATAGTTTACTGAGAATGATGATTTCCAATTTCATCCATGTCCCTACAAAGGACATGAACTCATCATTTTTTATGGCTGCATAGTATTCCATGGTGTATATGTGCCACATTTTCTTAATCCAGTCTATCATTGTTGGACATTTGGGTTGGTTCCAAGTCTTTGCTATTGTGAATAGTGCCGCAATAAACATACGTGTGCATGTGTCTTTATAGCAGCATGATTTATAGTCCTTTGGGTATATACCCAGTAATGGGATGGTTGTACTCTAATGAACAAAAACTGCTGTTTGAGTCTTTTCAACAAAATGTATGGACACTAATAAGCAATAACAACTATGTATTGAGCATGTTAAAAATCTAAGTAATCAATGGCAGACTGGATAAGGAAAATGGTATATTTCTTTGGGGTGGTACATATACACCATGGAATACTATCCAGCCATAAAAAAGAACAAGATCATGTCCTTTGCAGCAACATGGATGGAGCTGAAGGCCATTAACCTAAGTGAACTAACACAAGAACAGAAAGCCAAACACTGCATATTCTCACTTATAAGTGAGAACAAACATTGAGTATGCAATTTACCTATAAAACAAATCTCCACATGTACCCCTGAACCTAAAATAAAAGTTAAAAAAAAACCTAAGTGGCTAAAAAAAAAAATCAACTTGCCTTTACCAAAAATTTTCAATGAATTCAACTTAGTTTTCATAGAAACACTAATTTCCTTTTTAATACTCGGATTCCACAGGTTGTAGATTATTTTATTAAATACATACATGCAATATTAGCTAACTCTGAGGGCTTCTACTGTTCTCAGTGCTTGACCTAAATTCACTTATTAATTGTCACAACTAGCCTGTAAGGACAATGATATGATTACCCCCATTTCTCAGGGGAGAAAATGGTGGGAACTGGCTTGATAGACATGTACAGGTGACTTTTGATGAACATGTAACCGAATGGATGAGTCCAGAAGTATGTGATTTATAGCATGTAGCTTATTAGCTAGAGCTCTCAGGTTTGTGGGCCTCAGCCAACATGTGTGCACAAGTTAAGAGTGACCAAGTTAGTCTTAAATAAGAGAGTACAGTTAAGAGGACTCTTACTGTAATGAGAGGGAGGATGGAATAATGGAAAGAGGATGCATTTTGGGGTCAAACCAACTTGAGATTGAATAAGGGTGCTGACGATTACTAGCTGCTTAACTCCAAGAACCTCATTCCTTGTCCATAAAATGGGAATAATTGTAGTTTATTGGGTAGTCTGTTTTCTCATTTATTGATTTAATACAAACTTTTTTTTTCAAGCACCTTCTAGTGTTCCAGGCACCAAACAGTTATAAGATTACATAAATAAACAAAACATTAAGTTTCCCTACCCTCATGGAACATGAATTTTGGGTATAGAGAAAAAATAAATAACTAAATAAACATGGTCAGAAGTGCTAGGTAGGAAAATAGGGTAAAATGATACAGACACATAGAATGTAAAGATTCATTTGTTCATTCACTCATTATTGTATGCTCAGTCAACTAGTATTTATTGGATATTAATATTTATTGAATACTTACTATGATTCAGGCATAATGCAATGATGAGTAAGATAACATAGGCAACTATACTAGACGCTACAGCATTATGGATGTAAAGATTAATAGCGGAAAATCCCATATTTTCCAGAAGTTCAGTCTAGCTGGGAAAATCACTGATTAAAAAATAGTATAGTAAACACTCTACCAAAGGAAGCGCAAAAACAATGAGAGCTCAGTGGAGGGAGAGATGGAAATATTTGGAACAGAAATAAAATGGATAAGCATTTAATGTCAGAAAATAAAGTGGACTTTGATGGCCACATTAGGTATCAGAAGTCTGCAGGGCTATCATGCATATTGTGTACTGCACAATTCCAGAAGGTACTCTTCAAAGAAACTAAGATATAAATGGTGGGCCCTAGAATTGTGCAGTGTACAACTTCCAAATCCATACCCTGAGGCCCTACCAGACGCTTTGAAGGCACTGATTTTGACTAATGTTATTTTATATTGAATTGTAAGTGAGGGAGGTGATGGCTGAAAACATGATCTTCTCAGAGCTAAGGACTTCTAGAGGAATATGTTTGGCCCAATGAAATAGATGGCAAAGGAAATAATTTTAATTGTACTGGTAATTTTTATCATGAAGGTATAGATGGATTCAGTTTCATGGGACCTGAAGCTTATATACATAATGAGTATTTTAAAAGAAAAAAGACAATTAGAAATAGAAAATTCTTTATAAAACTGAATATTTATTTGGTATAAGAATAGATATTACAACAAATTAAAAATTACAAAAAGTCAACAGAAGCACTCAATGTGGGGACCTAACCACATTTTCTTGACACTCAGTTTTCTAGTAAATGCCTCAGGTTCCTACTACAAGCTCTTGCACCTCTCCTCCCAATGTTTGAAGGTAGTGGGATGGAAGTGTGGGGGAGTTAATGCCTCTGGGAGCCTGCCACCCCTAGGTGGTGAAGGATGAATATTTTGTTGGAGGATAAACACCTGTTGCATGGGACAACTGTCAAACATTTCCCACGCAAACTCCTAGAGCTCCCCACTGTGATTGGGCTCCAGATACCACAGCAACAACTTGCCCAATAACACATTCTAGAAGTTATCTTCCTTTCTGTCATTTTCTCACCCTCCTGCTAGTATTTTGTGGTCAGGACTAGCTACAGGATTTTCAGGATCCAGTGCAAATTAAAATTGTGAGGCCCTTGTTGAAAAATTATTAAGAATTTCGAAATGGTAATAGCAGAGCATTAAACTAAGTGCAAAACCCTTTTGAGCACAGGCCTCGGGCAACTGCATAGGTTGCTTGTTTGTGGAGCCGTTCTTGGTGCTGGTATCCTGTCTCAAACTGTTTGGATTCTCCCTGTCTCAGGATTTGCTTCTGGGGAAACTCAACCTAATATACAGGGATAGCCCTAAAATCTCCCAGATGAAGACAGAGATTGTGTATTAGTCCATTTTCACGCTGCTGATAAAGACATACCCAAGACTGGGAAGAAAAAGAGGTTTAATTTGACTTACAGTTCCACATGGCTGGGGAGGCCTCAGAATCACGGCAGGAGGTGAAAGGCACCTCTTACATGGCAGCAGCAAGAGAAGATGAGAAAGAAGAAAAAGTGGAAACCCCTGATAAACTCATCGGATCTCGTGAGACTTACTTACTATCACGAGAATAGCACGGGAAAGACCAGCCCCCATGATTCAATTTACCTTCCCCTGGGTCCCTCTGACAACATATGGGAATTCTGGGAGCTACCATTCAAGTTGAGATTTGGGTGTGGACACAGCCAGACCATATCATACTGTATTTTTATCAGTTAAATGCCTGACCCATATTTATAATATTTTTTCTTTACTTTTGACTGTATATTCTCTGATTGTTTCTACATGTAATAGTTTTGTAATATTTTATTTGGAGAAAAATGGAAAGATAATTCAGTCCTTCCTTTAAATCAATGCACAAGGTATTTTTATTTTACATAACTAATAGCTTAGAAAAGCTTCAGCCTCGGAGCCCATTAATAAGTCTTGTAAATTTTTAGAATTGTTATCCAATTTTGAAAAATTTCTGAAGTTTTCTTCTTACATGAGCAATCAGGTTTCAGGGCATTTCTATGTACTGACAAATTCTAAACTCTCTTTTTAATAGCTTTCTACTGTTGCTTTAGCAAATTACCATAAATGTAATGACTTAAAACCATGCACATTTATTACCTTTTAGTCCCGTGGGTCAGAAGTCTAACACAGATATTACTGGAGGGAAATCAGTGTTCTAGCAGGGCTGCATTCCTTTCTGGAAGCTCTAGAGGAGAAGCCATTTCTTTGCATTTCCCAGATTCTAGAGGCCACCCACATTCTTTGACTAGAGATCCTGTTCCTCTGTCTTTAAAGTCCACAGTGTTCTCTTTCATGTATCCTTTCATGACCTACTCTTCTGTCTCTGTTTTCCATTCTTAAGACTCATGTGATTAGATTAGGTCCATCCAGATAATCCAGGATAATCTCCCCATTTTAAGGCTATAACCTTAATAACATCTGCAAGGGTCTTTTGGTGATGTAAGAGAACATATTCACAGGTTCTGGGCATTACAAAATGAGCACCTTTTTGGGGTAGCCAATTTAGCCTACCACGCTCTTTTCACTGATGACATTTATTAACAAGTTTGTCCTTGTTGCCTTGTTTAGTGGTGTATTATGAATTTATTGCTTTGTCAGTGTCAGTTAAACCAGGAGGGAACATAAATATTTTTCCAATGTGTTTATAGGATTCACTCCTCTTTATTAATTGGACTACCAAACTATCTGAGAGCCTATTGATTACTCTATTAAAAATGTTTTCTTAGTGAATTTACTACCTTAGGTATGGTCTGATTGTTTTTTTTTTCTGGCAATTTACTTCTTGAGGTCAGAATAATTTGTACCAATTCTTGTCACTCTTATGAATTGCTGTTATTTCATATTCAATTTTTTATGTGAACTTTGTATCCATTATTTAATATCTAAATTAAAAATGACAAAGGTACCTTTATATATATATTATCATCAGGACTCTGTCATTTCTTACTTATTTAATTGACATGAAATGTCTCTCCATTTGCAGATAAAGAGACACATTACCAACTCACCTTCCACAAAGCTATCCTGCAAATGCTGCAGCCATAGCAATGCCATTGACATGAAGGGAAATATAATGAGAGGGAAGAGTTTCCTAAAGGATTCCAGTTAAAATATCTTATTTTTGCCAATTTTACAAAAAATATACAAGTATGCGAATGCACTGTTAGAGCTTCTGCCAGAAACGTGGAACGGGCCTAAGGCTTAAACTTCTTTAGCGTAATGTAAATATGTCTTCATTGCTGTGGACTGCAGTGGAAGGGAACTTAGCACAGCCTGGAAGTGTCCAGAGAGACTTGCCAGAGGAAGCATTTGCTTAAGCCAAGTCTTAAAGGACAAATGGAATTTAGCCAATCACAGACAGAAAGGAAGGGTCTTCTGGGCAGATGGCATGATTTGCTTAAGCACAGAAGTGTGAGTGGAGTTGTTCAATGTGGTGGAGGAGAAGGAGAGGAGGGAGACAAGGAGATTCAGCTGATGGGAGAGGCAAGAGGAAGAGCATGGGTTTTATCCCATAGAAGAGTTATAAACAGAGATCACAGAGAGCTGGATCTATGTTTTAGAGTCATTATGGTTCTGCCTAAAAGAGAATTGGATGGGGGAGCAGGAGTGACTTCTTTAATCTGTTTTTTTTCAAAGCAAATTTATAACCACTATCCCTGTGGACCAGCACTATCCGGCAGCACTTGCTGGGATGATGGAAATGTTCTACGGCTGCACTGTCCAATGTGGCACACCCCTACATGTGGCCATTGAGCATTCAAAATGTGACAGGTGTGGCCAAAGAACTAAATCTTCAGTTTTATTTAATTTCAAATTTTAAAAATTTAAACAGTCACACACATGGCTAGTGGCTAGCACATGGGACAGCACAGCTTTAGCTCTTCAAAGAGAAAGTCTATGGGATATTCAGGTTCATCAGTCTGAACTTGATAAATTTTAATTTTCGAGGAATCATTCTGGGTTCTAGGAAGAATTTAAGCAGTACAAGACATAGATGGACCATAAATTAATGGAATTTATGATCAGGACAATGCTTTGTGTCAAAAGAGCTGAGTGAATACTAACAAAAAGAATTCAGAATATGTAAACAAAAAATGGCTATGAGAATAAATATTCAGTGCAACATTAGTTGTACACAACCTAAACATGCAAATATTAAGATTGATTAAGAAAATGATAGCCTCCATCCATGCAATGGAATAGTATAAATAATGCAAAAGCATATTTATTTCAGTGGAAAGATGCTTATGATATAGTAGGTAGCAGAAAACCATATTATAAAATCGTTATGAAAACATTTTTAATGAAAATATGCTTAGAAATATGTTAGGTTGTATTAATACATAAAATACAAATAGAGTGGTTATCTCTGAGTTGAAGGCAATTGCTTCATTTTTCTATCTTCCTTTTTTTGCCATCTCTATAGTATCATATTTTTTTTTGCAATGAGAGCGTATTGCTTTTATAACAAGAAAAATAAGAAAACAATAAAAATAAGTTATTTTTTAATTCTTAAAGGAGTGAAGTAGACATCAAGATCTCAAGATCTATTGCAGTTGAGAGAAAAGATATCTCAGTAGGTGAGGGATGGGGTAGGCAGGGAAGTCCTGTCACCAAAGTTGAGCTTTGGAAGGGAAGGGGGAGGTCAGGGTGGAGAAGGGAAGAAACAGTTCTTGAGCCCCTACTGTTTGGTGAATGTTCACATGTGTTATCTTCTTTAATCCCCACCATGACCAGATAAGGTAGGTACCAACATCATGCTGTTTTACAAATGTGAAAAATCAAGACTCTAATAAATGAAATAACCATGTAAGTAACATTAGTAATCTTGAAGACAGAAGACTGGAGGTTTGCTTACTGGAGGTTGCCAGCTTTTTCTACTGGATGAGTTTCATAATATGCTGGCTCTCATTCGTATATTTATTTGTGTAACGACTGTGTGTAATGTTTGTGTAATGACTAGACTGGAAGCTCTGTGGGAGCAGGGACTGTGTGTGTTTAGTTCACTACTGTGTCTACAGCCCTTAGCAAAGAACTTGGCACACACCAGGCTCTCAATTAATATTGCTCACTGTATTCAAATATATCAGGGGTCATTAATTCCTGTACTTTTAACAGATTGTTTAGATTGACAGATTTAGATAGCTTGGAGGGACTCAAATGAGATAATCAGCATGAGAAGACTTTGTAAACTGTAGAATCATGTACCCATGCCAGGGGTTTTTATTTTTGAAAACTTTCCTTTACTGGCTTTATTCAAGCCAAAAAAAAATATTTTTTGGAACTACTGATGATACTCCTGCAAGAAGATTTAATCTTGAAATTCTTGGAAAGTAGCACAAAAGCATTTGGTCCTAAACTCATCTTATGAGGTTTTTTGATTATTAGTCAGAACATCAGGGCTTATTGATATTTTTAGAAATATTCCTGAACCATCTCTTATTTTAACCAAATTACGAGATAAATCGAGACATGTGAAGTAAGATCGATGTGTTATTAGTTGCATGATCATTTATCATCAGCTCCTAACACAAATATTAGGAAATATGGCCTTTTCTATTTCTGTGGTCACACTAAAGGAGGCCGATTGTCTTCTTGCGGAACTGAGTGAGGGTAGGAGAATAATGGGATACAGCCTGTGTACTCACAGGATGCTGCTTATCACATTGCTAATCACATTCTGAGAAACTTTATTTTTATACGTTTTCCTTGCTGTAGTTATGAGAACACCGTCTTTGTGCCAAGTGAAGTTGGCTTGAAAGTGACTTTGTCACTTTTCAACTGTTATGACTTCAGACGAGCTTCTTGCCTGCTGCCAGCCTCAGTTTCTCCAATTTGTAAAATGGAAACAGTTATGCCAACCTTGCAGAGCTATTAGGAGAGATTAAATGAAATGATGTGTACAGCTTGCCTGACAGAGTGCTTGGCTGAAAGTACTTAATACAAATTACCTTCTTTGTCTGTTTTCCACATTTGTGGTTGACAACCCTTTCCAAACAGACACTTACTCTTCCGAATATCAGTGTATAAAATGATTTTATGGAAGCACAGTGATTTTATGGGTTAAAAAGTGACATCTATTCCTGGGGCTGGAATCTTCAGACCACAGGTTAGATTCTGTAGTTTAGTGCAGCAGAAAGAACCCAATGAAGTTTCACAGAACCATAGACTACTAGAGCAATGGGGGACATTGCTCCGGAAAACTGAGGCATGATGAAGAGAAGTGACCTACCCACAGTCTTATAGCTAGTGGCATGTGTGGTGGGTGGGATTCACAGCACGTTTAAGGAAGAAGCTCTACAAATTGTGTGGGATGTTATCTGATCCTTAGGAAAGCTGCCTAGGATGGGATGAGAGCTCTCGGTTAAATGTGTTAGCCTCTGGGACAGTAAATCCCTTCTGAATCTTAGGTGCTTAGCTTAGTTGATCAGTATGTTTATGTACTATCTCCCCATATGTGTACAGGGAATTTAAAATCAAACTCTTGAGTGTTAGGAAGGGTAATCTTTCCAAAACCAAAGAGGTGACGCAGGCAGCCACACTGGCTGCATTTCTGAGAATTCTGGGTTGCTGTCCATCTCCATGAAACCATTCTGAAGCCAATGGACAGGTAGGCCACTTTTGTTCAAACTAAACAATTAACTCATGTGTTTATTTGATTCATTTATTAATTCCTTCACCAAAAGCTCATTGAGTCCAGGCAATTAATCAGACACTTTAAGTATGGAAGTTATAGAAATGCACAAAACACATCCTTTTTCTGTGGAGATCATGGTCTGCTCTTTTCTTAATCCTAATTCCTTCCTTGAAACTCTTCTAGGGTCCGGCCTGAACTTAGCCTGAGACTCCCCAGACTGAGGCAACACAGCTTACCACCTGTTGAGGGCTGATCTAGCCATAGTGCTGGAAGACAGGGTGACAGTTCTATAGCTCCTTCCTTCATTTTCATGTTACCTGGATGTGACAATTTCTCCATAGGTGCTGTTTCTATTCTCATCCCTACTTCTAATCCTGTGTCTGCATCACCTAAGCAGGGCTTAGCAACTCTCTTCACTCCACCTCTCTCCCTTCCCACATCAGCTCCATTCTTAGTGAGTTTTAAATTTTTTAGTTGAATATTTTATATTGGAGATGGAAGGGAAAGTTAGGTTATATCACACATCACCCAAAATACTTCATAAACACTTTTAGTTGACCATGCTCTTTTCCATAACATCTCTTCCCCTGGCTACATACTGCCTATGTCTCTCTTCCCCTTCGGTCTCAATTATCTTCCCCAGACACCATATCTCTCCAAGTTCATTAATGTTAGTTCTTTTTCTTCCATCTTAGCTACAATTTGCATCCTCACCACCTTTGACAATGTAACACCCTTCTTAGAAGGAAGAAGGGAGTTGGAAATAAAATATACTTTTTTCCTGGCTAAAAGTAAGTGTATCTTCCTGTTCTACAGATGGGTTATCTCAGACAGGGAAAGCAAAATCACTTTCAAAAGTTTGAGCCTCTACTTCACAGCCTTTCTTTTCTGCCCCCAGAAGGATTAGTTATACATCATGCTTGCTGAAAGCGTAATATATTGAAAATCAGAAGAGTGCCATTGGGTGTCTGTTTAGAATATAGATGTCCGAGTCAGGAACACTCTGAATTCAACTCTTGGGCCTGCCACTCACTAGCTGGGAGATCTTGGGCAAGAGATATCCCTTGGCTAAACTTCAGTTTGCTTATCTGTAAAATGAAAACAATAGTACCTTTGAGACATGGGAGCTATGAGGATTAAATGAGGTAATGAAAAGGCTCTTAGTTGGGTACAAGTCATTGATGATCCAGGTTAGCAGTCGTAATTAGGAATCATGTGGCCAAATAGTAACATCAGCAACATTGTAAAAATGTTTCTGGGCAAGGTGCATTGGCTCACACCTGCAATCCCAGCATTTTGGAAGGTCAAGCTTGAGCCTAGGAGTTCAAGACCAGCCTGGGCAACATGGTGAAACCCCATCTCTACAAAAAACACAAAAATTAGCCAGGTGTGTTGGCGCATACCTATATTTCCAGCTACTTTGGAGGCTGAGGTGGGAGAATCACCTGAGCCCGAGAGGTCGAGGCTGCAGTGAGCCCTGACCATGTCACTGCACTGCAGCCTGGGTGATGGAGTGAGACCCTATCTCCAAAGAAAAAAAAAAGAATATTTCTGTTTTTGTAGCAGCAAATTAAGTCCTGCTACATGCCAAATATTGTGAAAATACGAATTGTCTGTTTTGCAAATCTTTTAGTACTCTTTAATGAGGTTGCATTGTA
The DNA here is from genome assembly GCF_000001405.40 of Homo sapiens. Taxonomy (NCBI): domain Eukaryota; kingdom Metazoa; phylum Chordata; class Mammalia; order Primates; family Hominidae; genus Homo; species Homo sapiens. The sequence continues at coordinate 129,611,413 of NC_000008.11, read as the reverse complement.
AAGCATTTGTTGAAAAGTTTGTTGAAGGTTTATTATAACACACGGTTATACCACATAGATTCTTAATCTAGAACGAATGACTTACATGAATGCAGTGATCTGTGGTGAAATGTTACCTAGGAATGAATGATGTGATGGGATGTGAAGCACCTGTGCTTCAGTTGACCTCATACAATGTCTGGCACTTTTGGGTATGGCATATCATTTTTGAAGTTACATTACTACAAAAGAATAAATGGTGTATGTGATTGTGTGTGTGTGTGTGTGTGTGTGTGTGTAGTTTTTTTTTCTTTTACCAACATGCTCTCAACTCTGGTGGTTTGTGCTTTTGCATCTATACTCTTAGGAAAAATGCACGGTCTCCCTTGACCTTTGTCAACTTCTGAAACTTTGTCAGTTGTGAAACTGTGGTATTATGTATGTGATGGGATGGAAAAAATGTTGCACTGTAGTAATCCAGGAGACAAGCGGTGGGACCTGGGTAAATAGGTGCATTTCCCATGAGTCTGTGCATGGCAAAGAGAGTCATATATTGGGAACACAGGCTGTGGAAGAGGACAGCAGGAAGTACAGGTCTGAAAAGATGACAGAGTTCTGTGAGGTAAGAAATAATATTCCTCTGCTATGAACCCTCAAATCTTCAGTGTAGTTTCTAAAATCACCAGATGTTTGGCTTAAGTGGATTCTTTTGATCTTGGAAATTGGCAGAGAGCATAATTAATATGGTGGGCATGGAAATGAGAACGGAGATTTGGGGAAACCATAAGGAAGAGATTGGATTCAAATATATGTAAATATGGGAGGGGTGGAGGAGGTGAGTTAGGATAACTTACATCTCAGAGATTCTAAGGAACATCTCAATTACTCTTTTTATAGTATTTTCACTTTACATAGCGATTTCATGTTCTGCCTCGAAAATAAAGTGTGAGATCCACATAACAGGATTTTTTCTTTCATATTGTAAATAAGTAAACTGAGGTTCAGAAAATGTAAAAGATATATACAAGATCACATAAGTGGTAAGGAGCAGAGCCAGGTCTAACGATAAACCAAATCATGGTATTTTATGGATGTAATATCTTCTAGTCCAACTGACTCCTAGATGCTTAAATTTCCTCAATAATCATATCGACTCCTTGCCTCCTCTGGTTCGTTGACAAACTGCCTTTCTAGTAGCATCTTTCTGCTTCTGTGGACTGGTGCTTTTCTAGTGTGTGTGTGTGTGTGTGTGTGTGTGTGTGTGTGTGTGTGTGTGTGTGTTTAATGTTCTGACTTCATGCATAGGTCTCAATTTCTGGTAGGTCCTTACCATACATGTGTCCAAGGCCGTATCTTCTATCCCTACATTTGCATAAAATCTAAATGCCTGGCCATTAGGGTTAAGATTAAATTTTGGTGCTCCCTTGCACTTCCAAGCCTCACATGCTCCAATATTCAGGCACAGTTTCCTTTTCATGTTAACACCCCAAGATTTCCCTTTAGTGTTACAATTTTGGATAGGAGATCCAGGCATAAGGGAGGGGTAATAGTTGTCTAAAGACATGAGGGAGGTGAGGAGGAAGAGGTGAAGAGCATTATAGGCAGAAGAAACAGCAAGATCAGATTCTTGAGTGGCAAGTATGAATGCCGTATTGCAGAAATAGTAAGGAGGTCAGCAGAGCTGGGGCAGAGCGTGGAAGTAGGAGTAGTTAAGATCAGACAAGTATTTGGGGTTGATGCTAGACTGTGGAAAGACTTGTAGACTATTAAAATGACTTTTTAAAAAGTCTTAAGTGACATGGAAAACTGTTGGAGGGTTCTGAGAAAAGAAGTGAAATAAATGGACTTGTTTTTATAATAGAATTGCTCTGGTTGCATTGTGGTGAATGAATTGGAGGAGAACAAGAGTAGAAACAGCTTATACTATTAACTAGAAGGTTATTTAAATAATCTGATTGGAGCTAATAATGGTTGCAAATAAGGTGATAATAATGGAGGTGGTCAAAAGTGGGCAGATTCTGGATTTATTTTGAAGGTGGAGCTACATGATTTCCTAATAGAATAAATGTGAAATCTCAGAGACGGAGAAGAGCTAAAGTTGACTTCATGGCCTGAGAAATAGAAATAATTTAATGGAATAAAGAAGACTGTGGGAGCAACAGATTTAGGAGAGATAGGAGAAGCTCAAATTTGGATTTAAGTTTGAAATGCTTATTAACATCCTAGTCGAGGAGGCAGTTGGTATGAGAATCTATAAATCAGAGGTGACAACCAGGCTTGCAATTTAGATCTATGTATAGATGATATATCAAGCCACACAACTGGATGAGATAATCAAGGGAGTGTGTCTAGATACAGAAAATAAGAGATCTAGAGAATGAGCTCCAGGGCATTTTATCATTTGAAGTTTGTGCTGAGGTTTCTCCGTAATGATGTGAGCAGCTCCATAGACCTCATCCCCAGCAAAACTTGTTGAAAATTATATAAGATTCTCCCAAGCATTTAAAGTCTCTGGAAATGGTTCTAAGAGCATATAGTAAATGAAAAAAAAACATTTATTTAAGAAAATATAATAAACTCAATAAGAACGATGAGAGTCTTTGCTAGTTGAGCCAAGACCTGCATTCTCTCTCCCCCATTCCAGCTCAGCAAGATGTACCATATATTCCAGACTGGTATAGCCTAAAACCCAGGGCCCTCACTCCTGCTAATTCCAAGTTGGAGGACTATATTCCCTTGGGGGGATAGGACATAAGCATTTCTCCTTCTGCTCCCAGCTACCTGTTGCTGAGGCCAGGTTCTGGGCAAGTACAGCTGGGAGCCGGGGGGTTCCCTTGTTCCATCCAGCCTCAACTATGGAATGGAGGTTTTACCTTGGGAGTAGTGCTGTTGAGAAAACTTGGGCCCCTTGCTCAAGCTTGGGGACAAGGATTCCATGTGGAGAAGGGCAAGCCAAAGGGACCTGGGGCTGATGGCCCCTCCCCAACTCACTCAGCACTCAGCTCCTAAAGTGGAGTTGTCACTCAGAGAGAAGCACGCCATCATCCCCACCCCTAGTACCAGGGCTTGGCTCAGAAATTTATACCAGGGGGAAAACAGTCTATAGAAGCAGAGAGTTCCAAATCTCTGACCAAAGGAACTTGCTTCATTTGCAACAGATTGCAGAGAAGTTCAAGCCCAAGGACACTTTCAAAAATAGTGAAAGTTGTGGTGAAAGGTAATTGGGAGATTAATAGATTCGTGGGTGTTATAGGCTCGCTAGTTTACCAGAGAGGGAAACAGGGAAGAAATAGCTGGGAAGAACCCTCCTGTGGTCAGAACAAACCTTAAACACTGACATTCAGAACTATACCTTCAAAGGAGCCTGAATTTGATTTGATTGGCTTATGAATCAATTTATGCCTTTTTTCTTGTAACTAATTTTTTATAAAACCATATAAAACAGTATGAATATGTTTTTTGTCTCTATAATACATAGAAATTTAATATTCTTGCCAATAAATTTAAAAAGAAATGTCTTTAAAAGACATGAAATTATATGAAGTAATAATATAATTATTACGAAGTATTGCTGAATTGGTAATGTTTACATATGTAATATGCATAGCAATAAAACTACACAAAGGAGAAGAAGGTAATAAACGTATATAGGAGCAATAGTTCTATATCTCATTGGAATTAAATTAGTATAAATCTGAAGCTGTTTTTGGTAAGTTAAGGTATATCTTTGGTAAGTTAAGGTATATCTATGGTAAGCCCTAGAGCAACCACTAAAAATAGTAGAAAATATCATTAAAGAAATGAAAATGCTACATTAGAAAATATTAAGTTAATGCAAAAGAAAGTAGTAAAGGAGGAATAGAGGAACAAAAAAGACATGAGACATATAGAAAAAAGGAAGTAAAATGGCAGACATAAATCCAACTACATCAGTATCATAAAATGTGAATAAAATAAATGATCCAATTAAAAGCAAACACTGTGAGACTGGATAAAAAAAGTTCCCAGTATATGCTGTCTATAGGAGATACACTTTAGATTTAAAGACAAGAATAAATTGAAGGCTGGATGCAGTGGCTTGTGCCTATAATTCCAGCACTTTGGGAGCCTGGACAGGAGGATTGCTTGAACCTAGGAGTTTGAGACCAGCTGGGCAACATAGGGTGACCCTGTCTCTACCAAAAAAAAAAAAAAAAAAAAAAAAAAAAAAATTAGCCAGGCATGGTGGCACACTTGCTTGTAGTCCCAGCTACTCAGGGGCTGAGGTGGGAGGATTGCTTGAGCCCAGGTGGTTGAGACTGCAGTGGGCCAAGATCACACCATCGCACTTCTGCCTGGGCAACAGAATAGACTCTTTCTGAAAAATCAAAAGAATAAATAAAATAAATGGAAAGTAAATGGATGAAAAAAGATATGTCATGTACACAGTGATGACAAGAGAGCTGGTGTGTTCATCAGACAAAATAGACCTTAAAACAAAAAACTTTACTGGAGATATAGAGGGATATTTTATGATAATCAAAAGTTCAATTCATCAGAAAGATGTAACCATTATAAACATATATGTATCTAACAAGAAAGCAGCAAAATACATGAAGTATAATCTGACAGAAATGAAAGAAGAAATAGATAATTAAAAACAATAGTTGGGGACTTCCATATCACACTTTTGGTAATGGATGGAACAAGTAGCAGAAGATCAACAAAGAAAGTGAAGAATTTAACAACATGATAAACCCGCTAGACTGCACAGAATCCTGTAGAGCACTCCACCTAACAACAGCAGAATATATCTTCTTTTCAAGTGAAGGATGCATCCTATGGCAGGCTATAAAACAAACCTCAATAAATTTGAAAGTATAGAAATAATAAAACCTGTCTTCCTTAACTGTAATGAAATGAAATTAGAAATCAATAAAAGATTTTCTTATATTTGAGAAACTCACAAATTTATAGAAACCAAACAACAGAGTAGCTAGTTCTTTAAACACATTAACAGAATTAATAAATATTTAGCTAAATTGACCAAAAAATTAGTGAAAATTCAAATTACTAGAATTAGAAATAAAAGAGAAACCACCGTCAGAGTGAACAGGCAACCTACAGAATGGGAGAAAATTTTTGCAACCTACTCATCTGACAAAGGGCTAATATCCAGAATCTACAATGTACTCAAACAAATTTACAAGAAAAAAACAAACAACCCCATCAAAAAGTGGGCAAAGGATATGAACAGACACTTCTCAAAAGAAGACATTTATGCAGCCAAAAAACACATGAAAAAATGCTCACCATCACTGGCCATCAGAGAAATGCAAATCAAAACCACAATGAGATACCATCTCACACCAGTTAGAATGGCAATCATTAAAAAGTCAGGAAACAACAGGTGCTGGAGAGGATGTGGAGAAATAGGAACACTTTTACACTGTTGGTGGGACTGTAAACTAGTTCAACCATTGTGGAAGTTGGTGTGGCGATTCCTCAGGGATCTAGAACTAGAAATACCATTTGACCCAGCCATTCCATTGCTGGGTATATACCCAAAGGACTATAAATCATGCTGCTATAAAGACACATGCACATCTATGTTTATTGCGGCACTACTCACAATAGCAAAGACTTGGAACCAAGCCAAATGTCCAACAATGATAGGCTGGATTAAGAAAATGTGGCACATATACACCATGGAATACTATGCAGCCATAAAAAATGATGAGTTCATGTCCTTTGTAGGGACATGGATGAAGCTGGAAACCATCATTCTCAGCAAACTATCGCAAGGACAAAAAACCAAACACCGCATGTTCTCACTTATAGGTGGGAATTGAACAATGAGAACACATGAACACAGGGAGGGGAACATCACACACTGCAGACTGTTGTGGGGTTGGGGGAGAGGGGAGGGATAGCATTAGAAGATATACCTAATGCTAAATGATGAGTTAATGGGTGCAGCACACCAATATGGCACATGTATACATAGGTAACAAACCTGCACGTTGTGCACATGTAACCTAAAACTTAAAGTATATAAAAAAAAGAAATAAAAGAGAAGATATTACTTTTGACCTTCTAGAAATAAAAAAGTATTGTATTCCAATAAATTATACAATTTGCATGAAATTGACAAATTCCTAGAAAGTCACAACCTACTGAAACTGACCCAAGAAGATATAGATAAAACAAAGAAAACCCCAAACAACTCAATTAAAAAATAAGCAAAGGACTTGAATAGACATTTCTTTAAAAAAAGATCTACAAATAGCCAATAAGCACATGATAAGATGTTTAATATTGTTATTTGATATGGTTTAGCTGTGTCCCCACCCAAATCTCATCTTGAATTGTAGTTTCCATAATCCCCACATATCGTGGGAGGGACCTGATGGAGGTAATTGAATCATGGGGCAGTTACCTCCATGCTGATGTTCTCATGATAGTGAGTGAGTTATCATGAGATTTGGTGGTTTTATAAGGGGCTTTTCCCCCTTGCTTGGCTCTTGTGTCTCCTGCTGCCTTGTGTAGAGGGATGTGTTTGCTTCCCCCTCTGCTATGATTGTAAGTTTCCTGAGGCCTCCCCAACCATGCAGAACTGTGAGTCAAGTAAACTTCTTTCCTTTTTAAATTACCCAGTCTTGGACAGTTATTTATAGCAGTGTGAGAATGGGCTAATACAGTAAGTTGGTACCAGGAGTAGAGGGGCACTCCTGTAAAGATACCTGAAAATGTGGAAGCGACTTTGGAACTGGGTAACAGGCAGAGGTTGGAACAGTTTGGAGGGCTCAGAAGAAGACAGGAAAATGTGGAAAAGTTTGGAACTTCCTAGAGACTTGTTGAATGGCTTTGACCAAAATGCTGATAGTGATATGGACAATGAAGTCCAGGCTGAGATGGTCTCAGTTCCCAACAAGTTCCTCATCTCATCTCACCTCATCTTAGCCCAGGCTCAGATGGAGATGAGAAACTTGTTGGGGACTGGAATAAAGGTGACACTTGTGATGCTTTAGAAAAGAGACTGGTGGCATTTTGACCTTGCCCTAGAGATCTGTGGAACTTTGAACTTGAGATAGATGATTTAGGATATCTGGAGGAAGAAATTTCTAAGTGGGAAAGCATTCAAGAGGAAGCAGAGCTTAAAAGTTTGGAAAATTTGCCACCTGATAATGTGATAGAAAAGAAAACCAGATTTTCTGGGGAGAAATTCAAGCCAGCTGAGGAAATTTGCATAGGTAATGGGGAGCCAAATGTTCATCACCAAGACAATGGGGAAAATGTCTCCAGGGCATGTCAGAGACCTTCACAGCAGCCCCTCCCATTACAGGCCACAGAGGGAAAAGTGGTTTACTGGGCCATGCCCAGGGCCACCCTGCTCTGTGCAGCCTTGGGGCATGGTGTCCTGCATCCCAGCTGTTTCACCTCCAGCTGTGGCTAAAAGGAGCCGAGGTACATACAGTTTGGGCCATTACTTCAGAGAGTGCAAGCCCCAAGCCTTGGTGGCTTCCATGTGGTGTTGAGCCTGTGGGTGCACAGAAGTAAAGAATTGAGGTTTGGGAACTTCCTCCTAGATTTCAGAAGATGTATGGAAATGCCTGGATGTCCAGGCAGAAGTCTGCTGCAGTGGTGGAGCCCTCACAGAGAACCTCTGCTAGGGCAGTGTGGAAGGGAAATGTGAGGTTGGAGCTCCCACACAGAGTCCCCAGTGGGGCACTGCCTAGTGGAGCTGTGAGAAGAGGGCCACCATCCTCTAGACCCCAGAATGGTAGATCCATTGACAGCTTGGACTGTGTGCCTGGAAAAGCCACAGACACTCAATGTCAGCCATGAAAGCAGCTGGGAGTGGGGCTGTACCCTGCAAACCCACAGGAGCAGAGCTGTCCAAGGCCATGGGAGCCCACCTTTTGCATAAATGCAACCTGGATGTGAAACATGGAGTCAAAGGAGATCATTTTGGAACTTTAAGGTTAAATGATTGCCCTCCTGGGTTTTGGACTTGCATGGGGCCTTTAGCTTCTTTGTTTTGGCCAATTTCTCCCATTTAGAATGGGTGTATTTACCTGATGTCTGTGCCCCCATTGTACCTAGGAAGTAACTAACTTGCTTTTGATTTTACAGGCTCATAGGCAGAAGGAACTTGCCTTGTTTCAGATGAGATCCTGGACTTGGACTTTTGAGTTGATGTTGGAATGAGTTATGACTTTAGGGACTATTGGAAAGTCATGATTGTGTTTTGAAATGTGAGAACATGAGATTTTGGAGGGGCTGGGGTGGAATGATATGGTTTGGCAGTGTCCCCACCCAAATCAGAGGGAAAAGGAGGGAAAAATAGTTTACTGGGCCATGCCCAGGGCAACCCTGCTCGTGCAGCCTTGGAGCATGGTGTCCTGCATCCCAGCTGCTTCACCTCCAGCTGTGGCTAGTGAGTGAGTTAGCATGAGACCTGGTGATTTTATAACAGGTTTTTCCCTCTTGCTTGGCACTGCTGTTTCCTGCATCTTGTGAGGAAGTACATGTTTGCTTTCCCTTCTGCCATGATTGTAAGTTTCCTGAGGCCTCCCCAGCCATGTGGAACTGTGAGTCAATTAAACCTCTTTCCTTTATAAATTACCCAGTCTTGGACAGTTCTTTATAACAGCATGAAAATGGACTAATACATTATTCATTATAAAAATGCAAATAAAAACAATCAGGTAGTACTTCAACCCCACTAGGATAACTGTGATAAAAACAAACACCCCACCCCCTGCAAATAATAAGTTTTGGTGAGACAGTGAAGAAATTGGATCCCTCATATACTGCTAGTGGAAAAATAAAATGTTTTAGCCACCGTGCAAACAATTTGGTGGTTCCTCAAAAAGTTAAACATGGAATTACTACATGACCCTGGAATTCTACTCCTATGTGTATACTCAACAGAATTGAAAACACATGCTCAAACAAATACGTGTACATGCATGTTTATAGGAGCACTATTCACAATAGCCAAAGGTGAAAATAGCCCAAATAATCCTCAACAGAAGAATGGATAAACAAATTGTGGTATATATGTACAATGGAATATTATTTAGCTATAAGAAGAAATGGAGTTCTGATTTTTACTACAACATGGATGAATCTTGAAAGCTTTATGCTAAGTGAAGAAGCTGGATGCAAAAATCTACATATTGTTTAGTTCCACTTATATGAAATATCTATAATAGATAAGTCGTTAGAGATGGAATGAAGATTGATGGTTTCCCTGGGCTGGGGAGAAACTGCTTTATGTTTAAGTAGTTCTATTTTGGAATGATGGAAATATTTTGAAATTAGATAGAGATGGTGGTTGCACAACATTGTTAATATTCTAAATGTCATTGATTTTATTCATCTTAACAAAATTAAGATAATTTTACATTATGTAAATTTTATATCAATAAACCATTTAAGAAACCACACCCAAGGAAAAGCCCAGGTTTGGTTGGCTTCACTGGTAAATTCTACTAAGTATTTAAAGAATAATTAATGCCAATTCTTTACAAACTCTCCTAAAAATTAGAAGAGTAGGAAACATTCCCAAATTGATTCTATGAGGCCAGTATTACCCTGATACTAAAACCAGGCAAAGATATCACAAAAAAGAAAAATATAGACCAATATCTCTTTTGAATATGGATGCAAAAATTCTCAACAACCTATTCACAAACAATTTCACAAAACATTTCAAGAGAATTATGCACCATGACAAAGTGGGATTTATCCTGGGAATGCAAAGTTGGTTTAACGTATGAAAATTAGTTAATGTAATATACCATATCAATAAAATACAAAACAAAAAGAATATGATATCACAGCAGATACAGAAAAACATGTGACAAATTCAAACACCCTTTCATGATAAAAATGTTTGACAAACTAGGACTAGAAGTGCAGTTTCTCAACTTGATAAAGGCCATTTATAAAAAACCCATAGCTAATGTTATACTTAATAGTGAAAGAATGAAATCTTTCTCTCTAAGGTTGGGAACAAGGAAACAATATCTGCTTTTGAAAAATCTATTCAACATTGTAGTAGAGGTTCTAACCATAACTACTGTTCAAGAAAAAAAAATAAAAGACATCCAGATAGAAAAGGAGAAAGTAGAATTGTCTCTATTTTCAAATGGCATGACCTTGTATATATATAATCTTAAGGACAGTACTATAAGGACCAATAAATGAGTTTATTAAGGTTGCGAGATACAAGATAAATATACACAAACAAATTATATTTCAAAACACTTGCAATAAAGAATTTGAAATTGAAATGAAGAAAACAATTTCACTTATAATAGTATCAAAAAAAATAGGCCAGTGTAGTGGCTCACACCTGTAATCCCAGCAATTTGGGAGGCTGAGGTGGGTGGATTGCTTGAGGCCAGGAGTTTGAGACCAGCCTGGGCAACATGGAGAGACCCAATTTCTACTAAAAATACAAGGCCAGACTCAGTGGCTCATGCCTGTAATCCTAGTACATTGGGAGGCCAAGGTAGGTAGATCACTTGAGTTCAGGAGTTTGAGACCAGCCTGGGCACATGGAAAAACCCTGACTCTACAAAAAATACGAAAGATTAGCCAGGCATGGTGGTGCAGGCCTACAGTTCCAGCTACTTGGGAGGCTGACGCAGGAGGATTGTTTCAGCTCAGGATGTGCAGTGAGCTGACATCGCACCACTGCACTCCAGGCTGGGTGGCAAAGTAAGACACTATCTCAAAAAAAAAAGTATCAAAAATAATATTATGAAAATGGCCATACTGCCTAAAGTAATTTATAGAGTCAATGCTATTTCCATTAAACTACCATTGATATTCTTCACAGAACTAGAATAAAACTATTTTAAAATCCATAAACAGAGCCCATATAGCCAAGACAATCCTAATCAAAAAGAACTGAGCTGGAGGCATCACACTACCCAACTTCAAACTATACTACAAGGCTACAGTCAAAACAGCATGATACTGTGCAAAAACAGACACATAGACTAATGGAACAGAATAGAAAACTCAGAAATAAGACTGCACACCTACATCCATCTGATCTTTGACAAACCTGACAAAAACAAGTAATTGGGAAAGGATTCCCTATCTAATAAATGGTGCTGGGAGAACTGGCTAGCCATACGCAGAAAATTGAAACTGGACCCCTTCCTTGTACCTTATCAAAAATTAACTCAAGATGGAATAAAGACTTAAATGTAAAACCCAAAACTACAAAAACCCTACAAAAAAATATAGGCGATACCATTCAGGACATGGGCACAGGAAAAGATTTCATGATGAAAATGCCAAAAGCAACTGCAACAAAGGCAAAATTGACAAATGAGATCTAATTAAACTAAAGAGTTTCTGCACAGCAAAAGAAACGATCATCAAAGTGAAGAGACAACCTACAGAATGGGAGAAAATTTTTGCAATCTATTCATCTGACAAAGGTGTAATATCCAGACGCTACAAGGAACTTAAACAAATGTATAAGAAAAAAACAAGCAACCCCATTAAAAAGTGGGAAAGGCATAAAAAAGGATGAGTTCATGTCCTTTGCAGGGACATGGATGAAGCTGGAAACCATCATTCTAAGAAAACTATTACAAGGACAGAAAACCAAACACCACACATTCTCACTCATAGGTGGGAGTTGAACAATGAGAACACATGGACACAGGGCAGGGCACATCACACACTGGGGCCTGTTGGGGGTGGGGGGCTGGGCGGAGGGATAGCATTAGGAGAAATACCTAATGTAAATGACGAGTTGATGGGTGCAGCAAACCAACATGGCACAGGTATACCTATGTAACAAACCTGCAAGTTGTGCACATGTACCCTAGAACTTAAAGTATAATTAAAAAAAAGAACTTACTCATGTAACAAAATACAACCTGTTCCCCCAAAACCCATGGAAATAAAAAAAAAAAAGAGAGTGGGCAAAGGGCATCAACAGATACTTCTAAAAGAAGACATTCATGTAGCCAAGAAACATATGAAAAAAAGCTCAACATCACTGATTATTAGAAAAATGCAAATCAAAACCACAATGAGATACTATCTCACACCAGTCAGAATGGCTATTATAAAAAGTCAAGAAATGATAGATGCTGGCAAGTTGTGGAGAAAAAGGAATACTTCTACACTGTTGGTGGGAATGTAAATTAGTTCAACAATTGTGGAAGACAGTGTGGCAATTCCTCAAAGATCTAGAAGCAGAAATAACATTTGACCCAGCAATCCCATTACTGGGTATATACCCAAAGCAATATAAATCACTTTATTATAAATATACATGCATGTGTATGTTCATTGCAGTACTATTCCCAATAGCAAAGAAATGTAATCAACTCGAGTGCCCATCAACAGTAGACTGGATAAAGAAAATGTGGTACATATACACCATGGAATACTATGCAGCCATGAAAAGGAATGAGATCGTGTCCTTTGCATGGATGAAGCTGGAAGCTGTTATACTCAGCACACTAGTGCAGGAACAGAAAACCAGACACCACATATTCTCACTTATAAGTGGGAGCTCAACAACGAGAACACATGGATGCATGCAGGGGAACAACACACACTGGGGCCTACCGGGGTTGGGGAAGAAGAGTATCAGGAAGAACAGCTAATGGGTGCTGGGTTTAATACCTGGGTGATGGGCTGATCTGTGCAGCAAACCACCATGGCACACATTTACCTATGTAACAAATCTACACATCCTGCACATTTACCCGGGAAATTAAAAGTTGATAATAAAATAAAATAAAACGTTTAGTAATATATTTAACAAAAGAAGCATAAAACTTATGCTCTGAAAACTCAAAAATTTTAAATGTTTTAGAGTTTAAAGATTAAAATAAATAAAAAGTATTTTATATTTGTGGCGTGTAAGAGTATTGTTAAGATGGCAATACTCCCCAAATTGATTTAGAGATTCAATGGAATCCTTATCAGAATCCCAGCTGGCTTCTTTGTAGAAATTGACAAGCTTATCCAGAAATTCATATGGAATTTCAAGGGATCTTGAATTATGAAAACAATCTTGAAAAATAAAAACAAAGTTGAAAGATTCACACTTACTGGTTTCAAAACTTACAACAAAGCATCAGTAGTCAAGAGAGTGTGGTACCAGAATAAGTACAAACATGTAGATCAATGGAATAAAATTGAGAGTCCAGAAATAAATCCATGTATCTGTAATCAACTGGTTTTCAACAAAGATGCCCAGATCATTCAATAGGAGAAAGAGTAGTCTTTCATAGGAATACTGGATATCCCCACTCGAAAGGGTAAAATTGGGTCCTTATCTCACACCATATAAAAAGTTAACTCAAAGTGGATCGAGGATCTAAGCATAAGAGCTAAAACTATACAACTCTTAGAAGATATGTACAAATATATCATCATGACCTCTAATTTGGCAATGAATTCTTAGATACGACACCAAAAGCATGAGCAACAAAAGAAAAATAAGATAAATGAATCTTCAACAAAATAAAAAACTTCTATGCTCTAAAGGACACAATCAAGAAAGTACAAAGACAAGAATGGAAGAAAATATTTGCAAGTCATAAATTTGACAAAAAACTTGTATCTAGACTATATAAAGAACTCTTAAACTCAATAATAAAAAGACAAATAATCTAATTAAAAATGGGCAAACGATCTGAAAAGACATTTCTCCAAATAAGGTATACAAATGGTTCGTAAGCACATGAAAAGGTGTTTGACATTAGTCATCAGGGAAATGTAAATTAAAACCACAATGAGATATGCATTCATATCCACTAGGAAGACTAAAATTTAAACAGTCAAACAATTTCAAGTGTTGGTGAGAATATGGAGGAACCAGAAGCTTTGTATACTGCTGTCAGGAATGTCAAGTGGTGCAGTCACTTTGACAAATTGTCTGGCAGTTCCTCAAATGGTTAAACACAGAGTTACTATGTGACCCAGCAATTCCACTCCTAGCTATATACCCAAGATAAATGAAAATATATGCCTGCATGAAGACTTGTACACAAATGTTGATAGCAGTATTATTTATAATAGCCCAAACAAGGAAGTCCTAATCAACTGAAAAATGGATAAACAAAATATGGTATGCTCATAAAATGGGATATTATTTAGTCATGAAAAGGAATCCTGTATTGATACATGCCACAACATGATGAACCTTGAAAACATTATGCTAAATGAAATGACTATGCTAAATTAAATGTAGTCAAAAAGACTACATCTTAAATGATTCAATTTGTATGAAATGGACAGAATAGGCAAATCTATAGAGACAGAAAGCTGACCAGTGGTTGCTTAGGGCTAGAGGGAGTAGGGAGATAAGAGGGTAATAACTAAAAGGCATGGGATGTCCTTTTGAGTTGGTGAAAGTATTCTAAAATTGGCTGTGCTCATGGTTGCACATACCTGTGAGTATACTAAACATCACTGAATTGTATATGTCAAATAGGTGAATTGTACAGTGTGTGAATTATGTCTCAATAAAAGTGTTATAGAGAATTATGTCTCAATAAAACTGTTATAGAGAAATAAAACTGTTATAGAGAAATGAAGTTTGTGGTGATGAGATAGATCAGCAAAGGGGCAGAATAAAAATGGCCAGTGAGGTAGGAGAGATTCCAGGAGGTAGCTCTGACCCGAGAGCTTTCTATTACAGTCTGGGAAGTATTTCCTGGCTTTATTCTGGAAGTGATGGAGAGCACCACTTGATTGAAGAGTTTTAAGCAATGCGGTCAAATAGACTCCTCTTCTGTGGTTTGCTGTAAGGGAAAGAGAAAAAAGGGACAGAAACTGGAAGAAGAGAATATGTAGACTTTCTCATCTAAATGCTTCTATTTCCTCAGTTCAATAATGTGCTAGGTGCTAGTAGAGAAACATAGAGGGCAGTCAGTGAGTTCAGAGGAAGGCCTGGGGATTTACAGATGGTTTCTCATAAGAGGTGCTATCTGAGCCCATGCTTAAAGATCGGGTTTGCCATCAAAGAAGTGTAAAAAAATAGCATGAACAATGGTGAAAGGTAAGAAACGTCATGACATTTGTGGGAATTAAAAGAAGCTTGGTGTTAACTAACTAAAGAACAACTATAAGAGGCAGGAGAGAGAGATGGGGGCAAGATTGGAGAGGGCTGGGATTCCAGTATAAAGAGTATTTACTCTGGTTTTATTCTGAAAGTGATGTGGGGCAATTGAAATGTTTCAAGCAGAGAGATCAAATAGAAAAACAGATCTGAAGACTGCATGTAGGATGGATCCACTGTGGGCAGGGGTGAGCAGGGCGGTGTAAGAACAGCTATGGGGCTTTTGCACAATATCCTAAACTAAGTCAGTGGGTCAGTAGATAAAAGGGAAAACAAACATTTAGAAAGGTGAAATCATTAAGATTTGGTGATTTGGAGAAAAGTGATGACTGGGTAGCTAATGATGACTTTGATGGAGATTTGAAACATAGGAGAATGTACAAGTTTCATCACCCTGAGGAGGCTGTGGAGTATCAAGCTGGAGGTGTCAAGTGGGCAACTGAATAAAGGACTTAGGGGAGACAGTGGAGCTGGAAATGCAGTCTTAGAAGGCACCTGCAGGCCAGATGTGGTGGCTCACACCTGTAATCCCAGCTCTTTGGGGGGCTGAAGCAGGTGGATCACCTGAGATTGTGAGTTCAAGACCAGCCTGACCAACATGGAGAAACCCTGTCTCTACTAAAAATACAAAATTAGCTGGGCATGGTGGCATGCACCTGTAATCCCAGCTACTCTGGAGGCTGAGGCAGGAGAATCACTTGAACCCGGAGGAGGAGATTGTGGTGAGCTGGGATAGCGCCGTTGCACTCCAGCCTGGGCAACAAGAGTGAGACTCTGTCTCAAAAATAAATAAATAAATAAAAGACACCAGCACATAGGTGGTTGTTAAAACAAGGAGAGTAGATTAGATAATCCAAGCAGGGTGTCTATGGGGAGAACCCAATTCTAGTATTCAAAAAGTGGAAAGAGGAGAGGGAACTCATGAATAATAATGAAAAGAAATAATTAGCAGAAGATGAGGAACATAAGCAAGCAAAAGAAAGTTTCAGAAATAAAAATCTGTGAGTAGTCCACAGTCCAATAAGTGGAGACTTCAGTTAGAATAGGACTGAAACATGTTCGTTGTTTTGTCAATATCATGGTCACTGGAGACATGTCAGAGCAGTTCTGGTGGAGCAGTGGGAGAAAAGGGAGATTGTAGTGATCTGGCTAGGGAGGGGGAGGTGAGAAGTGGAGACAGCAAGTGAAGAGGATGCTTTCCAGAATGTTCTAGAAGAAAAGGTAGAGTAGAAATAGAGGTTGGAGGAAAACGTTAGATCCAGAGAGTGTTTATATTTTAATATGGAAGACACTTGATTATGTTTATAGGCTCATGGGAGTGAACTCATAGGGACTGGAAGACGACATTAGAGGCTAGAAAGGGGGAGGAGCAGAGATCTTGAGGGGAATAGATGGAGGCGTGGCCATGAAGATGCAGTCACACTGCATCATTTGTGAGAGGCTGAATAATGGCCCCTCAAAGATGCACATATCCCCATCCCCTGAACCTGTGAATGCTACCTTATATGCAACAGGGACTTTGCAGATGTGATTAAATTAAGGATCTTAAGAGAGTGAGATTATTCTGGATTATTTGGGTGGGCCTTTAACATAATCACAAGTGTCCTTCTAAGAGGGAGGCAAAGGAAGATTTGACTATAGAAGAAAAGCAGGCAATGTGACCACGGGAGCAGAGTCTGGGGTGATGCAGCCATAAGCCAGGGAATGCTGGCAGCCATTTGAAGCCAGAAGAGGCAGGAAACTGATTTTCTCCTGAAGAAACCAGGTCTGCCTGATTGTTGTTGGCAGACCACTTTGAGTTTTAGCCTTGTGAGACTCATTTTGGACTTCTGACATCCAGAAATGTAAGAGAATATTTGTGTCATTTTAAGTCACTACGTTTGGGGTAATTTGTCATAACAGCAATAGGAAATCAATACATCTTCTGATACTAGAAGGGAAGAAGACACAGGAATAGTTAATTTTGAGAGAGTTGGACAGGAATTTAACTTGTGCATACCCAATGGTCTCAACTTTATTTTGGATCAGAAAGCCAGGTTATGTTTTAGGATAATGGGGATAAGCTAGGGAAGTTGAAAGGAAAAGTTTTTGGAAGTTAATGGCAAGGCTGCTAAACTAGCAGAAGAAAAAGAATGGACCAGTAACCTTGATACCGAGAGACTGAATGTGTTGAACAGACGTTTGCTGTGGAGTGATGGAGATGTCGTGTTGCTTCTCTGCTCTGCAATTTTCTCCAGCTGTGCCCAGTCACCCCAATAGAAGATCAAAGAAGGCGACAGTGAGTTTAATTCAGGTTTGGGATTTTGCCAGGTTGCAGGAATGCAGGAATGGGTGGTGGAAACACTGATTCTGATGGGTTTCCTGCCTCCACCTCCTACCTTTAGGCGTGTGGGCCTGGAGAATGGGCCCAGTTCCAAGGGTCCCAGGGGAGGAGGGGAGGAGCTCCCTCTAGTGCTGCCCGGTCAAATCTAAGTTACGAAGGTGGAAAAGAAAGAATTATAATTTGATGGAAAGGTTGAGGTTAAAGGGAAATAAGTTTCTCGGGACACAGTGGAAATGTGCGAAAGTGAGAACATTGAGTGCGCAGAGGAGACAAATCATCTTATAGTGCAAACTGGTAGGGAGTGAAAGAACAGAAGCCCCGTGGCTGAGAGGGTGGGTGACTTAGGAGGCAAACACGTATGACAGACATGAAAGGCGGCTGGGATTCGCAGTTTGTCCTGAGGCTCCAACTGGCTTTCTGGGGTCGAGCTTTGGGCTGGGCATGGTAGAGATCTCTAGCAGGCAAGTCTACCCAGTGGGCTGGGCCCTGAGAGGGGAAGTGATGATGTTTAAGTCCTGTGTGGCTGGAGGGTCTTGACTGTGGGAGTCTAAGCCCCGGTGTGCCCTCTTTCCTAGAGTTCCAGATTGGGTAATAAGCTACTCAGAGCTTATAGCAGATCCTTGTTCCCTGGGACTTCATGGCCCAGTGCTTTAGGGGGCTGGGGCTTCGATTCCACTGTGACCCACATCCTTTCCTCTGAACAATTACAGACCCACATTGTCCAGGCTGTTTTATGGCTCCATGCACATGCTATTTGCTCACGCCAGAATGGGGCTTGGCTACCTGTCTGCCTGGAATTCATCTTTCAAACACAGCTCACTGCCATCCTCTCCAGGAGGCTCCTCTGATGGTCTCTGCCTGCAGCTCCCATCGCCCTCAGGGTGTCGCTCCCTTCTCTGCACAGCTACGCTTTGCAATACTCATGCTGTTGTATGGAACCACAGGGTCCTCTTCGTCTATGTCTTTTCCGCCTCTCTCACTAGATCCCAAGCTCACTGTGTCTCAGTCTCTATATCCCCAATACTCCAGACAGGAGATCTGCAAACAAACTGGAGTAAATCTTAAGGATTGTGTAAGCGAAGGAGCAATTCTGATCAGGGTGCTGGTTGGGGATATGGGTTGGCGGCATATGTAAGCTTCAAGCCCATCTTAGCCTTTCTTGGTAGAACCACCTTCTTTTTCCAAAACCAGTTGCTTAAAAACTCTGTCCAAAGTAAAAAAAAAAAAAAAAAAAATTACAGACTTGTTCCTCCCAAGGCCAGCTCTGCTCTGTCTGATTGCTAGGAAATTTCAATGTTTGAGTGGCACCCATGTCCCTACCCTCTACCCTGGCTAAACCAATTGCTTATTTATTTCTTTACATGTCCCTCCATCAGGGGACAGCAGTATCCCCTTCTTCACATCACTTTGCCTTCCTGGATCCTGTTTTTCTAGGCGTGAAAGCGCTGAAGTTTGGAGCAAGGCCTAAACTCTCTGTGAACCTCATGGCAAATCACATAGTTTCAGAAAACCCAGATGCAGTTTGAAATTACAGTTAAGATTCCGTGGAAAATAAATGACATGAGCAGCTGAAAACCCCACCCCCACCATCCTCCCCTCCCCTCCCCCTGTTTTTGATGTCCCCTCCCCGCCTCAGCCTCCCCACCCCACTGCCTCTTCAGAACAGAATTTGTTCACTGGGGACATGAAACCCGAGCCTTGCACAAGAGTCGGGTGTTGATTTGGTCCATCCAAGGACAGGCAGCTGCTCAAGGGGGCGGGGTGGGGGTGGGGGCACTGGCAGAGGTCTCTGGAAGTCCTCAGGAGAATTGCTGTTGGAGGGTCCTTGGGGGCTGCCCCCTCCCATTTTGCGCAATCTATCTTTAGAGAACTGCAAGTTAATTTCTCAGAAGGGCCTCAGAGCTGTGAAGACTTCTAAACGGACAAACCACTTCCTGCAATCTTTAACTGAATTGGGGCTGGGGGGGGTGTGACCATTGGAGGGGGGGTCCATTCAGACTTATCCACCCTTGTGTCTTTCCACAGCCCACCCCTGGCTCTGGGCCAAGAGAGATGGAGCAAAGAGTGGGCCCCTTAACACTAGCAGAGGTCACCAGACAGAAGTGTAGCCCTGCTCTCAGGGGCTGGTCAGTAAGGGGGCCTGGAAGGGGGTCAGGACCCTGTCCTGATGCCTCCATTTCAGCTTGGAGCCTCTTGCACTTAATCTCTTAAGAGGCAACCTGGGACAGTCACTTCCTGTCCCCATGTGCCTTCTCTAAAATGGGTAACAGTACGCTATTTCAGAAAGGAGCAGCTTGAAGTCATTCGGAAATGGCTTCAAGTCTTCTAGTGGTGTCAGCAGCAAATGGGTTACCAAAACATGAGGACCCCGAAAGGATTCTTCCAAGCAGCTTAGTGCAGTGCAGAAAGGTAGACTTTAACCACAAGCAGGCCTGGATTCAAATGTGGTCTCCACCACTTACTATCAAGTGCCAAGAGGACTTGTGGAGGTGTCAACTTCTCTGTACCTTAGTAAACTGCAATCAATAACAGGAACTACCCTGGAAAATTGTTATGATGTTTGCCTGAGATGATATCTATACAATACTCACTTTGGGGCTGGGGATATCAATATGTCCAATACATGCTACTTCTCAGTCCCTCAAAAAATAATAATAAAGGCTGTTTTGGAGAGTTTGCTAAGTGCCAGGTCTTAGCACTGGATGTGCCTTATCTCATTTGATCATTGTGATGGATGCTGTGAGGGTGGTAATTATTACTGGAGCTTTATGGAGTCTTGAGGTGGCAGTGGCAGCCTCTCAATGGGATTCTGGCTCTGGTAACAAAGTACTGTTCTTTCTCTCCCTCCCTCCTGTGCTTCTCCTCATCACACCTTTCTGGACACCTTTTCCTCAGGTACCTGGAGCAAATCTCTTGTAGCTCCAGAAATCCAACACCCCCCAACCTGGCCCACATTCTATACCTGCCAAGCTCTGAGTTCAGCCAGGTGACTGTGGCTGAGGGGCTAAGGCTGGGAGTAGAACTGCCATATTCTGAAAAAAATAAAAGTAGGACACCCGGTTAAATTCGAATTTCAGATAAATGACAAATATATTTTTAGTGTATGTCTATCCTAAGTATTGCATGGGACATATCTCTGCTATAAAATTATTTGTTTATTTGAAATTCAAATTCAACTGGGAAACCTTTACATAGTCAAAATTTATATTTTTATCTTTCACATATGCTAGCATTTTCCTACTTTGGCTTAATGAAACCTTGCAGTTGATAAGCATTCCACACTTCAATATGTGCCACTCATTTGAACCTCTAAGTATCGTTACTCCCATTTCACAGAGGAGAAACTTGAGGCTCAGAGGGCTCAAGGAACTTCCCCAAATAACTTAGTTGTTAAGAGGTGGAATAAGAATGAGAGTTGTGACTCCTAGTTATCTATGAGCCTATGAAGTCACAAAGATTCCAGACCAGTCTGAAATCTATAGCCAAGAGGAAAAGGAGAATCGAGGTTTTGAAAACATTACTGCAAATGGAAAAGGCAGCTGGGTGTTGTCTTGGAGGCCTGAACTGCATTTTTGAGCCAGACTTGGAAGTTCAGCATTCCATAGACCACCTTTGTCCCACATGGCAAGGTGGAAGCAGGCGCCGGTGGCCTTTATTGTGTAATGAAAGGCTGTCTCATCACATTGGTTATTTGATCACAAAGCTCCCTGATGTTTCACTTTGAGCCAGAACCTTGGGAATGCAGAAAATAGATCCAATTGCAAGTCTGACCTTTTCTATGTACCAAATGCTGATGGAGAAAGGAGCTAGAATTGCTCCTCAAAGACAATTCTCTATGCAATTCAAAGTAAAGGCTGTCAGCTGAGGTGTGGAAGGAGATACTGCCCAGAGAGCTTCCAGAGTTTCCAAAGACAGGTGCTGGCATCTATCTAATACCAAGGAGGCTGTTCACAGAATACAGTTGCTTTTGTTTTTATCTTATTCTCATGTTCCTTCACTTTTGGACACACACACACTCATACATTACAGATGCAAACATATATACAAACATTAACATTTGAAACACACATATCAAATTTGGAGAAATATATTTATGACATTATGAACATGAAACAATCATCACCCATGTGTTATGCACATAACTATTTAATAGTATTTGTAAATGAATCAAAAAATTGTTAGCTTACTCACTGATTGATTTATGGGTTGGTTTATTCAACAAATACATAATGAATACCTAATATTTACTAATTTCTTTGCCAGGTGCTGCAGGATGGGACCTAGGTATGAATGGAGTTCAAATAACCAATATTAAACCCAACATATTTGCAGAGAATGGTGGCATGGAAGAATTGAGACATTGCAGCCACATGTACCTGGGTTTTAAACTGGGCTCTGCCACTCACTAGCTATGTGTCCTTGGGAAATTCATTTAACCCTTTGAGTCTCAGTTTCCTCATCAGTCAACTGAAACTAATGATAACTATTTTATTAGTACTGTATGACAACCTTGTGACCAGTTGCATGTTAGCATTATACCCATTTTACAGATGACAATGTGGCTCTGAGAGGTTCGCTGTATTGCTCAAGGTCATACAACTAGTGAGTATGGCAGCCGAGTGTTGAACCTTGGTCTTCTAGTTCCAAGTGTAGTATTTTTTCCATTTCTTTCCAGCTCATTTTTAGCCCAAATAATTAATTAATTTATCCCTCCAAGCTATTCCGCAAAACATTTCTGCATTCCAGCATCATTATCTGTTATGAAAAGACCTCCTGGAGTCTCTTTATTCTAAACTTTCAAGACAACAACTGCCACAATAAAATTAACTTTAAGTGAGCACAGCCATTGAAGAACATTAAGTTTGTGCAAGCTTCCTTCCATGACTGCTAAGTACAATTTGATACAAAATGGTCTCTAGACTTCAGGGGGTGGAAGTGAAGGCACCCGCTCTCCTTCTACCGTGGAGTCCAGCTCCTGGAGGATTCCAGTTTGATCTTTCAGGTTTTTCTGTTTCTCTCAGCAATTCACCCCCAACAAAACCATAATCTCTTGACATTCTGGAAAAGGAACATCGATTTTAGCCATCATCAGCTAGGCACAGGTAATTCAGACAGCTGGATTGCTGTACTGAATGTATCTTACATGTACCCAGAAGATAGATAAAGCAGCTAAAACTCACCAAGTTTGCTTGCCTGGTTAGCCATAAAAACAATTCTCTTTCCCACTAATGGAGAAGTCTGTCTTTGGGAAGAACCACACATTTATGAATGTGCTTCTATATTAGTTTCCATCAGCCCTTGAATCAATGCATGGTGCATTGATACACATATAGGACTATTAAATCTTTGGATTAGAAGGGACTTCATTGTCATTTTCTGGTGCAATGCTCTGACTATTTAGGTCTATCTTCCTAAAATTCTATCAACTGTTTGAATTGCAAAGGGCTCTATTTTGGTACCTTTTAACAGTGGCTGGTCCGGGAAAAACAGAAACTGTCTCCATGCCCCAGCTGAAATTTGAAGTGTCCAGTAGAAAGGGCCTGAATTTTAAGAAAAAAATTAATGTTTAGTTGCATTTCTAATATGTAAATACCTTCTTATAAGGTGATATCGTAAAATATCACAGGTAAGGCCAAAGTCTCCTTTAGGAGGTTTTCTCCAAACCCCTGAAGTTTTCTCAGAGGAAACCCATGTTAACATTTTGGTGCACAGCTTTCTAAAGCTTTATCTACATCTTTATATACATGTTTGGGTACCTTGGTATGTATATGTTTTAACATAAATCAAATAATTTCATCTCTCATTATTATATCACTTGGACTTTTTCTTGAAATTATGTACAAATATACCTCTTTCTTTTAACTGATTATTAGTATTGATTAATGGAGATATATCATGGTTTATTTCACCATTCCTCTACTGATAAATTGTTGTCATCTCTTTTTTTCTCCTACTGTAAAAAGAATCTTGTATGTGGCTCCTTGTGCAAACAAATGTGTGTGTTTCTCAGGTGTGCAGACTGAGAGGTGGGATTACTATGCTTGCTTCTGCTTGTAAACTCCAGGGATAGGAAATTCACTTGTACCTGAAGAAGCACCTGTCCTCCCCTCCTCTTCCCTACCCCCATGGTCTGAGTGAGCTGAGAGCCTTGAACCCCGTAGTCCTGGATCGATGCTCTCTGTGGCACAAGTCTCGTCTGTTTTCTCTTCAGATTTGATAGTCATTTCCATTCTGGCAGCTCCTACTGAGGGCAGGTAGTGAAGAACAGTAGATTCATGAGAAACCAAGAAGATAGCGCTAGGTAGGTCAGATCTCAACAGGAAAGCTAATAAAGCCTGTATTGACTTATAATGACTGTAGATAGTCCCTCTGCCAGTTTTCCATTCCTCCCCAGCCCCTTCATCACTGAGGATGACCCAGAATTGCAGAATCTTGCCTATACTTTTCGGGGTGCAGGAGAATTTAAAGCCATTCTTTGCAGCCACTGAATTTTAAATACGGAGATGAGGCTTTCTGTGGGGAGTCTTCCTGACGTTGGGTAAGTAATTTACTATTGAGGCACCTGTTTCAAATCACCTGTTAGAGGGTGTGATGATATCTGCTCTACTTAGCTATTGAGGTTGTTGAAGAGATGAAATGAGATCATAAAGGTGAAATCTTAAGTGCAGGCTTAAGGGGCGACTATGGGATAGCATTTAAGATGTGTGCTCCAGAAGCAGAAGGGTTCATCTCAAACTCTCTTGAGGTGAAACTGTGTGAAGTTAGGGCAATTTGAGCTCTGGGCAGAAGGGAGCACTCTTGCACTGTCTCTAGATTGTCTTCACCAGTTGGGAGGAGGGGATGCATTTTTGTCTCTATTGTCCAGTATAGTCCTTGGGTCACTGTGGGGATGGTGAGTTACCTTTTATCCATTAGCTGGGACTGGCCATTTCATGATTCCTCAAAATGCAAAGCATCCTGGCCCAGCTGACTTTGCCAGTGTTTTTTTCCAGGGCGGATAGGAGCTGAACACCGTGGCTCAAGTGGCAAATGAAGAGTCCAGCACAACAAACAGCCATCATATGGTGCAAATAGCAGGAGAGACCCCATTGCCACCTGATTTCTGCATGATCTATTTGTGGTGGCATGAGGCACTACAGGAGAGGTACCCTGCTGCCTTCCAGCAGTAATGGAAGAGATTATGTGGACTATGTGTTCTAGGAAATAAACTTTTAAGACTCCAGCTGGCTCGGCAATAATATAGGTGGTTCTAACGACACTGCTTAGTTATGGGAAACCATCACTGAAGAAATGGGCCCATTTAGTATCATCTCCCATCTTGTCATGAATATCAGAAGCCTGGAAGACAGGGATAAAAAAATGGGTGAAACATGTTTGGCATCTGGAGTTTCTGGAAAGTGCAGCCAAACCTCTTCGCTATGCTTTGTGTTGGTTCTGGGCTGATTAAAGTTATCCACATTGTACCTCTTTCTTGCTACTGCTTTTAACTTTTTATTTTGACAAAATTTCAGACTTTTTAAAACATTGGCAGAATAGTACAAGGAGTTTCCCTCGTGTTAATAATTTACCAACTTTACTTAATTTAATATATATGTACCATCTATTATATATGCCATATATTTTTATATGATACCATATATTTTCATATAATGCCATATTTTTTCCTGAATTATTTGAAATGTATAGACATAATGTTCTTTATCCCTAAAGACTTCGATGTGTACTTTCTGAAAATGCATTTTGTTACATAAGCACTATTGTTAATCATCAAAACTGGGAAATTAACATTAATACAAAACTATTACCTAATCTACAGACCTCAGTTGAATTTCACCAATTGTTCCAGTTTTATGCTATATGGTAAAAGAAAACACTGGATCACACATTGACTTTATTAGTGTCTCATCTTTTTAAATCTGGAACAGTTTTCTGTCTTTTATGACAATGACATTTTAGAAAAGTACTGGTGAGATTTTTGCAGAATGTTTCTTAATCTGAGATTCTCCAGTATCTCCTCATGGTTAGATTCAGGTCATACATTTTCAGCTGGAATATCATAGAAGTGATGTTATGTCCTTTTTCATTCATTATTATCAGGCTGCACATGATGTCAATTTCCCTCATTATTAGTGATGTTGACTTTATTTGGTGAAGATGGTGTCTGCCAGTTACAGTAAATGCTGCCGTAAAGGCGTTTTCCAACCTTTCCCTTTGTAATTAATAAGTATCTTAAGAGGTACTTTATTATGTGAAATTTCTGTTACTCCTCATACTTTAAGCTACTAGTTTTATCATCATTGATGATTCTTATCCTGAATTGATTACTATTTTGAAGTTTGCCAAATTGTTGTTTTCTATTTCCATCATCCTTTCCACGTTCGTTTGTTAGCTTTTTGCTGTAAGGAGATTTCCCTACTTCCACATTTATTTACTTAAAGGACCTCTCCACAATGGTTCAAATCCTTGAGCACACCTAATATGAGATCGCGATCAGGTGCTAACATTGTGCTTTGTCATTTATAAAGAATGTTAACATCCATTTTTCTCATTTGTTCTTCACAGCCAGACTATGTGGAAGTAAGTGGGGTTCTTCTGTTACAAATGAGGAATCTGAGGCCCAAGAAAGTCCCCTCAATCATCACTTATGTTACACTGTATAATCAGGATTTGACTTTGTGAGCTCCCTGAGAGCAGGGCAGGTATGTTAGTTACATTTAGATCTTCTAAACGCCCAACCCAGCAGGCGCTCAATACTGAAACAATGAATGGATGAATAAAAGAGTAGGAAAGCATTCTGATCTTCTAAATCATTTCCTTACCTTCTTGTTCATTCATGGAACTCTTCCCCTGTTATAGCAAAGCCTAATGATGGAAATTCCCCTGGGAAAGGCAGAAAACGATGCAATAAGAGCAAGAGCTTTGCTGCGGAGGGTGAGGAAGGGCAAATAACAGAATAGCCTGGATCTTTGCATGTCTGAGAGGGAGATGGTGGCATTTACCAAGTGGAAAGGGCACAGAGAGTGGCAGGTATGTCCAGGTCCTAAAGAGTGGTTGTTCTGGCTGGGCGTGGTGGTGGGCACCTGTAATCCCAGCTACTTGGGAGGCTGAAGCAGGAGAATCGCTTGAACCTGGGAGGCGGAGGTTGCAGTGAGCCGAGATCGTGCTGCTGCACTCCAGACAGTGAAATTCTGTCTCAAAGAAAAAAAAGAAAAAAAAAAAACGGGAGGCAGGGAGGGAGAGAGAGAGAGAGAGATTATTCTAACAATTCCAGTAAGGGAGAGTGGCAGTCAAACAATCCAGTGCTTAAGTGCCATTAACCAGGCTGGGCGGGAGGTTTTTGCCAGCTTCCAGTGGAACTCATCTGGAACCTGGTGTGGTGGTTTTATGATTTCCATCTGAACTCTTGAGAAGAAACTTAGGGCCCCTAACTCTGTTTGCTTTTTCAAGCCTTTAGCCCCCAGTGCACCTTACTGTGGGACACTGAGTGAACAAGAACAAAAGTTAAATTAAAAATAATTCTAAAACATAACCAAGAGCCTGGCCCCAGAGTATTATGGAGGCTTGGCCACCAGGTTATGTTAGGAGGAGGGACTGGCCTATGCAAATTTAATTCCTGTGAGGTTTTTATTTTTAGGTTCACACATTTCTGGGGGTGACTGATCTTTGACTCAAGATTCCATTATTTCACTTCATTTAGGCCTCAGTTTTCTACTTTTTGTATAAGAGGATATTAGGTCAAGTGAGGGCTTGACAACGTTAGAGCTATAATAAGTGAAATGGGCCAGAAATAAGTAATAGTGAGTGGCAGGAGTTGGGGTGATATGGTGACCACCTGCCCAGTCCATAGGGACAACTACTATTTAGCTCCAGCCATACTGGAATGCAGATGTGGTGTTGATAGATATTCATATTTTAAAAGAGAAGCAAGAAATACAATTCTGTGCATGCGAGATATCCTGATTTATTATAAATATTGGCAGCTACATAAATTTTTTTAATGCTGTGCAGTTTAAACAAAACACATCTGCCAATTGGATTTGAATCTGTGTTGAAAGGTTGAACAGGTTGACATGAAGACTGGCCAATCTCTAAATGACTGTTTTGCTCTAAAATTCAAAGGTCAATGATTCTGATCAGGCTGATTTCCATGCATTTCTGCTATGTAACCTCATCTTCTTGCTATGATTTGTTGGAATTTGGCAGTGGGAGGGACACCCGCCATGACGGTGTTTATCGTCTGGTTCAGCATGTCCTTTACCCCTTGGTTTTATGACTTCAGATCAACAAACTTCTCTCTACCAGAGGCTGGTGGCCCTGCTCAAAATGAGCTGATAGCTTTCAAAGAATTTGCCTAACTTACTGTATCACTGAAGTCATAACACACTTACTGTGTCATTATCTTTAAAAAGAGATTGCATTTCATAAAGCAGTATGGGTGGCCAGTGCAGGGAGCTAGAGCATGAGCTAATGGCACCAGGGTCCGGTGTAGGCAGTTAGCTCTGCTATATTTGGAGGGTGTAGATTGTACTCAGCTGGCAGTGTTTGGAATCTGTCTTTTTGGTCACAAAGAAGATTGAGGAAGGTAGTGACTTAAGGTAAAGCCATTCCTTCTGCAGGAAAAGAAATTCAAAATTGCTTTCACAGCTCTCAGTGGGTCACTTGAATGATTTAAATCATGTTGTTAAACACATAGGCTGTCACTCTTCTGGCCCACCCCCACCCCGGCCATGAGGATAGGTGGGTCTGTAGGTTATTTGACTTGACCCAGAAGCCTAAAGAGGCCTCCAGTACAGACAGCTGTTAATGATATCGGATGACCCTTTCTGTGTTTGCTCTCACCCCAGAAGGAGCACCAGGGTGAACGTGCTGGTTCTGTTACTCTTCTCAGAACGATAATAGCTGCCATTTTATTTACTCTAAAAGCACAGAGTCCTTAACAATCACTTGCAAAGTGCCACCTGATCTGACACCTGCCCCCCAGCCAATCACATACATCATCTTTTACTTTTTTCTTCCTTGCTCACTGTGCTCCTCCCACCCTGACAACAACTCTGGAAACACTCCTGCCTTAGGCCTTTGCTATTTCTTCATATAGTCATGTAGCTCACACCTTCATCTCTTTCAAGTCTTTGCTCAAATGTCATCTTTTCAAGGAGTCTTACCTTGTGCTCCGTTAAAAATTGCAATCCATGCCTTTGCCCTCCCAACCACCTATCCCTCTGTCCCTGCTCTACTTTTCTTGATTTCATTCATCAACTTCTAACCCACAATGTAAATTACTTATGTATTATGGTTTACTCTGTGTCCCTCCACTAGGATATGAGTGTACCAGGGTAGAGTTCATTTCCTTTACTGATGTATTTCAAATACATAGAAGAATGGACACTCAATAAAGGTTCATGGAATAAATTAATGCATCCTATTTTCCTCCCCTTACTTGTGCACTGGGGCATTGTGATGAAGGAGGCAGCAATACTAAAATACAACCAAGACATCCCTTCCCCGCTTCTTAGGGGTGGGCAGTTCTCAGGGCTGAGTCCATTCACCTTTTGATGGAAAACCACCGTAAAGGAAGGAGGTTATGTAACCCTGAAGCTTTTCCTAATCAGTTGTGCCCTGGAAGGGTGAGGCAACCTGACTTGTCAGAAGAGTGTCTCCTACCTACATTTCTCCAGCTTCCTGTTCTAGGAATGATTAGCCGCAGCAGTCAGAGAGAAACCAACGGAAAAACAAGTTTCCTCCAATCTCCCTCTGCACCTTGAGCATTGAGGTTTATGAAGATTACGGTAAAGCTTATCCAAGAGAACTGTGACCACTGCCATGCCACGGCTCCTTCCCCTGGCTGGTGGTGATGCAAGGGCCAAGGCTGAAAGGAGGGCACTGGGGTATCCGGAGTGGGGGACCTCAAAAAAAATGCATCTCGAAAAAATATGAGCTGTTCTGAAAGATCCAGCCTCGCAGCTTCCTGAAAATGAACCACATTTTGTTGGTTTCCCATCCACTAGCTCTCCTTCTCCTTTCCAACTCTCTTCCTCTACTCTCTGCAACCCCCACTAGAAAGAAATAATTGTCTCATTTCCAGAGAGGGTTCTGTTGTAAGGATGTAGGCTTGTGGGCCAGGATTTGAAGGCAGCCCATGTATTTGGAATCATGTCCCCACTGAGTTTCCATGTTCCACATCTGCCTGGGACATCAGACAGCTGTATTTAGGGCTGCCCATTGGGGTAGAGGCTGTGGCAGGATTTCAGATGGAAGGAAAACGGTGCTCATGTGTTGACTTAGGTGCTGACAATAGCTGATGCTTTCGTATGCTTGCTAGTTGGCTTAGGTGCAGAAGCAGAACCTGTTCAGGACTGAGCAATTTGTAAGCGAGGATTCACCAGTTAAAAAGCAGAAGAGATGATTTCCTGACTTTACTGTCTTCTTTTTATATTTAAATTTTCAGCTAGTTCTTGAGTTTAATCAGGAGAGGTGAATCTGCAGATCCCCAGCATGGAAAAGCAGTTCTGTAATCTCAAAATTTTCCATGTATTGATCTTAATTTCCTAAGATTTTTATTATTAGTTGCTGTCCTTTTATTTAATCTTAGCTTTTTAATAAAGAATGTTACTCCCCACATTGTAATCTTTTAAACATACGTGATATTTGAGATATTGAATTTGATTTATATTTCAGTAAGTTTAATATTAGTATTACTATTATAGTTACTATAAATATATAATATTAAATACAAGATATTTAATACTGGGTGGATACAGCACCATTCTTTTAAAAAAGTTAAAAAAATCTCCTTTCTCCTCTTTAATAGTCCAATAAAACCATATCAGGGGTTTACTTAGGGGAAGTGTCTTGAATAAGAATACTAAAAAGTGGGTTAAATATTAAATAGTCCCAGAGACTAAAGAGTAGATTTGGCAAGATGTTGGAATGCTACACAAATTTGTTTATAAGTAAACTTGTTATTGAATAAATTGTTTATGAAACAAAGTCACAAAAGTACACAAATCATGAAAGTACTGCCTGACGAATTTTCAAAAAGAAACACCCCAGTATCTACCACCTTGATCCTGAAACAGCAGTTACCAAAGCCCCAGATGATCCCCCATGCTTCTCTCCCGTCACTACATCTCCCAAAGGATGGAAACACCACCTTGACTTCTAGGTTTTGCTTGTTCTTGAACTTTATATAAGTGGAATCATAGAACATGTACTATTTTGTGTCTGGCTTCTTTTGCTCAACATTATGTTAGTAATATTAGCCTTGTGGTTGTGTGTAGCAATGATTTGTCCACCCTCCATACTGTAAATTATTTCATTACCTGAATATGCAACATCTTGTTTACTTAGTCTACTATTGAAGATATTTGTTTCCAATTTTTCACAATGATAATTAAGGACATTCTTCTTTATGCCCTTAGGACAATTATATACTCATTCCTATTTGGTATATTGTTTGGTATACAGTTTGGTATATATCTAAGAGTGGAAATCCTGTATCAGAGGGTACAGGTGTGTTCCATTTAGGGAGACACTGCCAATAGGTTTTCTAAAGTTGTATCAATATACAGTCCTGCTAGCAGGGCAGGAATGTTCTGATGGTTCCACATCCTCGTTAATGCTAGGTAGCCCTGGTGGTGTTTCAAATTTAGATGGTCTAGTGGGCATGTAGAGGTATCACACTGTAGTTTTAATTTACATTATCTTGCTCACTAATGAGTTTGAAGACTTTTTTTCTGTTGCCCACCCATTGGATATCTATTCTTGTGGAGTACTTGTGTAATATTGTACTCATTTTTTTCTATTGCTTATCTTCTTTTTTTAAATTATACTTTAAGTTCTGGAGTACAAGTGCAGAATGTGCAGGTTTGTTACATAGGTATACACGTGCCATGGTGGTTTGCTGCACCCATCAGCCTGTCATCTACAGTAGGTATTTCTCCTAATGCTATCCCTCCCCTAGTCCCCCACCCCACAACAGGCCCCCCAGTGTATGATGTTCCCCTCCCTGTGTCCATGTGTTCTCATTGTTTAACTCCCACTTATAAGTGAGAACATGTGGTGTTTGGTTTTCTGTTCCTATGTTAGTTTGCTGAGAATGATGGTTTCCAGCTTCATCCATGTCCCTGCAAAGGACATGAATTCATCCTTTTTTATGGCTGCATAGTATTCCATGGTATATATGTGCCACATTTTCTTTATCCAGTCTGTCATTGATGGGCATTTGGGTTGGTTCCAAGTCTTTGATATTGTGAATAGTGCTGTAGTCAACATACATGTACATGTGTCTTTATGGTAGAATGATTTATAATCCTTTAGGTATATATCCAGTAATGGGATTGCTGGGTCAAATAGTATTTATGGTTCTAGATCCTTGAGGAACCTCCACACTGTCTTCTACAATGATTGAACTAATTTACACTCCCACCAACAGTGTAAAACTTTCCTATTTCTCCACATCCTCTCCAGCATCTGTCGTTTCCTGACTTTTTAATGATCACCATTCTAACTGGTGTGAGATGGTATCTCATTGTGGTTTTGATTTGCATTTCTGTAATGACCAGTGATGATGAGTTTGTTTTCATATGTTTGTTGGCCACATAAATGTCTTCTTTTGAGAAGTGTCTGTTCACATCCTTCACCCACTTTTTGATGGGGTTGTTTTTTTTTTTTTTCTCGTAAATTTGTTTAAGTTCCTTATAGATTCTGGATATTAGCCTTCTGTCAGATTGATAGATTGCAAAAATTTTCTCCCATTCTGTAGGTTGCCTGTTCACTCTGATGATAGTTTCTTTTGCTGTGCAGAAGGTCTTTAGTTTAATTAGATCCCATTTGTCAATTTTGGCTTTTGTTGCCGTTGCTTTTGGTGTTTTAGTTATGAAGTCTTTGCCCATGCCTATGTCCTGACTGGTATCACCTAGGTTTTCTTCTAGGGTTTTTATGGTTTTAGATCTTGTGTTTAAGTCTTTAATCCATCTAGAGTTAATTTTTGTATAAGGTGTAAGGAAGGGGTCCAGTTTTAGTTTTTTGCATATGGCTAGCCAGTTTTTCTAACACCATTTATTAATAGGGAACCCTTTCCCCGTTGCTTGTTTTTGTCAGGTTGGTCAAAGATCAGATGGTTGTAGATGTCTGGCATAATTTCTGAGGCTTCTGTTCTGTTCCATTGGTCGATATATCTGTTTTGGTAGCAGTACCATGCTGTTTTGGTTACTGTAGCCTCGTAGTATAGTTTGAAGTCAGGTAGCATGATGCCTCCAGCTTTGTTCTTTTTGCTTAGGATTGTCTTGGCTATATGGGCTGTTTTTTTGGTTCCGTATGAAATTTAAAGTAGTTTTTTCTAATTCTGTGAAGAAAGTCAATGGTAGCTTGATGGGGATAGCATTGAATCTATAAATTACTTTGGGAAGTATGGCCATTTTCACAATATTGATTCTTCCTATCCATGAGCATGGAATGTTTTTCCATTTGTTTATGTCCTCTCTTATCTCCTTGAGCAGCGGTTTCTAGTTCTCCTTGAAGAGGTCCTTCACATCCCTTATAAATTGTAGTCCTAGATATTTTATTCTCTTTGTAGCAATTGTGAATTGGAGTTCAGTCATGATTTGGCTCTCTGTCTATTATTGCTTGTCTTCTTTTCTTTTTGCTGAGGTAGTTATTTATGTAATCTGAAGTTTGAACAGTCATCAGATACATGAATTGCAAACATCTTGCACACAGTGGCTCACCTTCATGCTCTTCATCGTTTCTTTTGATGCAAGTATTTTAAATTTTAATTTGTCATTCTTTTTCTATATGGTTAGTTTTTTGCAGGTATGTTCTGTTTCAGAAATTTTTGTCTACTCAAAATATGAAGATATTTTTCTAGGCTTTCTTGTAGAAGCTCTACTGTGTTTTGCTATTTTCATATAGATTTATGGTACATTGGGAATTTTGTGTGTATTATAAAATAAGGAGTCAAGATTTTCATGGCACCATTTACTAAAAAGACCATTCATTCTCTATTGAACTAGTCTTGCCTTTGTTATGCATTGAGTAACCACATATATGTCTGTTTCTGTATACTACTTTTAATTTTATTGGTTTGTTTATTTGTACACTGACTCAATTAACTGTAACTCTATACTCAATCTTGATCTCTGACAATGTAAGTCTTCTAAGTATTCTTTTTAATTGCTTTGGTTCTTCTCAGCCCTTTTTATGTTCTATAAATTTTAGAATCAGCTAATTAATGTTCACTAACAAATTAATTATAATTAAATCAGTGTATTCTCCTGGTCTTTAATATAACTTTACTTATTTTTCCATCAGTTTCAGACAGAGGTGTATTGAAATTTTCAAGTACGGTTGCAATTTTGTCCATTTCTTTTAATAGTTATATCAATTTTCAATTTATATATTCTGAAACTATGATACATAGTTTCTTTGGTATGATATATATAATATATATATTTTATATCATATATAGTTTATATATATTAGAAAATGCAGGCACATTTACGATGATCATATTTTCTTGGTAGATTAATTTTTTTATCATTATACAGTATCCTTGTTATCTCTAAAAGGGATTATTGCCTAAAAGAATACTTAGTTTAATAGTAGTATATCTACAACATCTATCCTCTAGTTATTCTCCATGGTGGATTTTTTTTCTCAATTCATTTCTGGATTTCAATACTTCTCCTCCTCTATGCTTCAATGTGGATATTTTCTACTGATATATCATTGGGTCACTAATCCTTTTATGAGCTGTATTGAATCTATTGTATTATTTGTTACAATGTTAGTTATAATTTGTTTTTAGTTCTGGGATCTTCATTTGATTCTTTCTCATAGGTTTCAGTTCTCTGATAATGTTCTGCATCCTGCAAGAATGTTCTGTAATGTCACCTGTGCTCTTGAACACCTTAACACAATTTTTAAAAGGTCCATGTCTATTAAATTCAATAAATGGATCATCTTTGTATTTATTCCTATTGCCAATTTCTTTTTTCCCCCCTCAGTACTGTTTCTTATTCTTCCTAGTAATTATTGAATGAATGCTGGCCATTTTGTACAATAAAATGCATAGGTTCCTATTGTGTATTGAGATTGGCTTCTCCTTTTGCCTGAACAGCTTGGCAAAGTTAATAATGGATTTGGGGATGTGGCATCATTGCAGGAAGATGACACCTCAATCAATACCGGAGATTACAGGGGTATATTTATGTTACTCCCACACATTTCACCTTTTGTCCATCTTCACTGCTTGCTTATCTGGATTGGACCTTAATTATATCTCAACTGGATTCCTGGCTGATATTTCTTACTTCCAACCTCTCCATTTATTGCAATTTTGCCATAGCCATTAGATTAAGATTGGCAAAATTCCCTTCTGGTTGCATCACTACTTCTGTTCAAAGCCTCCAATGACTTAATGCAGAGAACTAAGATCCCACAAAAAAAGAAACACCATATTTTCCTTCCGAATGAATCTTCATGTGTAACAGAGGAGAAATAAAGAAAAAAAATTAGAAGCTGGGCAAAGTCCTAACATCCAGCTTTATTTTTTCCATGCAATCATGAATGGAACTCCACCCTTGTATAATACTTTCTGATTAAATAATATGTTTTTATAATCAATATAAAAATTCATATCAGGAATTTTGAGGTAAAATTTCTTTTAAAATTTTATTATGATAAGCATTAATTTTTAATAATAAACATTTTCTATTAAAATATAGAAATACTTTATAATCTCCTCTGATTGTGCAGATCTTCTAGAATTTAGAATTGTTTCTTGTTAACATGTAATATTTCAATTTAAAAACCTCCCCTCCCCCAAATAAATGGCAGAGTCACACCACAGGAAGAAAATGTAATTCAAGGTAACTTTTTTCTTTTAATAAAAACATGCTCCTCTCTTCACCTTTGTGAGTATAAATTTGATATTATATGTAAATGTGCCTTGTAAACTCTACAGTGCTATAAAAATGAAAGCTATTTTACTTAATAATTAACATTAATGCTAATAAAATATTGCCCCCTATTAAAATGCAATTGCTCTTGGAAGACTGAGACATTAAACCAAGTATGCATGACTTGGTGAGAAATATTTCATCAGCAACTTTTCCATGCAATAAATAAAGTGGTGTGATGGAGTAAAGGAGAAAATGTGTGTGTGTGTGTGTGTGTATGTGTGTGACTGGGAGAAAAACAAAGACACAAAAGTCAGGCCCAAATGCTTCTTTGAGGCAGAATTGGATTAAAACCTGGGTGACAGAGTGATAGGTTATCATGACCTAATAAGCTTGTTTTGGTGACATTGCTAAGAAGTTATAACTCATTTCCTGCCTCTGTCACTTCAGTAATGTTCTTTGAGGGCTCCATTTCCTAGGCAATACCCTGAGAAGGTTGGAATAAGGGTCTCCAACTCTGATAGTCTACGATGCACTGGTTCAACAGTCCATGAGAAGGTAGAGGGTGGCAGTGTCTCATGTCTCCCTCAAGCTTTATTTGTCATAAATCCAACCGATGCCCCATATGAGAATTGGACCTTACAAGAGATAGAGATGACCTTAGGAATGAACTAGTCTTACATTCTCATTTTACAGAGGCGGGAATTAAGAGGCAAGGGGAGCAAGTGTCTGGCAATGAAGGCCACACAGTGAGCTGGTGGCAGAACCAGAATTGCAACTCCCTTCTCCTTGTTCTTCCTGCTGGTTTGTGGGTTACTTACTTATTGCCACAATCAGTGGGATTTTAGGTATAAAAATATTAATAAAGGTAGCAGAAATGGAAGCTTCTGGTGCAAAGAAGCCTCATCTTTATAATTAGTTTCCTCCCTTCTTTCCTTTCTTCTTGTCCTTATTCCCTTCTTTCCAACTGCCCTGTCTTCTGTGGTTTTCCTTCTTTTCTTGTGCACTTGAGATATTGCAAGTGATGAGCAAAACAGGTGTGGCCTCTTCCTTCACTGGGCTTAGAGTCACATAAGAGACAGAGCAAGTAAAATATTACGCTACAGTGCTACTGGCCCATAATCAGGCAACTGCAGAGTCTTAGGGGGTTATCTAATGTAGTCTTGGGGTGGCTGGATAGACTTCCCAAAGAAGGTGATGCCGAAGCTGAGGTCGGAAATTACGAAGATCAGCTATGTAAGTTAAAGGGTGAGGGGAAAGGGAGCCCAATGAGAGGGAGAGAGGGAAAAAACAGGGAGCGTGCACGTGCACGTGAGAGAGACAGAGACAGAGAGAGAGAATATATGAGAAAGTGAAGAAGAGAAAATGGGAGAGGGAGAGAAAACATACAATTATGTATGTCTGGAGCACACCATATTAAAGGAGGGAGTGGCAGAAAACGTGAGGTGGGAATCAAATCATGCTGGGCTTTTTGGCCAGGTAAGGAGTTTGGTTTATAGTCTAAAAGAAATGGTGAACCATGTACAACATATTGTTTTAGAGTATATGTGCATTGTGGAATGAGTTAATCTAGCTAATTAACACATGCATTGCCTCACATAGTTATCATTTTTGTGGTAAGAATACTTTATATCCACTCTGTTAGCATTCATTGTTCAAGAATACAATATATTGTTAACTACGGTCATCATGTTGTACAGTAGATCCCTTGAATTTATTCCTCCTATGTAACTGAACTTTTGTATTCTTTGACCAATATCTCCCTACCACCCCCATCAACCAACCCAGCCCACGGTAACCACCATTCTACTGTCGTCTACTTCCCTGTGATCATTTTTTTTCTTTTTAAGATGAGTGAGATCATGTAGTCTTTGTCTTCCTGTGTCTAGCTAATTTCACTTAATGTCCTCCAGGCTCATCCATGTTGTACATGGTAAAGACCTACAATTTCATGTCAAAAAAGGGATACTTTGCTACCAGCTTTAGAAAAGGTAGAGATAGTGAACCAGTGGTGAGTTTTAAGAAGAGACATTGCAGAGATACTTAAGGGAAATCAGAGTGATCCCAATGCAGAACTTTTGAGTTTTAATATTGGGATAAAATTTTCATTTTGGGGGGGGTCAAAGTTTAGTATTCCCTCCTTACTTCAAAAAATAAGAATGAAGAAGTCCTAGATAGGTTCTAAATTTCAAATGCAATAATGTACATAAAGCTCCTCGCTTAGTGCCTGTTATGTAAAAGACTGTCAATAAAAGTCATCTATGAGAATGAGTATGGTGAAACAACTTGGGCTGTTTTCACCTCCAAGCTCATTCTCTTGCCAACATGTGATATCTCACTTCTTACCCCTCAGGAATGCGGGGCCATTTAGTTTTTAGAGAATTCTTTCTTTTCTTTTTTGCTTGCCAATGTTTTAATTTTCACAGTTTTCTTCCTACTCCTTCCCTTTCCTTCATATGAATTCCAGGTAAACCCTGAGAGTTTCATACTCCAAATCTTCTGTGGAAGCTGACCTTCCTCTGGTAGATTACTTAGCTGTCCAGGAATACCTTGATTTAGGGATTAGACAAGGTAGTCACCAGACAGGCCTTTAGCATTATTTCCCCTGAAAGCCTGCACAGGGGTGAGCAGCCTGACTTGGAACATCTAGACGTGTTTTTGGTTCATCTAGCTTCTATAACTGCATTGGAAATTTCCACTAGAATTTTAGGAAAAAAAAAAACTGTGGAAAGAGAGGTTGATAGATGTTTGAGAGATGTTGAAGAGAAGTGATATTTCTGATGCAAATTTATATGGGTTTTAGTTATTTTCAGCTGTATTTGCTGCTCCCTATAGTATTTATTTACTTTGTGGTTTTTAATTGACTGATCATTGTGACCCTTTTTTTGGACTTGTGGCTACAGATTATTTTGAGTGTTGGTGGCTCTTTTGGAGAGGATTGCATTTGAAAGACAGACACAACACTCAAACCCTTAGGTCCTGAGTACAGCGGAGTGAAAGGTAGGAAGCAAGGAGAAGGGAAAGGAATGAATAGTTCTGTGTACTTATGATGGTGCAGATGTTGAAAAGTTTTACATATATTAGCTCATTTTATCATCACAATGATCTGAGAACATAGATGTCTTTCTCCATTCATTACAGATGAGAACACTGAGGCTCAGGTTAAGAGACAGTCTAAATTTACATAGATAGGAAGAAATAGAAATGCAATTTGACCTGATACCTGTTTAGAGTAGAAATCCATGTCGTTTCCAATTGTTAGTTTGGGAAAAGCCATTTGGACACTAGAGAAGATTTCTGTACCAAGTAGTGGGATTCAACTAATAATTATTTATATTTTTTTCATGGGGGAGGGAGTTAATATTCTATTGTCATTTTTTAATTCTCCCCATTGAATTTGACTAAAAAGTCTTTGGGACTTTCTGGGCCTCAGTTTTCTGGTTTTTTTTTTTCCTTTTTTTTTTTTTTGAGATGGAGTCTTGCTCTGTTGCCCAGGCTGGAGTGCAGTGACACAATCTCGGCTCACTGCAGCCTCTGCCTCCCAGGTTCAAGCAATTCTCCTGCCCCAGCCTCCCCAGTAGCTGGAATTACAGGCGCCTGCCAACACACCTGGCTAATTTTTGTATTTTTAGTAGAGACGGGGTCTCATCATGTTGACCAGGCTGGTCTCGAGCTCCTGACTTCAGGTGATCTGCCTGCCTCAGTCTCCCAAAGTGCTGAGATTACAGGCGTGAGCAACCGTGCCAGGCCTGGGCCTCAGTTTTCTGACCCATGAGAAGAAGTGACTAGATAAAGTCAGTGATTTCTAAACTGTGATATGTGGAATGGCAGGTCACCTTCCGAGACAGAGGGTACTGGAGAAATAGATGTGAACATGGAGACGTTAGGAGTGGGTGGGCTTACAGGTCACCACAGCAGCAAGAGTTTCTCTACTTTCATCTCCTTTATATTTTATTCTGAATAATTTTGAAGAAAAAATTTCATGGCTATTAAAAAAGTGTTCACCCTTTACCTTTGTTATGACCCACACTCAGGTCAACATATCTGAATTGACAAGCTTTAGATCTCAAAGCCCAGAACACTCTGAGAGGCTCAAACAATGCAAACACGTGACTGCCAATAGGCCCCTTTATGTGAACAGAGTGAAGCTGTGAGGAGGCAGAGAGGACAGGAGAGAATTAGGGAGTTGTTTACTGGCTGTTGGTCAATTTGCTGATAATCCATTGTCAAAAGGCAATTCACAAAAACACCAATTCCCTGAAAACCTTTTCAGTGAAAATAATTTTGCCAAAGAAATCAATTGTCTGAATTCCCTGAAAACTATAAAACAATTTTTAAGCCAGATCTAGGACAGTTTGCTACTACTATTTCCTAGCATTGGCAGATGAGTTTTGCTTAAGGCCTATGGCAAAGGCAGAGCATAAGTCTGCAAAAATAACAAAGTCAATAAAAGGAAAGTCTAATCTTTAGGATATAAAATGTTGAATATTTCAAGTGTTCAGAGTCAAATGTAAAACACAAGAGAAATCGACTTCAAATTAGCTGGATTAACAAATCCATATAGAAAGTGTGCAGAGACATTGCTTTTTTTACTTCTTGGTTATTATGAATAATACTGCTATGAACATTTATGTATATGAGTTTTTTGTTTTTGTAGACATATGCTTTCATTTCTTTTGGACAGAAATTTAAAAGTGGAATTGCTAGGTTACATGGTAAGTCAATCTCTACCTTTTAAGAAACTATCAAACTATTTTCCAACATGGTTGTACCATTTTACATTTTCACCAGCAATGAATGAGGGTTCCAAGTTTTTGACATCCTTGTCAACTCTTATTATCTGACTTTTAGATGTAACCATCCTCGTGAGTGTGAAGTGATGCCTTGCTGCTTTGATTCGCATTTCCTAATGACTTAATGTTGAGCATCTTTTCGTGTGCTTATTGATCATTTGGAAAAATGCCTATCCAAATTCTTTACTCATTTTAAAACTGGGTTCTAAGATA
Source organism: Homo sapiens (assembly GCF_000001405.40). Classification (NCBI taxonomy): domain Eukaryota; kingdom Metazoa; phylum Chordata; class Mammalia; order Primates; family Hominidae; genus Homo; species Homo sapiens. The sequence continues at coordinate 129,571,111 of NC_000008.11, read as the reverse complement.
TTTACTACTGAGTTGTAACACTTTTAAAAATATATTCTAGATACAAATCCCTTATCAGATAAACGATTTGGAAATACGTTCTTCCAAGCTGTGAGTTCTCTCTTGATGGTGTCTTTTGAAGCAACAAAAATATTAATTTTGATTGAGTCCAATTCATCAGTTTTTTTCTTTTATTGCTTGTTTTGTGTTGTATCTAAGAAATATGCCTAACCCCAAATCATGAAGACTTTTCTCTTGTGTTTTCTTCTAAGAGTTTTATAGTTTTGAGTACCTACATGTAGGCCTGTAGTCAATTTTGAGTATGTTTTTGTGTGTGGTATGAAGTAGGTGTCCTAATTAATCTTTTTGCATGTGAATATTCAACTGTTCCAGAATTATTTGGTGAAAAATAAACTTCTTTCCCATTTAGTTTTCTTGACACCCTTGTTGAAAATCTATTGTCTGTAAGGGTTTATCCATTGATCTATATGTCTATGCTTATACCAGTACCACATTGTCTTGATTAGTTTAGCTTTATAGGAAATATGCAAATTGAGAAGTGTAAGTCCTCTAATTTTGTTTTCATTTTTGAAAATTGGCTATTCTGGTTCCCTTGCATTTCCATGTGAATTTTAAGATTAGTTTGTCAATTTCTGCCAAAAGCCCAGCTGGGAATTGATAGGGATTTCATTGAATCTGTACATCTATTTGGGTAGAATCATCATCTCAACACTATTGAGTCTTCAATACATGGACATGGGGCATATTTTCATATATTTAGATATTCTTTCTTTTTGTTTTTGTTTTTTGTTTTGTTTTGTTTTGTTTTGAGACGGAGTCTCGCTCTGTCACCCAGGCTGGAGTGCAGTGGCGCGATCTCAGCTCACTGCAAGCTCCACCTCCCGGGTTCATGCCATTCTCCTGCCTCAGCCTCCTGAGTAGCTGGGACTACAGGCGCCCGCCACCACGCCCGGCTAATTTTTTGTATTTTTGGTAGAGATGGGGTTTCACCGTGTTAGCCAGGATGGTCTTGATCTCCTGACTTCGTGATCCTCCCGCCTCGGCCTCCCAAAGTGCTGCGATTACAGGCGTGAGCCACCGTGCCCAGCCGATATTCTTTCTTTCAAGAATGTTTTGTGATTTTAAGTGTGCAAGTCTTGTTCATCATCTGTTAAAATACTTTCCATTTTATTCTTTTGATGTCATTGTGAACTGAATTTTTTCTTAATTTCATTTTCAGATTGTTCATTGCTTGTACAAATACAGTCAATTTTTGTGAATTTATCTTCTATCATGTGACCTTGCTAAACTTGTTATTTCCAGTATTTTTAATGGATCCTTTGGATTTTCTACATACAAAATCCTGTCATCTTCTTCCTTGCTACTTGGGTGCCCATTATTTTATATGCTTGCCTGATTTCACTGGCTAGATCCTGTAGTACAATGTTGAATAGAAGTGCCAAAGCAGACGTCCTTGCTTTATTCTGAATCTTATGGGGGAAAGCATATAGTCTTTTTAGCATTAAGTGTGGTGTTAGCTGTAAATTTTTTGTAGATGCTCTTTATCATGATGAGAAATTTTCCTTCTATTCCAAGTTTTGAAATCATGAATGCACACTGGATTTTGTTGAATGTGTTTTCTGTGTCTATTGAGATGATTATGTATTTTTTTTTGATTTTTGTTGTCAAAACAATGTTGCATTCCTGTGATAAATCTCACTTGGCCAAGGTGTTTAATCCTTTTTACGTGGCTTGCTAAATATTTTGTTGAGAATTTCTTCATTGCTTCTTGGCTAATCTTTTTCCATTTAGTTATTTCCTCTCTGCTTTTAATAATATTCTCATGAGAAAGTAGCTAAAGATCAAAATAGTGAAGATTCACTGGAGTTGACCATGTTGGAAGGGAATTTTGTATATCAGGTAGAGGTGAAAGTGAGACTGGATCATCATTGTTCATAACCCACTTCTCTCAACCACCTTGGAATCCTGGATTTCTAGGCAGTATCCAAACAGCATATAAAGGCAGAATGGTTAAGAAATTATTTAGGTGACCTTTGCCAAAGATGAATAAAAAAGATTAAGCAAGAGGATTTTTCTTTTTCACAAACCTTTGTTTCTTTTTCTTCTTTAACATGACTTACTGCAGGCTAGATACTGTGCTAAGTGCTTTATATGTGTTATCCAGTGGTATACTTACCTTCATGTTGAAACATGTGGAGTTCAAATAACTTGTCCAAGATTACCCAATCTACAATAGCAAGGCAAAGATTCAATATTGCCTGATGCTAAATCATAAGCTCTTATCCATTTTTTCAAGGAGCTTCTTCTTCCCCTTCCCTTCTTTACTTCTTTCCTGTATCTTCTCTCTCTCCCTTATTCGATTCACATTTATTGAGCCTTTGCTATACTGGTAAAAATTAGTATTATTATTTAACATTTTTTAAGCACTTTTGATGGACTGGAAAATATGCTTTTTCATTAATGATTATTAGATTGTTTAATTCTTATAAGTATCTTTGAGGTATGTGCTTTCATTGGTCTCATTTCATAATTGGGAAAACTGATGTCAAGAGTTTACATAAACTTTCCCAAGGTCACAGAGCTAATAAATGATGGAATCTTAAGATCAGAACTGAATCCAAGTAATCCTTTAATGGTATATGCTATGGTTATGAAGAAAATATGACAAACGCACTAGACTTAAACTGGGGGCATGTTTTAAAATGCTATTAAAGAGAATGAAGAAAATAAACATAGTGTATAAAACCTGCTTGGAACAATTAACTTCTCTCGGAGAAGCAGTAGAAGGCTCACTGAGAATGATAGATATTCATGATGTTAAAATAAGAGCAGGAGTTAGCTGATATGTGGCAGTGGCAAGGAAAAGTCAAGCATTTCAGGTGAGAGGAACCTCACGGACAAAGACAAAGCAATGTGAAAATGGCCATCAACTTCAAAGACAGGTGAGAAGTTCAGAGAAAAGCAGTGCACAGTGGTATGGGGAAACAGTGAGCAAGGATGCCCTAGATGCTGGGGGCTGGAGCCAGGTTGGGAAGGGCCCAAGCCAAGGTTTCAGCACCAGGGCACCCTTTTGAGCACCGGAATGACACGATCAACCTTGATTTGCGGGATCATCCCAAGATGGTGGCCAGGAGATCAGGGTAGCGGGGTCTGACAACAGCAAGAAAGATAAGCAGGTGCAGGGTGAATCTAGTTTATTACTTTGACTACACCATGTGAATCTGGGGCAATGGATTCTTTCTATATCAGTGGGTATGATGAGATAAATTGTGTATAGGATTTAGAGGTAGGCCCAATTGTGTTCCATTCCTAACTCAGCTGGCTTCTTTGCGTGTCCCTGGGTTACTATGATTTCTCTCTGAAGGTGGCTTTCAGGAACAGGGATAAAAGTAGCTGGCTCTTAAGGAGATGATCAGTATAAGGCAGCTACATGGCATTATTGTCAAGCACTTTCCTATGAACCTGGATTAAAAATACATGAAATATGTTTGTGCCTGTGTGTGTGTGTTTTGTTTTGATTGCTTTATTGAGCTATAATTTCCTAACAAAATTTACTCATTGTAATTGTTCAATTTAATTATTTTAGTAAATTTGTAGAGTTCGTACTCTACATACTCATCATACTGTAGTCCAGGTTTAGAACATTCCCATCACCCCCAAAAGTTCCTTGTGCTCATTCGCCGTTAATTCCTGCTCCTACTCCCAGTCATAAGCAAATTTGGTTTCCTTTCTGTCTCTACAAATTTGCCTTTTATAGATGTTTCTTACAAATGAAATATATAGTCTTTCTAGAGATTTCATGTAAATAATATATGTAGTCTTCTGCATGTGGCTTAGCTTAATATTTTTGAGGCTCATCCATGTTGTAGTATGAATTGGTAGTTTGTTGCTTTTAATTGCTGAGTAGTGTTCCTATATATGGATATGCCACACTTTGCATATGTACTCATCAGTTGATGACCTTTAGATGAAAAGTTTTGCATGACATTGTTGTGCATCTCTAGGTCACGACTCACTAGAATTTTTATATCAACTGAGATTTCTTATTCTTCCATTAAATATTTTGAAAAAAGCAAACAAACATGTGGCAAAGACCATATGAGGACTATAGAATATTCTATACTATATCTAGCAGTCTCTATCATCTATCTATCTATCTACCTATCTATCTATCTATCTATCTATCTATCTATCTATCTATCTACCCACCCATCTATCTATTATTACTGTTTATGTTAGCATTCTGGAGCAAACGATTAAATTTCAAATCTAGTTCTCAAATTCCTGAAATAAAATTCTTTTTGTTATTTGATAACTATCACAGAATAATTTAATTTCATTCATTCTACTATAGCTGGTAACCAGGATAGCAGTCTTGTTCACCTTAAGAATATTTTTAGCAATGAGGCTGGAAACCAGCAACATATTACTTGATAGATGTTAAGTTGGAAATGAAATACACTAGAATTCTTCCATTTTTCATACTCAGGCTAATACTATTTTGATTATAAGAAGAAGCTTGTCACCATTCAATTACCCTCAGGTGTGATGTCCCAGGGTCACTGAAGTCAGTAGCCTTTACTTGGCTTGGAGAAAGATCTCTCTCCTGGCTCACCCTCATCACCCTGTCCTGAATCTCCTGTTCAAGAACAGGAACTCTGCCTGTCTTATTTATCAGGTCTTTATCTCCCAGAGGGCTAATTTCTAACTTTTGTTTGTTTTTTTTTTTTTTTTTTTTTGAGACAGAGTCTCGCTCTGTCGCCCAGGCTGGAGTGCAGTGGCGCGATCTCGGCTCACTGCAAGCTCCGCCTCCTGGGTTCACGCCGTTCCCCTGCCTCAGCCTCCCGAGTAGCTGGGACTACAGGTGCCCGCCACCACACCCAGCTAATTTTTTTTTGTATTTTTAGTAGAGATGGGGTTTCACCGTGTTAACCAGGGTGGTCTCGATCTCCTGACCTCGTGATCCTCCTGCCTCGGCCTCCCAAAGTGCTGGGATTACAGGCGTAAGCCACCGTGCCTGGCCTAATTTCTAACTTTTATTAACTAAACTATAGTGCAGTCCCTACCATAGTAGATGCTCAATAAGGTTTGTTGTATACATGGATATGTGCTAGGCAGACTGTTTAGAATTTGGAGGTGTCTTTGGGCAAGTGGCAGCTATTTTGAATGTATGGTAGGTGGGTTGACATGAAATGACCACTTCCTGGCCCCATTTATAATTTCCACGTCTGTGGTAAGTTGTTGGGAAGAAACGCCATGTGGGTCCCTTCATTTGCCCTGGGGAGTTCAGTGGGAAGCAGCCACTTCTCACCCGCCAACTTTCTGTGGTTGGAGAATCTAGATCCCTAAATAGCCTCTCCTTTGTGTGCAGAGTTCTAAACATGGCATCCTTTCCCCCTTCAGATCAAAAATTTTGCCTTCATGTCCAATTCATGTGATGCTTGGCCTCTCAAGGAGGACCTGAAAAAGAAGCCAGATGTAAAGACAATAATGCCTGTAGTCTCCTTGCTTGTCTGCATTCTCCCCCTTCCTGGAATCCCCACAGCCGCCAGGCCATTCTTCACAATAAATCCAGGGTAATCTTTCCAAAACACAGGTCCTATCATGCCATACCTTGCTTGAAACTCCATCCATTGGCTTCCCTTTATTTCAAAGCCTACACTAGCTAATTTAGCAAAATAGTCCCGTCCTAATGTGACTCCTTCCCACTTCTCTCTTTACTTCCCAGAGGGCCCTCAGACCTGGTCCCTCCAGTCCCTTTCCATGCACCTTTGCATCATGTATACTCAGCAATAGTGGCTGACTACCTGGATGTTTTCAACTTAAACTAAGAGGGGATGGGGATACGGAGAGCAAGAGAACAATGAACACTCTGAGCAATGTCAACGTGGGCAGCTGGTCCACTCATCGTGCCATATGCCCCTAGGAAGCCAGAGAGGACAGCTATGACTCTTGTTCTTCGCTTCATTGGTGTCAGTCCCCACATGCCCCCCAGAGTGGGAGCATCTCAGAGCATGCTGTCTTTGAACAACATCACCTCCAATTGTTAACTGCTTCATATTTCTCAAATAGTGATCTGATCACAACTCTGTGGAGAAACTGGCTGTGATGGGCTTACTGAGAGACAGTGTATTGGGCTACAAGAAAGCTCCTTCCAAAATGGGACTTTGTAAGGATACATTTGACTCTTTGCAATTTTCAGTTTTTGTGCTGACTCTGGGTATCTTAAGTGGATAACAATCCCTTCCAATGTAAGTGCAGTTCCTCAAGCTTTTTCAGGCCCCCCATAATGTCCCTCCATCTGACAAGTCCTCCTGTATTCATGTTGTGGCTGATTCTGTTCATCATTCAAGCCTCAGCCCAAACTGCCTCTCCTTGGAAGCTTCCTCGGATCCTCCCCAGACTGCACTTAATTATTTACTCTTTTGTGGGAACAGCACAGCCTTCTATGCTTGAAACAAGATTCTCATTGGGAGTGGTAAATTGTCGACTTCATAATTCTAATATTCCTTTTATCTTTACTGCTTGACATAAAACAGAACTTTCTGTGATAAATGGGTCTATTTGCCCTGAAATAGAGTTTTTACTGAAAAGGCAAAATAAACACTTAACTACTTCTTTTTAATTCCCAATTCGGAAAGGGAGAAATTGTTTTTAAGAATCATTCCAAATGGTGACAAATGAGGTTTTGTTTCTGGCTTTCTCTTTTTTGAGTCATTATGGACTCGTGGCTCTAGTGTATTCAGTATATTTTAATTTGCTATAATCACTACTCTTTTTAGTGTTTCAATCATCACAATTTGGGTCAGCAAGAGCTCCTTCCACCTGGTTCTTGTGTTCTTTTGATATGCCCAATTACTCTTTGAAAGCTTCTTTGCCTTTGAACATAACAATATGTTCTAGGCGTATTTTGTACCTTCCCTAATTCAGTCCTGAAAGCAGCCAGTTCTACAAGAACTCTTGATTTTACAAAGCAAAATCTGGTGCCAGGTGTGGTTATTGATACTGGATGACATGGTGGCTAGGCCATTTCAATGAATTAAGACAGAAAATATGTAATTAATAAAACAGAAAGTTCATTTAACTGTCATCACTTCAATTTTAACATTAGTTTTATGCTTAATTTTTGATTTCATGATTGGCTTTTGTTCTCTTAGAACACCATTAATAGAATTCCTCATTTGCTTTCTTGAATGATACAAAGAGAATAGTTTCAAAATAACAATATGAATGTGAACATAAAATAGTCAGATTTAGTTTAAAATTTGATGTAGTTCTTTTGTCCATGAAGTGTATCCCACTAAGAATGTACAAAGTGCTGTGTTCTCAAACATCTTGGGGAAAAAATAATTGTTTCTCTGTGTGATAATATTTCTAAATTGATATATGGTTATATTTATTTGTCTTGGTTTATTTTTAATTTTAGAAATATTTTTAAAAATTAGCTTTACTTTTAATGAATAATGAACCCACATTATTCAAAGGGCATGATGGTATAGAAAGGTATACACAAAGAAGTTTTGTTTCTCTTTCCCTTACATATATTCCCAATGCATTTCCTATAAGGTAACTACTTTTATTAGTTTTTTGTTTACATTCTCTGTGTTTTTCGTCCTCCTGTTTTTGCAGATATATGAAACATATAGAGGTTCATATTTTCTTCCCTTACACAAAAGGTAGCATATTATAACTCTTCTACGCTTTCCTGTTTTCACTTTGCAATACACTCAGATGAATTTTCCATATTACTACATAGATACTGTCCCCATTCTTTTGAATAGCTGCATGTTACTCCATTGTGTGTCAGTTTATTTAACTGTTCCCCATTGCTGAACACTTGAGTTGTTTTTAATGTTTTGATTTATGAATAATGCTATAATGAATGACCTTACACATTTGTCATCTCATGCTTTTGCAAATGTTTCTGTAGGGTAGATTTCTAGAAATAGAATTAATGGGTCAAAGAGAAAGTCAATTGTAACTTTGCTAAACCCATAAACATTTTATTTCTATGCAATATTGGCTACCTTAAAATGATTCAAAGTGAAAGAATAAATTCATCTTAAAAAGTTATTTTAAAAATATAATACAAAGCAGATATGTAGGATGAACAAGTCTAGAGATCTAATTGTATAACATGAGGACTATAGTAACAAAGTTGTATTGCTGGTGATATATATATTTTTTATTATACTTTAAGTTTTAGGGTACATGTGCACAACGTGCAGGTTAGTTACATATGTATACATGTGCTATGCTGGTGTGCTGCACCCACTAACTCGTCATCTAGCATTAGGTATATCTCCCAATGCTATCCCTCCCCTCTCCCCCCACCCCACAACAGTCCCCAGAGTGTGATGTTCCCCTTCCTGTGTCCATGTGTTCTCATTGTTCAATTCCCACCTATGAGTGAGAATATGCGGTGTTTGGTTTTTTGTTCTTGCGATAGATATTTGTTAAATAATTAGATTTTAGCTGCTCTTGTCACAAGAAAGTAATGATCTGAGTTGATAGATATGTTAATTTTCTTCACTGTAGTAACCATTTTCCTACCTATATGTATCCCATAACATCATGTTGTAAACTTCAAATACATTTATTTTAAAAAAAAGTAAACAGGCATTTTGATTTTTTAAATGCCAGGTTGCTTTAAGAAATTTAATCTACCACTATTCCTCTTCTAAGAAATAAAACAAAAACAAAAGTGAACTCAGCAACACCCCAATACCTCACACCCCTCTGTAATTTCTGAATTAAGTAAACACATTATTAATGAGTGGCAACCACATTCCAGTGCTGTGTTAGGTACTAGGGATACAGAGGTGAGTTTGTCCTCATGGAGCTTACAGTTAGGTGAGTGCTGAGAGAGGCATTATACACCCAATGGCCCAAATAATAGTTTTGTTGTAGTTGTGATGGGGCCTGCAAGAAAAAATGAAGGGTGAGATAAACTCATATAACAGGAGACTGTGTCCTTGCTTGGGGAGTGGGGTAAGACATTTCTGTGTGACATTTGTGCCAAGACCTGAAAGATGAGTGGCAATAGTGAGATAAGTAGTAAAGGGTGGAGGAGAGGGTCAAGAGAGCCAATCAGAAAGCGGAAATAAAATTTGCAGACTCTGGAGTCAGGCAAGAGGTTGTTGCAAGTGACAAAGCAGGTCAATGTGGCAGAGCACAGCCAGCCAGAATGAGAGGTATATGTGCTGCTGCCAAAGATGCAGGCTGGAGTTAGCGCTCTAAACAGCTCCCAGGAGGTAGATTGTCCTAGTATATTTTTTGCTGCTCTGACAGAATATCATAGACTGGATAATTTACAAACAATGAGAGTCCATTCACTCATGGTTCAGGCTTGGAAGTCCAAGAACATAACGCTGGCATCTGGTGAGGGCCTTCGTACTGTGTCATCCCATGGAGAAAGGTGAAAGGGCAAGAGAGCATGTGCATGTGAAAGGAAAAGAGAAAATCATCATTTTATTAGAACCCATTCTATTGATAACCCTCTCCCATGATAACACCATTAATCCATTTGTAAGGGCAGAGCCCTCATGAGCTAATCATCTCTTAAGGGTTCTACCTGTCAACACCGCTGCATTGGGGATTAAGTTTCCAACACATGAACTTTGGAAGGCACATTCAAGCCTTACCATAAATTTTCTGAACATTTGCGTTCCCAGCAGCACCTAGAACATAGCTGGCTACAGAGCTGAAAAGCACTAAAGTATGTCCGAGTTAACTGTGGGTGAGTTATTTGAACATCATTTGGACCCCGATGTCTTAAATTAAATGGGATCATTAGGGGGCACTGCTGTCCAAGAATTGCTGCTTTTAAACCACCACTTAAAATCAATGTACGAATGAACATGCAGACCAACACCCTTTCACATGAAGAGTGTTAGAGTGGGAAAACCTTCATGTCACCTGAGGCAATATCCTACAACACTTGGTTAGTATGTATAGTACCAGGAACTAATGGTGCATCCCAGCCACCACCATGATCTTTTCATGCATCATTCCATTTCATTCTCAGCAGCTCCGAGCAGCTTAAGTTTGCCTTTCTATATCCTTAGCAAGGTAGACCCTCTCCATTATTGGGAGTAATTAGTAGAATTATGACTTTATTCTACTTTCTGGGAATAAACAAGTAAATTTCTTAGGAAAGAAACCAAACCAACCAACCAACTAAATAAAAAATCCATTCAGGTTAACGTGTGAAGGTCTGATAAGAATCTAGGGAGGATTTTAAAAAATTATTTTATTTTAATAATTTCTGGGATATTTAATAAGTTCTGGGATACATGTGCAGGACACGCAGGTTTGTTATATAGGTAAATGTGTGCCATGGTGGTTTGCTGCACTTATCAACCCATCACCTAGGTATTAAGCCCTGCATGCATTAGCTATTTAGGGAGGATCATTTTTACCAAGGTATTTGTACTTTGATAATTTACTATCTCCACTACCATCACTACCACTACTAAAGGAAGGCAAATGACATTTACTGAGTGCTTTCAACATACATCCTGGCACCACACTGAATACTTTATATGGATTAAATAATTTAACACTCACAACAATTATAGGAGGTGGGGATAGTTGTTGTTCTCATATAGAGATAACAAAACTTGGCTATAGAAAGGTTAAATAATGACAGACCCAGTCCTAACACTTACAACAACACCATGATGTAGGAACTATTGCTGTCCCTGTCTTACAGATGAGGGACCTGGGTCTTACAGTTAATAAGCTGCAGGCTGGGGTTTGGACCCAAATTATCTTAACTAAGAAAATTATTCGCAAGCTCTAGTGCCACAGACATCGTGAGGTGAGGGAAGGTTATGCTTGCCTTTGTTTCAATGGGTGAGTGCCTCACTACTCTGAGCTCATCCTCCCAACTCAGGGCATTCTACCTAGGCTCCCTACTTACCTGGTTAGTTATGAGGATCAATGAAGATAAAGTGGAAGTATGTGGGCATTTGGTTGAGTGTTTAACAGATCCTGCGATGTGTTCAGTCCTAGCCTGGCACTTACTATCTGTGTGACCTCATCTAAACACGCGGAACTCTTTGGACTGTCCTCGCTTATTTCTTTTGACCCTGCAGAAGTATGTGCAACATTCTGTGAGTGAACAGCTAACAACTCCCCTTTGTTCTTTCTGCAGTCTCACTTAGTTTTCACACTCATTTTATGAAATTGGTACAAATATGGTATCCATTTGACAGATAAAACTAAGGATAGGGAAATTTAAGACATTTGCCAAAGCTACGTCCTAATATATGTAGGAGCCGGGATTTGAACCCCGGCAGGCCTACCTCTTCTTGTCCCACCAACACCAATGTCTTTGAAACCAGACAAGTCCAGGTTTGAATCCAGGCTTTGCTACATACCAGATGTGTGTTAGAGCAAGTTATTTAGCATCTCTGAGCCTCACTTTGCACATCTGTACAATTCTGGGGGTAATATGGTCACTGCTGAGAGAGTGGGAGATGGCTGATGCAAATGCTTGTGCTTAGAGCCTGCCACATAATTAGCTGCTAACAAATGTTAGTTTCCTTTTAGTTGGAATGTTGGTGAGATAAATTGCTCTCTAAAGGCTGACACAATAACTGCCTACCTGAATCCACCAAGTGAGGCTTCAAGGAATTAAGTTGGGCAGCGTTAATTGATCATCTTGTAATTTCCACAACTAAGTTCAGATTAGCCACACTGTATCATAGACCAGTTACATTTGTCACTTACATTTGTCACTTCATGGGGCCTGATGAATACATTGTATCTTTGTGACTAAAATGGGATTTATCTCATTAAAACTAAGGAGTTCTGCAAACAGCCTATGGTGTTTTAATTCTGGCAGGCTGTATTTAATCAGAACAATTGAGTATGCACCTACTGATAGTGTTTCTTTTGGATCATATTCTCCACTTAATGTGCCGTGGGATTGCACTGTTGACTGAAGTTGATGGGAGACTCATCAGGGAGCAAACCGTTTTCTGGAAGCTGAGTGGTTACTGTTTTCATGGCTAGTTATCTGAGCTTTTATTCTTTCTGTTTAAATAAATCCTTGATAGAAGACAATGGTTCTATTTTTCCCTCATTGACTTGTACTTACATGCATTTTCTTCATTCATGTGACACTGATTTATTGGGGTTCCTAGTAGGTAGACACTGTACCAGGTACTGGGTGATACAGAAATAATGCTTAAGAGTTTGTCCCTGATGTCTAGGGGAAAAAGATCTCGGGATGTGGAGGTCAGGGATAGTGCAATGAATCACAATGTTATCAAAATTGAAATTAAACATTTTTATGGTTTATGGCCCAGTGGAAAAGGTCCTAGGAAGAGTTAGCCTGACCTTGGTTAAAGTTCTTACTCCTCCATTTTCTAGTCATGTGTCCCTGGGAAAATTATAACTTTACTGAGCTTTAGTAAAGTCGGTAAACTTTACTTGAGTGGTAAAATTGGGATGATAATATTTACTATATAGTGTTGATGTAAAGACCTAAGGAGATCAAGTATGTAAAATGCAAATTAACTGGGTGATGCTGGACAACTTAGTCTTGTGGAAACACAATTATCTCATCAAAGGGGTACCATTCTTTTCTACTTGATCTCACATATGATACTTTACATGTATTTTCACCTCTTAATCCTAGAAGCAGCTCTATGATGCAGATTTTTTTTCCTTATTCTATCGTTATGATCATGTACTTAGCCCTTCTCCCCCTTGATGGTGAATTCCTCTGAGAGCAAGGGATCCCGTATTAAATGTTTCTGCAACCTCCCAGTCTAAAACACACAATGAATGCTCCATAAATAATTATAGAATGAATATGTTGAGTACTTTGGAGGAAAAATGCCATTAATTTAACTCTTACCATGTACTAAGTCCTAAACATGGCACTAATTTAGTTCTCATATAGCAATAATAATATGAAATATTAATAGCTTTATGTCTATTTTTCAGATGGAGAAACTGAGGCAGTGATAGGCTAAGTGCCTTCCCTATTGTGTTACTCTTAGTAAGTGGCCAAGCCAGGATTTGAACCGTAACAGCTGGCTCCAGAGGGCTTGCTTCTAATTACTATAAGGCACTTCCTGCTGTTAATGAGATGAAGTTTGTAAGATCCTTTTACGCTGGTCTGGTGCTTCAGATAAAGAACTTATCTCATTTGACCCTTTAGGAAAGGCATGGCAAGTATTATGATCTCTACTTGACAGCTGTGGAAACTGATGTTCAAAAGTTAACTGACATGTACAAAGTCACACAGGTAATATACAGTGGAGCACAGTATGCATTTGATTTTATTTTTATTTTTGCAAATTAAATTATTTCATATATGATTTGATATGTTGTACTTTCACTCACCTTTAATAGTGGTAATTTTGCCATATCATAAAATAATTTTAAAAAAACATGATTCATATAAACTACATAATGTTATATCTTATGGATATGCATTAAGTTTTAGACCATTTCCCTGGAAAGAAAGTGTTCCTTTTGCTTTCATTAACATCCTTTTTCATAAACTGAGATCTTGTCTGGATAAATCATTACTTCCTTAGAACAGACTTAACTTAGAAGTGGGTTACTGGGTCAAAGATTGTGAACTCTTGCCTGACTATTATCAAATTGCTCTCCAAGACATGTTACTGCTTAATAGTTATTGAAAGTTGAATGAAACGGAAAAGGCTTTTATCCCAGCAGTGTATGAAATCTCTTCTGTGTTAGTCTGGGTTTGGCGAAGAAAATAGAACCACTACAAGTTTTTTAGGGAAAATAGTTTAATACAGAAATTAGGGCTTACATAAATGTGGGAAGAGCAGGAAAGTGAAGGTCCAGAAGGCTTTATCCAGAAGCACTTCAGCCTAGAGCACTGGAGCTGGTAGAGTTGGAGCTGGCAGAGACATCTGAGAAGCTGTCACAAGGGGTCAACATGATTGTAAAGTTGGAACGCATGGAAAGGTCTAAAATGCCACTGTCTCTGGCCACTAGGATCTCTGACTTCATATCGCTTCTGCCTTCCGAATCTCCTGTGAGTTCTTCCCACTGGCAAATTCTAACTCTGAATCACACCAGGAAGGGATTCTAGTAAATGCAGTTCCTGCCTTAGAAGTGTGGGGTGATAGTGCTGAGCTGATAACTGACAACCCTGGAGATGTCCTTTGTACACTCCGCAGAACTTGATGGGACCTTTTATGACCCTTTGGCAATATGAAAAGAAAGATGTGGCTGTCTTATTTTTTTGCATTTTTTCTTCATGCTGTTATTGGTCACCAACTTATTCAGCAAATATTCCCAAGCATCTAGTAGAAATTGGTCATAGTTTTGCGCTTTGGAGAAACTGGTGAATAAGGCAAAGTCTCTGCTTTCATGAAGCTTACATTCCAGAACAGGGTTATTAGGAAAGGAATAAGTAAAGGAACAAGATACTTTCAGACAGTAATATATATTATAGGAAACAATTGTGGATGATTTTGAAATGAGCAAAAGAGATTACTGAATATTCTGTCAGTAAATCTGGAGCAGCTGGAGATTATCTGGTACTACTGGGATGTGAGTCTTTGCCTTCCACTTGGCTGTTTTATAGCTGTTGAGATAGAAGTTAACTTGTAGAAAACTGGTAGTAAGGCAATGAATTCCTGTCCATAGAAATGCAAACTGCATCTGGTGGAATGCAATTGATTATCACCCTGTGGATATTGAACATTTTTGCCAGTTTGCATGGATTTGTATATTTATTTTAACATTGTTTGTCTGAATATCCATGTGTGGCACTGGTTGTAACATCTCACTGGCTACCTCATTAATGATTGAGCTAATAAAACCTTTTATGAAGTTATTTATTTATGAAATTAATTTTAAATTGATGGATAAAATTGTATGTATTTATCATGTACAACTTGATGTGCTGAAATACATGTACACACACACATATATAGTGGAATAGTTAAATCTAGCTAATTAACAAATGCATTAGCTCACATAGTTCTCCTTTTTGTGGTGAGTTATTTAAAAAATCTTTGATATACGTTCATCCTATATGTGTACAAGGGTCATAACTATACCTCTTATTTATTTGTTTGTTTGTTTATTTATTTATTTATTTGAGACAGGGTCTCACTCTGTCACCCAGGCTGGAGTGCAGAGGCACAATCATGGCTCACTGCAGCCTCAACCTACTGGGCTCAAGCGATCCTCCCACCTCAACCTCCCAAGTAGCTGGGATTATGGACATGCACCACTATACCTGGCTAATTTTTGATTTTTTTTGTAAAGACGGGGTTTTGCTATGTTGCCCAAGCTGGTCTTGAAATCCTGGGCTCAAGCGATCCACCTGCTTGAGCCCAGGAGCTGCCCAAGTCTGCCTTGGCCCTCCCAAAATGCTGGGATTACAGGCACGAGCCACTGTACTGGCCAGTATCTTTTAAGAGAATGTACCCCTTAACAGTTTGGAACAAATAAAAGAGCAAAGTAATTTCAGGTGGTAATATATATCACCAAGAGGACAAGACAGATGTTGTGCTAGAGATCAACTGTGGGAGGGTGGGAAAAGTGCTAATTTGGATCAGGTGGTCAGGGAAGGCCTCACTGAGGAAATTGCATTTGAGCTGAGATTTGAGTGGATAAAGGAAATGGCCCTGTGCAGACAGGAGGGCAGAGTGTAACAGGCAGAGGGAACAGCTGTGCAAAGTCCCTGAGACGTATTCTAGAAACCAACCGCGGTGGGTCAGGAGGTTCATGGCAGAAAGTGCAATCAAAAAGGTTGGTGGGGGCTAGATTATGTTGGGCCTTTTAGGCTAATGCTGAGGCATTAGAATTTTATTCTAAGTGGCATGAGAATTCATTGTAGTTTGATACACTGGAGTGTTGTAACCTGATTTGTATTAGAGAATGGGTTTGTGTATCTTCTTCTATGAGCATTGAATTCTCATTTTGCTCCTCAAATTATTATTATTGAACAAGACATTTTAATTAGCTTATCATGTCTTATCATGCATAAAAATATAATTTTATTTTGATTAATAATTGTAAACAAATGTAATCATGAAAGTTACACATAATAATTGAGGAAACATTTGCAAAATAAACAAATGCACTAAGAGGAAATAAAATCTTTAGCTTTTGGAAATACGGAACACAGCTCATGAATTACTTACTGTCTTTCATTTCTAGGGCGTCTCAGGGTCTTGACCACCTCAAGCCAGGTGAGACACCTTACAGGATGTCTCCTAAGCTGATCAGTCTATGAACATTTAGTGACCTACAGAATCTCCCTGTGACATCTGTTCACTGGGCAACAGCAGCTCACAGGTACTGTTTGCAGGCAGCAGGTGCCAGCGACACCAGAGGCTTTCACCCCAAAACCAGTTCATTTCAGGTCACACATCTGTTCTTTCCTCTGAGAGACACCCACTGAGAAGGCTCTTCCGGCTTGGCAGTCCCAGGGGTAGGTGGTAATCTCCTCCCCGAATTTCCCAACAAGAAGAAATTAACCAGTAGAAAAAAAGCTTGTACAAAGAAAGTAAGAGGAAATTCAATGGAGATACCCAGAGGCTTGTGTGATAGAGGAGAAGGAAATGGGCATTTTTTTTCTAGGCTTGGTATAAAATAAAGATCAATTCTTTACTTAAGGATTGCTATTAAATATTTAAGTCAACAGAGTTAGGTGCCTCTCAGATTGAGACATGAGGTCAGGGAAAGCCCTCCCTCTTAGATGGACGCTACTCTCATCTTATTAAAGACAAGAACAGCCAATGGGAAGGGGACTGAGACCCACAATGGGGTCTCTGGGGTCCACATTTCTATTGATAAAAAGAGCTGGATTATAGAATCAAGTCATAGTTGTCCTGGGCTTGAATCCTCCTGGCAAATTATAACATCTCTCTGAATGATCTTTCCTTGTCTGTAAAAGGAAGTCACATAAAGAGAAGACTCTAGCATGGAGAGAACTTGACAGTCTTGATGTATCTACATCATCCCAGAGTAATTCACAGCACCCGCTTTTATTCTGAAAGATTTGTTCTGTCCTGTTTTCAGTGACAAATTATGTGGTCACCCTACCCTTGTCACATGGGATCTGGCCCCAGCTTGGGGGATACTTGTTCACTGTGTTTCTGGTTGTCAGCATGGGTGGAGAGATGACATCTGGTCAGAAGTCATTCTCTGGCAGTTCTATAAAGAATGATAAGTATTATTATTGTAGCAGTAGTATTATTGTGTTATGGCTATCATCATCTTGTATGGGGGATAAAGAATTTTGCTGATAAAAGGGCCTGTGGTGTAGAATCACCACTGCTATTATTTTGTTAAATATTTAATTTTTCCATAAGTTTTTGGGGGACAGGTGGCATTTGGTTACATGAGTAAATTCTTTAGTGGTGATTTGTGAGATTCTGGTGCACCCATCACCTGAGCAGTATACACTGCACCCACCCTATTTGTAGTCTTTTATCCCTCGCCCCCTCCCATCCTTCCCCCCAAGTCCCCAAAGTCCATTGTATTATTCTTATGGCTTTGTGTCCTCATAGCTTAGCTCCCACATATCAGTGAGAACATACAATGTTTGGTTTTCCATTCCTGAGTTACTTCACTTAGAATAATAGACTCCGATCTCATCCAGGTTGCTGCAAATGCTGTTAATTCATTCATTTTTATAGCTGAGTAGTATTCCATCATCCATATATATATATATATATATATACCACATTTTCTTTATTCACTCATTGATTGATGGGCATTTGGGTTGGTTCCATGATTTTGCAACTGTGGATTGTGCTGCTATAAACATGCATGTGCAAGTATCTTTTTTGTATAATGACTTCTTTTCCTCTGTGTAGATACCCAGTAGTGGGATTGCTGGATCAAATGGTACTTCTTATTTTAGTTCTTTAAGGAATCTCCACATGTTTTCCATAGTGGCTGTATTAGTTTACTAGAATCACCACAGTTAGAACAGGTAGAATCATGTTAGTCAGGGTGTTTTACTTTGCTACAGGAGGAAAGGAAACAATTTTTGCATGCCTACTCTAAGCCCAGCTTTGTGCTTGACATTCCCTATGCCTTTCAGTTCAACAGTGTTTTAAAATCTGAATTTCCAGACTAGGTTTTTCTCCTCTTGGTTGTAGATATGGCTTCAGCATTTCTTAACTGGGTGATACCAGGAAGATCACTGAACCCTGTGAACCTCAATCTTCTAATTTGGAGGAGGGAGCCCAAATGCAATTGAGGTGATCAGGGGGTAAGCTGAGAATGTGATTGTAATTAAGGAAAGCTATAACTGTACTACTTCTCTTGTTATTTAAAGAAAGACTGTTTACAGATAGGCTTTGAGATAATGCCACTGAGACATCACTGCTACTACCAACATGGCTGTTTCATGACCTCGTGTAAGAAGACTTCTCACGCCGTCCCTGTTCATGAATCATAACCAGAGGTAGGGTCTTGACCACAGAGGCTGATAACACCATTGGACTCTGGTTTTGCATTCTGGATTCGGAAGCTGGTGAGAGTGAGAAGTGGTTTTTCTGCTGGCTGATCTGTTTTTGCCTTGTCTTCTCTCTCTAGCACATGACAGGATCTGGCAGAGGTAGTGGTCAGGGGAGTATGATGGAGGAAGTAACCTTTTCTCTCATTGGGGAGATTTCCTGCATTGAAACATGAAGTGCAACTTCACATAGCTGGGCCGTAGCTGGCCGGCAAAGGGCAGTGTGTCGGCAAACAAAAGTGTTCTTATTTTTTTGTCAATGAAAATTCAGTAAACCTCAGGAAGAGATGACAGTACTTCTCCCACTTCGTTCACATGAATAATAATAAACTCCATTGTAGAGCAAGCCTTAGGGCATTATCTGATGCTGCTATTTCTGCTGGCCAGAATTTGCACATCTCTCACATGACTCAGGGTTGTACGGCCTCTTTCCCAGTGGGTGACTGACTGTTTAGCATTCTGCAGATTCTCAGCTTTGCTCTGGATATTCAGCCACTCAGAATGAGCATAGCCACATGGGACTCAACCCTTCTGACGTGGGAAATAGTTCCAGGGGGCATTTAGGTTACAATGGGCTTTTCTTATGGTTTTTAAATATCCAATGGCTTTTTGGTAAATGAAATTCACACACACACACACACACACACACACACTCCTCAGTGATTAGAATTTCCAATAAATCAGAATTTATAAACACAGTTTTGTAGGGTGAAGGGAAAGTAGCAATGTTTGAGGTCTATAGCATGCAATAGACCTTATGCTAGATACTTCCCATAGACTACATTGTTAACTCTTCCCTGCATGTTTCAAAGTAGGTGTTATCATCCTTTTTTGCATTGATGTAAAATTGAGGTTCAGAATGGGTAAATTATTGGCCTAAGATTACCACAGATAAAAAGGATGGGTAGGAAGGAAACACAAATTGAATATCAACTGCATGGCAGGCACAATGCTAGGCTTCTTATATGTATTTCCTCTCTGAATCCACACAAGTTTATGAGGTAAGCATTATTATCTTACGGATAAAAATATCAGAGTTCAGAGAGTAACTAGAGTTGTCTCCTGTCACAGTGGAATACAGTGGATTAGAGCAATGGTTGTGTGCACATCACCATGGTTATGATTCCACTTTTAGGAGCCAGAGGCCATTCATAAACAAACAGGCTTATCTCAAGATATGATCAAAGAAAGAAGCCAGCCAGAGCTGACTTTGCACAAGCTCCCGTGCCCATGTAAAACAAACAAACAAACAGAAAACAAAAAACTTGTGTTCAATCATTTCTTTACTTCCTTGGAAAACTGTGAAGGCATACTGTGTACATAGCATTGTAGAGGGTACTAGCGTTCCAAACAAAGATTTTAGTGCATGTGTAACAAAACAAGATGTATATGTGTTCATTATACTGAGAGAAGTCAGCGAAGTAATGCCATTTTAGAAGCACTTCAGAAACAGATTGACTGCATAGGAGTTGTTGGTTAACAAAACTATACTTGACAATATCCTCCACACTCTGTAAGCATTTCAGTAATAGACATTTAAATATATGTACTTGGAAAACTTTCTTTTCTTAACAACAACAGGTGAATTTCCAAATATAAAATGTAGACCTTTTTATTTCTTAAAAATGTTACCATCCATCAAACATTAACTGAGTCAAGACCATGCTGTACATATTATCTCTAATTTTTATCGTAACTCTACAGCATTATTTTCTACACATTCCAAGAGTGGAACCTGAGACTGAGGAGATTAAGCAACTTCAAATTTCAAGTCTTACTTGATGAATAACTGATGGAGCCAAGAGGGTGAATTCAGGTCTGTTTCAGAATTTGTGTGCTCTGTGCTTCTGTGGTCTGCTTATATATGCACGAGTAAAGCTTACTCCTCAGCTCGGATTTTGGAACCTTCTAATTGGGCTTTGCTTTAAAACTCATGAAGCACTTTGCAATAGTCTCAAATATTAGCCCTAGAATTTGGGGGCCTTGTTATTACTCTTCTAGGGCCTAGTGACCTATATTTTATTTATAATTTTAGGTTGTGTTCTCACTAAAAAATGTAACTGTGTACCTTCTCCACCTACACTTTCCCTTCTTCTGCAAGAACATGGAGTGCCTAACATATAGTAGGTGCTCAGGAAGTGTTTGTTGAGTGTAATGAGTTCTTTGCTTCACTGCTTTGTGTTTTTGTCTAAGAGAAGACTAGAAACAGCCACCAAGAAGGGAAGAACACTCATGATAGCAAGATGTGGCAATTAACTGGAAGGAAACAGAAACATAAAAACTATAAAAAGTAGACATAAGATTTCAAAAGCATGAAAGTTGGGTTATTCAAGGTTGGGGCCAATAACCCTGGACATGCCAATAATCTTAGTAAAGTTCTTCCTAACCTTTGTCACAGTATGGCAGTCATGGAAGAGCTGCTATTTGTTCAGTACACTAGGACAAATAGAAGAGGTTGCTCTCTGCAGAGTTCACTATCCTTGGGCTCTGGCCAGCTCAGCCCTATCCAGCCTCCCTGAGTACTAAGTGGATCAACATCTTGGCACAGCTGTCCCATGTGTCCCAACACATTGGTTAGGAAGCACCGTATTAGATAGTGCCACAAAACTACACAATAAGGGGCAATGTCTTTCACTTCTGCACCTCTAGTGCTTGTCATCACTCAGTGGCCCTCAAATATTCTAAATTGAATATACTTGAATACACTAATTGTTGAATTAAATGAAATGATGACCGCATTTTTCAGAAAAGACAATATTTCGCATGGCTTTTTTCAAGAAGATAAAGTAATGTATAGTAATGCATGTTAGAAATATTTTCAGATGAAAGCTAAAGAGAGAGTTTCTCAGTGTGGGGGATTAACACAATGTTTCTCAGGTAGTCAGTGGTAGAACAAGAAGAAGGCACATTTCTTTTTTTCCAGGTAAATGGCACACTGCAGTAATTTTGCTTGGGAGGTTCATATCGAGTGACCAAAGCTGCCAGCTGCTTACAGTAGGTAGACCACCATAAGTAGTGTGCCATGCAGACATCCAGAGTTTATTTCTGTGTGCTAAGAAATGGAAAGGCGTAGTCAATGAGCATTGTACACTGCATGATCTGGATTCTATTTTAGATTTGTGATGATCAGATGCTATTTTGTGATTATGTTCATTTTTAACCTAAAAACTTTGAAATGGATATTTCCAATGTCAAAATTAGAGGAGACTTATGTAGTTGTGTGTATGTGTGGTTTCTGTGTTGGAGAGTGACTTGGAAACCATAGCGAACTGATGATAGCAGCCGTTATGATTTGACTAGTCTGGCATGAATTTTTCCCAAAGATATGCAACGCCGATCATCCGAAGACTACTTACTTACCAGAAAAAAATAAAAGATAAAAAAAAAAAAAAAAAGAAGAAAAATAATGCTCTTGAAGGGGAGAGCTAAAGCAAACCTGTAAGGGCTTTTTATGGCCCAAATTTTCTTCTGCAAGAGGCACCTTCTTAAAAGTGATACAGGAGGGCTGAGGTTCTGTTTTTTTCTATTTTCTTTATAACTGTACTCATGGGAAGTTGCAAAAGCTGAACAGAAAGTATGAAATCTGGAAGTTTAAAAAAAGGCACAAAACCTCCCCAAAGTGGCCCCAAAATGACTGATACTGAGAAACAAGGACATTTTGCACATTTTTAACTGTGTCATATCCAACTCATTTGGTTGATTTTCTGTGTTTTTGTTTGTTTGTTTGTTTTTGTACTCATGTAGGATATTAAGAAAGCCTATAGATTATTGCTTAGGCCACTTCCTCACAGACTCTTTCAGTATCATGAGAATTCTTCTTGTTGTTTATCATTAATAAAAAAGTTCCAGAAATACCACCTTAAACAGAGCAAGTCACGTGGACGTTGGATCTGATATGCAGGACATACTGGCAGATGTAATTGAGCAAGGTTCAAGACAATGCCACTCCGGTACAAGTCATAACCATATCCAGATCTGGTTTGTATAGGTGACTGAGATAACCTCAGCCTCATCTCAGGAAGTGGCCACTTTTGGAGAGTCCGACTATCACGGTAGGCACAGAACTCTGCCATGTCACTAGCTGAATGACCTCGGATGTCACTTCAACTCTGAGCCTTAGAACTTGTCAACTGCAAAGTGGGGCACTTCACCGAGCTACATCATTGAGCTACTTCACTGAGCTACTTCATTGAATTGGGAAAATTAAAGGAGCAAATATGGGAGAAGGATTTGGCCCATAGTAAACACTATGACTGTCCGTCTTCTGCCATCTTTCAGTAGACCCAGTGGAATTATATGAAGGTTGATAGGCACTTAAACCAAGAATATATGAACATCTATTCTGTGCAAGATGTGTGCATTGAACTCAGTCCAGGACTGAAGGGGACAGGAGGAAGGTAAGGGGGCTCACATTTGTTCATTACATGTGTTAGGCTCTGTGCATGATCATCTTATATATGTCATATTTAATTCTCGCAATAATCCTATGGAGTGGGAATTATCACACAAGTACTCATCCCCCTTTATGGATTAAGAAACAGAGATTCAGGGAGTTTCTTACCTTTCTAAGGTCATTCAACTAAGTAAGTGCCAGCCTTGGGAAAGAAGTTTAGCTTTCCCTGTTGTTTCTCATGCAACTGAACAAGCTCATAATCTCAGACATGTATTTTAGGAAGTTCCCTGTAGAAGGACTGTACCTAATTGCTTTCATTTTTAACAATGGTTGGGTCATAGGTTTCCTGATGTGCTGATTAGCAGTATCTCTTTACTATCTGAAGACAGTGTTTGCCCCCCAGCCTTTCTGTTGTCAAGAGTAGGGAACTGCCTTTTGAAACCATTGTCCTGAGTGCAAGAGGGAGTGACAAAGAGATCATCAACTAAGGATCTCAGCTTTAAGTGTTCAGATTTGGCCAAATTATTTTTCTAGTTCTCCAAGTCCTACCTCATTTTCACACCTTTATGTCTTTGTATGAGCTGTTTACCTGATTTTACAAAGCCTAACTCACCCTTCTAGATCCTGCTGGACTTTCATGTCAAGGCTGTCTTTACTCCAAGGTAGAATGAAGTGCTCCCTTATTTTTCATATGTCTCAGCAGCTATTGCAATGTAGTATGCTTAACTGGCTTCCCATTCAGCTCCACTAAACTGGGAGCTTCCTGAAGGTA
The DNA here is from genome assembly GCF_000001405.40 of Homo sapiens. Lineage (NCBI taxonomy): Eukaryota > Metazoa > Chordata > Mammalia > Primates > Hominidae > Homo > Homo sapiens. The sequence continues at coordinate 129,547,465 of NC_000008.11, read as the reverse complement.
TACACTGTGTCTTACTCATCTTTGCATCTACTATTCACTGTATGGCACACATATAATTTTGTGTATTAATGCTAGTAAATCAATGAATCAAAGACAACTAGCCTTGGCCTCTGCATTTATGTGGCATATCTGAGAGCCACATTTGCTAACAATTTGTGCCCACTTTTCAGACATTTGCCTGTTCTCAGCACCCTCAATTTTACTCTTCTATAGTCAGAGCAATCTTAGAATAGCTCTAATTGATGACCATTTTGGTCCAAACTCTACCTTGACTGTTGATTTCTATTCTCTGCCTGGGACTCTTGAAGATTTCTATTTAATTGGTTTGGGCACTTGCCTCGCACAGTGAATTGTTTAAATATAACCAGCACAATACAAGACGCTTAGGCTGCAGCTCTGAAATCAGTATATGAGGAAGAGACACACATGCGTGCAAAAGAGAGAAACCATTCATGAGTGCTGGGGGTGGGGGAAGGGAGAGCAGTTGAAAAGCATGTGAAAGCCACTTCCTTTTCTCATGTGAGTAGAAACTCCAGCAGAACTTATCAGAACCATTCATCTATATGATCATTCATTCATCTGTTTATTCATTCATTCATCTTGGATAGCCCAGATTATTGCAAGAGCCCCTCAGTGATCCCTCTCCCTCTCTTCTGGCCCCTGCTCAGACCATATTCGCAGCACTGAACATGACCTTTCTCTGGTTCTCTGTTATTCACAAGATAAAGGGCAAGCTCCTTAGCATGGCATCCAAGAACACTGATCTAGTCTCTGGCTGGCTACTAGTCCCCCTTGTCTCTTACAGCCTGACTTGTGCACCTCTCTAAGCTCCAGCAACAATGGACTCTTAGGAATACCACTGAAATGCAGTTTGTGTTGCCTCTGTCCTTTTCTGTATGCTGTTCCCTATATTTTCTCTAGATATTTTCCTATTCTTCTCCTATTTAGTTTTGAAAACTCAGCTCAACCATATCTCTACTGTAAGGCTTTCCATGAGACTACCAATCTAAAAGAGGTATGAGATTTTTCTTCATCACAGTGTTGTAGGCATATACCTATCATAGCTCTGACTGTAATATACTGAACCTGTTTGTCCTTCATCTTTCTCTCCACTGGTCTGTGAATTTCTCATAGTCAAGGCCCATTTATTATTCTTCACAAAACAGGTCCTGACATACAGTAGATGCTAAATAAATAGACATGGAATGAGCACATTACTCGGAGGCTGCATGCTAAGAGTTTAAATGTTACCCTGAATCCAAACACAGTCATTCACAGGTTTTAAGCAGGGGTGGTGGCAGGATTGGGTTTGTGCTCAGAGATAGAATGGAAAATGATTGGAGATGGAATGGATAATGAATGGGGTTGGGCAACACTGGAGGCAAAGAGACCAACCTACCTTGTCACCCTCACCTCACCCCCCCAACCATTCATTGCTACTTCACCCACCCCAGAAAGTCTCTACCTCATGAACTTTTACATTCCCTCAAGACATAGCTAAAACATCTTGTTTCAGGAACTGTCTCTGATCTGCTTCCTTCATACTTTGTAATATTCTCAATGGTAATATACTATGTTCAATATTTATTGAGCATTTTATTATATGCTGAGCATTTTACACTCAAAAAATTAATCATCACAGTAACCCAATGAGGCAATGTTATTAACCTTCTTTTACAGTTAGGGCAATTGAGGCTCAGAAAGCTTAAGCCACTTGCCCAAATTATTCACCTAGAAATGGTAGATGAGACATGAAGTCAAGTCTGACTTAGAGCCACTGCTTTTACCTATGATGGTATCTGTATCATGGTTTCTTTCTGTGCTCCTACCTCATGTTACAACATGATACCTGATAGAAACTCTTGGATTTAATTTAGTTCTACATTTCTAACCAGTATGTTTGTTGGATGGAAGCATCTAGAGGCCTTAGAATTGTTTGTTGTGTTTTCTTTCGTCTTCTTGGCAATGCTGCTGACTTTGTTTCTTTTCCTGTGTGTCTCCAGAGTCTTTCATGATTTTAATTCTTTCTAGTTTTCAGTTGTACAGGATCACTTTTGCCCCTTCTTTTAAAATGTTATTATTATTATTATTATTATTATTATTATTATTGAGATGGAGTCTTGCTCTGTCACTGAGGCTGGAGTGCAGTGGTGCGATCTTGCCTCAATGCAGCCTCTGCCTCCCAGGTTCAGGCAATTCTTCTGCCTCAGCCTCCCAAGTAGCTGGGATTACAGGCACCTGCCACCATGCTGGCTAATTTTTGTATTTTTAGTAGAGATGGGGTTCCGCCATGTTGGCCAGGCTGGTTTCAAACTCCTGACCTCAAGTGATCCACCCACCTCGGCCTCCCAAACTGCTGGGATTACAAGCATGAGCCACTGTGCCCGGCCTTCTTTTTCTAAAATTTTGATTTGAAGTCTAGTTCATCAGTTTGCCTGCCCAGCTGTTGTCCTTGTCATTGATGAGATGGTGACTTTCCCTTCCAGGAACCCATTTTTTCTGACATGATTAGCAGTGATCTTCACTGCAAAGCCCAGTTACCAGTATCATTTTGATAGCAGGTCCACACTTTGCAAATGTTCCTTTCCCTAAAAGGTCATGATCTTCAACAAGAAGAGAGCAAAGTATCATCTGGGCCAGCAAGTCCTTTAATTTTTACCTGGGGTTGGATGGAACTTGTATTATGATATAATCTCGATAAGCCTGGGCTCAAACTGTGTCTCTACTGCTTCTGTAAAACAGGAGCACCAATGCCTGCTTTCCTGGGTTGTGGGGAGGGTTCACTATGGTAATAAGTATGAAAGCTACTTGCTCAGTCCCTGTCTCATAGCCTCTAATAAGGACTAAGGATGCTTTCTCACCATAAAGTCAACTTCAGAGGTCCATGTAGCTGTTTACCTTGTGTGAACTAGCTCAGTTGAGTAGAAACTGGTAGGCTTGATGGTGATTCAGGTAAAACTGATTTTCTCAGTTTCTCCTGGGATTTTTTTCTATTCCTATTCCATATAAGAACAATTTATTCTAAGACAGAGATTTGAGATTCTGTTTTTGGAATGAAAAAGGCTGGATTTGAGTTTTGGCTTGCTTACTCACTAGCTGTGCAACCCTATGCAAGGTACGTAAACTCTCTAAACTCTAATTTTCTTATTTGTAAAATAGGAACAATAGTAGTAGCTGCCTCATAGGGTGTTTATAATTCATGAGAGAATGTGCATACACTTAGCACATTGTGTGGCCCATAAGAAGCACTCATGGCTGGGTGCAATGGCTGCTGTAATCCCAGCACTTTGGGAGGCCATGGCAGGAGGATTGCTTGAGCCCAGGAATTCAAGACCAGCCTGAGCAACATGGAGAAACCCCATCTCTACCAAAAATACAAAAATTAGCCTGGTGTGGTGGCATGCATCTGTAGTCCCAGCTACTTGAGAGGCTGAGGTGGGAGGATCATCTGAGCCCAGGAAGTTGAGGCTGTGGTGAGTGGTGATCATGCCACTGCACTCCAGCCTGGATGACAGAGTAAGACTCTGTCTAATAAAAAAGAAGCATTGCTAATTCATTCATCCATTCATTGAGAACGTATTGAATATCTGCAATATGCCAGGCACTGCATGTCAGTCTTTACCATAATATCCAAGGTTACGTATTACGTAAATAGGAGAGCCAAGACTGTCAGATACTGGACTTCCCAAGCCCCATACTCTTTACCCAATGATGACTTTGAAAATAGATATTTTTGGGAAATTTATGACTTTTCACTAGTATTAGAGTTTTTGGTGCACTCTCTTCACTCAAACCTTTCTTTACATCTAAGTCTTTTATAGCCTCCATAATACTTCCAAATACACTCAAAGTTCAGGCTGGGTAAATACTCACAGAATGAATGAATTTGGTAAGCAAACCAATATTGAGTCTACATAGAAATTGTATATTCTTTACCGATTCCTACCCTCTATCTGACCATTGATATTTTTCTAATTATTCATTTTTACATTGAGGTTGATTTTTTTTCAAGCATTTCTCATAATTACCCAAATCCTACCAAGAATTCTTATTGCTTTCCAGGCTATGATGTTCAAACCACACTTTGCATGCCACGCATTTGAATGTTCAGTGGCTTAGGTTGGTGACAAGCCTAATTTTCACAATGTTCATTTCTGTCTCATTCATTGCTTTTGACAGGAGCCAGGCTTGCCACATCACACTTGGCCTGTCAGAAAGGTTGAAGAAACTTCCCCAGACCCAAATATTTGGTGGCTGAGTTGGTGTCCCTTTGCCTTACAAAACCTTTAATTGAAGGCAACACATGGATTCTAACTTGTTTAAAATGTCTCCAAGTCCTGGCATGCACTGAATCAAACCCGAGGCCCCAAGAGCTATCATCCACACAGAAACACAGCATTAGAGGGACCGGAGCTCAGGGTGGGGAGCCCTATAAGAATGTAGAGGTCTGTAAAATGGTTCCAATTCATTCTATGAGGTTTGGCAAAAGCCGGAACTCTTGTAGCCAGACACGTTCTGCATGAAGTTTAAATTGTCTTGACATTGGGGTAGGAGAAGTCCTCGCTCTCAGGGTCTACTAATTCATGATTCACTCATTAGGATTGTGTTTTGTGTAAAGTGTCCAAGATATCTAATGATTCCTGCTGAAATATTGTGAATGCTTTGCTTTCCCAATCTCGTCCCTTTACATACTTGGGCAAGATTAAATGGCTTTAGAATCTAGTACATCTTGATTTGTATTTAGGCCATGAAAGCCAAATCATATGACAAGATATAAACTTGGTGAGATCTATTCCCCTCACTCTTTAAAATGACTGACATTACAACCTATTCTATCTATTCAATTGAGTCTTTTAGTTAGGCTCAGATATCTTGTGCAGTGAAAATCTCAAAAACATTTTCCTTTTAGAAACTGTTCACATAGTGTCAACAAAACACTGTTCTCAACTTCAGGCCTTCATGTTTTCAGGGACATACGTTATGCAGCGGGACATATCTTATCTTGCTGAGCAACCCATTATGTCTCCAATGACCCCCTTTGGAAAGTTGGGAGTTATTCTTAACTCCTCCTTCTCAACATCCAATCAATCTCTCAGACATGAAGATTTCACTTTGTTCATATTGCTTGATTGCCCCCTACTTCTCCTAAGCTTATAGCTTATGCCCTTGCTATTCCTCGTGTAGAATATTGTCGTGGCTAGCTGACCAGTCTCTCTGCTTACAGTCTTGCCCTCTTTCATTCCATCCACCAGTCAGCAGTCATAATGATCTATCTAAAGAATGCATTTAATCATGTCATCCAGTTGCTTAAATATTCTCAATGGTCCCCTCTGTCCTTAGGATAATATCACAAATAACAAGCACAATGTATAAGGTCCAGTGCATCCTGGTCTTTGCTTTCCTTTTACTCTAGACTGGCTTTTTACAATCTCTTCTTCACTCTGTGACCTGCCATATTGAACTCTGGGCTGTACTGAAGACAAACCATTATGCCTTTAAGGTGATTCTTTTTTCTGTCATGAATGTTTCATTGACTTTGTCCTCTACCAGCCTTACTCATCCCTTAGGACTTTGCTTAGTGCCACTTCTTCCAGGAACTCCCCACTAAATCTGGATTGTAAGCTCCTACTCTGTGCTTCTGTAGCAACTTGGACTTAACATCTATCACAGCACTTATATGGTATTGTAAATACCTATTTCTTTTTTGATATAAGCCCTTAGTCTATAAATTTTCTGAAGACTGGGACCATGTTATGGTCACTTTTGTATTTCCAGGGTCCTAGAATGGGCTTCAGGGGAAGAATAATTTATTCTCTCTCTTTACTCCCCTTGCTGTGTCTGTTCAAATTATACCAGATGAATTCCCTTTTATGAACACACTAAGTTGGATTTATTTCATGACTCTGTCATTGTTTTTGATGTTTTTTTAGCTAGAAGTGTCTTTTCCCCTCCTCTTCTTTCTCCATTTGAGTTTATCTAGGGCTAATCACATAATTTGTTAAATGTTTTATTTTACATAATTTATTATAATCAGACCAGTTAAGACAACTCTAAACATCAGATGTAAGATGGAAATAGCATTGTTTATACAGAAGGAAACATATCAGAAAGAACACTGAAATGGGAGTCAGGAGTCCAGAGCCCTGGTCACAGCTGTATTGATGACTTGCTATGTGACCTTAAGCAAAGCAACTATAATCTCTAGACTTTACTTCCTTGTCTTGGCATAAGGAGGGATTGGATTAGATGATCTTTACGGATCCTGCCATGATAATTCCCTATAAATTGTGTTTTCGAGATAGGAAAACAATAGGACCTTTGTGGAAAGACCTGTGTATGCTGAAACAGTCCAAAGCAATGAGTTGAATATCCAAATAAAAATTTGCCGCTAAATCCCTTTATTTGTCATTGCTTTGGCACTCTATGCACCATGACAAACTTCATCTCAGCAGTGACTTCTATAGTCCCTGAGTTCACCTGGATTAAGCAGACTTTGGTTTTAGGCAAAAGTAAACATGATTTCTAGTCCCACCTTCATCACTTATTTACTAAGTGACCTTAATCAAGGTCTTTTTCTCTAAGCTTTGGCTTCTTACTCTATAAACTAAGTGTTAAGGACGTGTACGTCTTAAGGCTGATGAAAGGATTGGATTTAAGATGATGTCTGTAAAACACTTTAGCAGAGTTTACATAGTAATTGGTAGTTATGATGGTGATGGTGGTAGTGATGCTGATGATAATAATGCTATAACTTGGTGCAAATAATTTGCCATAAGATAAAAGAAAGAGGATTAAAAGATAAGATATTTAAAATAGTTGCGTTTGCATGGTGAGTATTAAAAAATATTGTTGGGCCCGGCGTGGTGGCTCACACCTGTAATCCCAGCACTTTGGGAGGCCGAGGCGGGTGGATCACCTGAGGTCAGGAGCTCAAGACCAGCCTGGTCAACATGGTGAAACCCCATCTCCCTAAAATTACAAAAATTAGCTGGGCATGGCGGTACAGGCCTGTAGGCCCAGTTACTCAGGAGGCTAAGGCAGGAGAATCACTTGAACCCAGGAGGCAGAGGTTGCAGTGAGCCAGGAATGCGCCATTGCACTCCAGCCTGGGCGACAAGAGTGAGACTCCATATCAAAAAAAAGTTTGATTGAAATGGTGCATTGCACCTAGCAGGAACTCAAGGAGAATTTGCTCAATAAGCAGGAGGGAGGATTTCCCTTCTATGTGGATAATGAAAACACAGTCCTGAGATTTAAGTCTGGCTGTTTGAAAGATTTGGAAGCAATGCCTCTCTGGTGGAGATGTGTTTTGTTCTTAGTAAAATAAGGGTCCAAGGAGTTACTTTAATTTGTCCTTTGGGAAATATTTTAAACCCTAGATTTTACCACACAAATTAGCTCTTTCTCAGGCTTTGTGTTTCAAACACAAACAAAACAAAGTCTCTTTAATTTTCAACATTTGTATCCTTTTCAACTAAAGTACAATAATAGAATTATTATAAAAGTCTATTTGTTACCTAAAGTTATGTCAGTAAAGTGACATGCATTTCTAAGCCTTGAAGAATCTTCTTGTTGAGTTAATCTTTCTTTGGGGAACGAACAACAGCTAAAGGAACTGGTCAAGTGTGGTAAAAGTGCTATGTTTTCTTAAAACAGGGGGCTTTAAAAAGAAGGAAAAGAGAGAAATGTATGACCTCTTGTATTTGTAATAACCTTGTGTAGCTTTATATATCTCCTCATTCATTCCTCCCTTCAACTATGGAAAAGCCATATACACCTCTGTGGAGCACCTGCCATGTGCCAAACACTAGTGGGAAGCTTCCATTCAGTATCTCTAATCCTTAACAATACTGTAAAACCTATATAATAATTTTTATTTTAATATGAGGAAGTGGGTGCTCACAGAGGGTAAGTGATTTATCTGAGGTGATGGATATGAAATTTAATGTTGGATCTGTTTGTTCCTAAAGTCCATTCTTTTTTCCCGTCTACCTCACAGATCCTTAGCTGGGAGCTAGGCCTTATCTGCTTTGCTTAAGTTCACAAGCAGGTAACTCTGAGGAGTTCAAGAGTACCAGGCATGCAATGAGGAAGTGGCTCTGCTGAGACCACCTCTAGATACAGGGTTGCCCACAGCATGGCTGCCTCCTGCTTGTGGATGGGTGAAATGGCCTCAAATCCTTCTGCAGACAGAGTAGGAGGAAAGTCAGCACCCTGATGGAAATGAGGAATTGGGAATTATTTAATGTTGGCTTGCTCACAATATAGTCTCACTCTGTAACAGACTGATTGCCTATACAGAGGCCTCATCACATACTCTTGAACATGTTGGAGAGATAGGATCTGAAATATGGCCCCAGTGATTCATTTAAGAATGCTGGACTTGGTAGAATCCAGGATAACATCATTTCTTATTTAACAAACATTGTTGATCTCCTACTATGTGCCAGGCAGTGTGCTGTGCACTGGGCATACCCAAAGGGGTTCATAGTTTGTAGCAGTAGTTCTTAACCCTGACTGCTACTAGAATTATTTGGGGAGTTTTGAAAAAATAGCAGTGTTTAGGTCTCACTCCCAGAATTTCTTAATTAATTGGGCAAGAAGGGGGCTTGGACATCAGTATTCTTGCATAATTCTATGTGCACCCAGAGGTGAGAGGCACTGGTGTAGAGGTAACGAGATCAAGAAATAACGTGAGAAATGAAGGAAGTTGAGAAGCACTTACCGGGCAAAGCAGTGTTTCCCAGACATCAGTCAGTGATGTGTCACATGCATGGCTTTTGGTATAGCCACACATCAATTGTGCTATTACTTACATAACAGATTTCTTTTAAACTCTCATCCAAAAAATAACTTAATCTCTTTAAATAGGAAACTTTACATACTCACCATAATTTGAAAAGCAGTACCACTTGCCATCAATGAAAGATAAAGCATAAAAATTAGCAAAGTAGAGAAAACAGTATCTATACTTCGTATTTAATATTTTGAGAAACATTAGGAAAGAGGGCAGAAAGTGGGATTTGGAGGAGATGGGCCTGGATGAATATTCTAGTTCTACTATTAATTAGCTGATTTCTCATAAGTGACCTAGCCTCTCTCAACATCATTTTAAAAAAAATGTATACACTGAAGTTAATAACACCTGCCACGTAGTGTTTTTATGCTAAGTAAAAGAGATCATTCTGAGAAAGTGCCTAGCTCAGTGCTGGGCACATAGTAGATGCTCTTGAAATCATAGCTTGTTTTTTTTTTTGTACTAACTAGTCTTTGCTGTTGAAAACTTATGACTAGAAGTATGTACACTATCCTTTGGGGGCTAACTTTTCAAGGGTTGTGGAGAGCTGTGAAAGTCAAAGTTTGACTTGACCAAAGACTTAAATAGTGAGTAAAAGTGCTCCAGGTGGATGGGGTATGAAGGATATGATGCAGTGAGAAGAGATATTATGGCTCTTTCTCTAAAACTGGCTTCATTTAAAACCAAGCTGGAGAGTACCATCAGTGATTACTCAATGTTTCCTATTTATGTGTGTAGATACTGAGTGTACTCTGGCAAGTTTCTGTTCACTTGTGACACAGTCTTTGGACATATTCACAATCTGCACCTCACTCCTGGGACACAGCGCTCCATGGAGGCAGCTATTTCCAATGATTATGGTTAGATTTTAGGTTTGTTTGGATTTTAGCAGTGATTAGTGGTTATTTGTATTTCCATAACATTGATCATTCCTGCTAGTGTTAGGTGTGCTCCCCTCTGAAATACCTTGAACATTTTATGTTTATGTATGTAAGTGCTCATCTCCTGCTCCAGACAGCATCCGGCATCATATCTGACAGATTGGGTGTGTAATAAATGGTGGAGGACTTGCAATGATACACTTGGATAGAAATGTAACTTTAACAATTTCACCTATTGTCATTGACTATGCCTCAGTCTCAGCATCACATATTAAAGACTATAAATGTGGTTTTATCAGTCGTATTTGAAATTGATTGACAGACTGATGAAATCAATTTAATCCTTTCACTTATTTATTAAAATAATACTATCAGCACCTACTATTTAGTAGGCATGGAAGATCTTGGAATAAATGAGAATTTTTCCCCGACCTCAAGAAGCTGAGAATCTTGTGGGTAATAAATACAATATCAACTGTAACAAAAATCGAAACAAACAAACAAACAAAAACCCCCAAAAATGTTGAGGAGAAAGTTAAGCAAATATGTACAGGATAATCTGGACAAATAGGGAGTGAGTAGAAAAGCTTATTACAAATCCAGTTTTATTCTGCAGCTAAGTAGTCTTTGGCATTTACTCAGAGGAGCCTTCTTTTTTCTTTTTGTTATGGACTCATCATAACTTGACATAATTTTCTGGATAATGACTTGTAAGCTCCATGAAGGCAGTGGCAATGACTGTCTTGTTCATCACTGTATCCTCAGCGCTTTGCTCATAAAGCAATGGCACATAAGTACAGCGCCTGGCACATAAGAAGCACAGAATGTATGCTTGTTTAATGACTATGTGGATAAGCCAAAACTGGCCACAAATGCAATAATGAGGTCTGAAAAGCACATAATGTTGGTGCAATGTTTAGTATCCTGAAGTACGTTCCTGCTTCTGGAAAAGAGATTTCCCTTCCAGTTTAAATGTCCTGAATTACGTGTAGCCACATTGCCACCTTTCAAAAGCTAAGAGATTCTTAGACTATAAGCACAGTTCCAAATACACAGACATTCCTGGCAACTGAAGGAACATCCATGAAAGTCAGAGGGACTTTCTTTAAATGAATCAGATTTATAGGGTGAGAAGAGCTATGTGAATCTAGCCAGAGGCCAAAGTTCCTCATTTATTCCATCGTTGGCAAGTGAGGGCCTCAACAAGATATAAAAACTCCTGGCTTCTGCAAACCTGCCCTTGACGAACACCCAGTTCAGAAAGCTCTGTGCACCCCCGTCTCTGTCCGCTCTGCTCTGGTGTCTGGCTGCTTCAGGCATAATTCAGCCACTTGGAAGAAACACGGACATTGCAAGAGTGGCTGTGCTACTTTCTAGCTGCGAGGCCCTGGTTGGCTCACTTTACCTCTCTTTGGCTGCAAAATGAGAAGGTGGGCTCCTCTGATATCCAACTCAGCTTGAGTGTCTAGAAAATTGGAATCCAATCCCCGAGGCCAAGACACAGCTCAGCTATTCTACTTACTGGCTGTCTGATTTATCAGTGAGCAAATTCGTTTTGTACTGTTAGAGGAGGAACTCTTCCTCCTTTCAGAAACCAAGTCTCATTTTGGACAATGAAATCAATTTAGTGTGAACTCTCCACTGGATTGTGAGCTCATTGAGGACAGAGGCTGCATCATGCCCTGTTCCTACAGTGGCTGGTTTATAGCAGATTCTCAACAAACATTTGTCAGTGAAGGAATGAAGCTTCATCTCTGTTCCGGGTGCCCAGTGAGTCACTGCTGAAGTCCATATCGGGCCCTGCCTGTCCGCTGATGTCCTCTAGATGGCAAACTCAGCTTAATTTTGGGCAATAGTCAGCGCTTGTGGCTGGGCGATGCCCAGGCATGGAGTATTTTATTGGAAATCCAGTTTTATCCAGTGCACACGGAATCCTCGGAATGGCTGCAAGGCTCTGGAAATGCCAGCCAGCCAGCATGAATCTCTTTTCTTATCCAGGGAGATGATGGATGTGAATTTGTCATCATCTCCTGTCTCCCACCAAAGTTTATTCTGAATAAGGGAAGTGATCTGCTGGCCTCTTAAGTGGTGGGAAGGTGGAGAAGGGAAGAAGCTAATCTTTTAAAACAGGCATTATTGGGTGGCCTCATATGGATTTTCCCATTTAATTCTCATAACAACCTACAAAATAAGTAGTGTTATTATTTCCGTTATAAAAATGACTTTGAGGCATCCAATCCAAGTCAAGCAGCTATTTTGGCAGAGCTGGGTGGCCAAGACATGCTCATGTAATTCTGAGATCTCAGTTACTTTTCCCTTTTCTCACTGTTTTGCTCAGGCAGAGGAAAATCAAGGGTTAGATAAATAGCAGTATGATAGCTGTAATGAATTATTTGAATTTGAGATAAGACAGAGTGGTGGGCTCTGGCCAGTGAGGTCTGCTGTCGCTTGAGTGGATGACCAGGGCCTCAAGCAGTTGGCAAGACAGGTTTTTATGTGTCCGTGAAATTCTGTCACAGCTTCCAGGGAGCCCGTTTAGCATGACATGGTCGACTACAAAAGTTAGAAAAGTTTTCTGGCTTGGGAAACTCTGCTCTGATCTGGGGCTCATTTTCTCCAAAGCCAGATTTCTAATTCTAATTTCTAATTCTCTCTCTCACACACACAGTTTAGAGTTGGCTGGCACTTTTGGGAGAAAGGTTCTGGGAAGAGTCAGCATTCATTTATTTAACAGATATTTAGTGAGCTCTCATTATGGTTTGGATTCGGTTCTGTCAGGTATAATCCAAGCAAAATGGAAGCCCATGGAAGCCCTGCCTTAATAAAAGAAGAAATTAATACATGTGCAAAAATAATTAGAATGTAAGGTAGAAAATGCCAAGAAATGTGAAAAAATTTCTGAATTTTGAGGTGGGAGAAATTCCATACTCCCAAAAAGGGGAATGTGGGAAAGCTTCATGGAAAAGGTAATTTTTAAATTTATTTTTATTTTTTTGAGATGGAGTCTCACTCTGTCACCCAGGCTGGAGTGCAGTGGTGCGATCTCTGCTCACTGCAACCTCTGCCTCCTGGTTCAAGTGATTCTCCTGCCTCAGCCTCCCAAGCAGCTGGGATTATAAATGTACACCACCACACCCTGCTAATTTTTGTATTTTTGGTAGAGATGGCTTTTCACCATGTTGACTAGGCTGGTCTCCAACTCCTGACCTCAAGTGATCTACCCGCCTTGGCCTCCCAAAGTTCCAGGATTATAGGCATGAGCCATGTGCCTGACCAAGAAGGTGATTCTTGAGCTGGGCCTTGGAGATTATGTAGGATAAGGGTATTCAGTGATCAGTTGAAGGAGATGGAAGGAATGGGGTAGTGGCATAATAAAAGCAAAGGAAAGCCAAAAACCTAAATGTGTAGGTGGGGAAAAAATGAATTCTAGAATTCTACCAGGAAATAGAGAAGTAGGGGAGTTACAGACTGGCCTCAGATCAGAGGGTTTTTCTATGCCATGTTCATTTCCTATTATAATTATATTTCTCTTTGTCCTGTTCCTGGAAAGTTTTGCTGTATACATTTGATGTTATTAGGTGCATGCAAATTTAGAATTATTACATCTGATGAATTGACCCTTTATCATGAAATATGCCTCTTATCTCTAGTAATACTGCTTATGTTAAAGTCCATATTGGATGATACTGGTGTAGTTATACTACATCTCTTTTGTTGAGTTTTTGCATAGTTTATCTTTTTAAATCCTTTTAGTTTTAACCTTTCTGTGTCCTTGTATTTAAGGTATATAACATGTAAGCAGCATATAGGTTTTTTCTAATCTGACAATGTGTGTCTTTTAATTGGAGTATTTAGTGCCTTAGCATTAAATATAATTCCTGATATATTTGTGCTTTTAAAACATATGTATTTTCTGTTTGACTCACTTTTTAATATTTATCTTTTTTTGCTTTATTTAAAAATATGCAAATATTTCTAAATTCCATTTCTCCTCTTAATTAGAATTTTAGTTTTACATTCTTATATTATACTTCAAGTGGTTATCCTGAACATTACAAGACTAATTCCAAATTTATTAAATTTAACACAAATTAATATTTCTACCATCTCTCCAACAACGCTAGATCTTTAAACACTTAAAATTCATTTATCCTCTATTGCTTTTTAAAATATTCATTATAAGGTCAGGCACGGTGGCTCATGCCTGTAATCCCAGCACTTTGGGAGGCTGAGGCAGGTAGATCACCTGAGGTCAGGAGTTTGAGACCAGCCTGGCCAACATGGCGAAACCCCGTCTCCACTAAAAATACAAAAAAATTAGCCGGGCGTGGTGGCAGGCACCTGTCATCCCAGCTACTCAGGAGGCTGAGGCAGGAGAATCACTTGAACCCTGGAAGGCGGAGGTTGCAGTGAGCTGAGGTCACGCCACTGCACTCCAGCCTGGGCAACAAGAGCAAAACTCCATCTCAAAAAATAATAATAATAAGTAAAATAAAATAAAATATTCATTATAATTTTTCATATACTTTAAATCTATAAAACTTTACTTTTTTTGTGTTTACTCTATATTCATTTACCAACATATTTACCATTTCTATTATTCCTAATTTCTGCCTCTATTTCTGGGTTTCCATCTGGGATAATTTTCCTTCTGTCTGAAAATTTCTCTGGTTATTTTTGTGGATATATAGATCTGTTGGATATGAATTGCCTCAATTTTTTCTTGTCTGGAGATGTGTTTACCTTATCTTCACTTCGAAGGTTATATTCACTGCGTATAGAGGTCTACATTTGTGTTTATTGTTATTTTTCTCAGCCCTTTAAAGACATTCTTTCATTATTCTCTGGCTCCTATTATTTCTGTTAAGAAATCAGCCTTAAGTCTTTTTTTTTTAATTATTATTATACTTTAAGTTTTAGGGTACATGTGCACAATGTGCAGGTTAGTTACATATGTATACATGTGCCATGCTGGTGTGCTGCACCCATTAACTCGTCATTTAGCATTAGGTATATCTCCTAATACTATCCCTCCCCGCTCCCCCCACCCCACAACAGTCCCCAGAGTAAGTCTTATTTCTCTTTTGAAGTTAATGTATTTTTTTCTGTCTGTTTTAATTTTATTCTTTTTGGTTTTCAGACATTTGACTATGATATGTTTATCCGTAGTTTCCTTTGAATTTGTCTCACTTGGGTTGCTTGATATATTTTTTCTCCTCAATTATTCTTTATGCCTTATTCTCTTTTTAGTCCTCTTCTGGGACTTCAATTACATGTATATTAGTAAAATATACATATATCTTACCCTCTTTCTATATTTTCCATATTTTTTACTCTTCTTGTTTCAGTTAGTATATTTTCTACTGATCTATACTCCATTTGACTAATTCTTTCTTTTCCTCCATCTAATTTGCTGTTAAATCCACCTATTAAGTTTTAAATTTAACTTACTGCATTTTTTAGTTCTAATATTTCTATTTAGATTTTTAATTTATTCAATTTCTTTGGTGAAATTACCCATTTTGCTATATATTTTATTTTACATATTAGTTTCAGATAAAACCAATATTTGAGTCATGTAGTAGGAAGAATTGTAAAATGGCCCCCAAGATGTTTCTCACACTTCCCACCTAGTGTACACATTCCATGTATGATCCCTTCCCTCTTGAGTGTGAGTGCTACCAGTAAATTTCATAGGATATCACTGATTAGACTATATTATGTAACAGAGAGGATGAGCTAGTCACTCTTCTGATAAGACTCCTTCAAAGCAGACTGAAGAAAAGTTCTTCTGGCTTTGAAGAAGTAAGCTTCCAACTTGTGAGAGGACCACATGATTAGTAGAGTCAGGAAGAAAGTGGGGCCATTACATCAACAACCACGAGGAACTGAATTCTTCCAACAACCTGAATGAGCCTGGAAGAGGACCCCAAGCTAGGAATGCAGCCTCACTGATTTCAGCCTTGTGAAATCCTGAACAAAGGACCCAGTATACTGTGCATGGACTTCAAAACTTCAGAAACTGAGATAATGAATGAATATTCTTTTAAGTCTCCAAGTTTGTGATAGTCTACTGTAGGTATTTACTATATTGAAGACCAGTCATTTGTAGATCTATTTCAATATCTTTTTCTGTTCATCTTGGTTTTTGTTATGCTTACTTTTATATTGAAGACCTGACATTGTGTGTTAAAAATTGTAGAGGCTCTAGGGGATGCTCTTTTCCTCCATGGAGGGTTTATCCTTTTCTCTAATAGGCATCTAAGGCAGGAACAAGTCATCATAATCAAGAATGGAGTTTCTTCAAGGCTGGGTTTGCTATGTTTGCATGGATATATCTGAATTTGTATTTGCCCCCACTCCTAGGTGTAGCCCTCTGGGGGTACTAACTCAGGCCTGGGTGTTCAATTGGGCTTTCCTTAAAGCAGGTTTTGACCTTCAACTTTTGGATTCCTCAATACCTTAGCATTGACAAAAACTCTGCTCTACTTTGCAGTGGCTTATTCACTTGTATTTTTAGTTTCCTGACCTCTTGAGACATTGCCTTTCTACAGTGGTCTTCATTTCCCTCTGAGCCATCACTAGAAGAGTCTTTAATGTGCATATTTCTACTAATAGTCCCTTCAAGGCAATCTAAGCTTTTTCTGTCATGCTCCTCAAAATTTTTCCAGCTTCTGCCCATTGTCCAATTCCAAAGCCATTTCTAAGTATTTGTTTTCCCAGCATCCAAATTCTAGGTAACAAAATTTGTATCAGTCAACTAATCAGGTCAACCAGTGAAGCAGAACCAGTAGGACATAAATATTAAAAGATTTTTTGCAATGAATTAGATTATGTGATTGTAGGGACTGGCTAGGCAAGTCCGAAATCCATAGGGCAAGTCATCAGAAAAGAAAGACTGGAACTTTTGGACATGGACTGAAGCTTCTCTCCACAGATGGAATTTTTCTTTCTCTTAAGGAAGCCAGAACACTGATTTTCATTCAACCAATTGAATTTTGCCCACCTAGATTATCTAAAATAATCTCCCTTACTTAAAGGCAACTGCTTACGGTCTTTAATCACATCTACAAAATGCTTTCACAGCAACACATAGATTAGTGTTTTACTTAATAATGGAGGAATGTAGGCTAGCCAAATTGATATATCCAAAAGATCATCACAATTGGACATGAACTTATCTTGCCTTTGCAAAAAATAGATATTTGTCCTGATTTCTACACTTGGTGAAATGTTCAACTCTTGGTTTAAGTGTTGCCTCTTCACTGTCCACTGCCCCTACCCTCCTTTCCCAATATAAAATGAATTGTTTTCTCTTGGGTGTTCCATATATTACTCTCTTCTAGCATTTACTATGTTTTCTTGTACTGAGATCTAGTTGTTCACCCACTTACTACTCTGTGAGCTCTGAAAGCCAAGACCAGGTCATTGTATTCAATGTCTGATACCAAGTAAATGTTCCATAAATATCATTTAAATGTTTATTGATCTGTACCAAAGTAAAGCGTTGGTTTTTGTTTGTTTTAAAATCTTAATCAAAAGTCGCTGACTTTCTTGTGAAGGCTTATTTAAGTGGGCCACTTAATTATGCAAATATATAGCAAGAGTAAAATAGCCATTGTGTTGAGATAGCGTATAGCAAACTTGTATAACTTCATTAAGAGTGTCAGTCTCTAGATGAATGGTATGCAATGTTGATCTCTGCAGAAGAGGTGAATAAATTTGCATGAGGATCTTGCAGCTTTTTAAAAGAGAAGGGACAACAAACTGTCTTTTCTCCCTGAGATAGTGATTAAGAGAGAATTATCAGAGTGAAGCTGGGTGGAATGACTGACTACCCAGGTGCAGACAAACGCAATGAGACTCTTTAAATAAAATTATTCTTCAGTATGAGACAGTCTATGCTGATAGGCTGGATCTAGATTTCCTTGGAGGTGGGCTGGTTGCCTCCTACTGTGAGTGCTGTCAGAATTGCTTCCAGATCCAGCCACCTCAACACAGTGCTATACTCTGGGGAACAGTAGCTTAATGTGATGGTGAAACTGAACACCAGTCTCAGCCTGGAATCCCTTTGGCTTATGTTGTTAGATTATTCCTTTTTGAAGAATAGTAGTGCTCTGAGCAAGCAGTTTGACTAATGAGACAATATTGCCATGATGACCTGTATTCCATTACAACAACCTAGAATGATAAGTCATGCCAGTAGCTGCAGGTTGGAATTTGGTACTCTGCCTGCTGTAATGTAATTTTGAAAGAATGACCCTTTTTGACAATGTACAGTTTGTGTTTTAGTGCAATTTAGTGGAAAATTAGAATCTCAAAACAAATGACTTCTTTCTAATCTGGCAAGTGGGAGGATCACACATTCGTAATTGTACCTGAGGTTGGTAGAACTTTTTGTGTCAGTATCAGATGGATTAAGTGAATGAAGGAGTGAATAACATGTATGTTATTCCCATGCTGCAAGTTTTAACAGGAGAATGTTGACGTTGAAATCAGAAAGACCAGAATTAGGAAGATAATTCCAACACTTACTACCGTCTTAAGTGTGGGAAGTGATTTTACATCGCTGAACATCAGTTTCCACTTTTGTCACATGTGAATAAATTCATGTCTATTTCAGAAGACAATTTTGTGAGACAATTCAGACCTCCTGATTCCCACCTAGAAATGCCTTCCACTTTGCATTATACATCATTGTCATATGGAAAGTACTCACAGGCCACTAGTTTTTCAAATCCTGCTCTAGATTAGGGGTGAATAATAGATAAAATAAAAGACTTTTATCAACATGCATAGGAATCTCTTCTCCATTTAGAAGTGAGTTGAAGAACAGAACCATTGCACATCTTCTATAAAGTCCTATTTCTTCTCTATGCTAAGGTTATCCTTCTCTGTCAAATGGAGACAGTAGTTGCTATCAAAATAGGATCAAAATTCAGAAGGAAACAAAACAAGTAGAAGAGAAAGTGCTTTCTAAAGGAAGCGAAAATACAGGAGGCTCGAAATTGCTCAAGATTGTGGTTTTAGGTACTAGAAAATCTATTATTATGCTTTGCCTTTTTATTTATTTTAACAGGGAAAAAGCTTAGTTGGATCACCTCTCCACTGTTAGAGTTGGGCTCCTCCCATGAGTAATTGCTGCCCTGAAGTTGCCTCCTGATTTGGGGAATACTTAATTTGAGCACTGAAACTTAATTGGATCACCTCTCTGCCACCAGGGTTGGGCAGGGCCTGATGTTTTCTCCACAGGTAATTGCTGACTTGCAGTTGTCTTTCAACCTGGGGAAGACTTAAAGAGAGCACCTAGGCTGTGTGAGAAAGCTGGCTAAGGATTTGTGCCTGGGAGACCCATGGACCATGTTTCTTGCAGGGTGATGCTGTTGGCTAGTTTTTCTGATGTGGCACTTTCATTGGCTGGAATGCAGAGCAACCACCAACACTTGTACACTGGGTACTGTGAATGCCACCCATGATTTTTGTTTCTAACTGATCTCAGGTGATCTAGCCCTGCCAGTACTCCCAATGTTTCCCATGAAACATTTCAGGAGTGAGCCTCCTGAAAAAGGTCCGAAAAAGGTCCCCAAAAGGTCCCAAAATGGTGAGGAAGCTGAATGCCCACTTCCAACTCACTTTTCCTCCTATAGAAACCATAGTTTGGAAGGAATTCTCTGTGTGGTGCTGTGACACCTTAGGGGAGGGGCAGCATGGTCAAGGAGGACTGTTTCTCTTACTGTTTAATCATAGATTTTCTTGGTTCTGTGGTCCAGGAGGATGTCTCAACCTTACTCCCAATTTCTGAGATATTCATGATGGTATTTTTTTGCCTGTGGATAGTTGTTAGTTGAACTTCTATATGAGGAAATGAAGCCAGAGAACTCCCATTCTTTTTTTTTTTTGAGATGGAGTCTTGCTTTGTCACCCAGGGTGGAGTGTACTTGCACAATCTTGGCTCACTGCAACCTCCACCTCCTGAGTTTAAGCAATTCTCTTGCCTCAGCCTCCCAAGTAGCTGGGATTACAGGCACCTGCCACCATGCTCAGCTAGTTTTTGTATTTTTAGTAGAGATGAAGTTTCACCATGTTGGCCAGGATGGTCTCAAACCCCGACCTCAAGTGATTCGCCCACCTAGGCATCCCAAAGTGCTGGGATTACAGGCATGAACCACAGTGCCCAGCCAGAGAACTCCTATTTTTCCATCTTGGTGACATTACTCTTCATCTATTTTAAGCTGCTTGTCCTTCTGAGACTTTTAGCTCGATAAGTGTAATTCCTTGTCATTTTCCTGGTCTTAGAACTCTTCAAATCTCTTTTCTCCCTCAGCTACTCCATTCATTTGGGTACCAAATTCTATTGTGTTTCTATAATCTTCCTTCTCAAGTCTGACACTTACCCATATTTTCTATAACGTTTCTTCTCAACTGTGACACTTACCATATTGATTATTTTGTCCCCATTGCTACTGATTTCCCTAGTGCAAATCATCTGAGCTCATAGTTGGACTACTGAAATACCTTCCTGTGTGTGACATTATTATTTCCTCCATAGTAACCCATTCTATGTTTCCTCCATTAGCAGTAACCATGTGTTACAATGAGACTGGCCACACTCACATTTCCAACAATGATACCTCATGGGATATAATACCATATCCTTAACATCTTCACATTGTGATTGATTGCAGGAAATACATTTAATCCAGGTAATGATGTACTTTCTCATGGTCAAACTGATAGGTCCATGTGTAACCTTCCATGTATAGCTTTACAACCTAAGTTGGCCCACTCACTGTGAAACACTGGATTCCCTGGGCAAAGAGAAGCTCTGTTGGATTTGTGTTATGAGTGCATGAAGACTAAGATTACTGTGGTTTGCTTGACTGTGTGTTGGAAGCCAGTCTAAGGACCAAGCTGAAAGACAAGAGAGGGAGGAGTCAGGAAAATTGCAGAGAAAATGATTTAGAGGCCTTAATAATCGTCCTTAAGTTCCCTCTCTGGATCTCAGTTTTGTTAACTTGACAATTTACTTTATGGCTTAAAGCATTTTTAGTTAGGTATTCTTTTACATGTGCAACTCTTCAGTTCCCAAGTAAGCTCCCATCTTAGTTGTGACCTTATCTACCAATGCCAATATCTGTTATAATATTTATTATAAAGGCAATAGCTAACATTTAGTGAAGACTTATGTGTTCTCTGGACTACTCTAATAGTTTAAATGTATTATCTCATTTATAATTCATGGTAATCTTATAAGTTAGATATTTTTAAGGACTTATTTTACAGATGACAAAACTGAAGCCCAGAAAGTTAAATAATTTGGCCAAGGCCACCTGGCTAATATGGAATAGCAGATATATTACTTCGACATGACTACATGACAAATTACCCCAAATCTAGCAGCTTAAAACAGCAAACACTAATAATCACACTACATGTGTGGGTAAAGAATCTGGGCACAGCTTGTCTGGTGCTTTTGGTTCAAGGTCTCTCATCAGTGGCAGTCAAGCTATTGTGCTGGGCTGCAGTTTCATCTGGAAGCTAGACTGTGGGAGTTGGGGAATTCAATTCTAATCTCTCTCATGTGGTTTTTAGCAGGCCTTGGTTCCTGAACACGTGGCTATCTCTACAGTGTAGTCTCATGAGATTGCACTTAATTTTCCCCAGGACTAGTGATCTGAGAGAGAGTGAGCAAAAGATAGTAGGAGTAATAGAAACTATGATGTGCAGATGCACACATGAGGAGTAGAGGTGAGAGAGAGAAAAAGAAAGAGAGATAACACCTAAGATAGAAGCCATAATCTTTTGTAACCTAATGTCACTAGTGACATCCTATCATCTTCGCTGCATTCTATTTGATGGAAGGAGAGGACAAAGGCATAAATTCCAAAAGGTGGGGCTCACTGGGGCTATCATAGAGGTTGTCTACCCCAGTCACTATTCAAATTCTTGTAGTCAGAGTCCACACTATACTGGCTAACTATCGTTATACTTTACAGAGTTTCTAATGCCTGACTTTGTAGGGTCACTCCTCTCTCAAAATTCCTCCAGGCATTCATGATAAATTCTAATGCTATTACACATCTCAGTCTGTCTCTCATAAATCCACACCAAATGCATATTCAAAAAAATTTATTTTAATATTTTTTAAACCTTTTAATTTTATTTTTTGTGAGCATATAGTAGGTATATATATTTATGGGGTACATTAGATGTTTTGATACATTGGATAAAATAGGGTATCTATTGCCTCAAGCATTTATCCTTTGTGTTAAAACAATCCAATTATACTCTTAGTTATTTTTAAATGTACAATTAAATTATTATTGACTATAGTAACCCTGGTGTGCTATCAAATACCAGGTCTTCTTCATTCTTTCTTTTTTTTTGTACATACTAACCATCCCCACTTCCCCCTGTCCCCTAACTACTCTTCTCAGCCTCTGGTAACCATTCTTCTACACTCTATCTCCAGGACTTCAGTTTTAAATTTTAAATTTTAACTCCTATAGATAAGTGAGAACATGTGATATTTGTCTTTCTGTGCCTGGTTTATTTCACTTAACATAATGAACACTGGTTCTATCCATGTTTGTACAAATGATAGGATCTCATTTTTTTATGGCTGAATAGTACTCCATTGTGTATAAGTAGAACATTTTTCTTTGTCCACTTATCTGTTGATGGGCACTTAGGTTGCTTCCAAATTTTGGATATTGTGGACAGTACTGCAACAACTATGAGAATGCAGATATCTCTTTGATATGTTGATGTTCTTTCTTTTGGATATAAGCCCAGGAGTGAGATTGCTGGATCATACGGTAGCTCTATTTTAAGTTTTTTAAGGAACCTCTAAATGGTTTTCCATGGTGGTTGTACTAGTCTACATTCCCACCAACAGTATATGAGGGTTCCCTTTGGTCGTATCCTTACTAGCATTTTTTATTGCCTATCTATTGGATATAAGACATTTTAACTGGTATAAGATGATATCTCATTGTAGTTTTGATTTGTATTTCTCTGACAATGAATAATGTTGAGTAACTTTTTATATGGCTGTTTGCCATTTGTATGTCTTCTTTTGAGAAATATCTATTCAAATCTTTTGCCCATTTTAAAAATGGAATATTAAGTTTTTTTCCTATAAAATTGTTTGAGCTCCTTTTATATTCTGGTTATTAATCTGTTGTCAGATGGATAGTTTGCAAATATTTTCTCCCATTCTGTGGATTGTCTTTTCAGTTTTTTGATTGTTTCCTTTGCTGTGCAGAAGCTTTTTAACTTGATATGATTCCATTTGTCCATATTTTCTTTGGTTGCCTGTGCTTATGGGGTGCTACTCAAGAAGTCTTTGCCAACTCCAAAGTCCTGGAGTGTTTCCTCAAAGTTTTCCTGTAGTAGTTTAAACTTTTATGGTCTTAGATTTAAATCTTTAGTTCATTTTTATTTGGTTTTTGCATATGGCAATAGGTAAGGGTTTACTTTCATTCTTCTGCATATGGATATCCACTTTACCCAGTACCATTTACTGAAGAGACTGTCTTTTCCCCAGTGTATGTTCTTGGCCTCTTTGTCAAAAATGAGTTCACTGTAGGTATGTGGATTTGGTTTTTGATTCTCTATTCTGTTCCATTGGTCCATGTGTCTTTTTTTTTTTTTTTGAGACGGAGTCTCACTCTGTCACCCAGGCTGGAGTGCAGTGGTGCAATCTCGGCTTACTGTAAGCTCTGCCTCCTGGGTTCATGCCATTCTCTTGCCTCAGCCTTCAGAGTAGCTGGGACTACAGGTGCCTGCCACCACGCCTGGCTAATTTTTCGTATTTTTAATAGAGACAGGGTTTCACTGTGTTAGCCAGGATGGTCTCAATCTCCTGACCTTGGGATCCGCCCGTCTCAGCCTCCCAAAGTGCTGGGATTACAGGCGTGATATGTGTCTGTTTTTATGCCAGTACTATGCTGTTTTGATTACTGTAACTCTGTAGTATAATTTGAAGTCAAATAATGTGATTCCTCTGGTTTTGTTTTTTTTTTTGTTCTTTTTGTTTAAGATAGCTTTGGCTATTCAGGGACTTTCCTGGTTCCATATAAATTTTAGGGTTGCTTTTTTATTGATGTGAGGAATGTCTTTGGTATTTTGATAGGGATTGCGTTGAATCTGTAGATGACTTTGAGTAGTATGGACATTGTTGACAATATTGATTCTTCCAATACATGAACGTGGAATATCTTTTCATTTTTTGGAGTCTTCTTTGATTTCTTTCATTAACATTTTATAATTTTCATTATACAGATCTTTTACAACATTAGTTAATTTTTAGGTATTTAATTTTATTTGTGATTATTGTAAATGGGATTACTTTTTTAATTTCCAGAATATTCACTGTTGGCATATGAAAATGTTATTGATTTTTGTGTATTGATTTTGTATTTTGCAACTTTTCTGAATTTATCAGTTCTAATAGGTTTTTGCTACAGTTTCTATGATTTTCCAAATATAAGGTTATATCATCTGCAAACAAGGATAATTTGACTTCTTCCTTTCCAATTTGGATGTCCTCTATTTCTTTCTCTTGTCTGATTGCTCCAGCTAGGACTTCCCATACTATGTTGATTAACAGTGGTGAATGTGGGCATCCTTGTCATGTTCCCGATATTAGAAGAAAGGCTTTTAGATTTTCTCCATTTAGCATGATACTAGCTGTGGGTTTGTCATATATAGCTTTTATTATGTTGGGGTATATCTGAGTGTTCTTACTATGAAAGGATGTTAAATATTATCAAATGCCTTTTCTGCATCAATTGAAATGTTCATATGGTTTTTGTCCTTCATTCTCTTGTTATAGTATATCACATTGTTTGATTCATGCATATTGAACTACCCTTGCATCCTAGGGATAAATCCCACTTGGTCATTTGTGATGAATGATCTTTCTCATGTGTTGTTCAATTCAGTTTGCAAGTATTTTGTTGAGGATTATTGCATAAGTATTCATCAGAAATATTTGCCTGTAATTTTATTTTTTTTTTGGTGTTCTTTGTCTCCTTTTGGTATTAGGGTAATACTAGCCTTTTTGAATGAGTTTGGATGTATTTCCTCCTCCTCTATCTTTTGGGAGAGTTTGAGTTGAATTGCTGTTACTTTTTCTTTAAATGGTGTATTTTCTCCTCCTCTATCTTTTGGAAGAGTTTGAGTAGAATTGCTATTACTTCTTCTTTAAATGGTGAAATTCAGCAGTGAATTTGGGTTCTGGGTTTTTTTACTGGCAGACTTTTTATTATGGCTTCAGTCTTGTTGCTAGTTATTAGTCTGTTCAGGTTTTGGATTTCTTCCTGGTTCAATCTTGGAAGGTTAAATTTCATTTCTTCTACATCTTCACATTTACTGGCATATAGTTTCTCATAGTAATCAGTAATGATCCTGTGAATTTTTGTGGTATTAGTTGTAATGTCTCCTTTTTCATTCCTGATTTTACTTATTTAGATCTTTTCTCTTATTTTCTTAGTTAGCCTAGCTAAAGGCTTGTCAATTTTGTTTATGTTTTCAAAAGGTTTTTGTTTCATTGATCCTTTGTATTGTTTTCTTTATTTCAATTTCATTTATTTCTTCTCTGATTTTTATTATTTATTTTCTTCTACTACTTTTGGGTTTGCTGTGCTCTTGCCTTTCTAAGTCTTCAAGATGCATAATTAAGTTATTTAAAGTCTTTTTAAATATAGGTACTTACACCTATAAACTTCCCTCTTAATACTGCTTTTGCTATATCCCATAGGTTTTGTTATGTTGTGTTTCCATTATAATTTGTTTCAAGAATTTTTTCAATTTCCTTCTTAATTTCTTCATTGACCCACTGGTCATTTAGAAGCATATTGTTTAACTTCCGTGTATTTGTATAGTTTCCAAGATTCCTCTTGTTCTTGATTTGTAGTTTTATTCCACTGTGGTCAGAGAAGATGGTTGATATTGTTTAAATGTTTTGAATGTTTAAAGACATTTTGTAATATAACATGTGGTCTATCCTTGAGAATGATCTAATGTTCTGTAAATATCTATGAGTTCTATTTGGTCTTTAGTGCAGATGAAGTCCAGTGTTTCTTTGTTGATTTTCTGTCTGGAAGATCTGTCCAAAGCTGAAAGTAGGGTGTTGAAGTCTCCAGATGTTGTTGTACTTGGGCCTATCCTCTCTAATAATATTTGCTTTATATATCTGATTGCTTCATTATTGGGTGTCCATATGTTTACAATTTTTATATCCTCTTGCTGAATTGGCCCATTTGTCATTATATAGTAACTTTTTTGTTTTTTCTTATAATTTTTGTCTTGAAGTCTATTTTGTCTAATATAATTATAGCAACTCCTGCTCTTTTTTGGCTTCCATTGGCATGGCATATCTTTTTATATTCCTTTACTTTCAGTCTACATGTATCTTTATAAGTGAAGTGTGTTTCTTGTAGGCAACAGATAATTGGGTCTTGTTTTTTCAATCCATTCAGCCACTCTATATCTTTTGATGAAAGAATTTAGTTCATTTACATTTAATGTTGTTATTGATAAGAACTTACTCCTGCCATTTTGTTATTTGTTTTCTGGTTGCTTTGTGGCATTCTTTTCCTCCTTTTCTTTCTTCCTGTCTTCCTTTTAGTGACGGTGATTTTCTCTGGTGACATGATTTAGTTTCTTGCTTTTAATTTTTGGCATGTCCATTGTATGTTTTTAAATTTGAGGTTACCATGAGGTTTGCAAATACTATCTTATAACCCATTATTTTAAACTGATGACAACTTAACACTGTTTGGATAAACAAGCAAAAATAAAACTAATAAAGACTTTATGCTTTAACTTTGTTCCCATGCTTTTTAACTTTTTGTTGTTCTATTTATATCTTATTTTACTCTGTTTTGATAAGTTGTTGTAGTTACTGTTTTTGATTGGTTCATCATTTAGTGTTTCTACTTAAGACCACAGTTATAGTGTTATAATAATCTAGGTTTTTCTGTGTGCTTACTATTACTAATGACTTTTGTACCTTCATATGATCTGTCATTGCTCATTAAAGTTCTTTTCTTTATGGTTGAAGGTTTCCATTTAGCATTTCTTGTAAGATAAGTCTGTTGTTTGTCATCTGGGAAGTCCCTCAGCTTTTGTTTGTCTGGGAGAATCTATTCCTCCTTTATGTTTGAAGAATATTTTCCTGGGATATAGTATTCTAGGGTAAAAATTTTTTTTTCCCCTCAGCACTTTAAATATGTCATACCGCTTTTTCCTGGCCTGCCAGATTTCCACTGAAAAATTTGCTACCAGACATATTAGAGGAGCTCCATCGTATGTCATTTGTTTCTTTTCTCTTCCTGCTTTTAGAATCCTTTTTTATCTTGAAGTTTGGCTGTTTGATTATTAAATGTCTTAAGGTAGTCTTCTTTGTTAAATCTGCTTGGTGTTCTATAACCTTCTTGTACTTGGATATTGATATCTTTCTGTAGGTTTGAGAAGTTCTCTGTCATTTCTTTGAATAAACTTTCTATGCCTGTCTCTTTCTCTACCTCTTCTTTAAGGCCCATAGCTCTTAGATTTGCCCTTTTGTGGCTATTTTCTAAATCTTGCAGACATGCCTAACTCTTTTTTATTTTATTTTTAGTCTCCTCTGTGTATTTTCAAATAGGCTGTCTTTAAATTCACTAATTCTTTCTTCTGCCTGATCAATTCTACTATTAAGAGACACTGTGGCATTCTTCATTATGCCAACTGCATTTACAAACATGTTTGAAATATATTATTTAAATTTATTCATTATTTTTTCATACATATTCTGCTTATGTACCAATTGCTTTTTTCAGCTCCAGAATTTCTCTTTGATTTTTAAAAATTATTTAAATCTCTTCATTAAATTTATCCAATAGAATTCTGAATCCCTTCTCTGTGTAATCTTGAATTTCTTTGAGTTCAAAGAAACAAATAACTATGTTGAGTTCTCTGTCTGAAAGGTCACATATCTCTGTTTCTCCAGGACTGGTCCCTGGTGCCTAATTTAAAGTTCACTTGATGAGGTTGTGTTTTCCTGGATGATCTTGATGCCTGTAGAGGTTCTTTGTGTCTGGGTATTGAAGAGTTAGGTATTTACTGTAGTCTTCTCAATCTGGACTTGTTTGTACCTGTCATTTTTAGGAAGGCTTTCCAGATTTTCCAATGGACTTGGGTGTTGTGATCTAAGCTGTATCTCTTTTAGTAGGCACCCTAACCCTTGTTTGTACCTGTCCTTCCTGGGAAGGCTTTCCAGATTTTCCAGTGGACTTGGGAATTGTGATCTAAGCTGTATCTCTTTTAGTAGGCACCCCAAACTCAGATACACTGTGGTTCTTGCAGATTCATGGATGTACCACCTTGATGGTCTTAGACACAATCTGGAAGCATTCTCTGTATTACCAGGCAGAGACTCTTGTTATCCTTCCTTACTTTCTCCCAAAGAAGTGGAGTCTCTCTCTCTCTCTGTCTCTCTCTCTTTTCTGAGCCACTAGGTCCTGGGTGTGTAGTGACACAAGCACCCCTGTGGCTACCACCACTAGGAGGGTGCTGGATGCCAGTACAGTATTAGATCTCACCCCAGGCCTGTTGTACCCACTCCCTTGCTACTGTCTATGTTTGTTCAAGGCCCTGGGGCTCTACAATCAGCAGGTGGCAAAGCTGATTTTGGGTTTGCTTTGCTCTTGCTTTTCTAATTCTTTAAGATGCATAACTAAATGATTAATGAAAGGCCTGTGTCCTTTCATTTAGTGTGGTGAATTCTCCCAGAAGCCAGGCAGTTCCAGAGGTACCATCTAGGACCCAGGGATGAAAGTCAAACCTTAGACGCCTACCTGTTATTCTACTGTACTGAGGCTAAGCTGGCACTCAAAGCACAAGTCACTTTTCTTCCTACTCTTCTCTCTTTCCAAAGGCAGAGGACTTTCACCTGTGGTCACCACCACCACAGACCCATGAAGAGTATTGCCAGACTATTGCTTATGTTCCCTTAAGGCCCAGTGCTCTCCAGTCAGCTTGTGGTGAATGCTGCCTGGCTTGGGACTCACCCATAAAGGCAGTGGACTCTGGTCCATGGTAGGTCCAGAAATACCACCCGAGAGCCAAGTCCTGGTATTGAGGACCCAAGAGCCTACTTGGTGCTCTTCTTCCCTGTAACCGGCTGACACCTGAAGCCAGCAAATCTCAGTATCTCAATCAAGGCCCTTGACAGGGTACCTGGGTATCACTGCTTCTGGTTATTCAGGGACTAAGGGGTCTTCAGTTAGCAGGTGATGAATCTTTCCAGGACTGGGTCCTTCCCTTCAAGGCAGTGGGTTCCTTTATGGCTAAGGCTGTGTCTAGAACTGTCATCTGGGAGCCAAGGCTTGGAAAGGAGGCCTCATGACTCTGACTGGTACGTCCTGTGGCTGAGCTCATATCCAAGATGCAAGACAAAGTCCTCCCCACTCTTCTCGCTCCTCTCCTCAAGTAGAGGGAAGGGTTCTCTTTGGGAGCCATGAGCTGTGCTGCCTGGGTTTAGGGGAGGGGTGATGCCAACACTTCCTTTGCTGTCTCAGCTGATGTTTCAGTAGGGTATGTGCCCTCCTAGTCCACTGGCTCTCAGCCCAGTTCAGCACCAGGAGTCACCTAGGAGTTACAGTCCTTGTGGCCTAGACTGCCTTTCAATTTTATGTAGAGTCCCAGAGTACTTTATCCCAAGATGGTGAGGCTTGCAGGAACTCAAGTATGGACCACTGAGATAGATGATTTCCCTCTGGCTGGGGCTGGCTTAAATGCTCCCTCTGTAAGCAGATGTCAGCTGATTTTGGTTTTGTTTTGTTTTCTACTATAATAGGTCAGCACTGAGTTTAACGCCTCATGATTTCTGTGCTCTTTCTCTCTCCCCAACACACTGAAATGCTTTTTGCACCATGCTGCTGCTGCCAGGGGATGAGAGAGGGGTGGCACTGGTGATTTGTTTCTCCTACCTCTTCCATGCCTTTTATTATGTTTGATAATTGTTAAATTGGTGTCCTTGTTGGGGGAACAATCAGTGGAGCTCTCTATTCTGCCATCTTGCTCTGCCCCTCCCCAAGTGTATCTAAACTCTCTCAGAACCAAACTAGTCTCTCTACTTCCAATAAAGCGTCTCTAATGTGATTTGATGTGTGATGAAATCTTTATGATAATAATTAAAAATACCTAGATATTCTTCGATTCTGATATATTGCCTGTGTTTTCTCACTGTTGTGTTTTTTGCTATGTCAATTCTTCCTCCCTGAATTCCTTTGGCACCTTTTCTTCACCATTTGTGAAAATCCTATTTATGCTTAAAGCTTCTGTGCACATCTTGTCCTTTTTAGATGATATACCAGATTTCCCACCGCCATTCCTGCTGAGATTAATCTCCTTTTTCTCTACTATACTGTGGTCCTTTTTGTCCCTTTCTTAGTTCTTTCACACTCTTTCTACTGTTTGAATTACCTGACCATATGTTTGCTCTTGATAAATTCCTAGGATGCTGAAACTCTGTCTATCAGGATCAAGGTTGGAAGAGTTGTGTTGAAGCGGCTAAGTTGTCTAGGGTA
Source organism: Homo sapiens (assembly GCF_000001405.40). Taxonomy (NCBI): domain Eukaryota; kingdom Metazoa; phylum Chordata; class Mammalia; order Primates; family Hominidae; genus Homo; species Homo sapiens. The sequence continues at coordinate 129,517,208 of NC_000008.11, read as the reverse complement.
TAAATCTGGGGTTCGTCGTCATGTGCCAGGAAAATTTAGGACATGGAAACACACAAGGGGTTTAGAAGCAGAGGTTTAATAGGTAGAACAGAAGAGAAAGAGAAACAGCTTCCTCTAAAGGGGAAGGAGTCTCCGAACAGAAAAGACTGGCTAGTGGTGAATGCACCAAGTTTTACAGTTCAGTTTGAGTGTTTGATTTACATAGGGCTCATAGATTTGTTCTATCAGGTATGACGTTTACATAGCACTTGAAAAAGGCTGGTCTCCCCACCCTAATCTTATTATGCAAATGAGCTTTCCAGTTGATTGGTGCCAACTTGTCTGCTCCTTATAGTACACAGTGGCTGGCAGAGAAGGGAAGATGGAGCCGCCATTTTGAAAATGTCTAGCCCTTAGTTCTTGCTGGCATTCACCCATGCAAGCTCCCAGCTTGCAGACTGCTCTTTGTTAGAAAATGATGTGGGGCTGCTTCTCATTAAAAAGAAAAGCCTTACAGAGGACTCCCATGCCCTTGCTATCTGCCTAAGTAATTCCTTCTTAACTCCTATATCAGTATCTATAAAAAGTGCTTGCTTCATGGGGTTATTGTGAGGATTAAATGAGCTCAGCTCACTGTATAAACTCAATACAAGGGTCTTCTTTTCATTAAAAACAAAACAAAACAGAAACTAAATCTCATACTGAACTGGCTCTTAGTACTAATTCCGCTCAGGTCTTTAACTTGAAATTTCCCCAGGGATTCTTCTGCTTACATTTCCCCTGTTCAAATTTTAGTGCCTTTTAATTAAATTAACCTGAATGTCTCCAATCTTCTTTGGACAGGTTTTACTATCACTTCATTTCCTCCTCAAGCCAAGACTCCTACACTAGAAGTATATCAGTCAGGATAGGCCAAATTATGCCATAGTAACAAACAACTCCAAATTGCAATGGCTTAAGACAGTAGAGATATATTATTTACTCATACTGTATGTCTACTAGAAATTAGCTCTGTGCTGTTTTCACTACACAACCCATGCTGAAAAAATAGTCACCACTGGGAATGTTGGAAGGAAACATGCATAGAGAAGACCGCATCAGGTCTTCCACCACTATTTGAGTGCTATAGCCTGGAAAAGACGCATGTTACTTCTGCTCACATTTATTGGCCAGAACCATATATGTGGTTTGTTATGAGTTGAATTGTGTTTACCTAAATGGTATGTGGCTGTCCTAAACCCAGTACCTATAAATTTGATCTTATATGGAAGTAGGGTCTTTGCAGGTGTAATCAAGTTAAGACGAGGTCATTCTCATGTAGAGTGGGCCCTAATCCAATATGAATGGGGTTCTTATAAGAAGAGGAGAAAACCCAAGCACAGACACATGAGGAAAGAAGGCCATATGATGATAGAGGAACAGATTGCAGAGCTGCAGCTGCAAGCCAAGGATTCCTTGCATTCCAGTACCAGTCACAGGCATTCCAATGCCATTCAAATACCAGAAGCTAAGAAGAGGCAAGAAAGCATTCTCCCCTAAATGTTCCAGAGGGAGCACAGCCTTCAGGCACCTTAATTACATATAGCCCCCAGAACTGGGAGACCAAACATGTCTGTTGTTTTAAGACACCCAGTTTGTGGTACTATGTTACAGCAGCCCTAGAAAACTAATAACATGGTCTTAGCCAACCACCAAGAGGTCAACAAATTTAGTCCTCAATATGCCTGTTTGGGGACCAAGGCCCTCTAAAAACTCACTGAACAATCACTGACATGAGGCAGATCGATTAATAGGAGAAAAGGCATACAAATTTATTTAACATGAATACATGAGAGCCTTTAGAATGAAGACCCAAACTCCCAAGAAGGGACAGAAATTTATATGCGATCTTGAAGTTATAGAAAGAATGTGGTCTCAGAGCATGGACAATAACAGGTTTTATTGGCAGGAAGGGTTTTGGAAGAGAGAAAGAGGCTTGGCTAGCAAAGGGGGTCTTGTTATGTAGATGAACCCTATAGGTAGCAGCTGTCAGAGACAATAGATGGTAAATGTTCCTTTTCAGAACTTTAATGGTGCCAGACTCTCAGTTAATATTTCCCAGTTCAGGAAAAAGCCTAGAAAAGAAAGACCTGGCTGTATTAGTGATGATTCTCTACAGATGTAAATTGCCCCCACAAAAGACAGCTTTGTGGGGCCACTGCAGTCTGCTGGCTCTGTGGCAACTATTTCAAAATATGCCAAATAAATATATTCTGAGATAAAATATTTTGATTTTCTTCACCTGAAAAAAGAGGAGGACTGGATATATATCAGTTATTAGCACTAATGTTTACAAAAGGAAGCATCATTAAGTAAGATAAGATTTACTGAAGATTTTGTGGATTTCATCACAACATGTGGCAAAATCTTGTCAAAATATCTACCTGAGAATTCTTTTTTTCCCAATTTTTTCTTAGTGACTGTGCTTTTCCTTTCCTTTATAACCAGTAAATAAAACCACCACTTTTATTTTTATTTTCTTGCAATTCATCTCTCACCTTATTCAGCTAAGTAAAAAACCCAGTGATGAGCCAAATATCAATAATGTGTTCTTCCAATTGAAGGAATTCTCCTATTGCAGGATCTCCTGCCAATCTGGGGCATGAGTCAGGGGTTGCTTCTGTGGTTCCTAAGTCAACACTGGACTAGGTTTTAATCCCCAATTATGTTCTTAGCACATTTCCACCTTCTGTTGAATTTTAGATCTTCAGATTGCATCATTTACACTCATGAATTAAGGCTGCATTGCAGAAGCAGCTTCTCAGCCTGTATTTTCATTGCCTTGCACATTACAGGCACATGATACCAGTTTGACTTCATTATTGAATCACTTATATCTCACATTTTTGGTATAGTGCCTTGCCCAAAAGTGTAATCATTGTCTACTAAGTTTTTGCTCTAGGCAAACCCATTCAAGTAATAAATATGCATGAAATCATGCTGTATAGTAAAGCCTACTTCATTATCAGTAGGTACAAGAGTCCTCTTTGTTTTCTCCTTGGTATGTTACGATCATAAGAAAGCCCTAGCTATTCTGATTTCCTGCAACAAGACAACCTAGTGTCTGCAGCAAATATGAAGGAGTGGTTGCTGATGTGATTTGAAGTTAGGGCTCATATTGGCTAGGTTGGGGGGGCATCTGTGGCCAAGTGGCAGGGAGTACAAGATAGATTATTTGACATATCTCTTCTCTAGTCTCTTCAACATATACAATGTTATTAGCACATCTTTCGTTGAAGGGACAGGCCAGAAGCACAGAATGCTTTAATTTCTCCAGGTAGCATGATACATAAATATTTCATATGTACTAAGCAATCACAAGCCATTTCTTCTTTTCAGCAAGTCAAGTCGCATAAATTATTTAATGTTTGGCTTGGATTCATATTTATCAGATTACCATTTACATTAAATTATGTTAAAATATTAATTTAAGCATATGATGAGCAAATCCAGTTCCCAACAGTGGAATATTTGCAAGGTGTTTGTTGAGTAATCAGACATTTATAAATTATTACAAGCCATTTCTTTATATTTAGCCAGATAAGACAAAGATACCCTTTGAGGAAAACAACTTCTACCTTCTGAAGTTGATTTCGGTTTCTTGGTGCATATCAGAAGTACTAGAAGATGTAATTACCAATATGTGCATTGCTTTTTAAAAAATAAGCATTAATAATTGATAATGTTTTCGCTCTGTGTCCTCACCCAAATCTCATCTTGAATTGTACTCCCATAATTCCCATGTGCTGTGGGAGGGGCCCAGTGGGAGGTAATTGAATCACGGGGGCAGTTTCCTCCATGTTCTTGTGGTAGTGAATAAGTCTCACAAGATGTATAAGGGGTTTCCGCTTTCACTTCTGTCTCATTCTCTCTCTTGCTGCTGCCAGGTAAGAAGTGCCTTTCACCTTCTGTCATGATTTTGAGGCCTCCCTTGCCAGGTGGAACTGTAAATCCATTAAATCTCTTTTTCTTCCCAGTCTTGGGTATGTCTTTATCAGCAGTGTGAAAATGGACTAACACAATAATCCAACCCAAATACAGGTTAATATATCTGAATGTTCATATACATATGTGATGAACTGTATGTATATAGCATATATACACACACATGATATATCCCTATGTATGTATATACATGGTACACATATAGGATTTATGTATATAGAATATATATATAGTATAGACATGAGTTTATATATATATGAGTTCTGTGTCTGCCATTTATGCATTGAGTATTCATATGTGCTAGGCTTTTCTCTAAGTGGCTCACATTATTTTCATATTGAATGCTTATAACATCCCCTCAAAGTGTGTATTGATAGTCTTGCTTTGTAGATGAGGTTACTGAAGTTTAGAAAAGTTAAGTAATTTGGTGAAATATAATTAGTGGTAAATGATTAGCAATGAAGCTTGACTTTGAACCACAGTCTTTCTAACTTTACAGCCCTTACGTCTAAGCACTATATTATAAAGCCTCCAGTGTAAAGCAAACTCTGCCTTTATTCTCTGGAATTTGTAAAACTTTCCCAGGAATGACCCTTAGCAATTTTGTCTAATATTGCCATGTTACAAAGGAAAAATCCAAAGCCTAGAGAATTAGGAATATTCCACTTGGAATAACTGAAAAGCCCATATTATAAATGCAATTCCAAACCTAACCAGGATAGGATCTATGTCTTTTTCATCTTTTATTACCCCAAAACTAGCACAAAACTTAGTATAACAAATAGCAATGTTTGTTATACGAATGAATTCTTGACTGACTGGATAAATGTAGCTACTTCCTACTTATAAATCTCCGGTGATTTCCCCATCATTTTTGGGACAAACTCCTGACCTCTTATACAAGTCTCATATGTAGACTTCCATGACTGATCGGTCCTGCTGAACTCTCCAACTGATTGTCCATATATGTGAAATAGGTACTTTATACTCCAGCAGAGGTGAGTTGACAGACAAGTTTCAGAACATGTAGTGTTTGCCCCGTTCTTTCTGCCTTTGTACATGCTATTACTGACTGTCTTGAGCTTTCCTTCCTCTGCATGTTGAGCTGATAAAGTCTTTGACTCCTAGAAATGTTCCCAGGCCTAGAGGGATTCCTCCTTCCTCAGTGTTTCTGTGGTACCCTTTACTATTGGAAACTCAGGTTCTGCTGTTCACTGCTTGAAAGCTAGATTCAAGAGACAAGAGTTGGTGGAAGGAAAAACAGGTTTATTTGAATACATCCAGCTGACAACCTGAGGAGATGGTGAACTAATGTCTCAAAGAACACTGCAAATTCTCAGGGTAGCCAAAGTGATTTTAAGGGAGAAGGTGGCATAGAAACTATGTGCCAGAGCGGTGCGGGGTGCAGGTCTGCTTGTCTGATTCTGATGGCTCTCTTGAGTAATGGACCATTTGGAGGTCTGGCTGGCATCATCTTGACTGTTCTCAGGTTATAAGTTAACTACTGCCCAACAATTTTTCTGGGAAGGAAAGATTCTGTGATCTCAACTTCATGCCTAGGTCATTTCAAGATTAGCCCCTGGAATTCTTAAATAAGCATATGATTAGAGATTGAAGAAAGCAAAGGGAGAGGCTATTTATCTTTGAAGCAGGTTGTCTATTCTGGTTACACTATCTCATTTGACAGCTCCTAGAGAGTAGTGTCCACGACTTAGCAACAAAAACAACAAATATAAATCCTATTTACTGAGTGCCTACTAGTGTCAAACGCTCTACATACATGATCTCATTTTATTCTCTCAAAATAATGAAATGAATGTGACTGCCTTTTAACATTTTGTGCACCTAAACACCATAGCGCTTTATATATCCAACACACAGATTCAAAGCTAAATGTGCTTTTAATTAATTCATATTTAACATTATACCATTACATTCTCACTCATTCCATTGAAAATATATTTTTGAAAAATGTAAGTATCAGGGTACTTAAAAAAAAATGAAACCTTTCACTGTAAAATGTTTACTGAGCACCTAGTAAGTACACAGCACTATGTTCGGTTATACCCTCATATTCTTGCAAAGCCTAGATTGAAGAAAGCAGTGACAAAAAATGTGTTTTGGGAGAAAAGCTTATTTTAGGGTACCAAGAGAAAAAAATGATTCAGGTAAGGCAAAAAAGCAAAGCTGAAAGGAAAAGGAAGGAAAGGGTGTAAGGGTGTAGTTTTTTTTGAGCACCTATTAGGCACATGCCATTTTTCACACTTTAGAACATTTAATTGCTATAAAGATGGTATGAAGTTGGCTATTATGGGCTGAATCTTTTCATCTCAAACATTATGTTGAAGCCCTAACCTCCCAGTGCTGTTGAATGTGACTTTATTTGGAAATAGGGTCTCTGTAGAAACAATCAAGTTAAAATGATGTCATTAGGGTGATCTTTAATCCAATGTGATTGTGTCCTTATAAAAAGGGGAAGTCTGGAGACAGACATGCACAGAGGGAGGACAGTATGAAGACACAAGACTAATACCACCTATAAGCCAAAGGATGCCTGAGGCTACCAGAAGCTAGGAGAAGGCCTGGAAGAGGTTATTCCTCACTGTCCTTAGAAGGAACCAATCCTTGGCTGGGCATGGTGGCTCATGCCTGTAATCCCAGTGCACTGGCAGGCTGAGGTGGAAGGATCACTTGAGGCTAGGAGTTAATGTCCAGCCTGGGCAACATAGTGAGGCCACACCTCCAGAAACAATACAAACAATTAGCTGGGTATGATGGCATGTGTCTCTAATCTCAGCTACTCAAGAGGCTGAGGAAGAAGTATTGCTTGAGCCCAGAAGTTGGAGGCTGCAGTGAGCTATGATTACGCCACTGTACTCCAGCTCAAGTGACAGAATAAGACACCTTCTGATACCTTGATCTTGAACTTCTAGCCTCTAGAACTGTGAGATAATAAATTTTTGTTATTTGAGCCACTCAGTTTATGGTTCTCAGTTATAGCGACCCTAGGAAGCTAATAAATTGGCATTTTAATCTCTGTTTTTTAGATGCAGAAACTGATGCTCAATCAAAGTAATATAACACATATATGACAAAGCCTGGGTTGGAGCAGAGACTTTGAGAGCCCCTGGATGCAGGCTCCTCGATGAAAAAGACACTGAGAAAGTAGGACAAGCAAAAACATTGAAGAGTTGGGTAGAAGAAGAGGGAAGGGATGTCTCCTGAAAGATCTAGTGCCCTAAGGAGTGGATAGCTTTAATAATTTTTGTTTCTCTCAACATGGCTGATTAAACCCAACCTGATCTTGAGTATTGTCTTTCTCTTTGAGAATTTTCCCCTTCCTGGGTCACAAATTGACCCTTTTCCATGTTTCTGGGGATTCTCTGTGTTAAAGGGAATATGAGCCATTTATTCAAATATGACTGATTTGCATGGGAAGCCAGCCTGAAGGAGAACAGTGTAAGCCTGAGAGCACCACCTCCAGTTAATCACAGCAATCTGTGACTATAGCTTAATCTTTCCAGGGTCCCCAGAGTAGGTCAGCATCATGACTACTAATTTCTGGTCGATGGAAGTTGCAACTTAAAATGCTCCAGGTAAGACAAAGGAGTAGGACCTGTGTTCTCACTGCCACCAAATTATTCAGGCCCTTTAAAGATATCAGATAACTAAACCATTTATTCTAGACATTTTGTTGAAGATTCAGACACTCTAATTTTCCAGTCAAAGGAAGTCTAAGTTCAATTTGTTTCAACATTATCTTTGGGCTAGATTCAGCCAGGATTTTGTTTACGTACCTAGAGGATTGTGGTGGCCATCACCCAATTGCCCCTTCTGTGTTGACATCTCTGTATCTAGCAGGTGGCATATAACCATGTACATAGCAGACTCTCAATAAATATTTGTTGAATAAATGAAATATCCCAGGGCTCAGAATCATATAGGCTGAGTTCAAATTTGAACTCCATGTCTTCTGTTCTAAATGCTAAATAATGGGCAAAGCAAGATAGGTAAGATTTGATTTCTGCCTTCAAAGAGCTCACAATGAGGGGTAGGAAATTAAACAGGGAGGCAAAGAGACAGGTATGTAAACAAATCTCTAGATCCATATGTAAACCCAGGAAACTTGTGGGCATTTTAGCAAGTCCTGTTGGTTCGTTCAAAGGAACTTGAGTCAGAGATATCAATAAGAACCTCAGCTGTACCTGACTAAGCTGTACTCAGAAAAGGAATTCCTATAACAGACCAGTTACTTGGAAATAGGCACCAACACATTGCCAAGGCCAGGTGAACAGGTGTTTTTATGGGTCAGCTCATCCACTGCTAAGAAGACTGCCATCAGTAATCTGGCATCCTTGGGCTCCCTAGTAATCACTGGTGTGTTTTGCTCTAAGTCCTTAGCATGAACACTATTTTTTTTTTTTTGTAATTCTGTTTCTGTAGGGTACTGTATAGGTGCCTAAGTGATCAGCGATTTTTGTCCTCACAAGCTTTTGTTGCTTGCTTACTATAAGCACAGGCTCTGTGCTGAGTACTGGAGGATCAGAGGTGGAAAACACAATCCCTGTCCTCCAGATTTATAGTGCAGAGTGAACAGACAAGTAGCAGACATGTACCTAGACACGTAACTAACTTGGTAATAGACTCTGAAAGGGGCATACAGAGGAATAGTTTATGAGCAAAGATGTAATCACAGCTTATTCATAATAGTTGGAATGTGGAAATGATACCCAGTGAATGGCTATAAACCACAGAATACTCAGTTGATATAAAGCTATAATGTCCTTAAAAATAAGAAGTAATTTGTAACTAATTTGGAAAATGCTCAGTTGTAATAATAGGCAAGAAAGAGGCAGATATAGAATATTAGAATATAGACACAGATATAGAATATAGAATATTATCACCATGCAAAAAAGCTAAGAATCAAAACAAAATAAATAAATATTTCTATATATATGTGTGTGCAAGATTAGAATGATTTACACAGAAAACATAACCGAATATTTTCTAGTATAAGACTTCGTGGTTGCTTTTACTTTTTTCTTCTTTTGAGTGTTTTCAAAGTTATATAAAATCAGCATTCACGCATTTTAAGATGAGACTAAAACATCAATCAGTGTTTGTTTTCAAATGTCCTGGTTACTATAAATTAATGAAGCATTCTAAGTGTGAGGTGTTAGTGAGGTTGTTTTTAAAATGGATTGAATAAATGATGTGAGTGTATTGATCCATGATGATCCGAATTAGATGAAGACTCATTAGATACAGATGAAGCCAAATCCAAAATACAGGATTTGCTGAGAAATGCCATTGTGTCTCCCAAGAGCAATTGCTAAGCTTGCAACGTTAGGAAAAACAAATCTGCTAAGGAGGGAAATAGTGATAAAATCTGCTGTATCTATTAAATAATGATCTGTCTTGTTCTTTCTCTCTTTCTTTCTGCTCCCCCTCTCTCTCCCTCTTTTCTCAGGATAAAGAGAAGGAATAAAATATTCAAGATTTTGATATGCATATGGGTAGTAACGTTTATCTGTATTTAACTTGAAACTGGACATTGTCTACATAACCTTCTCTATTGATCTGCACATTTATGTACTATCATAAAGGGCAGGCAAAGGGTCTCAGAATCCATGAGAAATGTGGTTTAAATGATATATTTTGTGCCTTGCTCATCCATGAGTCTTGTTCTTTGGCATTCACATTATGGCTCTAAGAGTAATCTGAAAATATACTTTTCGGATAAATTCAGTGTTCTTTACCTGTCTGAGTTCTTCTGAATTTCAGGCTATGTTGGTGGGATGGTGACAAGGTCAGTGAGTCAAGATACTTTTGGGGAAGAAGAGTCCTACTGGGTTAAGAAGAAAGCTACAGAGAGTCAAGGTCAGGGCTTGGAGCTCAGTTCTTCCGACTTTTGGCCAAATGGGTCCATGTTAAATTTTGTTTAATAGACTGTTAGTTTCTTGAAGTCAAGTATAACATCATTTATATTTACCTCCTTAGAATTTAGCATGATGCTTGACATGTAAAATATACTGAATGAGGTCAGGCGCAGTAATTCCAGCACTTTGGGAGGCCGAGGTGGGCGATCACCTGAGGTCGGGAGTTCGAGACCAGGATGACCAACATGGAGAAACCCTGTCTCTACTAAAAATACAAAATTAGCCAGGAATGGTGGCACATGCCTGTAATCTCAGCTACTCAGGAGGCTGAGGCAGGAGAATTGCTTGAACCCGGGAGGTAAAGGTTGCGGTGAGCTGAGATCACGCCATTGCATTCTAGCCTGGGCAACAAGAGTGAAATTCCGTCTCAAAAAAAAAAATACTGAATGAATAAATGAATGATAAATGAATATACCTTTAGCATTTTACAAATGCCCAGTACCAAGTGAATGCTGATACTTTCTCAAGTCTTTATTGGGTAGAATTCTATATTGCCTAAAATACATGAGAATTGAACAAGTGACTTGCCTAATATCTCTATAAGATCAATATTAAACTTGTTATTCATGTATATATTTGTGTATTATGACAGGGACTGAATGTTAGCTCTGTATCAGGCTTTATGTTGTAGATCAGTGAGCTAACTCTTTCTAATAATATCCTATTAATATTCCTAACAATTTCTGAACACATGGAAGAAGTTTCAGTTTTTAAATTACAAATTTAATTTCTTTAATAGTTATAGGGCCATTCAACTAATCTATTTAATATTGAGTGATTTGTGGTAGTTTGTGTTTTTTAACTAACTGGTCCACTTCATCCAAGCTTTTAAACTTAAATGTGAAGAAATGTTCTTAGTACTCTCTTATCCTTTTGAAGCCTGCAAAGCTCATCATAATATTCCTGTTTTATTCTGGATATTAGTAATTTGTATCTTCTTTTTTTTGTCAATTTTGCCAACATTTTGTCACTTTATAGATCTTTTTTTAAAAAATAGCTCTTTGTTTCATTAATTTTCCCTATTGGTTTTATGCCTTCAATATAATCGGTTTCTGTTTTTACTTTGTTATTTCTTTCCTTCTTGCTTTGCATTTATATTGTTCTTCTTTCCTGAGTTATTGAGATGGGAGCTTAGCCATTAATTTAAGACTTTTATTCTTTTTATTTCTTAAATTTTTAATTTTAAATCTTGTGGCTACATAGTGGATGTATATATTTATGTGTTACATGAGATATTTTAATACAGGCACACAATGCATGATAATCACATTAGGGTAAATGGGGTATCCATCCCCTCAAGCATTTATCCTTTGTGTTTTTAACAATCCAATTATGCTGTTTCTGTTATTAAAATTTTTTTCAATAGTTTTCGGTCTTTTAGTTATTTTAAATGTAGGATTTTTTTTTCTATGGTATAATTTGAAGTCAGGCAATGTGACTCCTCTAGTTTTGTTCTTTTTGCTTAGAAAAGCTTTGGTTATTCTGCATCTTTTGTGGTTCCATATACATCTTAGAATTGTGTCTATTTCTGTGAAGAATATCCTTGGTGTTTCAATAGAGATTGCATTGTTTGTAGATTACTTTGGGTAGTATAGACATCTTAACAATATTGATTCTTCTAATCCTTGAACATAGAATATCTTTCAAATTTTTGTGCCCTCTTCAATTTCTTACATATATGTTTTATAATTTCTGTTGGAGAGATCTTTCATTTCCTTGGTTAAGTTAATCCCTAGGTATCTAATTTTATTTGTAGCTCTTTTAAATGGGATTACCTTCTTGATTTTTGTTTTCAGATTGCTGTTGGCATATAAAAATGCTACTAATTTTTGTACGTTGATTTTGTGCCCTGAAGCTTTATTGGATTTGTTTATCAGTTCTAATAGTATTTTGGTGGAGTCTTTAGATTTGTTTCAAACATAAGATCATATCATCTGCAAAGAAGGATAATTTGATTTACTTGTTTTCAATTTGTATGTCCTTTATTTCTTTATCTTGTCTTATTGTTCTAGCTAGGACTTTTAGTATTATTTTGAATTACAATGGTGATAGTAGATATCCTTGTCATAGTCCAGATTTCAGAGGAAAGTCTTTCAGTTTTTCCCCATTCAGTATGATATTAGCTGTGGGTCTGTTATATATGGCTTTTCTTTTTAAATGTATGCACTTAATGCTATATATTTTTTCTCAGCATTGCTTTAGCTGTCTACAACAAGTTTTGATATTCAGTATTTTAATTTTTATTCAGGTTAATGAATTTTTAAATTTTCCCTTAGATTTCCTTTTTGACTCATGGCTTATTTAGAAGTATATTGTTTATCTGTATGTCTATCTATCTGTCCATCCATTATTTATCATCTATCTATCTTTTTCTATAATTTACCACAGTCTGCTGATACCATCACTTCACCAGTTTAAGCAATGTGTAGAAACATTACCTTCCTTTTTGTTCCTTGGGTATTTTCCGGTTACCTTCTGTTACTGATTTCTGTTGTATTCCATCATGGCTGGAGAATACATTCTGTATGATCTCAATTCTTCTACATTTGTTTTATGGCCCAGGATGTGATCTATTTTGGTATGTGTTCTATGGAAACTGAAAAATAATGTGTATTATGCTTCAGTTGGGTGGAGTGTTCTATAAAGGTCAATTAGATTATGACATTTGATTGTGTTTTGAATCTACTATACTTTGATAATTTTCTATCTAGTTCCATCAATTTTTGAGAGAGAGGTGTTAAATTATTCAACTATATTTTTAAATTTTTTTTTAATTCTATTAGCTTTTGCTACACATAATTTGCAGTACTGTTGTCTATATACTTTAGGATTGCTATGTCTTCTTGCTGAATTGACCTTTTCATCATATAATGTCCCTCTGTGTCTATGATAATTTGCTTTGCTCTGAAGTTTACTTTATCTACTTTATCTGATATTGATATAGTTACTTAAGTCTTTCTTTGCTTAGTTTGTAGATCTTTTTTATTCTTTTAATATTTATATATGAAGTGAGTTTCTTGTAAACAGCATATAAATGAGTTATGTTTTTAACCCACTCTGCCAATCTCTTTGAATTGATTTATTTAATATAATTTACATTTATTTATTTATTTTTTTTGAGACAGAGTTTCACTTTTGTTGCCCAGGCTGGAGTGCAACAGCCCGAACTTGAGTCACTGCAACCTCTGCCTCCCAGGTTCAAGTGATTCTCTTGCCTCAGCCTCCCAAGTGGCTGGGATTACAGGTGCCTGCCACCACACCTGACTAATTTTGTATTTTTAGTGGAGATGAGGTTTCACTATGTTGGCCAGGCTGGTCTTGACCTCCTGACCTCAGACTATATACCCACCTCAGCCTCCCAAAGTGGTGGGATTACAGGCGTGAGCCACCACAGCTGGCCTAAAATTTACATTTTGTAATCACTTATATTGTAGTGCTTATTACTAGAATTTTTTTTGTTTTCTGTTTTTTACATCAGTTTTTCAAGTTTATACTTGCTTCTTGCTTTTCTATAGTTACTTAAATACTTTTTAGAATTCCATTTTGATGTATAGTATTTTTGAGTGTTTATATAGCTTTATTTTGTTGTTGTTGTTTTTTATTTTTGAGACAGGGTCTTGCCTTGTCACCCAGGCTGGAGTGCAATGGCCAGATCTTGGCTCACTGCAACCTCTGCCTCTTGAGTTCAAACGATTCTCCTGCCTCAGCCTTCTGAGTGGCTGGGATTACAGGCGCCCGCCACCACACCCAGCTAATTTTTCTAGTTTTAGTAGAGATGGGATTTCACCATGTTGGCCAGGCTGGTCTGGAATTCCTGACCTTGTGATCTGCCTGCCTCATCCTCCCAAAATGCTGGGATTACAGGCGTGAGCCACCGCACCTGGCCTATATAGCTTTTTAAGTGGTTACTCTAGGTATATTATATTATAAACATTTCTTCCACATATATTGAGACCTATATCAGAGAGCTTTATAATTTTCACTTCTACTATTAAGCATAACTTTAGAGAACTCCAGAGTGAAGTGACAGTCCATTGTATTTACCTATATTTTTGCCTACTGTTTTCTTTTTTCTTTCTTAATGTTCTTTTTTTTTAAAAAAAATTTTTTTTGAGAGAGTCTCACTCTGTTGCCCAGGCTGGAGGGCAGTGGTGTGATTTTGGCTCACTATAACTTCTGCCTCCCAGGTTCAAGTGATTCTTCTCCCTCAGCCTCCATAGTAGCTGGGACTACAGGTGTGCACCCCCATACCTGGCTAATTTTTGTATTTTTAGTAGAGACGGGGTCTCACCATGTTGGCTAGGCTGGTCTCAAACTCCTGACCTCATGATCCATCTGCCTCAGCCTCCTAAAGTGCTGGGATTACAGGCGTGAGCCACTGTGCCTGGCCTCTTTCTTGATGTTCTAAGATTGATTGTTTAATCATTTTCTTTCTGTTGAGAGAACTTTCTTTAGCTATTCTTTTATGACATGTCTGTTGCTGACAAATTCTCAGTTTTTCTACATCAGAATGTCTTGAGTTCCCCTTCACTTTTGAAGTGTATTTTCCTTAAATATAGGATCTGGTTTAACAATTCTTTTATTTCACTTAACAAATATTGTTACATTTCCTTCTGATTTCCATAGTTTCTGATAAGAAATATACTTTCATTCAAATTCTTCCCCATGGGTAAGATGTCATCCTTATCACCCTGATTTCATTATTTTTCTCTGTTTTAAACTTTCAGAAGCTTTACTGTGATGGCTCTTGGCATGTATTTTTGTGTGTTTATTTTGTTTGCAATTCACTTAGCTTCTTGAATCTGTAGATTTATGCATTTTAACAAATTTGGCATGAGGTCATTATTTCTTTGAACTTTTTTCAGACACACCCCCTTTTTCCTTTTCTTTCAGAACTCTAATGACATGAATGTTAAATCTTTTGTTATAGCCATACAGGTCCTTCAGGTTCTGATCTTTTTAAAAAAATACACATTATATATTTTGTCTGTTATTCAGATTAGGTAATTTCTGTTCTTTTGTGTTTAAGTTTACTGGTTCTTTCTTCTGTACCCACTATTATTTCATTGATTCCATTTATTGTATATTTTATTTTAGTTATTATATTTTTTGGTTCTACAATTTCTACTTGGTTCTTCTTTATATCTTCTATTTGTTTGCTTAATATTTATATTTTTTCACTAAGCATGTTTGTAATTTCTACTTGAAACATTTTTTAATGATGATCTGCTATAAAATCTTTGTCAGATAATTGTACCTCTCTGTAATCTTGGTGTTTGCATCTATTGACTATGTTTTCTTTTATTCAGCTTGAGATCTTCCTGGTTTTTGGTGTGATAAGTGATTTTTATTTAAAACCTGGACATATTTGGCAGTTATATTATGAGTCTTTAGTATTATTTAAAGCTTCCGTTTTAGCTGGTATTTTAGCTTGGGCTGCTACAACAAAGATACTGTAAAAATTCATTTCTCATAGTTCTGAAGGCTGGGAAGTCCTAGATAAAAGCTCTGGCACATTTGGTGTCTGGTGAAGGCCCATCTCCTGGTTCATACATGACCATCCTCTTGCTGGGTCCTTACTTGGCAGTTGAAGAAGAAAGCCCTTTCAGGACTTTTATAAGGACACTAATTCCATTCATGAGGAATCTACCCTCATGGTTTCATCTAGCCCTAATTACCTCTCAAAGACCCATCTCATAATATCATTACATTAGAGGTTAAGGTTTCAACATATGAATTTTTGGGGAGACATGGGCATTTATAACATCTGGATGCCTTTTATACTGCTCTAGCCACCTCATAACTTCCACGTAGAGACAGAAGTCCAGATTCCCATGTGGCTGCTATTGACAGTCAAAGAGGGGAAGTTTCTCATTACTGCTGGACAGTGGTGAAAGTTCTGACTCTCTACCATGCCTCCACCATACCTCTCTAAAATATTTTTATTATTTAAGAGTGATGATAAAATTTGGGGGGATATCTCCTAGATTCCATTATAGTTGTGGGCCCAGAGATGATTTGATGAGGCAGGGGAAAGAGATGGCAAACAATGCATCCCATTTCTTCAATGCTTTGGTTAAAGTACTTTTACCTTAATCATGCTTGGCTAGGTGGCCTGAGAGCAAGCTGACAGAAAATAGTGGATGAAGAGGGAGAAAGTGATAAGAGAGGACAAAGACATGATGATGATTAATTAATGGACTAAGTTCCTGCGGTATATTTCCATAGGGTGGAGGCATGATTTATATATTGTGTGGCAGCATGTATAAGGGAAGGAAAAGGAATTACTAAGATGAGGTTCAACTTCTAGACTCAAGGATTTAGGCTTCTTTGGAGGGGAACTACTATTTTATAGCTTTATTCTCCTTTTATTTTCAGTAATATCAGTAAGTCAGGTTTTATAGGCTCACCTTACAGACAAACATCCCTTGGCTCAATGAGTTTAAATGACTTGTCTAAAATCACCCAATTCGTTAATAGCACCAAGAAAGCAGGTAATACATTTTTTTAGTGGATGAATGAGTCACCCCAAATTTCTGGTATCTTGACTTCCAGAGGTCTGACAGATGTCATAGTTCCATCCAGAGAGTGTGGAGGACTTCTTTTCTGCCAAAGTTGCAGAGCTTCTTCCACATTTCATAAACAACACTTAGAAGACCTTGACAAATACAGTGGTCTAATGCAAAATTATTTTGTAGTGCTCTTTCCTCTTCTGTAGACATTTACACTGTTTTATAAGGTCTTCAACATTTAGAAACATGACAAACATTCTCTAAGTTAGTATTAATGTGAAACCAGTGAATTTCAGCAGTAACCAAATATCCAAATACAGACAATTGCAGAGGGTCAAACCACGGTAAAATGCATCACCATCCCTGGACCCATTCCCAGGGGAAGCAGTTTTTCTGTAGTAAATTTTACAAGTTGAAAGGGTTGACATATTATGGTCTTGAAAAATCATATATTATACAATCTATTAGATGAATACTCTTCATTTCACAATTACCTGTACTTTTGTGGAACATTTAAAGTAAGCAATTTCCATGAAGTCTTCCTGTTAGTGGCACACTCTGCTTCTGAAGAAAGACCCAGTGGTTATAAGCATGGAGTCCAGGATAAAGGAAGCATGAGGTAGTGTTTTGACTTACTAATCTTCAGGGATCCTTACCTCAATTTCCACTTTGTCCATGTTCTCTCTTGGTCATTGTCATGGCCAAAGTCTCCTTAAATCTGGAACTCCAAATCCCACTTTCCATCTTTTACTTTTAGTTTCTCTCCTCTCTCTCTTGCCCTCTACCTATCCTTTAAACCTCCAAACTCTGGGATCTTTTGTTGTTTTTCAGTTATCACCCTGCTTTGTGCTTCACATTCCTTGCTATCCAGCTTAGCTCAATAGAGTTATCGTGACCCACCATTTCACTAATGTTTTCATAAATAGCTTTTCATTGCTCACTTGTCTTTATTGTAAAGCTCAACCCTGTACCAATTTAACCTCTCAGTGTCTCATTTCAATATCTAGACAGCTGAATTCTGATACAGAAATCATGTGATATGGTTTGGCTCTGTGTCGCCATCCAAATCTAATCTTGTATTGTAATCCCCATGTGTCGAGGGACCTGTAATCCCTATGTGTGGAGTGACGGAGGCGATTGGATCATGCGGGCCGTTTCCCCCATGCTGTTCTTGTGATAGTGAGTGAGTTCTCATGAGATCTGATGGCTTTATATATGTTTGGAAGTTCCTCCTTCATTCTTCTCTCTCCTGCTGCATTGTGAAGAAGATGCCTGCTTCCCCTTCTGCCATGGTTGTAAGTTTCTGAGGCATCCCCGGCCATGTGGAACTGAGTCAGTTAAATCTTTTTCTTTTACCCAGTCTCAGGTATTCTTTATAGCAGTGTGAAAATGGACTGATATACTGAGCTACCATGGATATTTGGTATCATTTCACATTCGGGGTCTCAACTGGCCTTTGGGGCCTGGGGCCAATTCTTCTGCATTTCTCCATGGTTAACATCATCTTTCATTCCTTTAGCAGCTATTAAAATTTTCGCTTCTTTGTTCAAACCTCAGACTTACCACCACTGTTATTATTCTCAGCAGCTGATTGCACACTCAACTGAAAAAAAATAAAGGCCAAAGGTGAGATTTTCAACAATTTAATTTTCTGACAGTCATATATTCATCTCTTTGTGTATATCCATATTCTCTTCTCATCTTTCCTATCTCAGTGCATGTGATGTAACTCCTTCGGATTCAAGTATTCTCATGAAAATATATACCAGATCTTACGCCCTCCTACTTCCTTAGGAATCTCATATTTTGTGTCAAATACCACTTTTTTTGGTTTGTATTTTATGACTCTCTTTTCCTTTCAAATAGCAAGGTGCACATATTAAAAAATTAGCAAGCCAACAGACAACCCTAAAATTTACCTTCTCAAGACTATTTATGTTCTTATTTTCCTTTCTTAGCCAATTTCTTGACAAATCAGCCCACACTTAAGGTCATTTTCTTTTTCTAACTTTCTGTCTGTGGATTTACCAACTATAATTTGGCTTCTATTTCTACCATATCACTGAACCACTCTTTATAAGAACATGTGATGTTAGTATTGATCCCCAAACATTTGATTCTTTTTTGTCTTTAACTTTCTGTATCATGTGGAAATATATCTGCTTAATTAATTAATTAAATTAATTAATTTATGAATAGGTAATAAATTCACATAGTTAAATGTTCAAAAGTGCTACAAGGGAAGACAATGAAAAATTCTTTTTACCATCCTTGTCCTCATTTGTTTTTCATTCTTGGCGATATCCCAGTTCTATCAGTTTCATCAGTAGTTTTTATATGTGTGAGCAAAGACACATACTTATAAATTTATGCACCTATGTGCATATACAATTTCACATATATCTTTCCTGACTTCTTAAAAACAGAAGTAAACATTCATTAACTTACCACTATACACTTGATGAAAGATTGTATACATCAGTAATTTTAATAGATATTAAGAAACATTTCAAGGACATTGTCCGGTTTATAATGCAACCAACCAGCAATTTAGGAGTACCTATTGCTTCTCACTGCTGCTAATACAGTGTTAGCAAAATTTTTAATTTTGCTCATTTGACAGGCAAACATTGCATCTCAGGGTACTTTTAATTTTCCTTTATTTTATGAGACAGATGAAACTTTTTTTCGTATTTTTAACTGCCATTTGTATTTTTTCTGTTAAATATATGTATCTTTTTGTATGTGTCTATTAAGTTGTTAATATTTTCCCCATTAGTTTGCAGAAGATCTTCAGGGAAATTAGATCTTTCTCTGTTATATGAATTCCCAAGCAGTACTTTTTCCTCACAACAACAAATCCTTCCTTGGATCCTTCCTCTTCCTCATCATCTGAAGCCCATTCTCTTTTAAATTTCCTATTCCAATATCGGTCTCTTTTTCCAAGAACCCCTTGTGGGCTCCTTCACTTTTGCATATTGGCATCTCACAGGTCTTCATTTACAACTCTCTCTTCTTATTCCATATATATATATATGGAATATATATATATGGAATATATATATATATATGGAATATATATATACGGAATATATATGGAATATATATACGGAATATATACGGAATATATATATACGGAATATATATACGGTATATATATATACGGAATATATATATACGGAATATATATACGGAATATATATATACGGAATATATATACGGAATATATATATACGGAATATATATACGGAATATATATATACGGAATATATATACGGAATATATATATACGGAATATATATACGGAATATATATATACGGAATATATATACGGAATATATATATACGGAATATATATACGGAATATATATATACGGAATATATATACGGAATATATATATACGGAATATATATATACGGAATATGTATACGGAATATATATATACGGAATATGTATACGGAATATATATATACGGAATATGTATACGGAATATATATTACGGAATATGTATACGGAATATATATATACGGAATATGTATACGGAATATATATATACGGAATATGTATACGGAATATATATATACGGAATATGTATACGGAATATATATATACGGAATATGTATACGGAATATATATATACGGAATATGTATACGGAATATATATATACGGAATATGTATACGGAATATATATATACGGAATATGTATACGGAATATATATATACGGAATATGTATACGGAATATATATATACGGAATATGTATACGGAATATATATATATGGAATATATATATACGGAATATATATACGGAATATATATATACGGAATATATATACGGAATATATATATATACGGAATATATATACGGAATATATATATATGGAATATATATACGGAATATATATATATATGGAATATATATACGGAATATATATATATGGAATATATATACGGAATATATATATATGGAATATATATACGGAATATATATATATGGAATATATATACGGAATATATATATATGGAATATATATACGGAATATATATATATGGAATATATATACGGAATATATATATATGGAATATATATACGGAATATATATATATGGAATATATATACGGAATATATATATATGGAATATATATACGGAATATATATATATGGAATATATATACGGAATATATATATATGGAATATATATACGGAATATATATATATATGGAATATATATACGGAATATATATATATATGGAATATATATACGGAATATATATATATGGAATATATATACGGAATATATATATGGAATATATATACGGAATATATATATATATATGGAATATATATACGGAATATATATATATATGGAATATATACGGAATATATATATATGGAATATATACGGAATATATATATATATGGAATATATATACGGAATATATATATATGGAATATATATACGGAATATATATATATATGGAATATATATACGGAATATATATATATATGGAATATATATACGGAATATATATATATATGGAATATATATACGGAATATATATATATATGGAATATATATACGGAATATATATATATGGAATATATATACGGAATATATATATATGGAATATATATACGGAATATATATATATGGAATATATATACAGAATATATATATATGTGGAATATATATACGGAATATATATATGTGGAATATATATACGGAATATATATATATGTGGAATATATATACGGAATATATATATATGTGGAATATATATAAGGAATATATATATATGTGGAATATATATAAGGAATATATATATATGTGGAATATATATACGGAATATATATATATGGAATGTATATACGGAATATATATATATATGGAATGTATATACGGAATATATATATATATGGAATGTATATACGGAATATATATATATATGGAATGTATATACGGAATATATATATATGGAATGTATATACGGAATATATATATATGGAATGTATATACGGAATATATATATATGGAATGTATATACGGAATATATATATATGGAATGTATATACGGAATATACATATGGAATATATATATATACGGAATATACATATGGAATATATATATATACGGAATATATATATGGAATATATATATATGGAATATACATATGGAATATATATATATGGAATATATATATATAGGAATGGTCATATTAATCATATCCTTTTATGTGGCTTCAATACTAGTTTATATGCTGACATATTTGAATCAAGTTCTCTAGACAGACCTCCTTGCTAAACTTCAGAATTACATCACCAACTTCCTACTAGATAGCTGGTTATCTTCATGAAATATTTTGTAGACATCTAAAACCCAACTGGTTCATGAGAGAACTCTTCATCCTCAGCTCCCTTGTCTCCTCCAATAGTCCGGTAACTAAGCCACAAACCTGCTAACCTCTTGTATATCAAATCAATGTGAATATGATTAATATTAACCAGTTACTTGAACCAGAAATCTGAGTCCTCTCAGATCTCTCCTTCCCTTCATTCCCTAGATTCTAAGTCTTCAGGTCTTCCTGATTTAGATGTGAAATCTATCTTATTAATTCCTCCTCTCTACTTCCAAACCCTTTCCTTACTTAAAGTCCTCATTACTTTTTACTCAGATAAGTAACAACTTGGCTGCTCACCTCCCTTCCCAGCCCCTTGATTCATCTTCTACAAGGGGGTTGCTGGGATGAGCTTCCCCAAATCTGCTTCATCACTTTCTTGCTAAAGACTTTATCATGGCTTTCCGTGTATTTTGAAGTGAAAATTCTTATTGTAGCTCATAGAGTTCTCATGGTAAGTGGAAAAAAAACCTCCAAAGATATCTACACTGAGCCCTTGGAATCTTTGAATGTTATATGGCAGAAAAAGCTTTGAGAGTGTGATTAAGTTAGGATCTTGAGATGGAGAGAGGATCATAGATTATACAGGTGGGCCCTAAATGTAATAACAAGTGTCCATATAATAGGGAGTCAGAGGGATATTTGACTGTAGAAAAGGAGAAGGCAATGTGATGACAGAAAGCGGGGATCGGAGTGATGGTGCCAAGGAACACCAGCATCCTTAGAAGCTGGCAGAAACAAGAAGTGGACTCTACCCTGGATCCTCCAGGAGAAACCAGCTCTACTCACACCTTGATTTTAGCCCTGCAAGACTCATTTTGGACTTCTGGTTTCCAGAACTGTTAGAGAGTAAGTTTTTACATTTTTAAGCCTCTAAGTTTGAGGTAATTTGTTATAGCAGCAATAGGAAACTAATACAGTCCTTTTTGCTCTTAGCTTTTGGTCCTTTCTTCCATAAATCAGTCCAGCCACAGTGAATTTCTTTTGTATCCATGAACACATAATACTCTTTTAAGTCTTCATTTTTTTTTTTTTTTTTTTTTAAGAGATGGGGTCTCATTTGGTTGCCCAGGCTGGTCTTGAATTCCTGGCTTCAAGTGACCCTCCTTCTCCGCCTCCCAAAGTGCTGGGATTACAGGTGTGAGCCAACATGCCCAGCCTTCAGTCTTCATTCTTTTATGCATAAAATCACTTATATTGAAGGCTTTCTCTATTTTTATCCAAGTAAATATCACTTCATTTTAAACTCTAAACCCAATCTGACTTCATTTCCCCAAATCCATGTTCGGCGAGGCGGTATACTGTAATTGCTGACTTACCTCTCCATTGTATTGTAATTACTATCTCCATCATACAGTAATTACTGACTTACCTCTCTGTCTCCTTTATTGGCCTCAGAGCTCCTTAAGAGTGGGTGGCATGTCCTTTCTGGCCTTGCAACCTCTTTACCCAGTGCAGTGCTTGGCACATATCTGACTCTTAGTTAATGTTTATTAATTAAGAAAATAAAATAAAATTGACCTGGGCATATCCTACTGCTTTTTAAAATATCTATTGTAATCCTCCCATTTGCCCATGTAGACAAACTGGGCATAAAAAAAAAGTCACCTTCAGCATGAGTACACTCATCTATCTATTTGCTTTCCATCTTTGCAAGTGGTTGTTCTATCATTAGATTTGGTTAAAACAGGGGCAGTCCATAGTCTGAAGTGTTGGTGATCTACTAAGGAGTTGAATGTGCATTATTGGGTTATGAGTGGAGTTAGGAAAGTATCGAGCCAGGAGACCCAAGTTCTAGTTGTGAGTTTGTCATAGACCTACTGAGCTACTTACTTGTATGAAAATAGTGTCTTTGTTTCTGTGTAGCCTATTATTTAAATCCTGAGGTAGAATAGAATTTCATCAAGATTTAAGATTTAATTTATATTTATTCCATTTATTTAGCCATCCTAGATATTTGGATGAAATAAAATACTTACATATTTTCCCCAATGACTTTAATATGGATAGCATAGTTTATCAGATATTATACTAGTTTCTTTCATTTCCCATAAAGCTTCGTGTTCTACCTCCCTTGACTTTCATAATTTTCAGAAGTTCTTTTCCTTTATACTCCTGGGAAATTTGGAGGAAAAACTTTTTTCCTGGTTTCCTTTTTCTGCATTGCTCTCTCCCTTTTTCCTTTCTGGTTCCCCTTTGTCCTCCCCTCCCACACACATCTAAGGGAGAATTCATGTCTCAGAAGCCTTGAATTGCCTTTAATGTTCTTATATTCTGTATGCTGAGAGTATTGTGGTGTATTATTAGTGTTTTATTTATTTTAAATTTCTGTAGTTGTATTATGGTAGGTAGCCTCTAAGATTGTCCCCCAATTATTCTTGCCATTTGTTTTTCGTGCCCTTGTATAGTCCTTTCCCCTCCTCTTGAGTGTGAATGAAAGAAATGAGATGTAACTTCTTCTTCTTTTTTTTTTTTATTATTTTACTTTAAGTTCTGGGACTCATGTGCAGAATGAGCAGGTTTGTTACATAGGTATACATGTGCCATTGTGGTTTGCTGTACCTATCACCCCATCATCTAGGTTTTAATTCTTACATGTATTAGGTATTTGTCCTAATGCTCTCCTTCCCCTTTCCCCCCACCCCCTGACAGGCCCTGGTGTATGATGTTTCCCTCCCCGTGTCCATGTATTTTTGTTGTTTAACTCTCACTTATGAGTGAGAACATGTGGTGTTTGGTTTTCTGTTCCTGTGTTAGTTTGCTGAGAATGATGGCTTCCAACTTCAACCAAGTCCCTGAAAAAGACATGAACTCATTCTTTTTTATGGCTGCATAGTATTCCATGGTGTATGTGTACCACAATTTATTTATCCAGTCTATCATTGATGGACATTTGGGTTGGTTCCAAGTCTTTGCTATTGTAAATAGTGCTGCAATAAACATACATGTGCATGTGTCTTTATAGTGGAATGATTTATAATCTTTTGGGTATATACCCAGTAATGGGATTGCTGGGTCAAATGGTATTTCTGGTTCTAGATCCTTGAGGAATCACCACACAGTCTTCCACATTGGTTGAACTAATTCACCCTCCCACCAACAGTGTAAAACCATTCCTATTTCTCCACATCTCCAGCTTCTGTTGTTTCCTGACTTTTTAATAATCTCCATTCTAACTGGTGGGAGATGGTATCCCATTGTGTGTCACTTCTAAGATTAGGTTACAGGAAGACTGTGGCTTCCATCTTGCTTGATCCCCTCTTAATCTTGCTCACAGGCTCCTCATGCAAGAAGCCAGGTGTCATGGTGTGAGCTGCCCTAAGGAGAGGCCCATATGACTAGGAACTGATGTTGTTGGCCAACAGCCAGTGAGGACCTGAAGCCTGCTAACAGCCATGAGAATGAGCTTGGAAGTGGAGCCTCCTCCAGTCAATCCTCGAGATGACTGAAGCCTGGGCATGACTTTTGATCCACAGAAACTGAGACAATAACTCTTTGTTGTTTTAAGCCACTAAGACTTCAAATAATTTGTTATGCAGCAATGGATAACTAAGACATATATTTTAATGCTTATAATAGGGGTTTCTTGTTAAAACCTGTTACCTAATCCAGTCTACTATGTACTTTCATTCTTTCTGAGTCAGTGTTCTACATGAGGCAGAAACAGCCCTCAGTGGGAGACAGAAGACTCAAGATCTAGATGTTGTCCTGACAAACAAGGTAGTCTTTGTTTCCTCAGCTGGAAATTAGATTGTCAAAATTGGCTGTACACTGGAGTCATCTGGGAGACTTTTAAGATTATTGAATACTAGGTTCCACCCATAGAAATTCTGATTTAATTGACTCGGGCATTGGCATTTAAAAAAATCTGTCTGGGTGATTCTAATATGCAGCAAAGATTGAGAACCACCGCTCTAATACAGTTGTTCTCAAAGGATGTTCCCCCAGCCAGTAGCACCAGGATCACCTTATGAACTCATTATAAATGCAAAATCTCATACCCCTTTTCAGATCCATTGGTTCAGAAACTCTGAGGTGGGGCTCAGCAACTTGTGTTTAACAAGGCTCCCAAGTGATTCCAATGTATTCTGAAGTTTGAGGCTCACCTCTTAGCCGAGATGATTATGCAGGATTCTTCCAGTTCAAAAGTATTTGTCTGTTTTCCTGCTCTGGGAACGCCACATCAGTCTCTCGCACTCAGATCCCATTCACTTACAGTGTATGGCCTATCAAATTTCTAGCTGTGTATTGCTGTTGCCCTAAACTTGAAAATCCAGGTGCCCTGAAAGCTTAGAATTTTCCTGATGTAATAGTTGTTATCAGTCTGTTAACTGGTGATTCAACATGGTTAATGTTGCAGGGCTGAAGTTTCCAAGAAACCTAGATTGGTATGAACCAGGTAAGAAGTATTTTATTTCTATTGAGGGTACTTTCCCACAGATATACCATTCTGACATCACAGAAGACTCATGTGTGCTTTGAGGAGCCCGGAATCTTCTGATAGAAAAATAAATAATATAAAATAAAATAAAATAAATAAAGTTTGAAAGACAGAGGAAATGAAAATAGAGGTAGATACTGGGACCAAAGAATTTGTCAGTTTGATATAAACTTATCAGATTCTTCCCAGTTTCCCTGTTTGTTCAAAGTTGATACTTGGTTTATTAGTATAGGAAAGATAAGACAAAAATAGTCCAGGAAGAGACATCTATACCAGCTGTGATAGGAGAAGGGATGGTTGTGGTGATGATAGGGCCGGATTTTGATGAATCACCAGGTTGGTTAACTGTTTAGTCACTTTTCATCAGTTTAGTCAATCCCTTCACTTTGACCAACTATATGAATTCACCTATTACATATTAGATCTCAAGAAGAAATCTGCACTTTGATGGTTACTGGTTTTTTTTGTTGTTGTTGTTTGTTTTTTGAGATGGAGTCTCATTCTGTCACCCAGGCTGGAGTACAGTGGCGTGACCTTGGCTCACTGCAACTTCCGCTTCCCCGGTTCAAATATTTTTTCTGCCTCAGCTTCCCAAGTAGCTGGGGTTACAGGCATGTGCCACCACACCTGGCTAATTTTTGTAATTTTAGTAGAGGTGGAGTTTTGCCTTATTGGCCAGGCTGGTCTGGAACTCCTGACCTCAGGTGATCCACCCACCTTGGCCTCCCAAATTGCTGGGATTATAGTCATGAGCCACTGAACCTGGCTGATGTTACTGTTTTGCAAGCAGTTTTTCATAGTAGTAAAAGCAAATAATATTTAAGTTCCTTGAACTCAAGTGTGGGTTAAATTGACATTTACAGAGAAGGGCTCTGCTACACACACACACACACACACACACACACACACACACACACACGTCATCTATAAACATTATATCAAAATTGAATGCAGCACTTTTCAGGAGTCTAAGTATTCTGGTGCCATCTTTTTGTATGTACATTTTATCTTGTATGTATATTTTTCTAACATATACATATATGTATTTTTATCTGTTTTATAATGTTTATATTCATTATTTGGCCCTCGACAGATATGTAGCCAAGGTTGGCACAATAGAAATCATAGCTTTTGTTATCTAGCATAAACAACTTGATTGGCACTTGGCAGTAACTCAAAATCTTCACTTATATTGCTTCTAATTCTTATAGATCTTTCCAAAGTAATTCTTATTCCCATTTTATAGATATATGAACTGAGGATCGGAAAGGCAAAGGGACTATCTTAAGGTATTGCTGCAGATACTGGGGCAGATATTGGATTGGAAACTAGATTTCTTAGATTCCGAAGCTGGGATCCAGTTCTACATGCTCATCATACAACATCATGCTGACAAAAAAAAAAAAACACAGAGAAGTTAAGTGATCTCGAATCTTGCAACACTTCCGACCCTTTCCCTGTTCCCCTTTCTACTGCCCTAGTTTCACATTCACTCCCTATCATCAGGGATAGTGTTATTTACCCATTTCCCCATCTCCAGGCACTTGGTCTCCTAGTCTCCTTTCTTCTGAGATGTTGCTGCAGCAACAGTCAATGCCAGAAGACAGTGGAGTAAAGTCCATAAAGTTCTAAGGAGAAGAACTTGAGCCAAGAAGTTTAGAATCTGCCAATTTGCCTTCTAAGTAATAAGGCAAAAGGGAGACATCTCCGGCATTTGGGAACTTTTGGAATACAGCATCAATGAGTACTTAAAAAAATTCATTCAAGTGTTTGTTTCTTGATAAAAATCCAACCAAACTAAAGGCCCTAGGAGGAAAGAAGCCACTGTAAAAAGCCTGGCTCTTGTATTTTTCCTATTTCCTAGAAAGTTTTAAGATCACTGGACCACCCTGTATAAATATTCCACACTCAAATACTCTTCTCTCTTCCTTCTTCACCTGCTTTATTTTTATTGATAGCATCTATCATTGCCTGACATACTTTATATGTGCATGTATGTGTGTAGACAGAATATTATTTTTTATTGCTTGTCTCTCACCATAAGTTCCATGAGAGCAGGGACTCTATTTTATTTGCTCTGTTTTATTCACCACTGTATACTCATGATGTTAAATAGCACCTGGCACATAATGGGTGCTCAATTATATTGTATACATTTAAAATATAATTTAAATGGTATATAGTTATAGTTATCATTTTAGAGTAAAATGCAAATTCTCTAAACACTGACAAATTGAAAATAGTAATATAGCTAATAAATGTGGGAGGAAGGGAAATGAGAGGTGAGAAACTAAGTAATTATGCCAGTCCTCTGTGAAACCAAGGGTACAACAAAACGTTGAATGTTTAAATAGCTTCTTATAATATATTTTGTAATCTTTTATTTCTTGAACTTTAGAGGTATCGGTCACAAATTAACAAACGTTTCAGGTAAGAAACATTCAATTTAGCAGTTTATTTCAATTTTTCTTTAGTTTCTTTTTTACCATATTACATTTAAATGAACTTAAATATAATATTTTTATTGGAAATAACACTTATAACCCCATTGTTGTCTTTAATACCTTCTATCAATGTATTTGTATGTCTGTGAACTCTCCTTTCTTTTTCTTTTTGAGATGGAGTCTCGCTCTGTCGCCCAGGTTGGAGTGCAGTGGCATGATCTAGACTCACTGCAAGCTCTACCTCCCGGGTTCATGCCATTCTCCTGCCTCAGCCTGCTGAGTAGCTGGGACTACAGGTGCCTACCACTACGCCTGGCTAATTTTTTTGTATTTTTAGTAGAGGTGGGGTTTCACCTTGTTAGCCAGGATGGTCTCGATCTCCTGACCTCATGATCTGCCTGCCTCGGGCTCCCAAAGTCCTGGGATTACAGGCGTGAGCCACTGCGCCCGGCTATCCTTTCTGTTTCTATGTATAATAGAGTGGTAACTGAATTGATCTTCACCAAAGCCTGGCAATGCTTATTTTTAGGTGATGTGATGCTGGGTGGTTTTTTTAAAAAAAACTAACTTCTTTATATGTAGGTCAGTATGACTTGTATTTTTAATACTTAGTACATAATTTCTTTTAAAAGGAAAGACTAAAGTCACTATTTTAAGACAGCATGATTATTTCATCTATTTCACAAATATTTCCCAGGCAGTGAGCACAGGAAAAGTACCATGTCAGTTGCTATGGACGCCTGGTGTCCCAAGAGGATGGCAGTCTCATGATGTGAACACATGGTGCTTTTTTACATTTTCTTCCATGAGGTAAAAACGTAATCATGCTGCGGTATACCAATCCATGTTCATAACAATGGTCTTAAATGGCCAAGAAAAACAAACAACGGTTTTTTTTTTTTTGGCAAATGAGTGTGCAAAGCATTTATCACCTATATCTCCTCTGTCAGCTCCATGACGTGCAAGCATCATTTCAAATGGCTGCAAACTGCTGCTCAGAGACACCCATACCTCGGGGTCCCCCAGCTATGAAGTGGCAAAGCCAGACCAAAGCCCGTATTTTCTTACTCCAAATATTATGTTCTTTTCTTATACCCTGTTTTAGTATGTGGGAAAGTTTATGGTATGTTTTACAATGTTTTCATAAAAACAAAAAAATATTGCTAAGAGAAAAGATGACATTTCAGTTGTCTGAAGAACATATTTATGCTGAAGACCTCATCCCTGGTGTAAATGGAGCATTATTATTATTGCCAATATAGTGCTTCCTAGGCATCTCTTCATTAATTTCACACAGTCCTATGAGGAAGGTGTCTGACTGGTCCCATATTACAGACAAATAAGCTAAGGGTTGGAGAACTCAAGGTCAGGGAGAGGACAGGCCAGAGCTTGGATTCAAACCCAGGCAATCTGACTCTGGTACACACATCTCAATCACTGTATTTTCTTACCCCCAGCCAAGAAAGGAGGAATGCATTATTCAAGTCACACCTGTGACTGGAGGTTGCAGACTAAAACCTCAATGAATTATCTCATTCCTCTTACTCTATGGCTTTTTTCAACCGATTCCGTTGCCTGGGTTTGGAAACACATTCCCAAAGCTGGCCCTTAGTCTGCTTTTGGTTACAGTTCAGAATCTTTTGATTTTCTGTCCTAGGACCAGTGTTTCCTACCCCCAATAATTTGTCATAGTCCTCCTCATCACTTGAATGGCAATGACTGAAAGTGGACCAAACCCGAGGCCTCTGCATGGTTTTGCACTCTGGAGAAATGCGTGCTGCATCAACAGATGTCCTTACTGCAGCGGGTTCCCAATGCCTCCCAGAATGAGAGAGCCTTATTTGGAATGTACTGATTTGCAGTGCTTCCTGGCCTCTAGGCACAGATTAAATGCAATTACACAATTTATTACTGTATAAACTATTATTTACCTGGAGCGTTCCAAACAATAAACTCTAAATTTAATTCCCCAAAGGTCAAAAACAATTTTTCTTATCCTTGCAAAATGTTTAATCACCGTAGAGAACGGAACTCGTACAGATGGGGAGTAAAGTGAACAGGGAAAGTAACTGGTCAATCTGAAATGTGAATTGATTAAATTTCTGGTTTTTAAAAAGCCCATAAGAAGTCTGCAATAGGGAAACATCATATTGGACAAAAATAATTGTGTTTGTTTTATTTATTATAATATAATTACTTATTTTACTATTAAGTTTAGATCATGTATTTTAACATGGGTCTATGTAACAGATGAGGAAACTGAGGCCCAATTAGGTGAAATGGCACGAAGGGAGCCTCAATCACACTGAGAAGCTCCACATCCAGTTGCCTTATTGTTAGTTAGAGGAAGCTCTGTGCCTCCTGGAATGAGTGAGGGATTAAGGAGAAGAGTATCCACTTTGGGAGCCCGAGGCAGGCGGATCACAAGGGCAGGAGATCAAGACCATCCTGGCTAACATGGTGAAACCCCGTCTCTACTAAAAATACAAAAAAAAAGGAGAAGAGTATCAAAGAGAGGTCTTTTTCTGAAAGGAAATAATGAATTCATGTCTCCAACTGGAGAAACCTTTGAGCAGGAACGGCAACAATGGAACATCTGTGCTGTTCATTCTCTTATCTCCTGCCTATGACAGCCACTGCTAAAACACTATTCTTTCAATCTCTGTGCAAACTCAGAATCATTCTTAACCAGTTCTCCAGTTATGTTATATGTATAGTACTATACATTATATATATAATACATGGTATATATTATATTTATACACCATATATTGATATATAGTATCAATATATAATATATAACATATAATATTTACATGATATATATAACATAATCTATGATATATTACATTTAGCATTACATATATTATAGATAATATATAATAATACACATATAATGTATACTATATTATGTATATAATATGTATAGTATTATATATAATACATATGTATATGTACATATACATGTATATACATATGTGTGTATATATACATATACATATGTATCATATATGATAAATGTATACATACTATATATGTATATACTACATATATGATATATACATTTATATTATGTTATACATAAATATATAATATATAATAATATATACATATGTAATATATTACATATATATATAAAATACAGTCAGAGACAGCAGGTGAAATTTTCTTGCAACTGGGTCAGAGATTGAGTAACTATTATTTACCTGGAGTGTTCCAAACAAACTCTAAATTTCATTTTCCAAAGGTCAAAAACAAATTTCCTTATTCTTGCTTCTTGGTCAACCCCTACACACAGTGGTAAACATTTGTTCCAAATTCTTCCCTCCTGGTCCTTGGAAGGCTGCTTCAGCCTTTGGCATTTGTTTCTGGATAGCCACGACTGGCTTTGTACTCCTCCTGTGCCCTCCTGGCTTTCTGCACATGTTATATCTCTGACTTTCAGCTTTGAGGAAGTAGAATGCTCCTTCCCTTTGGAGAGTCACTGCTCTCCTTACAGACCCGCACACTCAGAGGACAAACCTGCTAAGCCATGGAAATACTCTCTCATTCTCTGCAGTACTAGAGAACAATAAAAGGGGGTGAACAATGGGCATGGGCAACAGCATAGATAAATCTGAAAACCCCCAGGCTGAGTGAAAGAAGCAGATAACAAAAGAGCACATACTGTTTAATTCCCTTTCAACAAAGTTCTGAAAAATGCAAACTACTTTACATAATGAGGATAAACCAGATCATTGTTTTCCTGGGGAAAAGGGAAGGGCAGGGGGAGAGTCCAAAAATGGGAAGGAGAGGAGGAAGGTGGGAGGAACCTTTTGGATTGATGATTTTCCCCGTAATCTTGATTGTGGTGATGGTTTCACAGTGGTATACAATTGTTATTGTCTGATACTTTCGAATTTTGCTTTTAAGCTTTTAAAGGCAAGATAGAGTGACAATTTATCTATTTTTCATTACGTAGCAAAACTATTCTGAACATTTTACCCAATACTCCGTGAAGTATGAGGTTTTCCACTTAGGTTACTGGAAAAAAGAATTATTCCTGGTGCCAGTGTCGTGGCAGGGAATGTTTTCTCTAATCCTTGTTGGTGCTTCCCCCCACCCTCATCTCATAAAGTCTCTGCACGCATGTGCTGATTAGTGCACAGCTAAAGACTCAAGGAGGACTCTGTAGAATCTCTGGTGCCTCTGTTAGGTAGCTCTCTTTGTGGTAGTGCTCTGTTCTTCAAACTTCAGCCATTTTGGTTTCCTGCATTCTCAGATCCATCATCTCAACTCAGTGGGACCACCCAGCTCCATGGGGATTCCTCTCCCTGTGCTGTGGCCTGGAAACTGTCTGTGCGGTCAGCTGGGGCAGTCAGAGGGCTCACCTCATTCATTTACCTTCTCTTACAGATCACTTTTCTGCACTGGACAGTGATCTGTAAGAGAAAGTAAATGAAAGAGGTGAGACTTAGGTTCAATGTCTCAAAAATGTTTCATGTGTTTTAAATGCTGGCTTTTTAGTTGTTTCAAGGGGAAGGTAAATCTAGTCTCTATTACTGTATCTTGACCAGAAACACACATATGCTCTCCTTTTGGATTTATGAAATGGCTTGGGCCATTTGATGAAACATCTTCTGTGGATTCTTCTCTCAGAGTTCAACTGGAACTCTGAGATATTTTCTCATTGGGCTGATAGCACATCTTCTCCTTTCTTGTTTGCATATGTGGTCAGAGAAGGCAGTTTGGACATTGCACCAAACATCTCCCTTGTCTTATGGCTGATAGTATAAGGCAGTATTCTCAAACTGAAGGTCTGTAGACTAAATCTAACCCAAAAATGATGTGTGTGTGTGTGTGTGTGTGTATGTATTTTTGCCTGCACAGTGATTAAAAAAGACCAAATTAGTTTTAAACATTAAAACACTGGACTTTTCCCATGGATATCTGAATTCCTGTCTTCTCTTGAAAAGTCAGAAGACCTGATAAATTTGGCTCATGTTCCCACAGAGTACCATTTATCAAAATACACTAGTGGCTTCCCCCTTTTGAAAGGCTGTGCACGCTCCACTTTCACATAGGCTTCCTCAGGCACCCACCTCTCATTTCTATTACTCGACTGGCCCCAGAGGCATGAGGATCTGTGGCCCTTATTGTAGAGATCAAGAGCACAGACTTTGGAGTTCAATTCTCTTCTCTGGCATTTTGATGATCTGACCAGAGTTCTTTCTCTTTCTGCAACTATTGCCCATGCTTCTATAAATGCTCCCCTTCTCCCTTCCTCCTTCCCTCTTCCTCCTTCCCCCTTCCCCCTTCTCCCTTCCTCCTTCCCCCCTTCCCCTTTCCCCCTTCTCCCTTCCTCCTTCCCCCTTCCCCCTTCCCTCCTCTCCTCCTTCTTCTTCTTCTTCCTCTTCCTCTTCCTCTTCTTCCTCTTCCTCTTCTTCTTTGCCCCTTATGTCTATTCTCTACCCTCTTGTGGCCAACTGTCTTGTGGCCAACTGGTCTTTTATGTATTTCTTTTTTTTTTAATATAAAAAGATTCATTGAATCAAGCTATGACAGTTTTTTAAAGCTATTTTAAACTGTTTTAACAACTATATTGAGCTATAACTTACATGCAAGAAACTACACATAGTTAAAGTGTATAATTTTAAATGTTTGGACATAATATACATCTGCAATCACGATAGTGGATATAGGTCAGGCACAGTGGCTTACATCTGTAATCCTGGCACTTTGGGAGGCCAAGGCAGGCAGATAGCTTGAGCTCTGGATTTTTAAATTTTTTTTTCACATCCAATCTCCCTTTAAAAAGAATTTCTTGAGAATATGGTACATATACACCATGGAATACTATGCAGCTATAAAAAAGAGCAAAATCATATCCTTTACAGCCACATGGGTGCAGCTGGAGGCCATTCTCCTAAGCAAGTTAATGGAGAAACAGAAAACAAAATACCATATATTCTCACTTATAAGTGGGAGTAAAACATTGCGTGCTCATGGACATAGAGATGGCAACAGTAGGCACTGGGGACTACTAGAGGTGAGAGGGTGGGGAACAAGGATTGAAAAACTAACTATTGAGTATGATGCCCAGTACCTGGGTGATGGGATTATTCATACCCCAAACCTCAGCATGCAATATACCCAGATAACAAACCTGTAAACATGCCCCCTGAGTCTAAAATAAAAGTTGGAAAAAAAAAGAAACAAATAAAAAGATATTTATATAGACTCAGTAAACCACTATTATTTCTTGTGTGCAAGTGCTTTGTACCAAGAGAACTCAGAAGCCAGAAGCCACCTTAGGTGACAGTTTATGGGTCAAGTTCCTATTCTTGGGGCACTGGGTTTTGTTCAGTGTTGTGGATAATATGATCAGCTTTCTTCAGAAGAGACTGGGCTTGCCAGGTAGTGACAATGTAATAGACTACTGCATCACATTCACTTAGTTTCCTACTTAGCCCAGATTGTGCTCAAGCAATAAGTTTTCAATAACGATGATAACAAAAGTCATAATAATTGCCCCAGTAATAGCTACTCTTTGTCAAGCACTTATGCTTTTCCAGGCATCACATTAAACACTTTACACAAATTAGCTTATTTTATCCCCGTAATAATGCTAATGATTATTGACTTTATCTCTCCCCCCCAATTTCAAGTATGGGAAAACACTCTCAGAGAGGTGAACTGACTTTTCCTAGCTCATGTCACAGTCAGGAATAAAATTCAACCCCAGAAAAGTCTGATTCTGAATTTATTTTGCAATGGAAGAGAGTAATCCAATGACCATCAGTAGGGGCATGTTACGTGGAACAAATCTGTGAGGTGGGACTTATTTTCATGTTGTAGAACCTCTGATGGAAACTAGGGAGGGCTTTGGAACCAAAAGTGGAAAGGGCAGGAAGGGCGTTCAGTGGAATCAAAGTGGCTCCCAGGAAAGGCAGCTGTTTTACATCATGGAAACAGTAGAGCTTCCGGTAGCACCAGCAGACGCGGCTCCCAGCCTACCACTCACATTCTCCACAACCTTCTGAGAGTTCCTTAACCTCCATGAACCTCAGCTTCCTTTCCTTAAAATAGAGAGAGCAATATCCTGCTGCAGTGTTAATGATGCTCATGAAAGGTAGTCTGTGTGAAAAAAAGTTTAGCAGATAGGGTGTTTTGTAACAGTCAAAATATAGTTTATTTTGAAGGGCTTTTTGGAGGATGAAAGGGGCTAAGACATGTCAATTGCCTGGAACATAGTAGACACTCAATAAGTGAAAACCATTCAGGGTCCAAATCCCATCTCTGCAGTTCCAAAATCCAAAATCCAAAATAGAAAGTTGGATGTCAAAATGAATTTTGGGGGCAAAATCTCACCTGGGGTGATGTGAGGCTACCTGTCTTACATAAGTTAAATTTGATGATGAGATTCTGTGAAACATACAGTGTATATATATCATGACATACAATGTATATATACCGTGTCATGTCTCCAAGGTCTGAGA
This sequence comes from Homo sapiens, assembly GCF_000001405.40. Taxonomy (NCBI): domain Eukaryota; kingdom Metazoa; phylum Chordata; class Mammalia; order Primates; family Hominidae; genus Homo; species Homo sapiens. The sequence continues at coordinate 129,481,029 of NC_000008.11, read as the reverse complement.
ATGTCTGAATTCTAAAACTTCTCTGGCCTCAAAGATTTTGGATAAGGGATTGTGGACTGGTATTACTATTATTATTATTATTATTATCATCCCATTTCCAGTTCCCTGTTGTTTTATGAGTCCTGGTAGAAATAGCACCTGCCTTGTTTAAGCTTATTTTCCCCAACCCCTAACATAAGTGCCAAGGACAAGGATGGTAATTTATAAATAAATGTGTATTGATGAAATAAATACAAGATTGATGAGAATCTTGGTGATGAAGAAAATAAAAAAATAAAAATGGATTCCCAGGGAAAGAGAGAGGAAGAGTATGCTTTATTTTTCCCTTTCTTTTCCTAGGCCTTTTAAAGGACCATGGGCTGTTTGAGGGGCCAACATCATTAACTGGTGAGTGGGGAGGAGGGGCTGGAAGCAGCCCCACAATCCTGAAAAGGCTGCTCAAGGAGCAGAGCTGGCAGCAGCTCTTGTGTGCAGCGATTCCATCAGGGAACACAATTGCCTTTTTTGGAGGGCTGGCTCAGACACAGCTGGTGTTACAAGCTTTGCAATCCTAATGCAAGGAAAAGCTGGGAAAATCCCACAAAGTGAAATTGTATCTGCTTGTGGTCAAGTTGGGACTCCAAATTTGGACAGTGGAATTTGGTGGGAAAATGTGAAATGCATCAGGGGTTATATAGTGAACCTAAGATTTATCGCTTCGGCAAGTGGCTATTTCCAGAAGAACTAGCAAGTCATGGTAATAATTCTGTGACAGAGGAGAAGGGGGAGGGACCCACAGCTTACTGCTGATGTGATCAACCTGTGAAAATCCTTGAGCAAATGGAAAAGTCAAAGTTGTTCCATGATGCCCGTCAGATCACTGCACACCAGTATGTATATGAGGATTTAAAAAACATGAAGTCAGTTGATTAGAACATAAAATACTAGAGGTAGTCAGAGCAGTTGGACTAGTTGCCAAAATTATATGTTTCCAAGCCTCTGTTTTAAAGCTATTTAAATGTATCCCAGAGAGAGAGTTGGAGGCCAGAGGTAGCCAGCTTAAACCAGGGCTGGCTCTTAACTGACTGCCCAGGAGTGTTTAGGGCAAAGCACTGCAGTGCGAGGCCATCTGAGAATGAAATATAGCACAGCTCAGCTCCAGTCTAGCTGTGTGATGTTGGGCTTGTCAGGCAACCTCTCTGAGTCTCAGTTTCTAACGTGTAGAACGGTGTCCCTAATGTCTGCCCCAGCTCTTTAGGGGCAAATATAATCACGCATGTGAAAAACCTTGTCAAATGCTGTTCTGAGGTACCCAAGAAGGTCCTGGGGAGGCCACCATCAAAATAATCTTCCCTTGGTGTTAGAAATTTCCTTATGATGTTAGCATTATTAAGCCAGAGGTTATTAGCTCAGCTACTGGCTAAATTTGACTCATAGCATTTAAAAATTGGAATATATCATATAACATTTTGGAATTCTGTTTTTTATTGAAAGATTGTAAGCTCTGGAAACACTGGTCATTATTGCAGTACAGCAATACACAGACTCAGTGTCTGGAAAAAAATGGGGGAATGTAGCAAGGATTGGGTGACCCCAGAATGTATTGCAATATACCAGAAGGATCCCAAGTCAACTGGTTTAATCTTCACTCATTAACATAATCTGCTTAGTCCATGAGGAAGTTTGAGTTTTTGACCCCTGTTTTAAGGTACTTAAAGACCTCAGTTAAGATGCCAATGATTTTGGAGGATGTTAAAACACTAGACAATTATAAAGCATGGGGGTGGGGTCACAGATACAGGAGGGAACAGTAGGAGGGAAGCCTACTTTTCACCTGGAGGCTAAAATGGGCTGAAGGATGAGTTTTGTAAATGGTTTATTTAAAATTCTAAACAGCAGCTGCAGATTGCTGACTAGGTGCTGGGTAGCCCACTCCATCTAGGCTTGGACCCAAGGGAAGCGAAGGGAAGGGAAGGGGAGGGAAGGGAAGGGGAGGGGAGGGGAGGAGAAGGGAGGGGAGGGGAGGGGAGGGCAGGGGAAGATAGGGAAGGGATATATTTTGTATTATCTTAATATCAGGATCTTATCCAAGAATTTGAAGACCGTTAATACTAACCCATAGAAACCTGCCATTCGTTGCTGCTACCTACATATAAACAAACACCTTGCCCAACTTCATCCAACTTCTCTGTGCTTTTCCCCAATGCCTTTCTTGTAAAAATTGTCTGCTTCAGAGGTTCTGAACCACTTTTGTTCTCTGGACCTTTCTGGTAGTCAAATGAAGCCTATGGATCCTTTTTTAAGAATAATATTCTTATCAAATAATATCTATTACCTAATAATCAAATAATATCTAATATCAAATAATACCTATTATAATAAATGTGAAATGATATTTAATATAATATGTATCATAATACATATGCATTATGAAATTCAACACGAACCAATTATATTTTAGTATAGGTATGAAAGATATATACTTTTTTTTTTTTTTTGAGGTACAGGAGAGAAGTCTCACTCTGTCACCCAGGCTGAAGTGCAGTGGGGTGGTCTTGGCTCACTGCAACCTCTGACTCCTGGGTTCAAGCTATTCTTCTGCCTCAACCTTCCAAGTATCTGAGATTACAGGCACTTGCCACCACGCCCAGCAAATTTTTATATTTTCTGTAGAGACGGGGTTTTGCCATGTTGGCCAGGCTGGTCTCAAAATCTCAGCCTCGAGTGATCCACCCACCTCGGCCCCCAAAGTGCTGGGATTACAGGCATGAGCTACCGTGCCTGGTCCAAAATATTTTTAAAAGAATTTATGTTATAGTAATATGTGGACATCTTTATTAATGTATCAAACAAGACTGGCAACAAGTTTAGTAATTATTATAATTTTGAAGTGGCAATAAGTTTAAATGACATTATTTTGTGGTGTTTGTAATAATTGTAATGTGATATAAAAATACCTGTGATTTCCATCAATGATACAGTTACTGTTAATAGTACTTTGGTTTTTTGCTTACATTCAAACTTCAAAGAAATGCTAAATTTCAGTTAGAGGTGAATGAAATGAAGATGTAGTTATTTTCCCACCTAAGTACAAAAATTCTCTAAATTCTCTCCTTAGACTCCTCTCTTCTTTCTGAGAGTTAAGACTATGGGCTTTAGGGCCTGTGTTTGTAACTAGTGCTATTATTTCTAGTCATCACCATTTTCTCATCTTTAACAAGTAACAGCAACCCACGTACTAGGTTTACATGAATCCAATGTGAAGAATGGGTGTTAACAATCTGCAGAATTCACAGTTGAACAAAGGTCTGAATATGTGAGTCATCTGACCTGGTTTATAGTGGGATCCAGCTTTACTTTAATGTATAATGACCTCAGAGAACCACAGATAAGCAGCCTGGATCTGGCTTGATGGTTTTAGTCACAGGGAGTCAGAAGAAGGCTCATTTTGCAACAGGCATTCTTGAGCCTGAGAATCAGAAATTCTGGGCATGCCTAGTGTGCAAATGGATAAGAAACAATTAGCACAATGTTTGCTTTGTTTTGTTTATTTTAGAATCTTGTTTTTCTTTGTTCTTTTTGTAGACTAGAAAAAGGAAGATAATGTGTGTGTGTGTGTGTGTCACACACACTCTGGATAATTGTGGGAGACCTAGGGTGAGAAGATGGCTTGGTGTCCATTGCAGGAATCAGTGCCTGCCCCAATATTGAGACTCATGAAGAAGCACTGTGTTAAGTCTGCCTGGGCTGCTGTAACAGAATACCACAGGCTGATGGCTTTCTCACAGAAACCCATTTATTTCTCACAGTTCTGGAGGCTGGGAAGTCCAAGATTAGTGTGCCAGCATAGTCAGGGCCCTCTTCTTGGTCTATACGTGGCCACGTTCTTGCCATAGACTCACATGGTTGAGAAATAGATCATCTTTCATATGTGTCATCTTACTAGCGTACTAATCCCATTCTTGAGGGTTCCAACTTCATGACCTAATCACCTCCTAAAGGTCCCACCTCCAAATACCACCACATGGAGGGTTAGAGCTTCAACAAATGAATTTGGGGGAGGGAGACAATATTCATTTCATAGCAAGCAACCAGGAAGAAGCTGAAGGGATTGCTCTGAGATGAAGGTATACAAATATCTTAGCTTTATGTCCTGAGTTTTCATTCTTGGAAAAGAAGGTAATGGTGGCAAGGACTGTCGATAGAGATTGAGCACCATGTATGTTCCAGATGGGTACCACTCTGTGCGTTTGTATACATTTCCCCATTTTATTCCTTATTCCAGCTGAGTGAAGTAGATTTTTTTCTCACCCCTATTTTAATTAGGAAAAATAGGAGACATGGAATAATCTGCCTGAAGCTCTCAGCTGATAAATGGTAGGAAATGTGAGCAGTGCAGGGTAAAGGCATTTTTTTCGCCTGGAGATCCACTAGTGCATACAATGCAGCTTTCCTCTGGTGCCTTGAATGCCAGCAGCTTCAGGAGCATTCAGAAGCAGCCCCCTTCCTTAGGACACCACCACTCTTGCCTGGGGTGCAGGCAGCAGGTGCAGGGGTGAGGCATCCCTGGTGATTCCACATCCAGCAGACTGGGTGAAGGCACCTGCAAGGGGTAGAAGGAAGCAGAGATGCCATGCACAGTGGAGACAGAGACATTCAAGAGCAGTCCCTCTGTCATAATTAGTAAGCTTCTGAATGGGGCTGAAATGTGGTGTGAGCAAGGAAGGAAGCTGAACGAGGTATGAGTTATTAATGCTCCTGTCATCCCATCTGTACCTGGGGAAAAGAGAGGCCTGGAGAGATTAAGTCTGCATACATTTAGAGCCCATGCTATGTGCCATACCCTAGCTTGAGCACTGCTTCAGACGTATTTGATTTCATCTTTAGAACAACACTACACAGTAGATATCATAGCCCCCAATTCACAGATAAGGAAACTGAGGCTCAGAGAAATAAAGTATGTAGTCCGTGGTCCAGTGTGTAGTAGGCAGAGAGAGGACAAGATGTTTACAGTGATAGGGACAGAGCGTGCAGGTGGTTTTCTGCTCAGCAGTACCTACACAAAGCCCTGGTTTAATGATGGTTTCCCAGAGTAGTTATGCAGTAGAAATTCAGACTCTGTGAGTGGCTGGCTGGTTGTGTGTGCGAGTGAGTGTGTGTGTATGTTTGTGGGGTGAGTAGTGACAGCTTTTTTATTCTGCTTTATGTTTGCTGTTGGTTGTATTTGTCAACATACGTGGCTCCCTCAGCATATGACTGCTCCCCCATGGAGCTAGCATCCTTCTGCTGCCAGGGGATCTGCTCAGGGTCACCCCTGATGAGTGGCAGGATTTTAAACAGAGTACATTTGGGCTTTGCTGTGCATTCTCCGTCCTCGGTGCTTCCTCCCTCAGAAGCAGCCAACTCTTCTTCCCCTTCATCCATTTATATTTTTATCTCCTTGGTGTTGCAGCCACACCTTCAGTGCTTCTTTGTTTTACTTTAAGCATTAGAGGACCCATTTTTGCCCACTGGCCTCCTCCCTAATGCCTGAATCTGTGTGGCCATCACCACGGCTTTAGGGAGCACTGGAATGGAGACAGTAGGATTTAAATTTATGTCTCACAAGCTGTGAGGTCTGAGTTGGCTCCATTGTGACAGAGCAGTTTAAGTACTGACTTACTTGATTCAGTCAAGCAACCAGCTGACTTTCTGAGGCTAAACAATTTACCACTATGTAGCCAACACATTTACTGAGTACTGGTTTTATGCAGATACTGTTTTAGGCAATGGGAAAGTAATAGCAAATAAAACAGATAAACTCCTGTTCTTATGGCACGTACTTCGTGATGGAGAGGCTGGAAAATAAATACGTAAAATACCCTGTGATAATTAAACTTGGCTAAGCCATGTTATTCAGTTTTCAGTCAAATACCAGTCCAGATGTTGTTGTGAAGGGATTTCTTTTAGATGTGAGTACCATTTATACCAGTAGACTTTCAGTAAATCAGGTTATTCTTGATGATGTGGGCAGGCCTCATCCAATCAGTTGAAGGTCTTAAGAGAAAAGACTTGGGTCGCCAAAAGGAGAAGGAATTCTGTCAGCAGATTGCCTTCAGATTTGTGCTGCAATATCAGTGCTTTGCTGGGTCTCTGACCTGCCAGCCTGCCCTGAGATTTTTGGACTCACCAACTCCCACAGCAAGCAAGCCAATTCCTTAAAATGAATCAATTATCTGTCTCTCTCTCTCTTTCTCTCTGTATATGTATATATACACATAGGTATATGTATATGTTGTATATGTTTGTTTTTCTGGAGAATCTTGATTGATACATGTGCGTGTATGTGTGTGTGGTACCAAAATGATATGAAGATCAATAAGGCAGAACAATATGATTGGGGGAAGAGTGATACTTTAGATAGGGTGATCGTGAAACGTCTTTCAGATGGAGTAGCCTTTGAGCAGAGATCCAGGTGAAATAAGAATGAGCCTTGTGAAGCTCTAGGAGAAAACTGCTCTCTATAGTCAGAATAGCAAGCACCAATACCTGAGTGTGTGCATGCTTAACATGTTCAGGGAGCAGCAAGGAGGCGGCCATCGTGGTTGGGATAGCTTGAACAAGGGGATCAGTGATCACTGATGGACGCTCTGGTCACAGAACCTGCCATGTTAAGGGACTTAGCAACTTATTCTAAGTGTGATGGTATCAGATCCCAGGGTCCAGGTCCAGCCCATGCTGAAGTCCAGAGGGGAGTGGGTTGATGAGCAGAAAGAACACTCCGGGGGCCGTGAGCAGGTGAAAGATGATTTTATTTAGCAGCAGCTCTCATCAACAGCTTTCTCACACTGTCCACCTTTATCTCAGCTGTCTGCTCTGGCTCTGTGGCTCCTGCTGCCCCCCACACCTGCAGCTGCATGGCTGGCTCTCCCCTGCCTTCAGGGTCAGCAGCTTAACTCTTTCTCTGGGCACAAGCAAGCAGAGCTATGCCCTGGCTCCCTCCTGTCTGTCCGCAGGATGGACAGCTTTGGCTCTCTCTCTCTTTCTCTGGACGCCAGCGTGCCCACCATGTTAAGCTGAGCTGAGCCCCGAGATCCCCTGTATAGCGTTAGCCGGACGGTTACACCTTTTACGGACAACAGTGGCTTAAAGCCAGGTATGAACTTACACAAACAGGTTATATAACAAGTGGAGGTGTGTGCTTGTGCACCAAACTCGCTGAGTTATGCAGGCCTGGATGTCTGCCTCAGCCTATTCCTTGACCAAAGCACATCCATGTACCTTACAATGATCAAATGTCACCTGGGTGCAAAGTCACCCCCAGCTGAGAACCACTGGCCTAGGGTGTTGGTTTTGGAGCGGTCAGAGGAGTTGGATCTGAGTAAGATTTTCCCCAAACTAAACAACTCTTGTATGGTACTTATTGCTATTTTTACATTGAATCAAAAGAATTTCATCCTCAGTTTAGAAAATCTTGAAATTAAAAAGAAACAAGAAAATCACTTATAAACCATTTCCTTGAGGAAACATTGATAAAATATTGATATTCAGTATTTTCTATACACATGATAATTATAATATTAACAGTATTTCTTGAGCATGTAGGTCTTTGGCTGGGGTTAATTTATTTCCCTGACTAGTAAAACATTATTCTATATTAGTTTCCTATGGCTGCTCTAACAAATCACCACAAACTTAGTGGTTTAAAACAACACAAATGGATTCTCTTACAGTTCTGGAGGTTACAGATCCAGCCTTGGTCTCACTGGGTTGAAGCCATGCTGTTAGCAGAATTAGCATTCTTTCTGGAGGCTCTGGGGGAGACTGTTTTTTGACTTTTCCACTTTCTGGACGTCTCTACTTTCTTTGCCTTATGTTCATCTTCAAAGCCATTAACAGTGGGCCTTTCTCGTATTGCACCACTCTTCCTCCCTCTCCTGCACCCTCTTCCGTGTTTGAAGACCTTTGAGATAACTTTGGGTCCACCTGGATAATCCAGTTTAATCCTCCAGTTTAAGGTCAGCTTATTAGCAACTTAATTCAGCTGCAACCTTAATTCCCCTCTTGTCATTTAACTTAACATATCCACAGGTCAATGGGGATGTTTTTGGGAGGGCATTATTCTGCCTGCTGCGATGACTGTCACCATTTATGTATGAGAAAACTGAGACTCAGTTAAATAACTTTCTGAGGACACAAACTTCAGCAATCTGTCCAGTAACCTTAACCACTGCACTATATTATACACACAGTTTTCCCTTGTAATACTATATTGCAAGCATTTTCTCAAGTTGATGACTTCATAGTACTTCACTGCATATGTAAGCCACAAAATCTTTAATCCTTTTTCTATTTTAAAGTATTTAGATTGTATCCTACATGCAAATAATGATGAAATATACATCTTCATACTTATTTTTCCTCCGAAGTTTGAATTTTTTTTCTCACAAGTCAAATTATTGGGTTAAAAGTCATAAAAGCTTCAAGGGCTGTGGATACACATGGTCAAATTGTTTTCTAGAAGGACTGTTGCAACATACAGTCTTAGCTGTGCCTGTTTTTCCTCTACCCTCAACAATTTTTTAATTAATTTTCTAGCAAAAAATGGTCCAATTCTTTATCCTAATATGTTTCTGAAATAAAAATATTCCTATCACTATGCATCAACTTTTTTTTTTAAAACAAACTTTGTGTTTGTTTACAAAACAGTGTGTCATGGGAAAACTAGCTAGGCCCCAATTCAGCATCTAGTCACTATTAATATAGGTGCACAAAATCTGCTATGTCATATTTCAATCTTAAAAGTACCTCTGAAAACAAAGAGGTTATTTTTTTTCAATGTGGCAGTAAAACTCACCCAATTCATTGGCAGCAAAACCTGAGCTGAACTGACATGAGGATAATTGTGGTTTGAATATTTCTGTTACATTAATTATTCATGTTTCACTATGAAAATATTGATGCGGTTTCCCAGAGAACTGTCCACTGGGGATTTGACGTAATATATGGCATTTGTATAATTTTACCTTTCTAACATCTGAAAAAATGCTGAGTCCTGAAACATACCTGGCCCTGAGACTAAGACCTGTAGGGTTGTGTGGCCTGAGCCTGGCATGTGCTTGTCTGGGGTGCTGAGCATGGGGATAAGGATTTCCACGGTGTGATAGTTAATTTCATGTGTCAACTTGACTGGGCCCCCAAATGCCCAGACATTTGGCCAAATATTATTCTGGCATGCCTGTAAGGGTATTTCGGGATAATTAACTTTTGAATTTGTAGAATTTGTAGACTGAGTAAAGCAGATTTCCCTTCTTTTTTTTGAGACAGAGTCTCACTCTGTTGCCCACGCTGGAGTGCAGTGGTGCCATCTTGGCTCACTGCAACCTCTGCCTCCTGGGTTAAAGCGATTCTCCTGCCTCAGCCTCCTGAGTAGCTGGGATTACACGTGTGCACCACCACGCCCAGCTAATTTTTTGTATTTTTAGTAGAAGACAGGGTTTCACCATGTTGACCAGGCTGGTCTCAAAATCCTTACCTCAGGTGATCCACCCGCCTTGGCCTCCCAAAGTGCTGGGATTACAGGCATGAGCCACTGTGCCTTGCTCTGAGAGTGCCCTTTTTATTGTAGGTGTTCTTAATTTAATCCATTGAAGACCTGACTAGAACAGAAAGGTTGAGTAAGACGAAACCCCTCCTGCCTGACTGTTGAGCTGGGACACTGGTCTTTTCCATCCTTTGAACTTGGACTCAAACATTGAGTCTGCTTGGATCTGGAACCTGCTGGCTTTTGGAATGGAACTGCACAGTTAACTCTCCTGGTTCCCAGACCTTCAGACTTAGACTTGAACTACACATCTCTCATGGTTCTCTCGTTTGTCAGCTGCAGACCTTGGGACTTCTCAGTCTCCATAATCTCATGAGCTGATTCATTAAAATCAATCAATCCATCCCTCTCTCTCTCTCTGCTCAATTGAAGCAGGGCTGTGAAGGCCAGGAAAATGGTCGCCAGATCATTTCTACCCTGATCATGTCTGCAGCTGACTAGAGAGAGAGCTGAGTCAAAGCTGAACAACCATACTTGTGAGAGCCTAGTGACACATACATACTCCTGGCCCACAGTTGGCAGGAGAGGCATCTCTGCACTCCTGGTGACACACTCTTCATGCCCCATAGGAGCAAAGGAAACTTTGCATTTGAAGCAATGGTGTTTAAAGACTTGGTTCCACAGCCAGAGCACCTGATTTGAAGCTGAACTCTGCCTTTTACTAGCCACGTGATTTTGGGAGAGTTAGTTAACCTTAAGTGCCTCAGTTTTTTCACCTGTGAGATAGGGACCATGATATGACTTGCCAGGCAGAGTATCTGCAATGTTTCAATGACACATGTAAAACACTTTGAACAGTACCTGAAACATATTAGGCATTCAGAAAATCATAAAGATTATTATTGTATATCATCAATTCTAAGATACATTTTTTTCCTCATTTTATCATTTCTATAATGGTTTATCTTTGCCCATTTTTTCGTATTAACATTTCTGAAATTGGAAAGCACTTAAAAATTGATAGAATCTCAGGCACAATGAGATATAGTATTATTATTTGGGTTGTTCCAGGATAAATCATGCAGGGAGGCAGTGGTTAGGTACTGTATTTAAGCTCTTATGAACTACAGAAAAGAAGGATTCTCTCTCTCTCTCTGAAATTCCATGTTTAATCCTAAACTTCTATTGTTATGTATAATTATGTCCATATATCTGTATGTATGGATACACAGATACAAAAGAAATAGATATAGCTGACTATATAGCCATGTCTATATTTGGAGAAACTAGACAAATATTTTAAAAACAGTTTTTTTTTGTACCATGAATTTCTGGGTAAAAGTTAACTTCTAATTTATACTATGAACTTAGTGCCTGGTACATAGGAGGCATTCTATAAAAGTTTACTTAGTAAATTAGATGAATTATTTTTAAAAATATTCTTTCCTAATGAATTTGTAATAATTTTTACTTGAAATTGTCATTTAAATAAGTCTATTTTCAGACTTTAATGACAACCTTATTAAAAATACTCAACCTCTCTTTTCCAGTTATCTTGGCCATTCCTTTTTTTTTGAGAGAGAGAGTCTCGCTCTGTCACCCAGGCTGGAGTGCAGTAGTGCAATCTCAGCTCACTGCAATCTCTGCCTCCCTCGTTCAAGTGATGCTTCTGCTTCAGCCTCCCGAGTATCTGGGACTACAGGTGAACGCCACGATGCCCAGCTAATTTTTGTATTTTTAGTAGAGATGGGGTTTCACCATATTGGCCAGGCTGGTCTTGAACTCCTGATCTTGTGATCTGCCTGCCTTGACCTCCCAAAGTGCTGGGATTACAGGTGTGTGCCACCGCGCCCAGCCTATCTTTCCCATTTCTTATTCATTTTCTTCCTCTGGCCTTTCCTTTTCCTCATCTGTTTCCCTTTAGCTGCTCAAATTCCTCTTTCCATCCTTTGTCCTCAGAAACTTCCATCTGAGGTCCTCAACAATCTCATACAACTTCAGTTTAGTTTTGAGTCAGGGCAATGAAGATAAAATATGAATGGGCTTAGGAAATGGTCTTCCGCATTCATAAAAGAAAAAAATGTAACATTGCTGCCAGGTCACCCAGAACAAGTTCCAATTCCCAATAGTCAGGGAAGAATTTTTAAAGTAAAAAAATCAATGGCTATGAAATTACACATTAGTCCAGGGCAGAGTACTCTGTTTTCCCAGTGAACATTCATCTTACTATAGTAATAGTGGCACAGACAATTTGCTGGAGTGAAGTTGATCTATAAGTGTTTTAATTAAAGTTCTGACAGCCAATTGAAGCCTTTTTTATCTTTTGGATGTATCTTATCAATCTTTCTCTGTCAGTGAATAGCTGTGCCCAGAGAGTTGAATGTATGAGGGAGGTGTAAGTTAACATTCTGGATGTAGTAACTGATCAGGAAGAAAGGGATATTATGGGTTTCTTTTCTTATAAGCTCCCCAAGCTCAAAATTCTATAAGGCATATCTTGATAAGTGTTTGCTGAACACAAGAATTGTTGAAGATTGCTCTGGGACTATGCTTTACCATAGGATGGGAATTTGGCCATGCTAGGTCTATTTGCTGGCTTTCTGTCTTAGAAGCTGTGTATTCTTGAACAAGATACTAAAACCTTCAAGTTTCACTTTTCTCACTTTTAAATAGGGACAATTAACACTTACCTTATCACAGCAGGCAGAGTTGAAATCAGACAAATAAAGAAGACAGTTAAGGCAATGACTGAGTGCTTATTACATGATAGATTTTATGTTAGGCATAGATGACATGGAGAAAACTAATCTTGCTAATTGTCCTTGAGGAGCTCCAAGTTTAGAAGGGAAGATGGACATTGCACGCCTAATGAAAATACAACATGAGGCCGGTCACGGTGACTCATGCCTATAATCCCAGCACTTTGAGAGGCCAAAGGGTGGATTATTTGAGATCAGGAGTTGAAGACCAGCCTGGTCAACATGGTGAAATGCAGTCTCTACTAAAAACACAAAAATTAGCCAGGTAGTGGTGTGCGCCTATAATCCCAGTTACTTGGGAGGCTGAGGCAGGAGAATTGCTTGAGCCTGGGAGGCAGAGGTTGCAGTGAGCCAAGATTGTCCCACTGAACTCTAGTCTGGGCAACAGAGTGAGACCCTGTCTCAGAAAAAGAAAAAAAGGCAAAACAAACAAACATAAAACACGTAAAGGGCTGTCTAAAGTGAGTCACGTAGTGCCACAGGGTACCTTGGATGGAGGCATGGGCTTTCAATGGAGAGGCAGGGCATCCAAGGCTTCCCAGGGATGAGAGGAGAACATGAGATCCATGGAGGTGGGAGTTGCTCTCTTCTGTTCACTGCAATGTTCCCAGCAACTCGAACAGTGCTTGACATATATTAGATCCTACCCCCAAAATTCGATGAATAAATAAATGACTGATTTTGAACTGTGAATTGGAAAAAGATGACAGAGATAACTATGACTTGAGGTGAGGAGTATATGAAGACAAGGCATTCCTGCCTACTCTGTAGGGCCTCAGATTTTTCTGGCACTAGAAAATGGGATCTCAATTTTCTAGTGCTAAATGGGGGCTCCTCTTTCCCCTGCAACTGCCCCCTTAGGCAGATCTATCCTCACTGCAAGAAATGGGGTTTGATACAATGACTGAGACAATTCTGCTTTTATTAATCAGTTCCCAATACTTGTTATCATTACGGACTTCTGGGGGATATTGGGAATTGAATTCTGACAAAAATTAAAGGAAGCTGGAAGAAGTTATTCAACTTTCCAGTATCACCATTACCTTGGTGCCAACAAATCCCCCATATTTCTTGTGCTTACTATAATTCAAAATGTTGCAAACAAATAATTATACAACTTAAGAGAGCCAAGCAGATGGTCAGTGCCTCAAACACAGATTGACCACTGGCTCTATTTTTGACTGCTGATATTAAAAGCAAAATTCAAGTAGGCACTTAATAAGATATTTATTAAATAAGTGAATATGGCTTATGTGTTGTCCCACAGTTCCTGATATTTTTCAATAAAAAGGGATTGGTGAATGATGGTACAGAGTCCAATTATTGGACTCTGATGTGTGTGCCAAGAAGTGGTGGAGTGTGTTCTAAACAACACAGGACGTTAGTCTGGTGAGTTTACTTAAGTCTCAAATCTCCCATGGTGTGGCTTTTGCCTGAACACTACTGCTTGAGAAACCTAGATCATCTCACTCTACAAATAAGAGTTCCTTTAGGCTCGGACAATCCCACTAGTGCGTATCTACCCAAAGGAAAAGAAATCATTTTATCAAAAGATAGACTGGTGGCTCATGCCTGTAATCCCAGAGCTTTAGGAGATAGAAGTGGGGGAATTGCTTAAGGCCAGGAGTTCAAGACCAGCCTGGGTAACATAGAGACCCAGCTGGTCTCAAACTCCTGGCCTTAAGCAATTTTATTTTTTATTTTAGGCTCTACAGAAATAAAAAAATAAAAACATTAACTGTGTTTGGTGGTGCACACCTCTAGTCCTAGCTACTCAGGAGGCTAAGAGGAAGGATTGACTGAGCTCAGGAGTTTAAGGCTAGAGTGAGCAATGTTCACACCCCTGCACTCCACCCTGGGTGAAGAGTGAGACCTTGTCTCTAAAATAAACAAATAAGTAAAAATAAAAAGATACCTGCACCTGTATGTTTATGGCAGCACTATTCATAATAGCAAAGATACAGAATCAACCTAAGTGTCCATCAATAGAGGACTGGTTAAAGAAAATGGTATATATATATACACAGTGGAATACTATTCAGCCATAAAAGAATGAAGTCATGTCATTTGCAGCAAGGTGGATGGAACTGGAGGCCATTATCTTAAGTGAAACTACTCGGAAACAGACAGACAAATACTGCATGTTCTCACTTATAAGTAGGAGCTAAATAATGTGTACATATGGATGTAGAGTGTAGAATAATGGACATTGGAGACTCAAGAGGGTGAGCTGGTGGGAGGAGGGTGGATGATGAGAAATTACTTAACGAATACAAGGTATGTTATATGGGTGATGGATAACCTTAAAGTCCTAACTTCACCACTATGCAGTCTATGTATATAACAAAATGTAAGCATGCTTTCTTAAAAAAACAAGGGGTGTCCTTTAGGCGCTGAGATTCTGTGACTTCATCATCATCAGTTCCATGTACATAATTCTTGTCAAAGGCAGTGAGTTTTTTTGTTCTTAAGGAACAGAGACATTCACATTTGCATTGCACCCCCACAATGAGGGAATCAAATAAACACAAATAATTAGAACTGGTCTAAGGACTTCATTTTTATGGGAAAGTTCAGAGATGGGAAGTGGCTTGCTAAGAGTCATGGAGCAAATTCGGATATAAGCCTAGAATCCAGGGTTTCTGAACTTCAGCCCAAGATTCTCTAGGTTTTCACCATAACAATAATCAATAATAGTGGCATTGTGTTGGACAGGGTCAGACTGAGGTGCACAAAGGCCAGATGGCTTGTCTAAATGATGTATTGGTCTTTGTGACCCTGAATAAATTGGTTGTGGGTTGTGGGGATCTATTGGCCTGGTTTCCTCCATCATTTTACTGCTCAGGAGATCAGCTCACCTTGCATATTAGGTATGTGCCTATGGCATCAGAAGATCAGGAATAACCAAGCCACAGGCTTCTCAGGCTGTGCTGGGTCTCTCAGTGTGTAGGTGTGTGTTGTAGGCAATACCCTCATCACTGCCAGATCTGACCCTGGCCACTCACACCTCCAAATGCTGATCTTAGGGAAAGCTGTAATTTAGGACATGGAAAAGAAAGAAATAGCAGAGTAAATCAAACCACTTTTTCCTCCTGGAGTTTTGGTAGAGTTGACCTAAGATCCTTTGCTTCTCATATGGTAGAGATTGCTGGGTGTCCCACCCAGTCTTTCTGAGAACAACCCAGTTAGACGTAATGATTTAGAAAAACCCAGGGTTTTTTGATGTCTAATTGATTGATGATTGATGTCTCATGTGGGACATGGGTGGTTCTTTAACATTTTCAAGCACAATTATGTATGTGCATTGGCTGTAACCCATATAAAGTTCAGATCACCTGAACAGAAATGGAGACAAATAAGAGAGTTTAATAAAATAAAGACTTCAAAAATATTACTCATGGAGTCTATGCATACACATATGCAGACTCTCAATTAGGAGAGAACCAGAAGGAACTGGATTTTCAATCAAAGGCTGTGCATACTTTATTTAACTGAATTCAGTGTGACAGAAATAATAACCTACAATGTGAATATGAAGGAATTTAGAGGAGAGAAAAGTTAAATTCAGTGGGCAATGGCATTTTCCAAAGGCTTCTGAGAAGAGGTGAATTAGACAAGCTTCTTGCAATGGATAAGAATATAGACCAGAGTTTTAAGGGTTTGAATTCTATTTGACCTTAAAAAGATTACTGACTTCAGTTTTCTTGTTTATAAAATGAGAATAATAATGGTATATACACTTAGCATTGAGGGAATTAATAAACTATTCTGTGTCATGTGCATAGCAGTGCTTTATACGGATCAAGTGCTAATAAATGTTAGCCATCACTAGTAGTATTATTTTATCCAATACAATGGCTTTCCAAACAATTATTCAATCTTTCTTGAAGACTACCTTGGATAGGGAGAAATATGCTGATTTTTAAGCTATTGTTTCTCAGCTCCAAATCAACAGTTCAACATTCTGCTTTGCAATGTGAGGGCTTAGAATCTACACATTCTATTTCTTCTTTGCTAGCTGGCTCCTGCTAGTTTCTCCCCGCTGAAGCACTGGAGAGAAACCAGAAAGCAAGAGGAGGGAGAGAGGACATTTTTCCTTCTGTGTATTGTTCCTGTCAGTGCCACTTCCCACCCAACAGCTTTTCATTCCAGTAGCAGCACTTTATTCCAATCTCCAGCTTCTTTCCATACTTTTTGTTGTTTTATTGTACTCCTCAGAGGGAGCCTGGCAACATCCTTCCTCAGGGGACTGAACTCCACCTCTATAGAGCTCTTCCTTCCAAGCTGCTGAGGGAACAGAAGCAGCCTGGTAGCATCCGCGCTTCAGAAGGTTTGGGTCCTAGCTTCCTGGAGCCACTTCTCTGAGCTTTTTGGTTCCGATAACCTCAACCTCTTCCCTTTAATGAGCCATAGGGTAGCTGCTTGCTGCCATATTTTCATTCTATTATCTCATCATTCCTATGTATTTGTCAGTTTTCTCATGATTTTTTTAAAACCACTTCCCCATATTAAATTGTCTCTGTTAATATAACTAGTGTGGTTGTTT